>NC_000007.14:103756779-104381779 GCF_000001405.40 Homo sapiens | reverse complement strand
TATTTACAACAGTGTTTTTGGTAGAATGTAAATGGATGATTAGAGATTCATCAGGTAAATAATAAAAACAGAAGTCACAATCCTAAGTTGCCATTAGATTTTTAAGTCCTATGAAAGCAGGAACCACCTCTGTTTTACTCACAACTTTATATCCAGAACTAGTGCAGTGCCTGATACATAGTAAACATTTAATAACTGCGTGTGGGAGGGAGGGAGTGAGGGAGGGAAAGAGGAAGGAAGGAAAGATGGAAGAAAGGAGGAAGGAAGGAAAGAATCTGAAGAGAATGTACGGCAAAACAATAAATGGGGCAAAGGGCATTATTTATATTAATGAAGGATATCATGTACAATAAAGAGATAATAGTTTTGGATCTTTATGTAGTGAATAGCATAACATGGAAATATGGAGAAGAAAAACTTTTCAGAACATAAGGCAAAAATACTAGAAGCCCAATAGTAGTAGAAGACCTCTTGAGTCACCCTGTTTAACGTCTGCTCAAATACACAGCATTCTGTTGAATTATTGTTACTCAACTTGATCTGTACAACTTGGTTAGTACACAGAAGAATAGCACCCACTTTAATTTACAGTCCTCATTGAATACATTCCTAAGCTAAATGTCACAAGTGAACCATGGGTTTTAATTTTGTCATCATGCTCTATGTTTTCTATCTCGTCTAGTAGCTTGATCTTTCCTTTGCATTCTGTCTTTTGCGACATAGATTATATTTTACTTTTTGATATTTTAAAAAAGTTTTACCAATTTATATGCCTTAAAATTCACCAACTGTACATCTCCTTTTACAGTCTCTATGCATTTAATTGAAAATTCAACAATTTTCAATTAAATCTACACAACTGATTTCAATGTTCACAGTGATTTCCTTTTATACCGTAAATTCTACTTTCTTGCTTTTTGTTGTTGTTGTTTTTATTAATTTCTTTCTTGGCTAAAGAATGCCTGTAAGTAAATTTTCAGTATTGTATATAAATGACATATTTTTAAGTCCTTCCAAATTTGAGAATGTCTTTCTGATTTTGCATCTATGCTTTAGAATTCATTAGTCACAAATATTTCTCCTAAAATGCTGTTGATTCATAGGCTTATCTTATGGAGTTAAATCTAACTTGACTCTTTCTTCTTTTGTAGGAAACTTTTTTCTCCTTACTTAATGGTTTCCTGAATTTTTCTTTACTCTTGAAACTCAAAAATATCCCAGATATGTTTACATTACAGATATTTTCATTAATTTGTATTCAGATGTGGTGAACTCTTTCAATCTGCAGATGCAGATTTTTCTTGAGCCCTGGAGGTTTTTTGTTTTGTTTTGTTTTCTATTCATACCTATGAATACTGCTTAGTTCTATTTGTTCTTGAATCTTCTGCAGAAATACCAGTTACCATGTGCTGGGTTATTGTTTCCTATTTACCACATCTAACATCTCTTAATGTTCATTGCTGAATATATTTAATACATATCTGTACAAGTACATTATTTTAAATAAAGAAATTATTATTTATTAAGTACTGTGTGCTGGGCATATGGATTATCTCAATGAATCTTCATAAGATAACTCTATGAGATGGGTTATGTTATAGCCCCATTTTGCACTGGAGAAACCTAGGGATTATAAAAGATACAATTACTTGTTCAAGGTCACATAGCAGTAAGTAATGGAGTCATAATAGAAAGACAAACAGTTTGATTTTAGTTAACCAGTATGGTAACTAATGAGAATATGAGATATATCATAGTGAAACAGATAAGACTTTACAATATAAACAAGTGTGTTTTTCCCATTAAATCTATGCTCTGGGCAGAATTCAATGTTCTGCTCTAGTCAGATAGTTTTCATATAGCAGCCCAATAAATACCCAAATATGGTCTTTCTAACCATGATAAGCACAAGTTTGTGCAACACTTGGCATAGCGCTGGGACTGAGGGTCCCAGGCTGTGGCTCCAGCCACATCCATTGCTTCCTCTGTATAGCAGAGCTGTGGCTGTGCTGAGAAGTCCTTTCCCTCCATCTCTCTTTACCCTAAAGGTGAAATCTTTTCTCCACATTTCCGTGAAACTTCATGTTGGTTTTCTTTTTTCTTACATCTTGCCCTAGGAGCATTGACTGATGCACCTACAAAAAAGTCCATCAGCCAATGTGTCTATTGTACCACCCTCCTCCTCAGACATCCTGCTCCTTATTGCCAGCTTGGAACAATTTAAATAATTGACTTGTCCAATATTTGTTAAGACATACTTTATTATTTCAGACACTACTTCTCTCAATGCATCATTATCCTTAAGAGACCCCATTACTAGCCTCTTGGAGTAAGGGGCAGACTCCATTTTCATGTTCAAGAAAACACAAAAAATGAAGAGGCAGACTTACAATCTTACAAGGGAAATTCCCAATGTTGGCAGTTAGTTTCCTCTGGCTCAGGCTGATCTGTGCCGAGGGAGGCCCAAGAAGTGCAGACTGTTCCCCCAAATTACCTCTAATTCCCTGGGAGACCAATTTGGAGATTTGACTCCGTCCTGAAACGGTACCAGGGATCTGCCAATCAATCTAGACTTCCAAGCTTGCCCTAGAAGTGGACCTGGTTAGGCTGAAGTTGGCAGGAAACAGCGAAGTCTGTATCTTCGGGCCATCTGGCAATATTTCTTTCAAAACTTCTGTGCTAAGTTTATAAAATGAAAGTCAGAACTCTCACCTTATATGATGGGTCCCCGATTTCAGAATTTGGGAGCAATGCATTGGATGATGTGTTGGGAGAATTAGGAATAAATTAAATCCAAGGAATAAAAGAAAAAAATGATAAGTTGAACTCTTTGAAAGACTCTATTTAAAAAATGAAAAGGCAAATCACAGACTAGGGGAAAATATCCAGATCTATGTATTTATCAATGGACTAGTATCAAGAATATATGAAGAACTTTTATGCATAACTCTTACAAAAGAGTTGAAAAGACACTTCACTGAAGAAGATATACTAGTGGCCAGTAAGTACATTAAAAAGATGCTTAACATCATCACTAGTCATAAGACAAATGCAAATTAACATGAGATACTGCAGTACACCCATGGAATGTCTACAATCAAAGGAAAAACAATACCAAATGTGAACAAAGATGCAGAGAAAGTGGAACTCTCATACAGTACAACCATCTGGAAAACAGTTAAAACATGCACTTATCATATGTCCAGGAAATTCTACTCTTATGTGTTTACCCAAGAAAAGTAAAAATATGTTGCAACAGAAAGACCTGTACATGAGTACTCACAGCAGCTTTATTCATAATAGCTCAAACCTGGAAACAACAGAAATGCCATCAACAGGTGAATAAATATAGTACATCCACAAAATGGAATACTATTTAGTAATGAAGAGAAATGAACTAATAAAAACAACAGCTTCAATAAATCTGAAAAGCGTGCTCTGCCAAAAAAGCTTAACGCTACATACACCATAGTTCATTTCTCTGAAATTTTAGAAAAAGCAAACTCATCTCTAATGACAGAAGTCGCCTGAGGTCAGGCATGAGGGGATAACTGCAAAAAGGCAGGAGGGAAGTGTTAGGGGTGCTAGAAATATTGTATACCTGTATTAAGGTACCTCATGTACCTCATAAATACATACACCTACTAGGTACCCACAAAAATTAAAAATTGAAAAAATGAAATAAAACTCTATAAACTGTACATTTGAACTGGATGCCTTTTCTTGTATATAAATTCTACCTCAAGAGAGCTGTTTTTTGTTTTTTGTTTTTTAAAAAAGAATAGGTAGAAAGAAAGTTTCATTTGGAAGAGTTCAAAATTCTAGTGCAGTGCTGCATCCATTTTATTTTCACGAGGTAGAATTTGTACAATAATTGAAGAAGCCACAGGCAAGCAAACTCTAGATTTCTAACTTAAAGACAAATAAAAGCTTAGTTATTATTATTGAGAATACATGGGAAAATTTAGGATGCATTATTCATTTTTTAAAATATGCAGATTTGTCCTTCCCAGGGGTTATGTAATGCTGAGCAGATACTGTGATGATTTGAGGTGGGGATAGGAGTGAAAAGTGAAGCAGTCACTGTTTTGCCAACTGTCACAGAAAATGGTGAGAGTCAACTTACATTAATTGAGCCAGCTCCTCACAGGTGCAAGTAAATTCTTCAGCAAAGCCAATACTGTCCTCTGCTCTAGATGGTTTTAAGTACTCTAAGCAAAAGACTCTGTCATTTCCTTAAGACTTGATTCCAAAGAATAAAAAGATAATATAATGGAGAGATGCTTTTCCAAGCATTCACTTTGAAATGCTCCTTTCCTTAAACTCTTCCTTTTCCTCCTACTTATGTGTGCTTTTGTGATACATTGAAACCTGGTTTCTCTTCTTTTCCTGTGAAGAATAGGGCTGTATCTCTCTTGAGTAACAAATAAGCAGGGAAAATAAAAGACATTTTAACAGTTAAGTTTGTTTTGCAAGAGGTATTCAGTGTTTTATAGCACCATGATGCATTTCTCTCTCAGTCACCTTTCCTAGGGATGGTTTAAACCAGGCACCTGTGAGGATGGCAAATGAATCAGCAAATTCTATCCTTCCATCCTGTGATGAAACAAGGCATGGAACTTTACAAGATGTCAGAATGCATCCAGTCCCCTGCCACCCACAAGAACAGAGATATTTTGGACCTTCCTGCAGACCTAATGGAGTTAGTTGGGACTGGACATTATCCAAATATTTGGGAAAATGTAGCCAATTTGCGATGTTACCTTTTTGTCCTTACTTAGCAAAATTTCCAACAAAACTGAGCTTCATTGTAAATCATGCATAAAAATATTAAAGTCATAACCCAGGGATACTATGTAGCAGCAACAATGCTAATTTGCTTTGCAAGACTCCTAGAACTTTCCAGGAAAAAAAGCTACATTATTTTCCAGAAAAAAAAGTCAATTTGGGAGGTGTAAATATTATTGGTAAAATGACTGTCATAACTTGATTCACCAACATATTCTGGCAAGGGCAAGGAGGAGTGTCGCCAAGGCTTGCTCCCAGCCCAGAGTAATAGAGCCTGGCCCGTGAAGTGTAATACACTTCACAACTGTATTAGCTTCTTGATGTCCACCCAAGGAGTATATTTTGATAAAAGCTTTCATAGAGTGAAAATTCCTTCTCAAGATGCAACTTTTCACAACTCCCTGCCAGTTCAGGCCCATCTTATCATCCTGAAAACCTACATTCCATAAAAAGTAGCAGGGACATTATCAGGAGAATGGAAAGGAGAAAATTCCCATTGTGACCCTCACCCCTACTGGGGACATGAATCACCTCAGAGATTTTATCTAGCATCTCCTTTCTTGTGGTCTCTTGGCATTTTATGACACACTGAAACATCCTATATAACAACTTCTCTACCCTTTATTTATTGAAATTATCACTACCTGAAAATACTTTTTTACTTGTACTTAATCTTTCACACCAAAATGTAAACTTAGTGAGGACAGGATCTTGTCTTTGTTGACCACTATACTCCCCAGCATCTAGGACAGAACCTGGCACAAAAAGTGCCCACAAACTGTGGTAAATGATTTGGTAAATTAATGAATGGATGATTTTGTGCTAACCTTGCATCTTGCCACCAACAGTATTGTTCATGTTCTTCCCCACATCCAATATCAGTAGATTTTTTAAAGGCATGAATCCTACATATTACCCAGTAGTTCCCAAATTTCAACCTGCATAAGGATAACCTAATGTGCCATAAAGATACAAATCCTAGCCCAAGCCCTATAGATCAGATTTAGTAGTCTAAAGGTAGAACCCAGGCATCTGGATTTTTAGCAAATATTCCAGACAATGCTGAAGCACATTAGGAAACAGTGAGCTGGGGAAAAGATTAATGCAAAACCGTTTCATATAGAACATTAATAGGTAAGAAAGACATGATGCTAGAGAACTGTAATAATGCCTTCTTTGGAAAATAAAGAGAAATAGTAGCCCAGGCAGATTCACCTTCAGAAACCCTTTAGTTAGGTAAAGAATCCAGGATAGTGTTTGTGAGGTTTCCTTTGCACCCATTGTCTCTACCAAATTCATTAATTTTTTTCTAGGGTTGAACTGTGCAAATCTAAATGTTACGAACATTTCAATCTTCTGTAAATTCTTAGCCAATAAGAAATTTAATCATGTGTAATTTTGAGCCTTGTTAGCTTTATACTATTTTGATTACTTTTCATCAAGTCCAGTTTTTCCCAGGTGTAATTTTTCCCGTCAAGTCCAATTCTTTTCAGAACCTCTAATATCTTAATGTGCTTACAGCTTTCAATTTTGCCAAACAGATTTTATGTTACAACTAGTTTGCCAAACACACCAAATTTTACCATGTTAAATGTTTATTGTTTTCATTTTTCTTTATATTATTATTTCTTTTTTGTTGTTATTTTTCATTTTTTAGATGGAATCCCATTCTGTCACCCAGGCTAGAGTGCAGTGGTGTGATCTCAGCTCACTGCAACCTCTGCTTCCCAGGTTCAAGTGATTCTCCTGCCTCACCCCCGGTGTAGCTGGGACTACAGGTGCACACCACCACACCCAGCTAATTTTTGTATTTTCAGTAGAGACGGGGTTTCACCATGTTGGCCAGGCTGGTCTCAAATTCCTGACCTCAAGTGATCCGCCCGCCTTGGCCTCCCAAAGTGTTGGGATTACAGGGGTAAGCCACCGTGCCTGGCCTGTATTATTATTTCTACAGATAAAATTCATTACAAATTGAAATGAAAATATACTGACACTTGATATTTATTGCTCGAAGCAAATAGTGTTGCTAAGGCAAAGAAACATGATCTAAATGACAGAGGAAGTCAGACCATTCTGCTGCCAATTCTACTACTTCACTAAACATTCAAAAATAATAATTCCATGCTTGCCATGTGCCTTGCACTGTGCTAGGACCTAAGGACACAAAAACACATAAAGCCTGCCCTAAAAAGCTTACACTCTGGTGGAGGAACTCACACTTCTAGTAGGTTCCAGAATCATTCACATAACATTGGTCCCTTTGATGCCAACCACAGAGAGTTTGGTACCAAAACTATCCCATTAGATCAAGGCAGGGTTCCACGTGTTTCTAACACCCCAGGCAACCCCCACATAGTACTTATGGTGCTGTGTCTTAATTTCCATTTTTCATGTGTCTCCCACCCGTGCTCCATTTCTAGCCTACAAGGAAACTTTAATATACATATATAGAGGCTGGGTGCAGTGGCTCTCACCTGTAATCCCAGCACTTTGGGAGGCCGAAGAGGGCAGATCATAAGGTCAAGAGATTGAGACCATTCTGGCCAACACGGTGAAACCCCGTCTCTACTAAAAATACAAAAATTAGTTGGGCGTGGTGGTGCATGCCTGTAGTCCCAGCTACTCGGGAGGCTGAGGCAGGAGAATCGCTTGAACCCAGGAGGTGGAGGTTGCAGTGAGCCAAGATCACGCCATTGTACTCCAGCCTGGTGACAGAGCAAGATTCTGTCTTAAAAAAAATATATATGTATACACACACACACACACACACACACACACACACATATATAGATAGATAGATAGATAATAGAATTACTCTCTAAATCAACAAATATTGAAAACATGTTTATTCCCAGCTTGGTAGTGAGGACTAAGCTCTGATTTTTTTATCTTGCTCAAATTCCTATCTAAGGGGTCTGAGGAGTCATGCCCTACAAACTATAAATCCTCATCAGACGGGTTTTATTTAGCCCTATGTATCGTGACTTACTTTCCAACCTGACTCTGGCATAACATTATGAGACAAGGAAGAAAATCAAAATATTTTACCCCAAAACATGTTTTTTTGTTTTTGTTTTTGCCATATCTTGAAATGATCCTGCAAAGCCATCCTCTATGGGGGAAAATCAGCATCTGTAAAGAATCTCTATTAACATAGCTAGATCTTTTTCTTCCAGGCCCTCCCAAACCTAAAGAGATTAATTAAAAGTCTAGCTTCTTTTAAAGATCTGAATAGGAAACATCTGTCATCTATCACCTCTAAGGGCAGCCACCATAGAACTGCCCACCCTCCCACCTCCCACCTGCCTTTGAGTTTTTCCCGCCTTTCTGAACCAAACCAATGTATTTCTTAAATGTATTTGACTGTTGTCTCACGGCTTCCTAAAATGTATAAAACCAAAACTGTACCCCGACCACCTTGGGCCCATGTTCCCAGGACCTCTTGAGGGCTCATATTTGGCTCAGAATACATCTCTTAAAATATTTTACAGAGTTTGAGTCTTTTAGTCAAGAGGAGTTGAAGGGATGGCAGGTTATAGCACAGTGACCATCAATAAGTAGAAAGCAAAAATAACTTTAAAAATATTTAAAACATACGTAATACTTTGAACCAAATGTTTCCTAAGTTCATCCAACTAAACATTCATTTCATTTATTTCACAATTTTTCTTGAAATGTGGCTGCTACTCTGCATATAAGAAAGACTATTATTTTCTTTTATATCTTTTCCAATTAAAATTCAGGCACCTCGTCTTGAAAAATTGGCTTAAAGCAGAATATACCAAAGGGATACATTATTACATTAGATGTCACAGGGGAGAAAGGTCTTAATAGTCAAATAAATATGAAATGTTGGATTAACAAAGTTCACCAGAATTATTGTGGGATTTCTCAGAACCTGTAATATGCTAATATGTGTTATGAATCTCTAGCAGAAAATAGTGCATGCAGCATTTCACAAACTTATTTGCCCAGGGAACTGCTTTTTTTTTTTGTAAAGAAGCTCTCAGGAAAACTTTGGGAAAGCATGTTTAAGCCATAGACATTTTCCTTTACTCAGAAGTATGATCAATGAGAAACATGGTGTTTTATTCTGATTAATTCATGATCCACCCATTCACTGGACAATGTATAAGAAAATCACAAGAGAACATTTCCAAAGCAAACCAACGAATAACACAGCAACCTGTATATTGCCCTTTGCCCCAACATTTACAAATCACCATACAAGGATATTTATAACGACATCTCTTGTAATACTTAAAAATTCACAAACCACCTTCATATCTTACTTGGATCTCACAATACTGTATTATCACTCCTATTTTACAAATGAAGACCCTGAGATTCTGTGACATAAAGTTACTTGTCCAAGATCTCACCAGGTACTGAATGGTGGAGCTCATATGTTAACCATTAGACCTTTTCTTTTGAGGATCAGAGCTTCTCCTCCACAGCATATTGCCTCCTCAGTGTATCAAACGGCACACTGAGTTTGTAGACCAATAACTGCCTCAAAACCAATCACAACCAGCGTATCCTAAATATAATAGGATATGAACAGCATTCTGGAAACATGGAAATCACAGACCAATCAAGAACCATACTAATATTTAGATTCAAGCATTAGATTCACTGCTCCTGTTGGTCCCAAATCAACTTATATATTTTAAACTGCAACCCTGCATTTCCATTTCACAGGCTCCCTGACTGGAAAAGGACAAGAGCCTAAAAGGTAACGTATACATGGAAAAAGTAGTTTCCTCATTACCTCCAGGCTGCGCAAGGCTGGATTTCAATATTGTGGGTGGATACATGAGCACCTCCAGCTACAGGAAGAAAGTCATATTTAGCTCCCAACTACTCTGGCTGCATTTGTACTGTTTCTAATGACTGTTTGGAACAGTAACAAATTATCACCAAAAAGGCAATGGTTCCAAAAGGACCACGTTATTCTTAAATGGACTGTAACTTTCATGGAAACGAAATACTAATTAACTGGCCGTTAGCAATCCATCCATCAAAAAATGTTATCCTCTCTGATGTTCTCAACTAGCAGCGAGAAAATTCTGCTCCAGACTTTGGTGTGAATAAATCTGCCAGGGAAAATATGTATCTCATACATGTCTATTTGTGGAATGGGGAAACACTCCTATGCTATGTGCATATTCCAGACAGCTCACTTTATTCTGTTGCAAAATTGTCTATGCAAAATTATGTACCTATATTGTTAAAAGTATCCTAAAATGTCACTTTTGAATTCTAAGCATAAGAGGACCACATAGCCTATTGAACTGATTATGCATGTATAACATTTACATTGTGACTCATATAAAAAAAAAAAGAAAATTTGCCTAATTTCTCAGTTGAGGAAAGTCATGGTAATATCACTACTCCAGAATTTGCAAGTTAAGCAATGAAAGCATAAAGTTTCAGTCCGAAGTGAAAACAGTGAGCTATATTCTGAAACTCAGAGGACTAGAAAGCAATCTAAAAAGTAGGAATGAGATAATACAACCAGAAAAACAAACCACAGAATCATGGGATTGCACGTGAATTAGCCTGTTGCCATGAGAGAACTATATCCAAATGTTTCTCCTCTAATGCCAACTAGAGGAGAAACATAAGTAACACTTTTCATGGGTAACACTGGGGGAGATAAACCACGTGTCCTTGCCAGTTAACCATTTTGATGTTGTAAGAAGTGGAGAGATGAAAATGGGAGACAAGATTAATTTTTTTTAATTAAAAATAAAATAAAACAGCTGGGTTGGTTTCTTTTGAAGACTGGAGCAACCACGGCTTGGAAACTATCTAAGTAGAGTCTATGCTCTCAAGAATTCAGAAAAACAATCGTAGCTTTTTATCAGCTAATCAGACCACAGGACCACAGGAGATCCAGGAGTTCAAAACAGGAAGGGCTTTGCTGGCAAACCATGCATTTATTACAATATATGTTGGATAGTGAGGTGGAATAGTGTTGCAGTTTAAGAAAATGGGCTCCAGAGCCATATGTGCAAGTTCAGATCTCAGCTCTGTTACTTATTAGCTTTAATAGCTTAAGAAAGTTACATAACTTTTCTCTGCCTCAATATCCTCATCTTTTTTTGAGATGGAGTTTTGCTCTGGTTGCCCAGGCTGGAATGCAGTGGTGCCATCTCAGCTCACTGCAACCTCCGCCTCCCAGGTTCAAGCAATTCTCCCACCTCAGCCTCCTGAGTAGCTGGGATTACAGGCGCCCGCCACCACACCCAGCTAATTTTTTGTATTTTTAGTAGAGACGGGTTTCACCATGTTGGCCAGGCTGGTCTCGAACTCTGACCACGGGCGATCCACCAGCATTGGCCACCCAAAGTGCTGGGATTACAGGCGTGAGCCACCACATCCGGCCCTATCCTCATCTTTAAAATGGGGATAATAGTAGCACCTACCTGTGCACGTTATTAAACTATTGTTTCTTAGCTTCAAACCCACCCCTCCAGTACTCTCTTTTTCGATGCTGGGGCTGGGACTCTGGAAGTCACATTTCTGCTTTGCCACCCTGCTCTCTTTTTGGTTCTGCCAGTGGTATGGAAAGGGGAGGGCGGTGGTGCTAGAGGGAGCCTGGAAGACTGAAAGAGGAAAAAAGGACACTCGATCTTCCCATCAGTCTCCCCAACCTCTCTTCCTTATCCAGTCGGTGCAGCAAGTTCCAGTAGCAGTAGTTCATTCCAGCTTGCAGTTTTTCCTACACTCTCAGAACCAGGCTCTTTGCACCTCCTCAGAGACACCAGCACCAGCTGGCAGCAGCCTCTCCTCAGGGGACCAAGTTTTAGTTCCTTCTCCAAGCTTCTAAATTTTATCATTTCAACCTCTTCCTTTGTTCCTCCATCCTTAGAGGTTTTATCTGCTTCCTACACTGGCTACCTCTGTGAAACATTTGTGTTCTTTTCTGGCCTTTTCAGTTATTCAATACATGGCTAACATGTATATTAACACAATTAATATTCTTTATATCACATTATTTTTGTTAAATTAATTGATGTGTGAAAAGACCAGCTATAACTTGGGAGAAAACATTTGCAAATTACATCTTTCATAAATGACTTATATTTAGAATATTTTAAAAACTCTTATAACTCAAAAATAAGCCAAACAAGCAAATACTTGAATAGAAATTTACCAACTAAGATGTGAATGGCTAATAAGCACATGAAGAGTTGCTCAACATCATTATTCACTTAGGAAATGCAAATTTACACCACAATGGGATACCACTGCAAACCTACAAGTACTGCTATAATCAAAAGAACAGATAATACCAAGTGTGGGCAAGGATATGAAGAAACGAACTCTGTGACATTGCTCATGAGAATGTAAAATTGTACACCCACTCCAGAAAATAGTTTAGGAGTTTCTTTAAAAGTTAAACATAAATGTACCATACAACCCAATAATTCCAGTCTTAGAAATCTATTCAAAAGAAATACAAACATTATTGATAACAGTCAAAACTGGAAGAATTCAAACAGCCATCAACTGGGAGAATCATAAACAAAATATGCTGTGTTTATACAATAAAAATTCTATTCAGTAATGAAAAGAAACAAACTTTGGATACATTCAACAACATGTACGGTGCTTAAAAGCATTATATTAGTGAAAGATGCCAAGTGCAAAAGGCCACATATTGTAGGATTCCATTTATATAAAATATCCAGAAAAGGTAAATTTGTGGAGATATAAAGCAGATCAGTGGTTGCATGAGGCTAGAGGTGGAACTTGGCCTCAAGCAACTACTGAGTGCACACAGACTCAAGAGAATTTTGGGGGGGTTGATGGTAATGTCCTAAAACTGGATTATGGTGATCATATTACAACTCTATAAATTTACTAAAACTCATTGAATTGTACAATTTTAATGAACAAATTTTTGAGTATATAAATCACACCTCAATAAAACTTTAAAAAGGTATGGTTTACGTCTCCCGGAGAGACCCTGAATGATGTAACCCTCATAAGATCGCTGTGAATATAAAATAAGTTTATAGAAGATGTATAGCACAGTGTCTGTAAGGGCTGGTAAGTATGTAGTAAGGGCTATATGTGTTACTGTTATTATTACTTTGTCCTACCACAAATTAAATATTATATGTATGCAGCACTTGGTACAATGTTTGGCATATAGTAGATGCTTAATAAAAATTAATATCAGTGCAGAACAATCTGGCCATGCCTCATAGGGCAGTACAGCCAAAAGAAGTTATCCACATGGAAACCACAAAATTGTTGGTCTTTGGGAAGGCCATGCAGACAAAAACAAAACAAAACAACACACACACACACACACACACACACACGTACATGTGTGCACACCATGTCTGGAAAAGGACAAAGATGCTAAGGCCGAAAGTCAGGGGCAGAAAAGGAAAGGAAAGATTAGGTAGAGGCAGGAACAAAGAAATAAAAGAGCCAAGAAGTACTGGTGAACATAAAGGAGGAGATTACGCGCCGCAGAAATGGGACCCTACCTCATCCACTGCATTCAGGTAGCGGATGTCTGCAAGCATGTTGCCTTGACCTGGGTCCTGGAGTTTCTTGTTAAGCTAAAATCAATCTTAAAAGTCTCAAACTGAACCGTTCAGGTCCCTTTTTTTTGTCTCCCTCATACTTCCTTTCAAAAAATGAGAGGGTAGATCTCATGTTAAGTGTTCTTACCACAATAACAACAACAACTAAAAGAGGCTGCACAGAGTTTTAACCACAAGCAAAGTATTATTCAAACCCAAACTGTTCTGGTGGGGAACATAAAGGCAGCAAAAGCTGCCTGGCAAGGGCTCCTAATTCAGCCCTCCTGAATTTCACAGTAAACCTATCAAGTCTAAATCACATGCCCCACTGCTAATGAGCTGACAGCTTCACTCAATACTTCTCTCTATGGATAAACATCCTAGCAAGAACACTGAATTCCTAATGAGAGGAAAGCTGGGTTTACAGGCAAGAAATGATAGCCAAAGAATTGCAATGACAAGTTTCTAAGTGCTGGGCTAAAGGCTTTAAAGGCTTAAAGTTCAAAAGGACAAGGGGAAAGTAAGCCTTGGGGAAATAACTACTTCTAGGAAATGAACCATTACAGAGATGTAATTTGCTCCCTGTGTCTTTAGACAAAATTAAAACAAAAATTACTGAGGCCCTCCTTCCCCCTAAAGTCTCAACAATTCCTAAGCAACAGTGACTTTTATCTGCAAGTCATTACAACTCAATTTTTTATTTGCCTGGGCAGCCAAAAACAAAAGCAAACCAACCAAAATACTGCACACATTTTTTTTCTAATATTATGTGAATAGATCCAGAATTTCCAAGTTGGAAAATATACCCCCTATGCTGATATTTCCAAATCCACTATTTTTAGCCATAGTCATCAACAAGCCAGTTTTTCTCCCTGTTCCATCTGCTTAACATCTGACGATCTATACCCCAAAGCCATAAATAGCTCATTTGATCTGACCCAACATTAATGCTAGGTAATGGTTAAACTTAGTTCTGTCTTAATACACAGAAGTTTGAGTACAACAACATAACAATTCTCTAGTCTGGAAATAGGAGAGTAAGAAAGATGTTGACGACATAGGTTACAAGTTAACCATAGAACATCTGATTCCCAAGCTGGAAATACAAGGGCTGCCCTGATGTTTACAGTCCAAAGGAACTCAGAACTCAACCCCTAAGTCATTCTTTTTGATGATCAAATGCATTATTCATATGCATGTAGTAAAGGTAGAAACTTTATAGAACCTTATAAACATTAAGACTGTCTCTCTAGTATTTTAGTTTTATCATTGGAACCCAGCTTAATCCACCTGAATATAATTAATCCACAAACTCCATAGCAAACTTAAACCACTTATCAGATAAAACTTAATGGCAGACTAATGGAGCCAGAGGGCCCCATGCAGTCCGGACTTTACTACATTTAGAAAACATGCTTCAGGACAATCATAAGTAAGCTGCGAAGTATTATCATAACTATATAATTAACAACCATCCACACTTGGCAAAATAAATGAGAAAAAAACCTACATTTAGCAGTGCTGGCTGTTTGATTTATTTTTTCTTTCCTGGCTATCTTTCAAAATTCAGCAATCCACAAATAAACTACCCCATCTCTAATACAAGTTACCTAGGTTCTCATTTCTGTTTCATTTTCTCGATATTGTATTTACTGAATCCCTAGGAATCACTCTTTTATCAAGAATGTAGTCAAAGCCATTCCCATAAAATGCATTCATACTGGCAAGCAGGAGAATATAATTTTGTATTAGGATGATAAGCAGAAACCCATCCTATAGAAGTGGGAGGCACAGCTGGCAACAGTTAGGGAAATTACCTCTTATTTGTGAAGTCAGTCATAGAGAAAGGAAGGGAAAGCCCTTGACGGGGTGCTTGGCAAGATAAACTAGGTCACCTCCTCTGCATTAGACAAGACCTGCACATGCCAACCTTGTCTACAGCCCAGTAATTTCAGAATTTGCTTTCTGTCTTCATCTTCTGCCATCATCCTGGATAATATTCAGCTTAATTTATTTCAGCAGGGATTTATTAAGCATCCACTATGTGCCTGACAACATGCTAAGGTCTGGGATACCAAAATAAAGAGGACCTTTGGCCCTATCCTAATAAACTCACAATCCAGCACTCTGTTCCCCTCTTCCTCCATCTTCTCAAAAAGATAGTGCAATTCCTGCTCCATTTCAATCACTCACAGGTCTTAGTATCTTTAGGGCCTCATCTTTATTGAGCACTGTTTTACCCTCAGTGTTCTCTGAGTGTCCAAAACTTCCTTTCCATCTTTCCCACACTCTTGTGCCCAAAGAACGCTCTCTGCTCTCACAAGAGACCACAGGAAACTTCAAACTCTTCTGTTTTTCTCCTAAGCCAAGTTGCCAAGGGAAATCATTCCAAGATGACCCAGTCTTACATTTAGATGTCCTCATCCCTGGTCCTGGTGTGTCAAATAATGAAAAACACGCCATGCCAACTGGGTCTGCTACAATTTCTGCTGTTTAACTTCGAGTTCTTCCTGGACTCCAAAATGTTTCTATTCCTCACACATTTGTTCCAAACCTTTTCTCTACCCTTCAGTATATCCATCTCCCCTCCCCGCCCACACATTCTAGGAAGATGGCCTAGCTGGAAAGAGGCTTTTCTTTTTTTTTTTTTTTTTTGAGACGGAGTCTCGCTCTGTCGCCCAGGCCGGACTGCGGACTGCAGTGGCGCAATCTCGGCTCACTGCAAGCTCTGCTTCCCGGGTTCACGCCATTCTCCTGCCTCAGCCTCCCGAGTAGCTGGGACTACAGGCGCCCGCCACCGCGCCCGGCTAATTTTTTGTATTTTTAGTAGAGACGGGGTTTCACCTTGTTAGCCAGGATGGTCTCGATCTCCTGACCTCATGATCCACCCGCCTCGGCCTCCCAAAGTGCTGGGATTACAGGCGTGAGCCACCGCGCCCGGCCGAGGCTTTTCATCTTGTTGATGCTACCTCGCCCTCTTCACTACCTTAAAAAAAAAATCACAAAAACAATCACAGGATCTCCACTCATCATTCCAGTCTGTCTTAGAGGGAAAAGCATCCCTATTCAGGATGGAGTCTTCTATCCTCTTTTTACCACTCGCTCCCACCTCCTTTTTTATTTTTTTATTTTTTATTTTTTTTGAGACAGAGTTTCACTCTTGTTGCCCAGGCTGGAGTGCAATGGCGAGATCTTGGCTCACTGAAACCTCTGCCTCTCAGGTTCAAGCAATTCTCCTGCCTCAGCCTCTAGAATAGCTGGGATTACATGCATGTGCTACCACGCCCGGCTAATTTTGTATTTTTAGTAGAGACAAGGTTTCTCCATGTTGGTCAGGTTGGTCTCGAAATCTCGACCTCAGGTGATCTGCCTGCTTTGGCCTCCCAAAGTGCTGGGATTACAGGTGTGAGCCACCACACCCAGCCTGCTCCCATCTCTTTCACAACCTTTAAATGGTAGAAATCCTCTTTCTCCTGCACCCTCAGTATCTCTCTCAACTGACTCCTTCTCTCAAAGTATAAATTTCTAAAGTCTCTTCCAGCCTAAAAAAGAAATTTTAACATCCTGCTATCTCTCTGAGCTGACAATAATCTCTTCCTTTATTTACTTTGCCAAATTTAGAGCAAGAATCTTCTCCAGTCTCATCTTACCGTTGAAGAAAACAGGGTTAAATGACGTGCTCCTGGTTTCATTCTACTGGCGTCCAACAAAGTTAAATGACCTGCCCACAGTTACACAATGTGTTCTTGCTAGAGTGGACAAAAATATAAGGATGCAACAGGTTTTCACCATGATGTGATTCCCTTTCTCCTAACACCCTATCCTTTCTCCCAACACCTAAATCTAGTTGTGACCATAACCCAGCATTCTCCACTGCTAGAACTTGTCCCCAAGACAAGAGTACAATTTTGGTAGAAGATCTGGGTTCTTTGGACTTATGTACAGGGCAAAGTGGACATGAAAATCTAACTTCTACTGCCAGCTTTGCAATTGTTTGAACTAAGCCATTTTTCTTTTCATAGTCCCTCTTTGAAGTGTGTGTGTGTGTCAATGGTTAATGTTTCTTTTACATTTACTCTAGTTGTCTTTTTCAGCTCACAGAGAAAATGCAGTCCACAACAAAAGAATTTGCTGGACCACATGCTGAAGAAGGCAACTACTAGTAAACAAGTCCCCCCACCCTCACCACACTGTGATTTCATCAAACTTTGCCTATAGCCAATGGCTCTTATTACACATTCAAGAGGAAATCTTTGGATAACAACTGCCTGTTTGTTTCTTCTGTCTCCCAGGCTATCTAGAAAATGACTAAATCTCAAGGTTAGTTTTGCATGGCTGATTATGGGGTGGAAATCTTTACAGAGCACTCTCCTTGCGACTCTACTTTTAATACTCAGATATAGGAAGCTTCAGCTGCAGCACTTGTTTATTCTGAATGTTCATGAGACCACATAGGAAAATCAACATTTGAATTAAATATATTCCAAGCCTTGATGATCTGCTGAATAGCTTAAACTTGTTAACCTGTTAACAAGACAAGGAGGAGGCTTGTAAAAGCTAATTAAATCAAACCTATTCTGGGAGACTCTACTACTGCTCACCAAAATCCAGCATCCTTCCTGCTTTTCCAATAAAATGTGAACAGAAAAATCATGTCACTCTGGGTGAAAGCTTTAAGAGGCTGCTTCACCAGGCCCTCTTCCCTCTGCTATATGCAGTCCCAATGGCAAGGATCTGACTAGGTTAAATGAGGCATCTGTGGTACAAATTTGAAGGAGGCGTTCACTCCCAAGGTCATGTGAATTCAAGGTTAGCGCTTGCACAACACTGAGAGTGGATGCCACAGATACCTCACCTGTCTCAGCCTAGAGCCAGCACTGCCAGACAGTGGCTGCTCCATCAGCCTAGATCCCCAGGTGAGGATTGCACCAACACAGAGCCACCTCATCACCTGCATGCGCACGTCATCAGAGAAGTAAGGAGTGGTTCAACTACTGAGATTTGAGGAATTCTCCGTTACTGCAGCAGCATCTCCCATCACATACTTATCCTTCCAACATTACAAATCAGAAACCATTTATAATTTTAAAATATACCAACAGAGAAAGAGGCTGTATTCTTGAAACTGCTGTTGCAAAGATTATTACAGTGGGAAAATTATGACAGTGAAAGATTGCTGACCTAACTGACTGTATCTTGCCTTTAACCACCAAGCTGCCCTTGGTTCATTCCTGAGCACAGGCTGAACTAACTTTGGGAGGAATCTAATCTGTAGTTTGACTTTTAAACAAAGGTGATAACAGTCGCCAAAACAAACTCCCTTCTCCCTTGAGGAGAAGACTGCCCTTGTCAAACCAACAAGTTAGCTATAAGATTACAAATTACAGCTCAGGAGTAATGCAGCCAGAGGCTACAAGATTCCTAACCTGCCCAATTGTTCCTATAGAGAACATTAGCATTGTAAAACCTAAGATTGGTGTTTGAGGTATTTTTTTCAGACCCTGCATTCTGATGCCTCTGGGCACCACCCAGGCAAGTAAACTTGCTCATCTGGTTTTGTAGCTCCCACCCAGGAACTGATTCAGCACAAGGGGACAGCTTTGACTCCCTATGATTTCATCCTTGATCCAACTAATCAACATTCTCCATTCCCTAGCCCCATGCCCACCAAACTATCTTCTAAGAACTCTAGCCTCTGAATTTTCAGGGAGGCTGATGTGAGTAATAATAAAACTCTGGTCTCCCATTTAGCTGGGTGTACAGTATTAAACTCTTTCTCTGTTGCAATTCCCCTCTCTTGATAAATTGGCTCTATCTGGGCAGTGGACAAGATGAACCCATTGGGCAGTTACATCCTTACATAGCATTGAGGAAACAGCATGAGGTTTGCTGTTAGGCAGACCTGGATCAGCATCCTAACACTTACTAAGTGACTTTATAACATTTATAATAAAATCCTCAGTTTCCTGTCTGTACAATGTGACTAAAGATACCTTTCTCAATTGTTTTCAGAATTAAACAAAACATCTTAGGCAAATGACCTAGCACATGTGACCTCAAAACCTGGCAATGGCTCTTTTTATGATGTAATGAGTTTACTAATTCCAGCCTCCTTCAGAAGGACGGTCTGAGGCTTATTCCACACAGCGCCTCAGAGGGTCCCCAGCAGATAGAGCCCCAGTGGCCTGCAGGTTACCCAGCTCAATAATACACCTTTGGCTGACTTTTCCTCTTAGTTGTCTATGCTTACTGATCTCTCACTATTATTTCTGAGGAGCACCTCCCAAATAAACTGCCTGCACCAAAGTTCTTGTCCCAGCCTCTGCTCTAAGGAGAACCCCCAACTAGAACCCAGGAACATCTCTGGGAAGAAGAAGACCTAGCAGGGAAGAGGGAAAAGTCCAGGAGCATTTCTGCATCACACATTCACATCCCCTAGTTCCTGGAGAACCTCAGTGTTGGTCAGGTGGTGTAATGCCAACCCTTTAAAAGAGGTGGATCCCAAAGTGATTTCTGACCAATAATCACAGTTATTCTTGCAGCATCAAATCTTACATTGTGTCAAGAGAGCAGAAAATTATTGCCTGTCTTTTTTAATCCGGATAGATTTGTATATCTTGAAATCACAGTGGTCTCTCTCATTACTCCAAGATTACCTTGTTCCTAAACCCTTGCTACTTTGACCCCATTACAAGCATACATTTAATCATCAGATCTTAATTATTTTTGTAGAAACCTATTATTCTGTGAGTCAGAAATGAAGATCGTTTCCTCAAGGCCTTCTCTGTGTTACTAATAATAATGTCTTATATTTATGTAGTACCTTTCCTTGACAAGCACAAAATGCTGCCTGTACATTATCTCGTTAATCCCAAGGGTGGCTCACAAAGTAGTGCGGGGCCAAAGGCTGCTATTTACCTATTCCTTGCTTCTCCTTCAGCTCCCACTTTCAGATGGAAAAGTTCAAAAGCAATTTAGAAATTAAAGCTTCTTTACCAAAATCAGTCATGAGAGATTTTCCAGATGCTATTTAGAATGTACCTTGACAATGTACAACAATTATTCCAGGCCCTTCACACAAACACAGATTAAAGTAACAACAAAAATCAATAGGAATCTATAAATACAATCAATATACTCTGCTAGAAGGCTCCTGAAACAATGGAAACAATGTTATTCTATTTTCCCACCAGCCTTAAAAGGGGATGATGCTACCAAGGCTCAGAGCAAGGGTTGGCAAGCGTTTTCCGCAAAAAGCCAGATCATAAATATTTTAGGCTTAGTGGGCCATCCAGTCTCAATGGCAACCACTCAACTCTGCCCTTGTAATGCGAAAACAGCCATAGACAATACACAAGTGACTGAGCATGGCTGGGTTCTAATAAAACTTTATTTATGGACACTGACATTTGACTTTCTTGTCATTTTCACATGCCACAAATTATTCTTCTTTTGATTTTTTGGCCATTAAAAAATGTAAAAGTCATTCTTAGCTCCGCTTTTGCATGTAGAATCATACAAAAACAGTCCACAAGAGGAATTTAGCCCATGGGCTATCGTTTGCCCATCCCTGGCTTAGAGACCAAAGTGGGGATCTTTGAGTCTTCACAGCAGTTGATCTCCCTATTTCCACTCTCCTCTGAAGTCTTTCTTCAAAGTATTTCTTGTTTTCATCCTGGGCAAGAAGTATGTAAATGTATACACACACACACACACACACACACACACACACACACACACACACACACGGAAGCACTTTTTTAAAAAAACCCAACAACTCACTGTGGAAATCAACCTCCCTAAAGCTGAAAATATAATGACTACAAAGCCTGTGTTTTATCATCAAGCTCCATGTATATTTCTGGGGCTGGCTGGCTCACCTGCTATAAGGCAGACATAGAATTGGGGCTCCTCTTCAAGTCCAGTTTGCTTTTTCCCAACCTCCTACTTCACCTGCTCAGTTTCCTCCCTCTGGCTTCCCATTCTCTGAGCTTTATCTGGATGCATTTACCTTATCAGTTCATTAAGCATTCATTAAGATCTTACTTTATGGCAAGTTCTGTGCCAGGTACGATAAAGTATGACAAGCATGAGTACAGACATATGAGCAGGTGCACAGCAAGCACAGGGGAGGTTAACTGTGGAACATGATACATTGGAACGCAAGACTCCAAAGAGCAGGTTATGCATGAGCTGTGTTTTTGGAGAGAAGAGGAGCTCTTCAAGTGAATTACTTGCCATTGCCCAGATCTTCCTACTGCGTGGCTTCCCTGGATCACCCACCCCATCCCTTTAAAAGTATAAGTGTGCTATGGCACTTCCTGGTGACTAGCTCTGGGAATAACTGTGCTGAAAATCCTTGTTACCATGGTGCAACGGAAAGTGTCAGGATTTGAGGATCAGACTGTCCTGCAATTGAAGCAACTATCTCACTTACTATTTGTGTGACTTTGGGTAAGTTACTAACTTCTGAGTGTCAGTTTATAACACATGATACAGAAAATTGTCATTGGAAAAAAATAAAACCATGTCTATGAAGTATTTAGCACATCTTATACATCCAACATACAATGTCACACTCATAAATAATTGTCTTTCAATAGGTGTTCCCAAGAGCTAGGCCAGCCCGACTGGAGCATGCCAGCAATGGCAATTAGAACACTGTGCTGGCCACTTTTTAAATCCAGGGCCCAGGTGTTATGGGCCCCTTAGACCATTTAGCGCATTCTACCCTTGATTCTCATTATCTGGGTGTTGGTGCCATTTCCTCCCCGCTAGACTGTGGACACAGAATTGGGTAGAATTCTTTCTCCCACAAAGATTAAAGCTGCTTATGGTTTCCTATGTGCAGGACTCAAGAACATGAATAGTCAAAGAATGGCCAAGATATATGAATTGGCTAAGTTAGTTTTGTGGAAAAGACCACATCAAATTAAACTTAGTTTTTTTACATATTTATTGAGTCATTCAGGATGGGAACATTGACACTTCAAAAAATTAATTTTATCTGAAATATGTCTTTCAGTGACCCAAATCAGCTAACAATCGCATCTATGATAGTATATAATAATTTTAAATTTTATTTTTAACTTGTAAAGTGACATAAGTGAAGCCTAACATAGGACCTTCTGAAGGCTCTATCAGGTGTCTAGTGTTCCACTTATGCCAGTAAATAAATTCCTCCTTAGTGGCTTCAAAATATTTAATGTTGCTTCTAAAAGAGCTGAAAATATTCCCAAGGAGAAATCTCTGTATTGAGGGCAATAAATATGCAACGTGTGGTTTCTAGTTGACAAGGAAGAAGCATAGGCGTAAATAGAAGGGTATTCTCAGGCTGGCCCTCTTTGTGTATCTCTGCACATCTGCCCCATGCAGGCTCATCCAGGGGAAGGTCTATTTCACTCCCTGGCTCCAGGGCACTGTCAGAGTCCATTTTCCTGGTGATCCATAACTCTTGTTGGAAATTCATCTATGTCTGTCAGTAGCAACACATTTGGAAAACATTTCTCCAAACTGTCACCATTGCAAAAGGATCATTATGCTGACATCCATCGAGCAACAGCTCATGCTATACACAGAGGAAAGGATCCACAAATCACAGCTCTCAATAAAGATCCAGCCTGAAAAGAATTTATCGAGAAGAAAAGAGCCATGGCAGTAAAATATTCCCAGGAACCCCAGTACAATAACCTAGCTAAATCTCAGTTTTGTTTCTGACAGGCCAGAGATTTATGATCATCTTCCCAATCAGCATGCTCTAAACAAAAGCTTCTTGTATCTGAAGATCTCCATCACTGGCTCTGTGAAAGTCACCCAATGCTGTATTGTCTTTATGGCTCAATACACTTTCAAGTTGTCTAAGTAAAGCCTGCCTATGCTCTCACGTTATAAGCTGTACATGTAGAACAACAGGCTAAAACAACTTACATCTCAACTCTGTAAGGGAACTAAGGCTGGCACTTGTCAAAAACAGGTAAATCCCGTGCTAAAACAAAGGTAAACATATGAAACTGACACTTTTAAATTACACCCTACTGACCCCCAAAGAGAAGTATGTTTCAATTTCGAGCCCACTGTGGTCAGACCAAATAAAAATCTGATTATTTTTTATACACACAGTAATAATACACTTGGCATAAAATTTACATTTTAACCATTTTAAAGTGCACAACTGAACGGTATTAAGTGCATTCACAATATTGTACGGCCATACTACCAGTTCCGACACTTTTTCATGTTTCCTAGATGGAAACCTCATACGCACTCAGCAGTCAGTCTCCACTCCCCCAGGTCCTGGCAACCACAAATCCACAGTAAATGTGTCTCTTCTGGATATTTCATATAAATAAACTCATATGCTATGTGGCCTTTTGTGTCTTTGATGGATTCCCTTCCGCCATTGCTGTAAATTGCCTGATCCCATTGTTTATATTACCTTCCCTCACCCTAATACCAGGGCTGTCTATGGGATTTGTGATTGTCCATTTTATGTATAAATAGACTAGGGTACAGCACCCCCAGTTTTTCAATCAAACACTAATTTAGCTGTTGCCATATAGGTATTTTGTAGATGTGATTAAAGTCCATCATCAGTTGGAAGCCTTAAGAGCAGAACTGAGATGAAAAAGAGGAAAGAGGAAGCTGGAGGAGAAGGAGGAGCAGGAGAAGGAGGAGGAGGAGGAGGAAGAGGAGAAATTCCACCTGCAGGAGGCAGCTTCAACCCATGCCTGAGTGTTCCAGTCTGCCCTTCCTGACAGCTTACCCTAGGGATTTCAGACTTGCCCAACCAGTCTTCACTATTGTATAAGCCAATTCCTTAGAATAAATCTCTTAATATTTATCTCCTTTTGGTTTTGTTTCTCTCATTGAACCCTGACTGATACAGGATGGGAAAGGGAGACTTAAATACATAATATGCTGATTTTTCTAGTCTGCTGAAGTTGGCTACCCGAAAGTTAGTGCTTACGGAGTTGTAAAGATGTCCTTTACAAATGGATGTTTTAGACAATCATTTACCCAGAAGCCCCAGGTCAATAACTACTAATTGCCTTTAAGAGGAGGAAAAAGACCTGACTCTATCTGTATCCTGGGTTCACATTTATATTTGTTAACCTGGTAGCTGGCTGTCAAAATTGCACGTGACTTGTCAAGGAAGCAAAGGTGATCTCTAGCTCTGAGAATAATCTGGGTTATCTTCATGATACTACGAGACCCAGAGAGCAAGAACATGGATGTCTTTACTACTTAGCTCTTTAGGTACAGTAGGTGAAGAATTCTGTGTGCACAACATCACTTGGGACTTCCCTCTGGAGTAACAACCTAGCATGCATTTTCCTGCTCATCTTTACCTATGAAAATCCTATTCATCCTTTAAGGTTTACCTCACAGACTATTTACTCAATAGTTTGAGTAATTTGGGGACCCCAAGTCCCCAAATTAAATGTGAAGGCTTTTGCCTTTTAAGCTTCTACAACACTCTGTTTCTCTCAGGCCAGAGGTCTCCAACCTTTTTGGCTCAGGCAGCAGTGCTCGCTAGCCCGCTGCTCACCTCCTGCTGTGTGGCTGGGTTCCTAACAAGCCATGACCAGTACCAGTCCGTGGGCCAGGGGTTATGGGCTCCTTAGGCCATTTAGCACATTCTACTCTTGATTCTCATTATCTGGGTGTTGGTGCCATTTCCTCCCCACTAGACTGTGGGAGTGATACATCTCTTGTCTTTGGGATCCTATAATGACTAGCACAGTGTATTTTGGTAGACTGTTTGCTGAACTGAATTAGTCCTAGGAGTCTGGAGGCAAATAGGAGTCAGAGAGTCCATCTTCAGTCTTCTTGGGTCAGATGTGGGTTTTTCTTTTTTTCATTTGTTCTGTGCTCTCCAACCTCCACCTACTCCACCTGTTCCAAGATGCATTAAAGGTAAAGGAAAAATACTTGCACCCTGTAGCTGCCATGGTCCAAATGAAACTACTTCTGACAATGACAAAAATGGAGAGATTTGGAAAAGTCAGGAAAGGATGACTCCAGGCCATTTATCTTTCCATGCCCTTGATTATTCCTTACTATCAGGTGTTTCTCAAACTAGTCCTCACCTAAGTTAAGGGTTAAAGTTGTTACCCCTTTCTTTGGGTGTATGGTCAGAGGCAGCCTGTAATCAACAGGAAGGAGTACAGGAAACAAGAAAGGAGGTTCTTTTATCTACTCTACTCTCCTTCTTGCCTGGAGTCTGCGTTCTGTTCTTTCTCATCACCTACCCTGGACTGAACAGTGACCAAACCTGGAAAAGTCACTGTAAACAACTGTATTTTTCATGCCTTCATTACAGCATGTTTTCTTCTATTACAAAAGCTATATCCTAATACAATCATTTCACTGATGGTTTGTCCTACAATCTTCCACATTGTCTTTGTTATTAATGCCTACCATATTACATATCATTATCTCTTAATTAGGTACATCTGTATAATGTACTATATCAATGATATAAAGATGAAAATTTATCTTTCTATATCATATATTTCTTATTAAAATGAGAATCTGTGCTGGCTTTGCCTTTGCATAAAATACATTAACTAATCCTTATGTCAGACTGACAACAGATTTAAAGATTTTTACTAATTCATCCTGGATAGATGCCAGTGGAGGAAGAGCCTTTGCCGCTATGTAGTTTCAGGTCCCGGTCCAATTTTTTAAACATGCGACACTTACTTTTGAGAATGAGTCTGTGGAAGGCTTTTTGGGGGAGCTACAATGGAGGGCAACCAACTATTTGTTAAAAAGAATTTTATTTTTCTAAGGTTGGTTCTCCTTCCTTAGAAACTGTAGTGAGTAGAAGGCCATGTCTAAGCTATAGTTTAACAGACATACTAAACTTATAGTGGGTGCTTGAAAAACGTCAATAGGTGAATAAACAGACAACAAGCAATTGTTCACTAAGTCCTAATGTGATTGCTAAATGAAAATTTAGTTTCAAGTTACTCTGGCTGTAGCAGAGTGTCTGGGTCACAGGGGACTAAAATTCATCTGGGCACCACCCCATCCATGGACTACATCTAGAGAACCATGCTGGTCCAAGTGTGACGTCTCAGGAGAGGTACAGACGATCTGAAATGCATACAACCCAAGGGCCCACTGTGATAAAGCAAAGGAATTATGTCATGTAAGGTACCATTGGGGGAATTGGGGATATTGACAACTGAGAAAAGGAGATGTTGTGGGGAAAGAAAAACCCAAGAGCAATAATCCAAGGCTCATTTGGATGTTCTCTCGAAGACGAATTACACATTTTATTTGTGGTCATGGAAAGCAGTACTATTTGGCCCAATACAGGAAGAGCTTTCTAATAATCAGGCATATCCAAAATTTTATAAGCAGTGTAAAATATTTTTTGGTTAAACAAAAATTCACTTGCATAAAGTGACTATATTTCAATTTGACCACTGAAAATTTAGCATCCAAATTGAGATTTGCTTTCATTGTTAAATATACACAGGATTTGAAAGACAGTACAAAAAGAAAAAGAATATAAAATATTTCACTAATAATTTTTATGTTGACTATATGTAGAAATTACTGTATTTTAGATATATTAAGATATATTATTGAAATTGATTTCACTCATCTCCTTTCACCTTTTTATAATGTGCCTACTAGAAATTGTGCAATTACATATGTGGGTGGCATAATATTTTAGATGAACAATGCTAGTCTAGAGAGATGGTCAGGGTCCTGACCATGACCTTCATCTCCTGAACTGGACAATAGGGTAGCAGTAGAAAAAGTTCAACTAACAAGCATATGAAGAGATAATTTTCAAACTCGTTAATAATTTAGAGAAATGTAAATTAAAACAATGAAATATCAGTTTATACAATCAGACTGGCCAAAATTAGAAAAATGAGAAAACTGGAAGTGCCAGTGGGGATGAGGGGATGCAAGACTGCTCGGCACTGCCAGCAGATGTGTGGGGGCTGGAGCAGCCAGGCTGGAGAGCAACAAACTGGCCCAAAGTGGTCCAAGTTAGCATATGTGTGCCCTATGGTCCAGCAATTCCCAAACAATCCCACCTAGGCTCATCAAAGAATGTGTACAAGATGTCCACTTCCCAGTTGTCTGGTGTGGTAGAAATCTAGGGGCAATCTGGGCATCTGTTGCCAGGGCAATGGACAGGGCGGAAATGTGGTGGACGCAACTCTGGAGTACTGTGCAGTCGTCAGCAATAACGAGCCAGAGGTGCATACAGCCACGTGGGTGGAGCTTCAAAACCTAGCACTGCGTGGAAACAGTTTAAAAATAAACAAATGGATAACAACAAGAGAAATAAATCTATAGCAGAATACCATTTACTGAAATTAAAAATGGAGGAACACAAGAGAGATTTTTTTTTACAAGAATCCATACAAACAAAAGGATACATATCAGACTTATTATAATGGTTTGTCAGTGGGTGAGGAAGCCAATGAGAGTGGGAAATGAGGAAATAAGAATAAAAGGGACTAACTAAAAATATATATATAAAGGAATAGAGAGACATGGAATTGAACCTTGCTTTTCCACTTACCAGGTAGGTGGCTCTGGACAAGTCACATAACTTTCTGAGCTTTAGCTACATCATCAGCAAATAACAAAATCAACACTGAAGGAGGGTTAAGAAAATCAAAGGCACTGTATATAAAGTGCCCAGAACTACACTGGTATATTCCAAGGCTCCTTAAACAGAAATGGCTAATATCACTTGGAGTTTATGCAGGTTCTGCTCACCAGTTTGAAGCACAATCTTCCCGCCCTATTAGGCACTAATGCTCATAGCTTATTTAACTTCAGGTTAACAGGGCATTGATGAAGAAAATAAGTTGCCATAATTCAGAATTACCCTTTATCTTACAGGAATTACTTTCACTCTGCAAACACTTCTTCCATCCAGAATCTGCTGCCTTTATTTATATACAAATGAATAATTTATCATTGTGTCTTTCAGGAACACAGTCCCAAACCAAGGCCTGAGGAAATATAAATATAAAAAGACTAATGTGATTCAGTGACAGAATGTTAAGAAATTTTGAGAAAACTGTGGTCCCTTGGATACCTTACCATCCTCATGTGGTCTCATCTGACATCACACCTCAGCAACATGGTGTACCCTAATTTACTCCTGTTTCATGCAGTTGCCTATAAGCACAGGTAGTTTTAATATGTGAATTTTCCCAACATTAAAAACTGCCAAATATCTTACACTTCTCCATTGTCTGGTTCATGATATGCTGGCTTTTTTGTTGTTGTTGTTCATTTGTAGTATAAAATGAATAAAATGTCTGGTTTCATGAACATGTCGGGGCTTTAGTGCTTCCTTATACATACATTGCAAACAAAAACCAGTAAATTTTAACCCCTTTGGAGCCTCTGGGAGGCATCCAGAACTGCAGAGGGATAATCGCCTTTCCGGGTAGCCCTTACAGGCTCCCCACTGAAATCAGGCACCAACCCAATGCACTTGGAAATTCACTCAATCTCAGCTGCCAACTTTCGAGTTTTTCTAGACTGTTTTTAAATGGAGTTGGGAAGCCCCAACTGTTACTGAAAGAGTAGCCAGGAACTCATGGTTATACCTGGATCCTTCCCACATCCGTGGAACCCAGAACCCTTGGCTGGAGATGTGGAAGTGAGGTCACGTGAACTGTCCTCCACTGAAAGAAAAGTGTGGAGAAACCTCCACCCCTGGAGAAACAGACTTATTGTTCTCTGCGTTGAGATCTTTCCTTCAGACTACAAAATGCTCGTGGTAAACAGGTGAAGTCTCAATAGTGCCTACTACAGGATTCAGAGTCAGGAATTCCAATTTGCAGGGTACATTAGGAAGATGAGGAGAAGCAGTGCTCATCAAAGGGGACATGCATTGTACATGAGCTGGTAGGACACAGGGTTGGGGCTGGAAGATACAGGCGGCTGCAGGAAGGTAGATTGGATGCCTTGAGGCATCTATTAAAGACCTGCTTTAAAAAAGCGGGGAAAGTGGTTAGAGTGCTGAGAATAATAATGAAAATAGCTAATATTTATGAAGTTCTTATTACATACTTGGTAGTATTCTAAGAATTTTACGTGCAAAAGTATTTTATATGTAAAATGGTTAAAATATAAATGTAATGGTAATAATTTACATATATTATTCATTTTCTATGCTTACAATATAAATATAATAGTAATAATTTACATATATTATTCATTTTCTTTTTGCAATTTACAGAAGGGAATAATGATTCAGTTGTATGAGATTTTTTTTTTTTTTATACAGGGCCTCGCTCTGAGGTCCAAGCTGGAGTGCGGTGGTGAAATCATAGCTCACCACAGCCTCCAAATCCTGAGCTCAAAGGATCCTCCTGCCCCAGCTCAGCTAATTTTTTATTTTTATTTTTTTGTAGAGATGGGTCTCGTTATGTTGCCTGGGTTGGTTTCAAACTCCTGGCCTCAAGCAATCCTCCCGCTATGACCTCCCAAAGCTTTGGGGTTACAGGCATAAGCCACTGCCCCTGGCCTAGTTGTATTAGGTCTTAACAGAGAAAAACAGGGATGGGCTTCGATGTAACAGGATATAGAGACCAAGAGAAGCACAGGTGATGGTCAGGACAGGAGGGTGCCATGGAAATTCCTAGGTATAAGAATAAAATCTTTCCTAATACTTGGCATATGAGAGGTTGAATTTATCTTTATAGAATGTCAATGTGTTGCCACCTTGAAAATTGTAAATTCGCTCAAACACTTAGGATTTGTTTTCTATGTTTGGCCAAACTATTAACAATAAAAAATGAAACTTATAAGGCTATTACTTGAGTCTAGAAGTAAAATTTTAAACTATGATTTAGTCTCCTTCCATCTTAATTTTCTCCTGAAAATAATTTTATCAGCCTCGTTTTACATATAGTGACTTCTGGTCTAGGAGGCTAGTTTCTGTTTATTGGAGGAAGGAGCCCATGAAAAGTAGAAAAACTTTTCAAACAATATGATCCTGCAATCCCTTGAAGTCAAGGTTAATCACAGAAGAGTGCTAAGATTTGCTTTGTGTTCCAAAGTTTGCAAACTAAAAAATGTGTATTTTATCAGAGAAGTGAAATGGGCTCTACTGACTCAAAAGCAGATGTAATAGAACCAGGGAAGAAAGGTGACATCAGACTCAAGGTGAAGAAGCCTAAATAGATAAGGTATGATGATCTGGAAGAGAAGGGATTTCTCTGGATGGCTGCCAATTTACATGGTACTAACCATGTTAACTGCACTCATTGATCTCTGCTTTGGGGCCTCTGCACATTCCCTTCTCATTGCCTGGAATTCTCCTCTCTCATTTTCTTCTCTCAAGTCTCTTCTTAAATGGTGTCTTGTCGAAGAGACCTTTTCTTTCCTTTTTTTTTTTTTTTTTAGAGGGAGTCTTGCTCTGTTGCCCAGGCTGGAGTGCAGTGGCATAATCTCAGCTCACTGAAACCTCCGCCTCCCAGGTTCAAGCAATTCTCCTGCCTCAGCCTCCTGAGTAGCTGGGATTACAGGCGTAAGCCACCACTCTCAGCTAATGTTTGTATTTTTAGTATAGACGGGGTTTCACCATGTTGGCCAGGCTGGTCTCGAATTCCTGACCTCAGGGAATTCACCCACCTCGGCCTCCCAAAGTGCTGGGATTACAGGTGAGAGCCATTGTGCTCGGCCAAAGAGACCTTTTCATCAGCACTCACTATCACCCACTCTTCCATAGTATTTATGATCACCTGATAGATTATATATTTAATTACTTGTTTGTGTCTGCCAGTCCCCAGCGGAACATAAGCTTTGTGAGGTCACAGAACCCATCTGTTTGGTTCACTGCTGTTTCAACAGCATCTAGAACAGCCCATCACTCTGCAAGGGCTCAATAAACATTTGTGGAATGAATAAATGAATCTTCCATTCAGTCTCTATTCATCAGTCTTGCCCTTTATCCATCTCTGGTTAATATCAACTCATAGACTCTCTATACTAGTCCCTTTATTTCTTATGGAAGGGAGAAAAAGACAGTTGAGCACAGTAGTTACAAGTCTGGACTTTGAAACCACCAAATCCGCTAGGTTTAAGACTGGCTTCATTGCTTCTCTGACGGTTCTGTCCAATAGAACTTGCTACAATGATAGAGACATTCTGTTCTACACTCCCAATACAGTAGCAACTCATCCCACAGACTAATTGAGAATTTGAAGTGTGGCTAGTGTAACTAAGAAGGCGAACTTTTAATTTCATTTCATTTAAATTTAAATTTAAATTTAAATAGCCACATGTGGTGACAGGCTACTATACTGGATAGTTGTAGCTGTATGATCCTGGGCAATATTTCCTAATCTCTCTGTGCCTCCATTTCCTTGTCAGTTAAATGGGAATAATAATAATAATACACCTCATATTATTGTTGTAAGGATTAAATGAGATAATACATAGAGCACCAGAATAGTACTTGGTATAAGGAAAGCTCTCAGCAAATGGCACTATCGTGGGCAAAAGGAACTAGCTTCGCAATAACACTAAATCTTTACTCAAATATGACAATGATACCAATCTAACGTATTAAAAAATAGGGAAACAAAGGCATTTCCAAAAAGTAAGGTTATAGCAAATTATGTGATGAGTTGGAAAGTGGGGTAAATGTAAGGGAACTCTAGAATAGCATGTCAAAAAGTTAGAAATTTTAGTTGATTATAAATGTTACTTTTTTAAAATTATACTTTAAGTTCGGGGATACATGTGCAGAACGTGCAGGTTTGTTACACAGGTATACACGTGCTATGGTGGTTTGATGCACCCATCAACCTGTCATCTACATTAGGTATTTCTCCTAATGCTATAAATGCTACTTTTTAATAAAATAGCAGTTACCATAGCAGCCAGACATCACAAAGTCATTTCAAAATCAAAGGCATCTTCTTAAAGAAACCTTGTGAACAATGTATCTGAGCAATATCATAAAAGGGCTCCCTTGTATGTCTGGGGTTTATTATACAGAATAATTCATTTCCCAACACTTTTCTCTAGCTTTCAATATCTACTCTACAACTGCACTCAAGATTTTATACATTTTTCTTATTTCTTGGGGTTTATTAAAAAGAAAGAAACTTCACAACAGTGGAAAAGGTAAGACAACTATTTTATAAGAAAAAACAATTATTAATATCTCTTAGGACACCACTTTATTATTGCTCTGCAAAGCAGCAAATTGATGCTGCTATATTTTGAAGGAGACTTGAATTAATTTTTTTATTATTTCATATTGTCTTTTTGTTAGCTTCTAAGTAAAATGTTCTTTCTCTACCTATATAGGTTTTTCTTTCTTCATTTATAAATGTCTTGTGTTTTTGTCTTCCCAGAGAGTTTTAACTTCAAGCCAGATTTGTGAAGAAGAGAAGGAGGATAAGAGAGGGAGGAGGATAGAAGGAAAAGGAGGAGTCAAAGGAGAAAAAAGGAGAAGAGTGGTAGAAGGAGGACGAGGAGAATAAAGAGGTTCTTCAGCTCCCCAATTAGACTTTGCCTGATCAGCCTTCCTCTTGCAACCATTGTATAAATGTCTAAATGGAGCAGGGATGGTAAGACGCGCACAAGGTCACTGCTGCTTCTGACACGTGCCAGTCTCATCTGTTTAGCGCCTTGAATTATACTGCAGTGTCTTTCAGTCTTTTTCTTTTGTCCTCTAGATCTTCCCACCTTGCTCAACTTTCGGATTTTATAGTTGCTACCCTGAAGCCTGAGAACAAAAAGAATTTCTTTTGGAAAACAATCTGTTTAAAAACAAGGTTTATTCTCAAATGTGTTAGTGTTTACTTGGCTCTATAATGTTTTTCTTCTTTGTGTTAAGGTCAAATATTACAAACCATAGGACCTACATATGTGATTTTAACAGAATATCTTTTTTTCAGTGCCAAATTTTCCTAGTCAAGGTAAGCCATTTAGAATATGTGTCATTCCATATTTATATACACAAGATGTTAAAACATAAACAAGTTTGTTTCATAGTTCATCGTTTTTAATCTTGAAATCAAAATTGAATCTGTGTTCTTTTTTTGAGACGGAGTCTCGCTCTGTCGCCAGGCTGGAGTGCAATAGTACGAGATCTCGGCTCACTGCAAGCTCCGCCTCCCAAGTTCAAGTGATTCTCCTGCCTCAGCCTCCAATAGCTGGAATTACAGGCACGCACCACCACGCCTAGCTAATTTTTGTATTTTTAGTAGAGATGAGGTTTCACCACGTTGGCCAGGATGGTCTCCATCTCTTGACCTCGTGATCCACACGCCTCGGTCTTCCAAAGTTCTGGGATTACAGGCGTGAGCCACTGCGCCCAGCCAAATCTGTTTTCTTAAATAGAGCTTAGATCATACAGAAATGATACGATCTCCCATTGCACTGACTCTGTGGGAAAAATCAGTATGTTAACCCTTTCTCTATAAAGAGCTGAGAAATTGTCTTTATATCAGTTTCTAATAGAAAGCTTTGGATTGTGACATCAGTTTTGTGTATCAGAAAACAAGGCAAAGTTTTTTATTTTGTTTTTTTTTTTTAAGACAGAGTCTGGCTCTGTCGCCCAGGCTAGAGTGTAATGGGCGATCTCGGCTCACTGCAACCTCTGCCTCCCGGGTTCAAGAGATTCTCCTGCCTCAGCCTCCCCAGTAACTGGGATTACAGGGGCGTGCCACCACGCCCGACTAATTTTTGTATTTTTAGTAGAGATGGGGTTTCGCCATGTTGGCCAGGCTGGTCTTGAACTTCTGACCTCAGGTGATCCACCCGCCTTGGCCTCCCAAGGGATTACAGGCATGAGCAATTGTACCCAGCTAGAAAAGAAGGCAAACTTTCAATAACAAGCAACCTAGGCACTAAACTACAATAGTGAGTAAAACAGCGATGGTCCCTGTCCTTAGGAAGCTTCTAGCAAAAAGGCTACAAGGAGCCATTACAGCTCCTTGCAACCCTTCACCTGAGCCTCAATGATATCATTCTGCAGCGCCCCAATCCCTAACTCCAAAAAGAGGGTGAAAAGAGGACCCAGCCCTGGAAAGTTTCACACCTTGTTCTGTTCTCCCCTCACTATTACCAAATCCCTAGAAAGGCCTAGTATGGAAAGGACTGACCTTACTCAATAAATAGTGGAGTAGCAATGGCTTGGCAACACCAAAATGTGCATGATTTTTTTTTCTAGATTAAAAAAGAAATAAAACAGTGAGGTCGCCTGGAGTTTTTATAGAAGAGCAATCTACCAAGTCCTTTATACTTCTTGTTCTTTCTGGGATTGCCTGTCTAGAGTGATAAGACAATGGCGATGGTGATACTAATACCTAATGTTTATCAATGTTTTCTGTGTACCAGATCTGAGATAGGTACTATTTTTAATCCTCATTTTACAGATGAGGAAACTGAGGCACAGATAGGCTAAGGAACTGGTCCAAGGTCATACAATTACCCTGTAAAAGAAGTATCCACCACACAAACCCAGATGTTCTGGCTTTGGAATTTATGCACTTATCTAGTATGGTATAATGGCCGCCACATTTTTCTTCCTGGTAATGCAAAATTATTTCCAATCTTATGAAGAAAACTAATCCCAAAGAGATCCTCAACATTAGAAAGTGTGTTAGTCTTCATATCTCCTCTAATACACATAAAAGGAATGCAATAGGGAAGGATAAATGAATGAGTGAAAGAAGAACAGGAGGAGTGAGAATCCAATTACAGTATTTCTATTATTTCATTTGGTATTTTTATTTTTATAGAACTAAGAGAAATCTACTACACTACATACGTGTGTCACTGGAAGTGGAGAACTTCATTCCTTTGCTCCTAATATAGTTTATCTCAGAAAAACATGATGCTAACCCAGTATGAGAGATTCATGAGTTTTGAGTAGTCATTTCAGAAACTACAATTACTTTGCATGCATCTGTGTCCATTTCTCCCATCCTGTTCCCCATTGAGCAATGGCACAAAGTGGTGACTTGGTACTTTGATGTTTGGAGCTCATGTGGCCACACAGTTAAGCAAAGGAAATAGAATATTATCCACGGGACTTACATTTTGAACAATACAGCAGAACAGATGACCAAAAAAAAAAAAAAAAACCCTGATAACTAGAACACTTAAAAATATGGAATAACACTTTGGGAGGCCAAGGTGGGTGGATCACTTGAGGTCAGGAGTTCGAGACCAGCCTGGCCAACATGCCAAAACCCCATCTCTACTAAAAATACAAAAATTAGCCAGGCATGGTAGCACGTGCCTGTAGCCTCAGCTACTCAGGAGGCTGAGACAGAAGAATTGCTTGAACCTGGGAGGCAGAGGTTGCAGTGAGCCAAGATCACACCACTGCACTCCAGCCTGGGCAACAGAGAGAGACTCTAAGAAAAAAAAAAAAAAAGAAGGAATAAAAATTCAAAACTTTTAAAAGCATGCAAGACTGAGCTTATAGTAAAGTAAGACAATATTAGAAGTAAGAAAAAAGACAAAGCAACAATCCAAAGATGTAGTGGAGCACTAAAGCTGACATTAACCATGGGGGCATCAACTGACCACTAGTGGTAAAGAGTTTTTTCTCATCTTTTTCATATCATAGAAAATGATACTAGTACAATAGCAATTGCTAGAATAAATGGGAAGGTATCTAGGAGCATCATCTATTATGCTAAATGTAACTTTGTAAAACCACTTATTATGTTTACATCACATAACTCAGAAAAAAATGAATATAAAGTACTAAATATTAAAAATATATTGAATGTAGCTTCAATATCAAGTATATGTAATTTGTATAAACCATGCCATTGAAATATTTGTAAATATTTTAACAAGTAACTTGAGCTTTTTATAATGAACATAGACTTTTGTTATTTTATATGATGCTTATAATGGTTGCAGGCAATTCCTGCTCAAAACTTACAATAACATCCTTTTCAAAAATCTCAGCATAGATAAACAGGTCATTTTCCCAAAAGTGGTAGTGGCTAAAAAATTAACAAACTTGGTAACCAAATTAAAAAGTTAGAAAAAGAACAAGAGACTAAACCCAAAGAAAACAGAAGGAAATATTTTAAAAAGCAAAAATGAATGCTATAGGACAGAAGAATGTAGTGGAGAAAATCAACAAAGTTAAAGCTGGTTCTTTTAAAAAGGCAATAACAAAACTTTGGCAAAATTGAGTTAAAGAACATAGAGAATACACAAGCAACCCTTACACTATTATGTGAATATATTAGGAGCAGCTTTATGCCAACACATTTGAAAATTTAGATAAAATAATTAGACAAATTCTTAGGAAAATATATCTTTACAAACTGACTCAAGATGAAATAAAAAGCCTAGATGATTCTATAACAATTAAAGAAATGTAATAGTAGTATAAAAATCCTTCCATAAAGAAATACCAGTCTCAAACAGTTTTATGAGATAACTCTATTAAACGTTCCAAAAACAGACATTTGATTCATACACAAATTTTTTTCTCAAAGACAAAAAAAGAGAGAGACTTCTCAACTTTTATGAATCTTATATAACCCTCTTATCCAAACTAGGTAAAGCCAGTGTGACAAATGAAACAAAAAAAGACCAATTTTACTCATGAAAATACTTCAAAAAATCATAAAGTAGATCTACCATTTGATCCAGCAAACCCATTACTGGGTAGCTACCCAAAGGAAAATAAGTCATTATATCAAAAAGGCACTTGCATGCATATGTTTATTGTAGCACAATTCACAGCTGCAAAGCTATGGAACCAACCTAAGTGCCTATCAATTAATGTGTGGCTAAAGAAAATGTGGCATATATACATACAGCATGGAATACTATTCAGCCATAAAAAAGAATGAAATAATGTCTTTTGCAGCAACTTGGATGAAGCTAGAGGCCATTACTCTAAGTGAAGTAACTCAGAAATGGAAAACCAAATACCGTATGTTTTCACTTTTAAGTGGGAGCTAAGGTATAGGTACGCAAAGGCAAACAGAGTGATATGATGGTCTTTGGAGATTCAGAAGGGGAAGGGTGGAAGTGGGATTGGGGATTTAAAAGCTACATATTGAGCACAATGTATACAACTCGGGCTATAGGTGCACTAAAATCTCAGCTTTCACCACTATACCATTCATCCAGGTTACCAACAACCATTTGCACCCCAAAAGCTATTGAAATAAAAAAATTAAAAATAATAAATAAAATATTAGCATCAAGTCACATGATGTATGGCAAAGTTGGCTTCATTTTTTAAATGCACAATTACTTCAACATTAGAAAATCCAGTATTATAATTATCTTATCAATATATATTAATTTGGAAAAGTAATTTGATCATTTCAATAGATGCAGGAATTGCATTCAATAAAATTCAACTTACATTCACAATTTAAAAACTTAGTGTAGGAATATAAGGGAGCTCCTTTAATCTAATTAGTATTTGCAAAAATAAAAATCTATAGTATATGTCATTCTAAATGGTGAAATATTAAAAGCATTTCATTTAAAAACAGAAACAGACAAAATTAAACAATATGCTACCCAGGAATGTGTACATCACTGATAAAACTATAAGAAAATATAAGATAATAACACAAAACTCAAGACTCAAGAAAGTGGATACTTCTAGGTGAGAGGGGATGTAATCAGGGGAGTGGGTAGCAGGTACACAAATGGTTGTTTTAGTATGATTTTGTAAACCACACACACACACACACACACGCAAGCCATACACACAAATGTAAAATATATTATTCATAACATGAGGCAGATGAAGTGACAATGGTTCATTTTGCAAGTGTTAGACAAAATCAAAGTGATGGCTAGGCTAAATAACATTTATAACTACAATAGGTATTTAAATCACCTTCTCTTTCATTGTATAAATTCAAGCTTGGCTTTTTTTTTTTTTTTTTTTTTTTTTTTTTTTTTTTTTTTGAGACAGAGTCTCACTCTGTTGCCCAGGCTGGAGTGCAATGGTGTGATCTTGGCTCACCGCAACCTCCACCTCCCGGGTTCAAGTGATTCTCCTGCCTCAGCCACCAGAGTAGCTGGGACTACAGGCATGCACCACCATGCCCGGCTAATTTTTGTATTTTTAGTAGAGATGGGGTTTCACTCTGTTGGCCAGGCTGGTCTTGAACCCCTGACCTCATGATCCGCCCTCCTCAGCCTCCCAAAGTGCTGAGATTACAGGTGAGAGTCACCACACCCAGCCTTTGGCTTCTTATAAATCATATTTCTACACTAAACTTGGATAATACTTTAACACATTTGGGGAAAAATTTCAAATGAACTGCTCATGTCATCATGAGACTTGGAGACGAAGAATTATAAGTGAGACTCATTCCATTTCTTGAATAGCTCTATCATAATTAAAACTTTAGTGTATAGGGACCACCTCTCACAATCATTTGTTTGGTTTTCTAGAGAATTTGCAAAAAAAAAAAAAAAGTCAATTCTTTAATAATATGCAAAAGAAGGGAACAGCCCTTATGAAATGCAAACTCATATTGATTGCAGAATTTTCTCCTTTGTTCTCTGCACACTATGTGTGGCCAAAACATTCTAAGCAGTACCACAGTAATGCTAGCATGCTGAATTAAATTGCACTATCAGTACAGTTTCAAATTTTCTACTTGGTTTGTTCACACACAGACACTTTAGTGGGTACTGGGGCCATAGCAGGGCACTGGGGCTAATGAGGGAAAATTCTGGTGAGGCTTAAAAAGAATGCTCTCTGAGTATAAGACGGAAAAAGTATTGATTTAGAGAAGGGAAGTGTGCTTTTTGAAAATTTTCCTTTAAAGAACTTTCTGCACTTCAGGTTCCTAAAGAGATAAAATAGGAACCAGCTTGAGAATTTGTGTCTCCTTTGAGTGGTGTTCAGTGGATAATGCTATTTGTGGGTATAAAAGGAACTCATTCCTTTCCTTTTCTTTTGTTTTATTTAAGGAAACAGAGACTGGAATATGTAGGTAGGAACTGGTAATTAAATTAGGTGCCCAGTTTTTCACTCTGATTTTGTGAAGCATTATTTGCCTATGGCTGCGGTCCATGTTCTGAGTTATCTTAAACATTATTTTTAAATTCTGAAAAGTCCCTAAAGTTTCCCAAGAAATGGGATTTCCAACCCTACTTTTTAAATTTTCAAAACAAGTTCAGGCACCTGCAGAAACACAACTATAATGCATAGTTCATGACCACCAAGACCAAAGGGCTGTTTAGAACCTTAGAGTTCTGAATTCCTCAATTTCTTTTGAATTATCCAGTGAACTGCTCAAGTCATCCCCATGTGTCCATCTCCAGTCTAAGAAACAACAACCAAAATGACCTGATGGGGATGACCATGCCAATGAGTTCTCCAAAAAAGGAGGCCATTGGAAGTCACAGCAGCTTCTCCAAAGGTCAGATAGATTATAGAGAGTAATTTCAAAGCATTTTATATTAAGGCAAGGGGCTGCAGAAATATTCAGGAGGAGTTAGCTTTTCCCTTGTAGGTAAAGGAGCTTTCCCTTCTACTGTGTGATTTCTGATGAATCCTTTTTTTTATTCTTTTTCAGTCTTCATATTTTATCCTCCACCCTCCGTCCTCTAGAATATCATCCTACAGGCAGTGTCAGGGAGAAAATGAGTCTGGACCTGACCCTGTAAAAGGCAAAGTTCTCAGAAGTACAAGATGACAGGGCTGGAGCTCCCTCTAGAGCCCATCCTGCCGACAATGGAGGGGTCTTCAGCAAAGTGAACTGGGGCTGGTGGATCCTGACCCATTTCCCTATCCTGCTCATCTTACTGGAGAGCCCTTTCAAAAGACTGAGAGGTCTGGAAGAGCAGAACTATTCACCATGGCCTTCAGGATGGCTCAGTGATGCTCACTGGCATCTCCAAAAACAGTGTGGTCAAACAAGCTTATTTAGTAAGTTCTCTTGTCAAAATCAGCTCTAAATAGTCACCACAAAAGGAATTTGGATGAATATGTAAAACAGAGAATGTTCATTTGCTTGTTGTTTAATCCAGTAGTTTGGATCATAGTCATAGATGTAGTCATAGCAAACTTGATATTCTGATTTTATAATAAACTGATGACTTTAAAATGAACCATTTATAAGAAGCAATGTTGTTGCTGCTTTTTTACTTTCTTTAGAAAAGCTAAAGAAATACAAGGAGGAATTAACATGTTAATGAAAAATAGAACAACATAACCTTCATTTGAGCATAAATCTGAAAATTTTAAATCACTACCTTCTTTACTTAGGAAAACAATAAAGATTCACAGATAAAGTATTGAGAAACCTAATTTTCAATGTATTATAGTTAAATTTCGAATAGCAGAGGAAAATGCTATTTCTAATTTGTTCCTGATGTTATTAGAGATGGAGAATATTCAATTTTGCTTTCGATAACTGTGAAGAGGAAATAATTTGGGTAACAGCTGATAATATTTCTCTACCATTTGGAAGAACTTAGTAAGAATGACTAAATGTTCAGGTCTTAACACAATTAAAAAACTGTTTTGCCATGCATTCTTCAAAACATGGCTTCCTTTTTTTAAGTTTGTGTAGTTGCAGTTATCAAACAGTTCAAAATGATTTCCAAAATACATTCCTATTATTTTCAGTCATTACTCCAGGCAAATAAAATGGAAGAGCTAGTTCTGTTAACACTAAATTAAACTCTTAACTGAACCTGGTGTTTTGTTAGTAATGCATACAATTCATTATAAGAATCACAATAGCATTTTTATAACACCATGCAGTTTACTAAAAATACTCGCAAACATTTTCTTAATTTCAAAACAAAGTAGATCCAGCATACACAAATTGCGCCACTCAATTGCCTTCATTAGGTAGTACATTGTAAGTTCAATTTTTCTGTTTACTAAATTTTGTAAACACTAACCATGCCTCTGGCCCTGATCTCTTTAGTAGTAGTAGGAATAGTAACAGTAATCATAGCTAACATTTTTTTGAGTGCTTACTATGTTCTAGGTACAATTTTAAGTGTTTTATGTGCATTAATTCAATAATCCTAAGAACGAAGAAAATATATTTTATTTAAAGTTTCATTAGATTGAGAAAACTTAACTTTAGATGCCTACTCGTCTTTCTAGTTTTTCTTTATTTTCTTTCTGCTTTAATTTCACTCTATCCTTGATGGTTTGCCTAACATTTACTTTCTTGGTAAATACACAGCAACATTTGGTTAGCAGATGTTATTTTTTAAATGTCTATAACTTGCAATCTCTTTTTAAAAAAAATCTGGAATAGAATTGTACAAGCCTTAGAAAAATTAAGTCAAGAAAATGAAAAGTCAAAATTAGTTAGATGACTTACCCAAAGTCATCCAGCCAGTAAGATGACAGGTCAAGATGCAAATATTGACCACACGCTAGCTTCTCTTCCTCACCCTGATCCCCCAGAAACTGCTCAAGTCTATTATTACTTTCTCTGGAACTGTGTCAGTACCTTAGCAACTCTGTCCATCTTCACCACCACCATCAATAAGCAAATCTATTAAGAAAATTTCTGCATTTAATTGAGGGCAAGAATGGATGACATAGAGCCAGTAATGTGGATGTTGCTCTAGTCCTGTAGGAATTCACAGTCTAAGATTAATGGCAATAATCTCAGAGGTGTAACCAAGGGCACATTAGGGGAAAAGAATCACCGCAGACTCTAGGTTAGAGAAATGAAAAGGATGGTATGACGGCTACATAAGTATGCTTGACGAGGAAATTCTGGAAAATACATAGATAATTATTTCCCCTGCAAAGAGCAGCTCCTTCCTTGCATGATGATACAGAATGGTGAAAATGCATATTGAAGACTTACACTAAAGAAATGGACGTTACATTGGGAGGCAGAAGAAAGTGGCAGAAATGGAACTGCAGTGGGAATCAGATGCGTGTTGATCTCAATTTTTCCAAGGTATTCTTTTGGCAAGACTCTGAATCTCTCTCAGACTTAGTGGAAACATGCCGTAGGCCAGGGAAAGAGTCTGATTTTGGCTCAAACCACCTATTGTCTCTATGACCTTGAACAAGTTCTTTTGAGTAATTTTTTAAGCCTCAATTTCTTCATCTGCAAAATGGGTATAATACGAACCTTGTAGGATTGTTATGAGGGTCAAACTAAAGGTTTTTGCAAGTGGTCGTTGCTCAATAGTTAGTATTTATCATTATTATTTCTTTTCTTTTTTTTTTGAGACGGAGTTTCGCTCTTGTTGCCCAGGGTGAAGTGCAATGGCAACATCTCGGCTCACTGCAACGTCCACCTCCTGGGTTCAAGTGATTCTCCTATCTCGGCCTCCCGAGTAGCTGGGATTACAGGCACTCGCCATCACACCTGACTAATTTTTGTATTTTTAGTAGAGACGGGGTTTCACCATGTTGGTCAGGCTGGTCTTGAATGCCTGACCTCAGGCGATCCACCCGCCTCGGCCTCCCAAAGTGCTGAGATTACAGGCGTGAGCCACCATGCCCGGCCATTATTATTTCTTAATCAAGAAAATGAGAAGAGTATGTTAAGTGATTTTTAATATCTGTCCAACATTCAAAAGCCTATGAGTCTATATCCACTTGACACAAGGTTAAATACTTTTGTTAAATGGTTTTTAAGCTATATTGTTTCTCAGAGGTGGGCCATGTCATTTTTTACAGCACAAAGGGTCAATCAAATCACATCTGGAAAATAAGTCTAATTTTCAATCAACCTACAATTTAATTGGGGATAATACATTAGCAATAAAAGTCATAAATGGAGGTGAGAAAATAAAACCAAAGGAAAAAAGTCTCAAATTGCTTAGGTTAAGTATATTTTATCTAATCTACCTTCTAATACAAAATTAGCTATGAATAACTTGTATAAATCTTCCACAATTTTCCAAAGGAGAAATGATTATTTTCCTAAATTCACACTAAATCATCTTTGCTCTGGAATAGTATTGTTCAAACATTGTGACTACAGCCTACAGTAATACATTTTATATTGCAACCTAGTCCACACACACGTATGTGTTTAAGTATGTAAATATTTTTAGAAAATAAAGGTTTTGGCTGGGCGCAGTGGTTCACATCTGCAATCCCAGCACTTTGGGAGGCCGAGGCGGGCAGATCACGAGGTCAGGAGATCGAGACCATCCTGGCTAATACGGTGACACCCCGTCTCTACTAAAAATACAAAAAAATTAATCGGGCGTGGTGGCGGGCGCCTGTAGTCCCAGCTACTCAGGAGGCTAAGGCAGGAGAATGGTGTGAACCCAGAAGGCGGAGCTTGCAGTGGGCTGAGATCGCGCCACTGCACTCCAGCCTGGGTGACAGAGCGAGACTCCGTCTCAAAAAAAAAAAAAAAAAAAAAAAGAAAAAGGAAAATAAAGGTATCATAAGACCCTTTTTATATGCCTTGCATTCGTATTTTCTACTCTCTTTTAATCCAAGTTCTAATGTTGATTATCTACGAACTGATATCATGACCATTAAAAGGTCATCAACCATGGTTTTTAAAACACTACAGTAGAGCATTCCTTTCTCTATGAAGGTTTTTATAACATACCAAGTGGTCAATACTATGTTTTGTCCAGTCAACTGGTTAAAATGTAGCTATTCAGCTCATATTTGGCATCACACAGATCCACAATATCGCTGGCTATTAATCATTTGAATTTTAGATGAATTCAATTAGTCTAGTTTGTAATTATACAGGTTCTTAAAATGTTCTGTAAATGTATTTACCCAAATGTTCACTGTAAGTACCCTTTCCCCATTAAAGGCATTATATTACAGAAATCAATTTAAACTCACAATTTATAACTAGGTTTTCAAAAAGAAACATTAGAAATGCTTTTCGTCAAATTTTACAATGACCTATTCTTTCTTAGGTTGCCTTATTTTAATCTTTCTACTTATTTCCACCTGCCATACATCTAGTATCTCTCCCTTTAAATAGCTTAATTTTAGAGTCTATTATAATTCCCTGACTGGGGGTGAAGCCATAATTTTTCTTTCTTAAAAACTGGGATTTGCACACAGCTCTGCACCATATGACATATTCTAGCTCTCTGCTTGTCCTGTGCCAATACATTTTTAAGCCATTGATGATATCAAATTAAATAGGCATCTGATGTTATGAAATTCCACAGGCTTTCCAACCCTGAATTTCATCATCTCTTTACTATTCATACTTCATTCATTTTTGGTGTCACTGTTCCATATACCTGCCATTCTTCACAGCTGGATTTGTTTGCCTGTTTTTGTTGTTGTTGTTGTTGTTTGTTTGTTTTAATACTGAGCCTTCTGTCAATTATAATACACATTTCCCATTTCGATTTTGCAGCACCTCACTCTTGATCTGCCCTGAAACCAACTAAGGGCCATGCAGAAAACATTCCCTGCAGACTACTTCCAGAAGGAGTCTACAAACACTTAAAAAAAAAGGGCCTGTGATGCATTCTGTACTAAAGCTAAAGTTGAATCCCCTTCAAAATCCTATCTGCCATTGTTCTCTAACAGGGCATAGAATGTGGAGAACCCCCTTGATTATTTAGGTTGTGCATGTCTGCTTCTGAGTTAGGGCCTCTTTTCAGATCTACAACTATTTTTCATTTATCCCATTATTTTTCACTGCCCTTCCACTAGCCCTTTCATTGATAAGTCATAATCTTAAAATTTCCTGCAACTAGAAGATCAACTTCACTCAGACAATCATTTAGGATCTTTCTTCCTGTTGAGCACACATAGCAGCCCTACCCTGCTGCAGCCCTTGGTTTCATTAGGGTGGGGGAGATATCAGAACTCAAGTATGGCAATTCTGTGCCAGCAACTCTATTTCCAAAAGGTTTGCTTTCTTCTTTCATTCTAGCCAATAGTAGTCAGATATGGTTCATGTCTACATTGGTCGAAAAACTATTTATCTTCCCCTTGCAAGCCCCTTATTTTTCTTTTTTTTTTTTTAAGCAAAAAAGGTGAGAAATGCACTCACTCAAGATTATAGTTAGGACAATTTAAACTATGAATAGTACCAGGACCTTGTGCAGTGGGCATATCATAGAACTGTAGCCATAATTTAAGCGCTTATGTCTTTAATTATGATATTAATTATGTAAACATTTAGGATGCTGAGGGAGATTATTTCTATTTTTCAAATGCCTCAGTGACTTTTTATAAGAGCATTATGTTTAAGTCATCAAATAACTTATCTACTATTTGCTATATGAAGCAGCCTCTTACTTTCCATCATTATTACTAACTTCTTTTTATTATTAAGAATAAAGGTCAGCTCCTTGGTCTTTCCTCATATCAAATAAAAATTCCAGTTGACTCATTATGATAAGGAAAATTCACATTAATTAAAGCTGGTGCTGACCCCCAAAGTTCAAATACATTATGGAAATTACACTTTAAAACTAGTCCAGTTATCACGAGATTAAGCCCTCAAAGTAGAATTCTCCTAGAGCGTTATTTGCTTCGTGCCAATGTGATCCAAAATTCTCTCTACTCCCCTCCCCATAGTTCATCTCCTGATACCACACACAGAAGTGCACTGAGCCACATACTGGAACTCTAGCTATATGCTCTTCTGTTTCTTTTTTTTTTTTTTTCATTTTACTCCCTTTGAAAGATTTCTGAGGTATGTACATACAGTGCAATATACTAGCCTGGCCATCTGGATCCTCTTTCCTGAGTGGTAGCAACATGCCAAACAAAAATTACCAAATAGGTGTTTTCATATTAAGCCTCTGATACCACATTCTGGTTAGACTTTTATTATATTATTTACTTACGGAAATATAGAAGTACTTTATTATATTTTTACAGTGGGAAACTTGTTGATTGTGCAGCCTTGCACCAAGAAAAAAATTCCTAACAATATATTGTATGGGTTATATGGGACCGGTTATTTTTCACAGATGTTTTCTTAAAATCTCACTTTTATAAAAACTGTTTGTTTTGACATCACATTATTTTCTAACATCTCTTCCAATTGTCACATTTCTTGTCACATTACATATAAGGGAAATGGTTCTAAATTATTCCAGATCACTTTCTTGTAAGTTTGTCTTGGTAAATAAAAAATTATTTTAAGTGAAATATGTTGTTAGAAAACAAAAACTGCCCTCACTGGCTGTAGGTATCCTTTCCTCTACACATGGGAGAAGATTTGAAATGCTCTGATAGAGGAAAAGCCTCTCTTTAGGGTCACTCCTTGGCACTGAACTCAGGATGCATAAGCAGCATTTTGGGGCAAGAGCTCACTTTTTCACACTGCTCAGCACTAGCCAAAGGGTAAGGACAGATGATTGTCCTGAACACTGAGTCTACACCTGAGTACATCCCAGTTCTGTCCCCTCTTCAGAGCACCCCATCAGAGCTCAGTACATTCAGAATCACTCTGTCAGAGAGGGCTTGGCCTGCTCCATGGGAGTCCAAGAAGAGCACATCTGCACTGATGCCCAGTAAGAAGTGGGAAAGCCTGGAAGGACAGGAAAAGTCTTTTCCTGTCTTTATTGCTCCTGAAGGTACATAAGGAAATCCAACCTAGAACAAGTCCCTGCTCTTTCTGAAAGAAAACCCAATCTCTTGATTTTTACATAAAGCCTCCATTTTGGATGATATGAGGTTTTTTTAATGAGAAAATAAATGGTAAGGGAAAATTTGCTGAAGCCTGAGATATGATTATCTCCCAATGCTGTAATAAAGATCATTACCTATACATCAGAAAGCCTCTGGGAAAAAGCTCATCACAAATTAGGGTGTCAAGTCACAACCATTGTCATCAAAGAACAAGGACTAGTTCTTTCAGTGTGGTCACTACTAGTGACGCCACACACCACTGAGAAATGAGTATCACGGCTTTCAAAGTACACAGCATTCACTTCTTGCCACAACATATGGGAATTTTATTTCTTTTGAGATGGAGTCTCACTCTGCTGCCCAGTCTGGAGTGCAGTAGCATGATCTCGGCTCAGTGTAACCTCCGCCTTGCGGGTTCAAGTGATTCGCCTGCCTCAGCCTTCTGAGTAGCTGGGATTACAGGTGTACGCCACCATACCTGGCTAGTTTTTGTATTTTCAGTAGAGACAAGGTTTCACCATGTTGGCCAGGCTAGTCTCGAACTCCTGACCTCAGGTGATCTGCCCGCCTTGGCCTCGCAAAGTGCTGCGATTACAGGTGTGAGCCACTGCACCCAGCCCAACATATGGGAAATTTAAAGTCCTTTTTCCTTTCATTCTTCACCCGATTATTCATTATTTTTCAATTTATTAACTCAATGAAAAATTATCGAATACCTACTATGTGCCAGATATACACATACTACTATATGCCAGGATATAGTAATAATAGCAAGACAACAACAGCAACCATACCCAACACTCACAGAGGGCCTACTTACTGTAAACCAGACACTAAATAATACATTAGCTCATTTAGTCTTTGCAACAGTCTCCTGACAGGTACAATTATATGCATATTTGCAGATGAGCAACTAAAGCATAGGAAGATTAATTCTCCAGGTCACACAGTCCGTAAGTGTCACAGCCAGGCTTCAAATCCACATCTTTTAACTCCAGTTTCCATGCTTTTGACCTCTATGCTGTACAAAGAAAAACAGTCAAGGCCTTATGGAACTTTCAATGCACTGGAGAAGACAGAAATTAAATAAACATGGAAATGTGCTGTAATTTCAAATGCTAATGAGATCTATAAGAAAACAGGAGGGTGCCACAAGATAGGATGGTATAACATTTCAAAGGCTCTTCTTGCAGGCTAAGAAATATAGTGATTACCTTTGGTGATTCTCATCTCACCTAAATGACAAAGTTATAAAATTTAAGGTAGCAAGCGGGATAAAAAGAATTTGGCAGAACTAAATCTAGGAGGCTAGGGGGTAACAGACTAAACAATTCAACCCTTACCCCTTGCCATAAAGCCTTGCCATCTTGGTGGCACTTCTTGCTGGCCCTTCTTGCTGGTACACTCAGAATGATACAGATGAGGAATCTGGGGAGTACAACCCATTCTGTCCTCATCTCTCCTTAATAAGAAAATCCAATCTGGATCAGGTGTCCCATCTCCACAGATGAAAGCGAGTATCTTTCCACATCTGTTGCCTTTGACCAAGAAATGCATGACCGATGTCTACAAAACCTTAAGTTCCACTGAATACTTCAGCTTATAAAAAGAAAAGAAAACTAAAGATTTCTTTGGCCTAATATGGTGAACACATGGGCTTCTGGAAACAATTCAAGGTATGGCTTATAGTCACTAGAACAAACAAAGTGTGGTTTATAAAATGTGGTTATTAGTAGACTCAGAAACCAACTGAAATATTGACTTAAAGAGAACAAGAACATAGAAGCAGAAAATAAGGTTCCCAGGGGAAGAAAATTCCCTTTCTATCCTGATTTTTTAAAAATCTGGACTTTATTACCCTGCTTGACCAATTACAAATCTACTCTTTTCCTTTTAGTGTCAGAGAAATCACACAGAAAGCCTCTTTTTTTTTTTTTCCTTCTGAAGAAATTGCCTTTCTACAGATTTAGGAAAGTTTTATATCTCTTATTATCATTATTTTATGTATTATTTTTATGTCTCCAGTTTTTATATAAGACATGGTCTGTACATACAGGATGACATCCAAAGATAGTATGATATATTAGCTCCTAATTCTGTGCTTCCTAGTTTCATGCTACTGTGTTTGATAAAGACTTAGAGTGAGGAGGGAGAGGATAAGGTGTTCATAACGGCACGAAAATTAAATGTGCTTCACACACCTAGATGAACGAGCAACATCATTTTCAGGTCCAATAAATAAATTAATTTTTCTGGTTCATCGTTCAGAATCATAAAAATAATAATTTTTTATATTGTAATATCATAAGAAGTCTGTTTCATCATCTTAATGTATCACTTGAAATAGGATTTTGGCTGGGTGCAGTGGCTCACGCCTGTAATCCCAGCACTTTGGGAGGCCATGGCAGTCGGATTGCTTGAGGTGAGGAGTTCCAGACCAGCCTGGCCAACATGGTGAAACCTTGTCTCTATTAAAAATACAAAAAATTAGCCTGGTGTGGTGGCACACGCCTGTAGCCCTAGCTACTCAAGAGGCTGAAACAGGAGAATCACTTGAACTCAGGAGGTAGAGGTTTCAGTGAGCCGAGATCACACCACTGCACTCCAGCCTGGGTGACAGAGCGAGACTCCATCTCAAAAAAAAAAAAAAAAAAAAAAAAGAAAAGAAATAGGATTTTATATTCTACCTGACTACATATAGGATGTTAGTATATTAAAAAGGCTTAGATAACTAAATACACAAGCGAATAGTTTGATTTCCAATGAGGGATAGTCTCTAATAAGCAAATAGTACACTAAGGTCTCATCTTTCATATTTAGCAAATTACACTTGAGATTAGCCTAGGTACTGGTAAACAAATAGGTAGGAGAAGACTACTTAACATTAAAGAGGAATAGTCTAAAGTCTAAACTTTCTTTTTCTTTTTTTTTTTTGAGATGGGGTCTCGCTCTGTTTCCCAGACTAGAGTGCACTGGTGCAATCTCGGCTCACTGCAGCTTCCGCCTCCCAAGCTCAAGAGATTCTCCTGCCTCAGCCTCCCAAGTAGCTGGGATTACAGGCACCCACCACCACGCCTGGCTAATTTTTGTATTTTTAGTAGAGATGGAGTTTCACCATGTTGGCCAGGCTGGTTTTGAACTCCTGACCTCAAATGATCCACCTACCTCAGCCTCCCAAAGTGCTGAGATTACAGGCATGAGCCACTGCGCCCGGCCTAGACTAAACTTTCAAAGTAACTTACAATAGTTTATATTAAATTTTTTGTTAGTATAATGAGACTTAATTTTTTTAGAAAAATCCTGAAAACCATGTTAAATGTAACATTGTTTAGAAATATCTTCTATGTTATTCCTTAAAAATCTGTGAATGAGTGACAGATCCTTATTTGACCTGTCATCAGAATCAATTTTTCTTTTATTAATATACTTCACTAATGAACAAAATCATGTACTATAGTTTACCTAGAAATAAAATGCCAAATAATTGCAAATAAAGGTTTTAAAAAGTATGTCACTTAAGGATCCGGACTTCTCCAAAATGAAGTAAATGTCCTTACATCTTTAGTACAAAAACTATCCCCACATTTTACATGACGTGGAAAACAGGATAAACATTGATGTCAAATGCCTGAGAACAACATTATATTTCACTGCTCCAGGACAGACAATTTTTCTGTGCTCTATTCCAGAAAGAGAAAAGGAGAAAAACGAAACAAAACAAAAAAACCTTGTAATGGTTGCAGTTTGTATTAACTTCAAAGCTGGTATTTCTTTCTCAAAGATCATTTTCTTTTTGTCTTTCAAAAAGCGGGGGGTTAGAGTAGGAAACCTCATAAAAATCAAACATTGAAGAATACGTTGTTGAGAAAGCACCTGCAAAGTATTTTCAGACCTTTTAAAAACGATGTAATTTGAATCACCTGTCTAAATAGGTCATTTAACTTAGAAAAATTAAAATTAGCTGTGCAGGGTCAATTCTTTTTCTACAGCATCTGCATGTGTGTGTCCTCTTCAAAGTCAAACCAGAGCTAAGTGTCAAGAACAGCCATAATACATGAATTTATTCCAAATCTTAGTTATTCTGCTTGAAATGGCCATAAAAGTTAACTTTATATATAAAAACATAGAGTGAGGAATTGCTAGAAAAAGTTGGGGATGGGGGTGCAGAAGGAGACGCAGAACTCCCCGTTCAGGAGATAATGGTATGTGTAAAGGAGGGAGTCTCTACTGCTGCTCATTTCTTGCTTTTCACATACACACTTTTACAATATATGGCAAATCAATATCAGGCGAGCCAAAACACAAAATAAATACTTTCACACAAGTGTAGTCTCCCACAAGCTTCTCTTTCCTTATCAAACTAGCAATATAGGACTATGAACCTTAACGCTATTGTCCAGCACCTTTAAGTATCTACTCATCCTACAACACTCTGTCAGGGATTGAATCCCTCTCCCCAGAAAACCTTCCCAGGAATAGAATAAACGACAAAATCTTGAAACATCTTAAAAATGAGAACAGTAAAAGAAAACGCAAATGAAAACTTTAGCTGCCTAAGATATTCAGTGCCCTTCTACAACCAGACCATCCATAAAATCAAAAGGACCTCAACAATGTTGGAACAGAAATGTGTCACGACCACTGGACCCTTGACTTTAGAAGGGAGGGCATCCAAGCTGGCTGGCAGAGAGGCAATCGCCATCAGGGGAAGTACAGCAAGGAGTCAGTTTTGTTTCAGGACTCTTCAAAGTCACCAGGAAATGTACCCCATCCTTTCTGGGTTAAAAGTAACTTTGATGCACAGAAAAAAAGTACTTTCATATCCTCCAGCTAGCAACAATTTATCATCCACAGGGAAAGAGTGATCGGAGATGCTAATGAAACATTCTCCTCTCTGCCTACTTCCCCAAAGCCACTTCCCAAAAATGAGATCTTGAGGAATCTTGATTTACTAAAGACTTCTGTTTAAAGATGAAATGGAAGGAACTTTGCACGGACAAGGAGGCAAACTGAAGACTTGACATTGAGGAATTGCGAAAGAATGTTCTAAGCTACATTCTTCTTACAAGGGGAAACCCAAAACAGAATTAAGATCTCTTCACCTCCGGATGGAGGAGTAAACATATTTAACTGCCCGGGATGGAAAGAAACAGTATCACTCCAGCCACCGCCCCCCGCCCCCTTTCCCAGGATCAATGACAGAAATAGTCCCAGCAGCGAGGGGCAGGGCAGGCTGGCTGCTCCTTCCACTATGACCTCTCCAAATCCGCTTTTCACTTCGCCCTGTCAGTCCCTCCTTAGTCCCTCAGCACGGAACCCCGGCCCCATCTCTCTAAGCGGCCACTTCTCCACCCACCATCCTTAGTTCTGAGCGGACTCGGCCCCACAACCGCCCTGCCTCCGGGGCGTCCCTCTGAGTGGGCGTCCCCCACACTTGGGAGGCTCACGAAAGCCCCGGGACGAGGCGCCAGCGCCGGGGCTGGGGAACCCCGGGGGTTCCGGCCTCGCTGGGCTCCCGCCCCCCACACCTCGACGCCTGAGCGGATTAGGCGGCTTGGCTCGCAGCGGCGCGCACAGCCCCCGTCCCTCCCACTCTGGCCCCTCCCCGGCTCGGGCGCCCCGGGGTCCTCCGCCTCCGCGGAGGTGAGCGCGCACTCACCGGAGGTGAGCTGCATCCAGGCACATATCTTGTACACAGTGGCCGTGTTGCAGAAGAAGAAGAGGGTAAAGCAAATGATGCAGGCAATGATGAGCATCATGGAGAGGCCGATAAAGAAGGAGGCGGCTTTGAAGGCGCCCGAGGGCAGCGTGGAGAAGTCCGTGAAGCTGCCCCTGCAGGTCAGCTCCCGGGAGAAGCCGTTGCCGATGCAGTAGTGGAAGAGCCCGAAATAGCCGGCTTGCGGGGTGTCCACGCCGTCGCCTATCCAGTAGGGCTGGATGAAGCACACCACGTTGACGATGGCAAAGCAGATGGTGAAGATGGCCCACAGCACGCCGATGGCCCGCGAGTTCCGCACATAGTTGGTGTGGTACAGCTTGGCAGCCTCCTGAGCCGGGAGCATCGCGGCGGCGGCGGCGGCGGCAGCGGCGGCGGCTCCGGGCATTCTCCCCCTCCTCCTCCTCCTCCTCCTCCTCCTGGTCCTCCGCCTCCCCCCGCCTCTCAGCGCGCAGGAGACACACTCACGGAGCCTCGCGCGCTGCAACTCCCCTGCCTCCGCCTCAGCCCAGCAGCACCAGTTTCAGAGTCTGCATCCTCGCTCCCGGAAGGAGGGCGGGGGAGCGCGGAGCACCCCTCCGGCTCGCCTGGCACAGCCTCCCGGCTCCCCTCCCTCCCTCCTGGCCCGGGCTCCGGCCCTCCTCACCACCCTCCACCCCTCTTCCCGCCGCCGCCGCTGCAGCTGCTGCAGCTGAAGGCGGCAAATCCCTCGTGGAGCACCGCGGCGCGCAAGCCCGGGGCGCCTCCCGCTCTGCTTCCCGCCTCCCTCCCCGCTGCCCGGCCCGCGCTGCCAGTGCCCAGGGGCGCAGAGGACAGTGACGACCCCGGAACGCCCATCAAGGGGTGGACATGAGCCAGAGAAGTGGGCCTGGATTAGGAGGGCGAGGGTAGTCTAAGAAGGTGGCAGGAGCACCCACAGGGATCCTAGAGACAACCCCAGGATCCTGGTGGGTGTGAGAGGCCGGGCTCGAGAGGCTGATTCAGCGAGCATTTCATCACCGCACAGAAACGTGCTTCGACCTCTGCATCTTTGCAGAGGCACGAGGGGCAGCGCGGCAATTGCAGGCAAGAGGCGCCAAGGCAGTGGAGGCATACAGCCCCCAAGAGTCTTTCTTGTTACCACAGAACTGCCCCTGGCTAACTCCTCGGTTGCCTTCAGGTCCACAGGTGGAGATAGAAGTTGCGCAGGAGCCTGGCAGACAATAATGTAAAAGACAAATCTCAAGGGTGGTCTCACATCAAGCACAGCTGAGCTTGCGTCCTCTTTGCGTTTTTCCCCCAAGCAGCCAGCTGAACTGTAGCCAATGGATGCCCCATACTTTCCTTTAGGTCGTTTCCCCGATAATTCCTTCCATAGATTGGGCCTGTGTGTGCTTGGAAGGGACTGTGTCACAGAATTTTATAGTTTGTTTGAAAACAGGGTAGTTCGGCCAGTGTTACACTTACTATACAAATATTGACAGCTACTCTGTGCCCAGACGCTGAGCTGGGTGGTAAGGGTACAAAAAGACATAGCAGATGGTTAATTGTCCAGGAACTTCCATCTCCCCCTACAACCCAAAGCTAACCAGAGAGCTGTTTTCAGGCTAATTTATCCCGGAATTACCACTATAGAATTCCTTACATTTTCACATGGCATTGCTGTTGTACACCTGCCCTTCGTGCTGTTTCCTTAGCTTATGTTTTCCCTTTTAACAGTCTTTCTGTTGCTCTTTTAACAGTTTCTACTTTTCAAACTGCATTTCCCTATTTCCGTTGGTTTTTTTGTTTGTTTCCTTCTGATTCTGATATAAAGAAACATGTAACTGCCTCCCACCCCCAGCCATGAAACCAGAATGCTTAATTGTAGGAGTGGATTTTGGTAACAAATCGTTTTGAACCATATGATCACAGAATTTTCTGAGCATTTCTATCAGAGAGAATTCTGATAGAATTGGACCCTAAGTCTTACCTAATTGGCTATATCAACGGCTATTCTATGGTAGAAGGGTCATAACCTAAGTGATGAAAATTATGCTTTTCATTTGATAGTCTGAAGATTTGAGATTCTATGAAGAGGGAGGGGGAGAAAGTGGAATAGGGGTGTGAGACACATAAGATAATGAAGGGGCTGCTGCTGAAACTGGGGAAAGCATCTAAAAGCATGAGTTTTCAGAATCTTCCATTCAGTTTTTTCTATAGGCATGTAATTCATGTATTGTAATACATGTCCATCAGACAAGGTCCATCTTATACAAGGTCCATTGTAATACAAGGTCCATCAGACAGAGCTTTGAAAATCAAGAGAACAGAATTAAACAGTAGCATGAGACATGTAAGATTAAGTGAGTAAGAATTTCTAGCAAGTGTGGTTGTAGACTCTCAGAAGGTCTTCAAAATAAATATCAGAGGGATTTGGAGGAGGTGACAAAGATGACCAAAATATGAGTTAGCCCAATATAACACTTGCAAGTCTCTAAAAATACAGTTCATGATGATGCATCTTGAGTGCATTGGTGGCAGTGGAGGGTCAGAATTTCTGTTAGGTTTCATTTGTTTTAACTCTCCTGAAGTTGCTGGTAAATCAGAAGAATTTTAACATGGAAAGAGAAAAAGGAAAGGAGAATAATCAGATTTATGAGGCCATTTGGCAGGCCATGCGTCCCAGGGGCAGAGATAGCTTTACAGCAAGAACTGACAGTAATTTCTAGTAACTCTCTTAAGCCCTCAAATCCCCCAAACCTGGTTGTATGAAGTAGTCTCTCTTTAAAATAAATGCCTGAAAGAAATCTTACTGTTTCCATGGGGTGGTTGAGATGTGAGGTGGCTGAGAAGGGAAGGCTGAGAATCAAAAAGCCTGGTTTATACCTCAATGCTTGAATTGCCTTTATGGGACAAAGAAAAGACTGGTGGGTGACTCAGATTCAAATGTGATTCAAAGAGCTTTTCTACTTGAGTCATGCCCAAGGAAAGCCTTATTCTCATTCCAGGTTTGGAATCACCTCTGGGTTCATGTTCAGAATCACCATGCCAAGGGGCACACTCAAAGTGTCCACTCTTGTCAACAGCAACTAGGATCAGACCAGTGTTGGTGTATTGCTGATCTAAAGTGCTCCCATTCCCTCTGAGAATTTGAGTTGTTGCCTCTTGAAGTTAGGGTCAGTTGGGGATGAACTGGACTCTGTCAGTGGCCCTTCTCTCTACCTTTACCCTTCCCTGTACTACAGCAGATTTTCAGGATGAAGCAGAATCTTTAAAGACTCTAGCAACTAGGGATGAGCTAAAATACCTGTGAACTCCTGGCTTGCTATAAATGAACGCAAGATATTCTTCTACCCTTTCCCAAACCCCTTTGTCACCCACCCCCCAACTTTGTCCTTAGTAACCAGGAATCCCAGAGGTAAGACAATTTCTACCCTTAATCTAAAACTTTTGGCTTGCACCCTGTACACTTTAGGAGTTGTGACAGCTAAGCATCTGGGCAACTTATTGCACCTCATTAAATCTGATGTGACCAGGAAAGCTGCTTTGGGGAGGAGGAAATAATAAAACTGGCCTGATTCATGCTAAGAAGTTGCTATTGATAGAAAAGTATTTTGATACTATAACATGATTCATATGTGCTAAATAACTAGAAGCCAGTGTCATCGACAGCATTGAATTAGAAACACTGAACACACAAATCTCAAACTTCACTGTTAAGATGTTTTTCTGTGACTGCTGCAAAGGGTCAGTGTTGAGACCCACACCCTCACTTTTTGCAAACTGTGTCTCAATGAATGTTAGGACTATACAAGAGAAAGCAACAAAAGAAGAATGGGGGCCTTGTAACACTGCAAAAAGATCCTGGGTAAGGTAAAGAGCTAAATATTTTGATCCCAAACTAATCTGAGACAGTATGGGAGAGCGTGAAAGCCTTAGAGGACAAGAGGCTTGGGATCCGGACCTAGCACCATCTTTGTCTAACTACGAAAGCCCAAGGATCTTAGGGATCCATTTTCTCATCTCTAAAATTATGGTGAAGGAAAAAGGACCTCAGATGTTTCCTGAGCTGCCTTTCTGCAGCAGCTTTATTCTATTCTATGAATACTCTTCCAAGATAACTTTGAAAAAAAATATAAAAAGAGAGATAACAACCCATCACTTGGGGAAAAAATTAGTCGAGACCTAAGGAATATATATCAGACGTGGTGAAATAGACATTTTCTTTAAAATTGAAAACCCCTTCTGAAATCCTGTCGGTATAATTTTTCAAGCAATGGCTGCTTAGAGTTTTCAGATGAGTCATTGCTATGACCTTGGATAATGGAGAAAGAGATGATTTCTAGAATCTGTTACTTAATCGATTTTTAGGGCTATTGCCAAGGTCAGTATCAGATTCCACTCCAGAATATAAAGATTTTAATAACGAAGCTCTTTTCACTCATCAAGGCTTTCCTCTGCTCTCCTTTAGTTTTCTTTTAGGGATTTTCAGAAACCAGGAACCACCTCTTAGATAATCAATCACTAAGTTAGCAGTGGCAATCAGATAGATTGAGTATTTCAACTCTCCCTGCAAATCAAGACCAAATTCATCATAGGACTCTGAATTCATTGCACCTTGGTCTGTGTAGAACTCCAAATGAGGGGGAAAATGGGAAATAGAAATGCCAGGCTTTCTCCTTCTTTCCTTTTCTCCTCTATTTTGAATTGGATTATGTGTAAATTGCCCCTTTCTTTTTTTTTAAATTTTTTCCAGAACTCAGTTAAAAGCATAAGTTCTTTTCTCATAAGGCTGACCATCTAAAAGAACATACTAAAAGAACTATCTTGCTATTAATCTGTTTAAGCCCTTGGTAATTTTAGAATAATTCTGTCTAAAGATATGTAGTGACCTCTATTGAATAAAATACTGTAGAAATATGACCATCACCTGAAGTATGGTTTTTTTAAAGTCTGTCATAGTGATATTATGTTAAAATTTAAAGTTCAGTATGCAGGTCCTATTCTCTTTGAATCTAACACTAGTTGGTCTTCTTGATCTTTAAAAAAGAAAATTCTATCTGCTATACCTTCTGAACATGCTTCATGAAGTTTCCCACTCAAGGTGCAGCTTGATTGAAAATAAACACCTACAATTTGAAACATCTACCCTTGTACCTTCAGTGTGGGGCCTGTATTTGAACCCACTACTTGGATTCTCTCCTAAAGGCATCTGTATCCACACAGCTTGTTTCTCCTACTTGGCAATCACTTGCGTCTCTCAAACCTCAAGTTCAGCCTTTTTGAGAAGATCTCCAAGCCATATATTCTATATTTTAAGTCTATAATTCCAAACACATATCTAAAGGTGCTTTCTTTTACTGCCATAGTAACACAAAAATATTAATCTTGAAAATTCAGTACTTTTGTTGTAGAGGCACATTTTTATATCTGTATTAGTCAGCTCTTACTGCAGAAGCACCCCAAACTTTCAGTCGCTTATAACCACAATCATTTGCTTCCTACCCAGAGCACATGATGAGTTGTTGGTTGGCTGTGGTCCTGCTAGAGATAGACTGCAGATCTATCTTCTCATTGTGGGGTCCAAGTTGAAAGCCTCTATTGAGGACATATTATTTTATGATGAGGACAGAACTACAAGAGGCTCAGGCAAATTATAAAACTGTATATAAAACTTCTGCTCAAATATGGCACGCTCAAAACTTCTGCTCAAATATGGGTATATTATATTCCATTGGCCAAAGCATATTCCACTGGCTAAAGAAGATCATATGAAAGTCAGTGTGATGGGGATGTATTATCCTCTTAAAGAAAACAGCCCAGTGAAAAACTCAAGAACTTTAATAAAAGTTGTTACATTCACCCTCCCTGCTGATAAAACTTTAACACCAACTTACTTTTCCAAATGTTTCCTGGCAAGACTACATGTGATTTTTGTGTGAAGGCTATAGGCTTTCAAATCAAATTATCATTTCAAAATGAATAGCCATTTTATCCCACTCACTATTTTACTGAAGAATATGTTTCTGTCTTTTTGTTTAAAAAATTGCAAACTGAAAAAGGCCAATGAAAAGCTAAATTTATATTAAATCTCTTCACTTTACAATATTCAAACATGAGATATCATTCTGCCTGTTAAAGTGCATATTGTAAAAAATGGTATTTAGTTTCAAAGGGGAGAAAAAAAAAGTTACCTTATGAATTTTCAGGACTATTTATAGATTTATAGTGTTTTCCAAACTTGAATATGAATATGAATCTTTTTTTTTTTGGAGACAGAGTCTTACTCTGTCACCAGGCTGGAGTGCACACAATCTCGGCTCATGGCTCACTGCAACCTCTGCCTCCCTGGTTCAAGCCATTCTCCTGCCTCAGCTTCCAAAGTAGTTGGGACTACAGATGCGTGCCACCACCCCCAGCTAATTTTTGTATTTTTAGTAGAGACAGGGTTTCACCATGTTGGCCAGGATGGTCTCGATCTCTTGATCTCATGATCCACCCTCCTCGGCCTCCCAAAGTGCTGGGATTATAGGCGTGAGCCACTGCGCCCACCCTGAATCTTTTTAAAGAAAAAAAAACACCTTAGTGGACCTACTATAATGACTTGCTAAGTTATTATTTTAATGTTTCTTAAATGGACAGGATAAATACTAAAAGCATAACATTTCATTTAATCAGTTTTCAGTCATGGCAGCATGAAGAAATTAGTGTATCTTCTCCTCCAGAACAAGTAAAACTGAATAAAATTGTCAAAACATTCATTTCAGGGCTCTGAAGACTGACTATAGGCAAACAATAAATTGAGAGGTGTTTATTCATGAAGAACTGCTGGAGTTTGGGTAAGAAAAGTGAGAGTTTGTGACCTTTTTTGTGGGGTGCCACCCTTCTTATCCACCCCCAGCTCAATCAGCACATTAGTTTTAGTGTGACAGGGCCAGCAGTGAAAACTACCAGCTTCTTGCAGAAAGGGAAGATTTGATTTGAAGGGCTAGAAGAATACGATACATGCCAAAAAATACGATCACTGAAAGTAGCAAGCTCAACAGAAAATGAGTATGGAAAACCCGCAGTTCTGCTAGCTTGAGGTCACAGCTGAAGCAAGCAGGACTAGTCCAGAATTTAATGAAGCTACCCAGGAAATTAGAGAACTGTACAAAAGCTAAATAAGCTCTCCACACAACTGTAGCCAACCCCGGAATGACATGCATATTCAGGGGAGACAAAAGAGTGTTTCTTGGCAAAAAGTAGAGGCTGAGAAAGAGTTGAGAAATGGCTGAATCCATTGTCAGAGGATGGAATTCTTACAGGTTTAATGTATTTGTGTATGATCTCTGCCCAAATCATTGCCTGACCACTAAGATCTGCAGACTCAGGTTTTCTTTAGAAAACCAGGATAAAAAATAAAAATAAGAAGAATAACTTTTAAAAACTTGTACACAGACATTGGCATCCACACGCCATAGGAAGACAGATTCTACAGATTAAGTTCAGGAAAGGTATTCTAAAAAAATCCCTCAGGAGAGAAAATCAGAATCTAAAGCTGCAATCATTTACTATCCAAAATATTGAGTTTTGTATTAAAAATTGAGACATGCAAAGAAACAGGAAAATGTCACCCTTAGGAGAAAAATTTTTTAGTAGAAACTGACTCTCAGGTGTTGGTTTTAGCAGACAAAAACTTCAAAGCAATTTAAAATATATTTTTAAAAATGAAAAGAAACCATATTTAAAGACTTAAAGGAAAGTATAATGACTACTACCCAACAAATAGGAAATCTCAATAGAGAAAAAGAAACTACAAAAAAGAACCAAATGGAAATTCTAGAGTTGAAAAGTATAACAACTGAAATAAAAAATTTATCTGATGGAGTTAACACAGATTTTATGTGGTAAAAGAAAGCATCAGGGAACTTGAAGATAAATGAACAGAAAGTATCCAATCTGAAGAACAGAGAGGAAAAACATTAAAGAAAGATAAATAGAGCCTCAGAGACCTGTGGGACAATATCAAGTGTACTAATGAATGTGTAATGAGAGTCCCATAAAGTTTATCTGAAGAAACAATGGCTGAGCACTTCTCACATTTGATGAAAAACATTAATCTACAGACCCAAAAAAGTAAAAAAATGCCAAGTAGGATAAACACAAAAAGATACATACCTAGACATATACTTAAACTCCTGAAACCAAAGACAACAAGAAAATCTTGAAAGCAGCAAGAGAAAAGTAATTAATGGGAAAACAGTAATGACAATACAATTAATGGCTAACTCCTCATTAGAAACAACAGAGCTCAGAAGGCATTGTAATGACATATTCAAAGTGCTGAAAGAAAAACTATAAACCAAAAATTCTACACTCAAGAAAATTATCCTTCAAAGTCAAAGGATAATTCAGTATCCTGGTCACACTACAGTACTATAGTTTGGCAAAGTGTTCCCAATTGGGGAAAATTAGGTAAAGAAAACATAGGAATTTCTCTGTATTATTTCTGATAATTGCATATGAATCTATAATTATCTCAAAATAGAAAGTCTAATTTTTAAAATTATATGTAAAAATAAATGTATACATATTCCAAACTTCAAAAAAACTGAATGGAATAAACACTATCAATCAAAATACAGAGATTGTCAGATTGGCTAAAATACAATCCAAATATCTATCCATGCCTTCTGGTAATGGATAAACAAAATGTGCTTAATCTATACAACAGAATTAATCAGCCATAAAAATGAAAAACTACTAATACATGCTACAAGATGGATGATTCTTCAAAAGCATTAGGCTAAGTGAAAGATTCCAGACACAAAAGACTCCATTTATATGAAATTTCTAGAAAAGGAAAATCTCTAGAGACAGTAGGTCAATAATTGCCTGGAGCTGGAGTTGGGATAGGGATTGACTTCAGGTGAGCACAAGGAGGAGTTTTTGAGGAAATTGAAATGTTGTAAAATTGGGTTATGGTGATGGTTGTACAACTTAGACATTTACTAAGAAATCATCAAACTGCACACTTACAATGGTTGAACTTTATAACATGTAAATTATACCTCAACAAAACTATCTGCAAAATTAAATTTAAATTAATGCTTATACCTCCTTTTTTAGGTTTGAAAAGGAAAGTTTTATTAGAAAATATGCTGCAGAAGAGTACAGTGGTTGCTTCAGCAAGAAAGGACTGTGTATGCCATGGTAGATTTTCCTTAGGGCTATTAATGGAACTTAAAGTGAGAGCTTAAGGGTAATTTGGACCATATTAGCCATGTAAGTCATGATAAATGATTGCATTTGTGGATAGTTTATACCTTTTATAAAAACAACTCAAGAAATTATCAGCCTAAAAGAAATCCACAAATTAAATATGTCAAACAACCAAACTAATAAAATTCAAATGAACATTTCCAGAATATAACTGAGAAATTTAAAGATATTACCTAACAAATTTTTTTTGGCATATTATATACTCACTTATACAAATAGTGCAAGTTAATATGCAGAAAGACAAGATCAACTCAATAAATCCTCTCTCAGTATAAATTTGGCCATGGTTGATCTAGTCAGGTTTTTTTAGAGACTGCAATGTCTAGACTACAGTGTGTTCCTTGGCAACTCAATTCTCTCACCACTTTTCTTCCTTCAAACTACTACAAAACTTTTCTTTGCACAGTTGGACTATAATGTGCTTTGGCTTTTACTAGAATGTAAGCTCCACAGAAACAGGAACTTTTTCTGGCTCAGTACTGTATCTCCAAAGCATGGAACAGTGCATGGCAATATTGTATATATTGAAAGAATAAATGAATAAAATATATATAAAGTCCACTTTATTATGTGTTAGTATTTTACGATATTACTTTGATGTACTGTATCATTTTCAAATGGCGGTATCATAGTTACTAAATGAGAAATTAACATCTTATTCCATGAAAATGATTTTAGTTGCAAATTATCACTGCAAAAGAGAAAAGATTTTTTGTTTGCTTGCTTTGTCTTTGAAATTAGTAATAATTACACAGTAGTAGTTGTAGAATAAGTGTTATTTTGTTGTTAGAATGTCTAGTGGAGCTGGACATGCTTACCAATATATTAAGAACTAAACTCCTGGGTGGATCACTCAGTATCCATGCAGTCATAAATATGAGCCCTCTACTCTAAAAGTGTTTGCCAGTACTGTTTTCCAGGCCATTTCCCCACCAGACAGTAAGTGAATCTTATTACTTGAAATATGCTTATATTAATTTTTAAATTAACATTTGATTAAAAACTAAAATTTAAAACTCTCCTACAGAACTCACAAATGCTGAAGAACATGTTGTAGATCTCAGTTTAAGAAGCACTGACCTAACTCATTATGCATTTCACCTGGTAATGTTTCTCAGTTTTATGAGTAATTATTTTTCATTAGTATCCTCAATAAAAGCATGAAATAGTGCTTCAACTAATTATTCTATTTTGGGGGGTATTCTGTTTTTTAAGTTTTTCATTGAAAACATCTGTCTTTAAATATTTCTCAGGCACAATTCATTTCTGATGTATCTTATGGTGGAAAATTCTGAAATCTCAGTTGAGTACTTATTTAAATACTGAAGCAGATTGTTATGTGTGGAGGGGTCGCACAGTGGGGAGGGTGAGGAGGAAATTAAGGCCGCTCATTAGCAATCTTCTGGCCCACCCTCAGGCAAAGGCGATGGCAGCCTTTTAGAAAGGAAGACTAATTGCACTTCTAAATTTCCTCTACAGGGTGTCAGCTCTGAATTTGGGGATCTTGCACCCATAGAATTCTGATTAATCAGCAATATGGAGTAATATTACATTGTCATTTGCAAATTTTTCAGAGAATTCTGCAAAGATTTCATTTCTAAAACTTAACTTTAAAAATCTGGTATTTGAGAGAAATTTGAAAAGACAGTCTAACTATTCAGATCTTCAAGGTTTAGTGAATTAATTCCTTTTATTCATTAATGTAAATAAATGCTAACTAGTGCTTACTGTTAGTAGGCTGCATACTGTGCTAGTTGCTGAGGTTACAGGACACAGCCTCTGTCTGAAGGAGTTCACACAATCAAGTTAAAGAGACATGCAAAATAAGCATTGCAATGCAGTGCAGTACATTCTTACATCTGATAGAGATGGCCTCTGAGGACACAGAGAGATAGCATATAACTACCCTGGGATTCGCAAAAGCTCCCTTGATGAGGAACAGACTGGTGAGGGCATGGATGGTGGTGAGAACGAGCAGAAAGAATGTTGCAAGAAGCAGAAACAATACCAGCAAAGGCACTAAGGCAAGACAGAATTAGAGAACTTGGAATTAAAGAGGAGAGGTATGTCTGTCCTCTTATTCATTAGTCTTGTCCATCCATCAATCCATCCGTCCATCCATCCATCCATCCATCCAACACTCATATTAATTCTGTTAAATTCCAGATGTTGATCTAAATGATAGGGGCTCAAAGGTTATTAAGATTTTACTCCTATTACTTTAGAGGAAGCAGTGCCAGTGAATCAGGAGAGACCTAAATAAATATAGAACCTCCTGTGTTTTTTTTTTATTATTGTGTTAAAAAACAAATAATATAACATAAAATTTACCATCTTAACCATTTTTAAGTTTACAGTGAAGTAGTGTTAAATATATTCACATTGTTGTGAAACATATCTCTAGAACTCTTTCATCTTGCAAAATTCAAACTCTATACCTATTAAACACTAGTCTCCCCTTCCCTCTCCCCTAAGCCCTTAGCAACCATCATTCTACTTTCTGCTTCTATGAGTTTGAACACTTTAGATACTTCATATGAGTGGAGTCATATAGTATTTATCCTTTTGTGACTGGCTTATCTCACTTAGCGTAATATCCTGGAGGTTCATACATATTGTAGCATGTGATGGGATTTCCTTCAAGGCTGCATAATATTCTACTCTACGTGTATATGTCACATTTCCTTAACTATTCACTTGTCAACAGACATTTAAGTTGCTTCCACCTATGGGCTAGTGTAAGGAATGCTGCAATGAGCATGGATATAAATATATCTCTTTGAGATCCTGCTGTGAAATTTTTTGGATATATACTCAGAAGTGGGATTGCTGGATCATATGCTAGTTCTATTTTTAATTTATTTTCGAGGAGACTCCATAATGTTTTCTTCATTTCTTCTTCTATTTTTGCTGTTGAGATGGGGTCTGGGGCCTCCCTATGTCACCCAGGGTGGTCTTGAATTCCTGGGCTCAAGTGGTCCTCCCGCCTCAGCCTCCCAAAATGCTATGATTACAGGCGTGAGTCACTGTTCCCGGCTTCATGTTTTCTATAATGGTTGCACCATTTTACATTCCCACCAACAATGTATGAGGATTCTAATTTCTCCACATCCTTGCTACCACTTGTTATTTTCTATACTTTTGATAGTGTCCATCCTAATGAGTATGAGGTAATATTTCATTGTGGCTTTGATTTGCATTTCTCTCATGATTACATATGTTGGGCATCTTAGCATATGCCTGTTGGCCATTTTTTTTTTTTTTTTTTTTTTTTTTGAGATGGAGTCTCGCTCTGTCACCCACGCTGGAGTGCAGTGGCACCATCTTGGCTCACTGCAACCTCTACTACCCGGGTCCAAGTAATTCTTATGCCTCAGCTTCATGAGTAGCTGGGACAACAAGCACCCGCCACTACACCCTGCTAATCCTTTACCCATTTTTTAATCAGGTTGTTTTTTGTTGTTGAGTTATAAAAATTCTTTATAGATTCTGGATATTAACCTCTTATCAGATATATAATCTGTAAATATTTTTGCTATTCCATAGGTTGCCTGTTTACTCTGTGGATTGTTTCCTTTGGTGTGCAGAAGATTTTAAGTTTGATGTGGGCCCATTTGTCTATTTTTGCTTTTGTTGCCTGTGCTTTTGGTGTCATGTTTTAAAAAATCATTTCCAAACATGATGTCACAAAGCTTTTTCTTTATATTTTTTCTAAGAGTTTTATAGTTTTAGGTCTTATGTTTAAGTCTTTTTTCCATTTTGAGCTATTTTTCGGTATATGGCATAAGATAATGGTCTGACTTCATTTTTTTTTTTTTTTTTTTTGCATGTGGATATACAGTTTTCCCAGCACCATTTGTTGAAGAGACTATTCTTTCCCCATTGTGTAGTCTTGGGCACATCTACCAGGCTTTCCAGCTTTCAACGCTTGTTGAAAATCATTTGTCCTTGTAAGCAAGGTCATCATTTATTTCTGGGTGTCTTTTTTCTGATCCATTAGTCTACATACCTGTCTTTATGCCAGTACCACACCATCTTAATTACTGTTGACTTGCATTTTGCAATCAGAAAGTGTGAGGCCTCCAGCTTTGTTCTCCTTTTTTCAAGATTATTTTGGCTATTCGAGGTCCCTTGAGATTCCATACAAATTTTAGGATGATTTTCTCTATTTCTACAAAAAAACGCCACTGGGATATTGATAGGAATTGCACTGACTCTAAAGATGGCATTCTGCAGTAGGGACATTTTAATAATATTAAGTCTTCTAAGGCCGGGCACAGTGGCTCATGCCTGTAATCCCAATACTTTGGAAGGCCAAGGCGGGTGGATCATTTGAGGCAAGTAGTTTGAGACCAGCCTGGCCAACATGGTGAAACCCTGTCTCTAGAAAAGTACAAAAAATTAGCTGGACATGGTGGTGCACGCCTGTAATCCCAGCTACTGGGGGAGGCTGAGGAAGGAGAATCAACTGAGCCCAGGAGATGGAGGTCACAGTGAGGCAAGATCATGCCACTGTACTCCAGCCTGGGTGACAGAGTGAGACTCCATCTCAAAAAAAAAAAAAAAAAAAATTAAGTCTTCTAATCTATGAATACAGGATCTTTTTCCATTTATTTGTACTTCTTTGTTTTTTTCTATCAATATTTTATAGTTTTCAGTGTACAACGCTTTCACCACCTTGGTTAGGTTTATCTTTTTTGATGCTACATTAAATGGGATTGTTTTCTTAATTTTCTTTTCAGATTATTTGTTATTAGTGATTTTTAAAAAGCAACTGATTTTTGTGTATTGATTTTGTGTCCTGTAACTTTGTTGAAATATTTTATTAGTTTTAACAGGTTTTTGTGGAATCTTTAGAATTTTCTGCGCATGAGATTATGTTTGCTGCAAACAAATAAGTTTACTTTTTTTCCCAATTTGGATGCCTTTAATTATTTTTCTTATCTAATTGCTCTGGCTAGGATTTCCAGTTCTATGTTGAGTAGTAGTGGCAAGAGTGGGCATCCTTGTCTTGTTCCTAATCTTAGAGAAAAAGCTTTCAAATCTTTCACCATTAGATATGATGTTAGCTATGAGCTTTTCATATATGGCTTTTATTACTATGTTGAAGTAGGGTTTTTTTTCTTCCTAGTTTGTTGAATGTTTTCATCATGAAAAGATGTTGAATCTTGTCAAATGCTTTTTTTCTGCATCAATTCAGTTGACCATGTGGTTTTGTTCTTCATTCTATTAATTGTGAGTGTTATAATGATTGATTTTCATATGTTTAACCATTCTTGCATTCCAGGTATAAATCCCACTTGGGCATGGAGTATAATGCTCTTGATGTGCTGTTAAATTTGTTTTGATAATATTTTGTTGAATATTTTTGCATTAATATTCATCAAAGATACTGGTCTGTAGTTTTCTTTTCTTGTGTCTTTGTCTTATTTTGGTATCAGGGTAATGTTGGCCTCATTAGCATGAGTTTGGAAGTGTTCCTTCTTCTTCAATTCTTTGGAAGAGTTTGAGGAAGATTGTAATTAATTCTTCTTTAAATATTTGGTAGAATTCTACAGTGAAGCTGTCTGGTCCTGGGCTTTTCTTTGCTGGGAGGTGGCCAAGTAATTATGTTTCTAGAATTTCTTCCATTTCTTCTAGGTTACCCCTTTTGTTGACATATAATTTGCTCCTGCCTCTTTATTGAATGTGTTTAATTCTCTCCATCTTTACCACCAAACTAGCCTAAGTTGTTAATCACCTCTTTTCTCAAATTACTATATTAGCCATATCATTGTTCTCCTTGCTTTCACCCTCTCTTATTTATTTTTCACACTGAGAGCAGTATACTTTTTGAGTATAAATCTGAGTATGCCATTGCCCTTGCTTGAAATAATTCAATGGCTTCTAGCTCCTCTGAGACCAAAGGCAAAATGCTTAGCATGCCCCTGCCTGCTCTGAGCACCTCTACCATTTTCTCCAGCTTCAACTTACTCTACTCTCTATTCCCCACCCACTTCATCATCTACAAAGCCCTTCTCTGTATTTTTGTTCTCATTACATGTCTTCCTTCTGCAATAGGGCCTTTACCATACTGTTCTTTGTACATGGAATGCTCTTTTAGAAATTCACCTCTATCCATCCTTCAAATCTCAATTCAATTATTGTTTTTCCCTTAAAAATGTGAGTGTATAAATTTATTTTTTTGTTTGTTTTTGTCATTGTTTTTTTTTTATTTTTTATTTTTTATTATACTTTAAGTTTTAGGGTTTGACGGCAAGCACTAATGGTCAGAAAAAATAAAATGTAGTCCTTACTGTCAAAAAAAAATTATTGTTTTTCTGGAAAGAAGCTTTTACTGACCTCTTAGAGTTCCTCATACTCTCTCATGGTACCATGGATCTCTAATTTTTACCATTTATCATTCTTACAATAATACATCTATTTATGTGACCATTTGAATAATGCCTATTTTCCCCCATATACACCAGTAAGTTTATATTTCTCCCCACTACTGAAAATTTAACTTCTAATTCAGTGCTCAATAAATATTCATTGAATGAATCAATAAATGAAAACATATGGTCTGGCAGGTTGCATATTCCAAAAATGCCACAACAATATCTTTTATTCCACATGCTCTTTTTAACATGTGACTTTAATTCTCCTCCACTGAGAGCTGAAGATTATGATCCCTCCTCTTAAGTCTAGGTAGGTTGGTGAATACAATGATGCTGTGTTATTTCTGGAGCTAGGCCATATGAGGCAACAGCTTATGGCTGGTTCTTTTGAGACCTTTTTCCTGGAACTCAGTCACCATGTCATGGGGAAGTCCAAATCCAAATAGCCTGGGTCAGGCATAGTGGCTCATGCCTGTAATCCCAACACTTTGGGAGGCTGAGGCAGGCAAATTGTTTGAGCCCAGGAGTTTGAGACCAGCCTGGGCAACAATGTGAAACCCTATCTCTACAAAAAAAAAAAAAAAATTAGCCAGTGTGGTGGCTTGCACCTATAGTCCAAACTACTTGGGAGGCTGAGGTGGGAGGATCACCTGATCCCCAGCAGGCAGAGGTTGAAGTGAGCCAAGATCATGCCACTGCACTCCAACCTGGGTGACAGAGCTAGATCCTGTCTCAAAAAGAAAACAAACAAACAAACAAAAAACCCGACAACAAATAGCCTGTAGAGAAGCCCACGGAATAAAGGACTAAGACATTCATTTCACAGTCTTGGCTAAAATGCCAGCACCATCTTGGAGCAATGAGTGTGAGCCATCTTGAAAATGGATCCTCCAGCCTCCAGTTGAGCCACTCCAGCTAGTATCATATAGAGCAGCCATCTCTGTAAAGCCCTGCCCCCAAATAAATTACTGCTATTGTTTTAAGCCACAAAGTTTTGGGGTTATTTGGTACATAGCAAGAGAGAACTGGAACACATACTAAAAGAAATTCATGCTTAACTGACAAAACATCCAGATTAGGTTGTCAAGATCACTAAGTCAGATTGAATATTTGATCACTCTTAAAGTACTTTTCAATTAACCATTTCAATAATTGAATAGAGAGGAAGTAACCATCAAAGCAGCACATCAAAGAGTCAAAAAGAAATCTTATTAAGATGTATGCCTTTTCACCCAATCTAGACCCCAGTTCTATGCTTATTCTGCCCGCTCTCTTTTTCTTCTTCAGTCTGTCTTCTTTCCTACCTTAATTTCACATTTTTAAACTATTTAAATCTACAAAATTGCTTTGTTCTAAATTTTGTGATACAGGGTTCAGGCTGATGACAATTTTGTGATTAGTAGAGAAGTAGCTCAAAAGACTATTACAAAAATAATAGAAATACCTGATCAAAGGAATTTTCAGTGACAACTCTTCTGAATAAAATTATTTGGAATAGTTTAGGTTCTTGATTGTACTTTTATGCTTTGCAGGGTGTAGCTAATTGGATATGTACAAACTGAGAAATTTACTGGATTTGCTGCAACCTGGCTGCTGATTAAGCTGGTAAAGTGTTCATGTTTGTGTGGTGGGCATATCATTAATCTGTCCCTGGAGTACACCTTGATAATAAGCACGGCTCCAGTCTTCCATTAAAGTTAAGTGTCTACTGACAGGATGCAAACAGAGCATAGTACGTTGTAAATAAAGAGTGCCAGGTCTTCAGTTTGGCTGCCTGGGTTTGAATCCTGGCTTATCATATTTTAATTCTGTCACTATGGCCAGGTTAATTATTCTTTTCAAGGTCAATTTTTTAGCTGTGTAATAGGTACAAAATGGTACCACATCTTGAAGATTATTAGGAAGGTTAAAGGGGATAATCCATGCGAAACATTCAGCAGGTGCTTGGCCATAGGAAGTGCTCAATAAGTGCCAACTCTTACATTGTGTCCATCTTATGACTCATTGCTTCTAGTTTCATTCGATATAGCCAATCTCTGCATGACCTTTATAGAACTATGATTTGTGTGAAACAACTTTGGAAGAAATGAGTCTGTTTACAACCTTCAAGACTATCTCTTACCATATCAAATCATTCATTCCCCTTTCTACTTCTCTTGTGACCATGTTTGTTGCATTTTTTTTTTTTTAAATGGAGTCTTGCTCTGTCACCCAGGCTGGAGTGCAATGGCACAATCTCGGCTCATTGCAACCTCTCCACCTCCCAAGTTCAAGCGATTCTCTCGCCTCAGCCTCCTGAGTAGCTGGGATTACAGGCACGCACCACCACCCCCGGCTAGTTTTTGTACTTTTAGTAGAGACGGGGTTTCGCCATGTTGGTCAGACTGGTCTTGAACTCCTGACCTCATGATCTGCCCACCTTGGCCTCCCAAAGTGGTGGGATTATAGGTGTGAGCCACCGCGCCCGGCCTGTTGCAATTTTATTACAAGTTCACCAGCAAAAGAACAACCCTAACTCCTAGTTTACTCTAGTAACTTGGGGAACCAGAATGTCATTTAGAAAATTAAGTACACAGCACACTGAACAATACAATAGTGCTTTTTAATAGATTTCCAGAAACTTACCACCATAGAATTGTTTAATAAAGCTTCAGGTAAATCTAGATGAACATGTATTTAAATATGATCATAAGAATGATTTCACAGTGAGGTTAAACGGACAATGATGTAGTATGTTTCCTTTTCAAAGGCTTTGTCTACATAGTGCGATGGAATTTGACTATATTAAGATATAACTGGCCTGGCATGGTGGTTTATTCCTGTATTCCCAGCACTTTTGGAGGCCAAGGCAGGCAGATCACTTGAGGCCAGGAGTTTGAGACCAGCCTGGCCAACATGGTGAAACCCCTTATTTACAAAAAATACTAAAATTAGCCAAGCATGGTGGTGCATAGTAGTCCCAGCTACTCAGAAGGCTGAGGCACAAGAATCGCTTGAATCCAGGAGGCGGAGGTTGCCATGAGCTGAGATCACACTACTGCACTCCGGCCTGGGTGACAGAGTGAGACTCTGTCTCAAAAAAAGAGAGACATAACTGATATGTTTAACTACAAAAGTGTATTAAGACAATTAAAAAATCAAAATCAACTATGCTGGAAAGTGAAGTATTTTACAGTCATGTAGACTGGAAATTTTCATATAATCATATAGACCGGATGAAGAGGAAATTTTCTTCAACTCCACTGCCTGATCCAGGCCTGCAACACAATCCCAAATGGTGTTAGAAAAGCATGTTTCTATATTAGAGTTAATATGAACAAATTAATTATTTTTACCCCATGATGTGACATTTTATTACATATATTTTTAACATGGGAATAAAATAATGGGTATTACATTGATAATGATGTGGAGTAGAATAGTAGTTTTAGCACATAGTAGCTTCTCACCAATGGTCCTCTTTAATCTTTACAGCAGCACCATGAAGGATATGAGATTATTATTCATTTATAGATGAGGAAACTGGATTTTAGAGAGAGAAAATAATTACTCAAGTCACACAGATATTTAGTAGGAGTCAGAACTAGCCTTTTAACATGTATCTGTCCAACTTCAGAGCCTATTTATTTAACCACTATGCTGTTGATAAGTTGGATTGCATTAAAATTAGGAACTTCTGTTATCTAAAAGGCACTATTAAGAAAGTAAAAAGGGAAAACAATGTTTGAGAGAAGATATTAGTAATATCTATATCTGACAAGGAATAATATCCAGAAGATATGTGTGTGTGTGTGTGTGTGTGTGTGTGTGTGTGTGTGTGTGCACGCGTGTATCTTTTACCAATTCATAAGAAAAAGACAATACAACAGAAAAATGTGTAAAAGGTTTGGACAGGTGCTTCATAAAAGAGGAGAACCAACTGGCCAATTAATATAAGAAAATGTGCTCAATTTCATTATTCAGCAAGAAAATGAAAATCAAAGCAATAGTGAGATATCACTGCACACCTACTAGGAAGGCTAAAATTAAAAAGACAGACATACTATTAGTGAGGGTGGAAAGTACCCGGAAATTTTCTATACTGCTTTTGGGAGTACAGTTTGATAGAACAACTTCAAAGAAGTGGACATATTGGTTTTCCAGCAACTACTAAAGCTAAACATTCTCATACTCTATGATCTGGCATTTTAACTCATAGATATAACCCCCTAAAATGCATGGGATTGTGCATAGATGTATGCCAAAGACAGGTACAAGAATATTTATTGTACCATCATTTGTAAAGCCCCCAAAATAGAAACAATTCAAATGTCCACCAACAATAAATGAGTTAAAAAAAAAGAAACTGTAATACATTCATGCAGTGGAATACTATATAGCAACAAAAATAAACAAACCATAACTACACACAACATGGATGAGTCTCACAAGCATATTGTTATGAAAAGGAACAAAACACAGGAGCATACAGTGTATGATTCGGTCTTAGTCTATTTTGTATTATATAAAGGAATACATGAGGCTAGGTAATTTATAAAGAAAAGAGGTTTATTTGGCAGGTAATATAAGAAAAATAGCACCAGCATCTGCATCTGGTGAGGGCTCCAGGCTGTTTCCACATGGGATGGAAGGAGAAGTGGAGCCATGTGCAGAGATCACAGGGTGAGAGAGGAAGCGACGGGGTTGGAAGTGACTGTCACTTTTTTAACAGCCAACTCTCCTGGGAACTAACAGAGTGAAACTCATTCCTCACTGCAAGAATGGCACCAAGCCATTCATGAGGGATCCAACTTCATGATCCAAACACCTCACATTAGGCCTCACCTCCAATATTGGGGATCAAATTTCAACATGAGGTTTTGGGGGACAAAATTCCAAAATGTAGCAGACTCCACTTATAAAGTTAAAAATTGGCAGAACTAATTGATAATGACAGATAAGCAAGTAGTTACTACCGAAGGTAGTAATGACTGGGAAGGAGCCTAATAAAGCCTCCTGTTATACTGATAATGTTCTATTTCTTAGTCTGGGTAGTAGGTACACAAGTGTATTCACTTTGTGAAAATCCATCAAGCTATACACAAAAGATTTGTGCTTCTGTATGTATGCACAGTTTAGATGGGTAAAGGGGGAAGTAATCTTCCCCCTTTGCTCCTAACCCATAGGTGTTAGCTCAAGTCTATGCTCCTAACCCATAGGTGTTAGCTGATGGGGAAGGTTTTTATTTTACGGTCATGAAGCTCACCCTTGGTTCTCTACATCCTCTCTGTTGTACTTCCAGAAGCCAAGGGATGGAATGAGGCTCCAGGTGGCTGGTTATGGCCTTTCTTTGCCTTCTAGAATGGGTAGACACAATAAGCCTACCATAATCCTTCTCCTACTCATTAGACCTTACCAATCCTTGTCTTCACACTTTTGACCAATTCTTGCTGTGGGATTGTCCTCTCATATTGTTGTTATTCATTTGAGCTTTTTTTCCCCAGCTATTGCCCAATTTGCCATTTTTATACCCACAGACATGACATATTTATACCCTTTTCTTATCTCACCTATCAAACAGTAGCCAAAATAGAGACTAAGTGGAACTTATCTCTTAGCATTTGACCTTGTTGATTTTGATTGAGATTGGGACCCAGGCAAAAGCATGACAAAGCAGCAAGAGCTAGAGAGTAAGGCTTGCACAGTGGTCTTTGGATAAAGCTTCCAAGAATTAACTGAGAAATAAAACACACCAAAGCAGGAATAGAAACAGAAATAGAATAAAGTGGCTAAGAATTACAATTCCGAGAACTCAAATTTTTCTGTGGTTTTCAAAAATTGCTTGATATATCTATGACCATAGGCCATGGACAGTATTTTACTTATAATAATAATAAATTAATACTTGGAGTTTAATATGTGCTAGGTATTGTGTTAAGTGCTTTTACATACATTATCTCATTTAACCCTTATAACCACTCTATAAGAGGTATTATAATTATAGTCATCTCCATTTTATAGATGAGGAATTTGAAGTCTAGAAATATTAACTAACTCACCCAAGATTCCCCAGTAAATGAGTGGTATTATTGGAATTTGAACTCAGATATATCTGATCCAAAATTCCCATATCTTAATCAGTACATGATACTACTTATTTATTGCACAAAAGATAAGTCTGTGCTAATTGAAGATTGTGGGTGAGAATCTGTGAGTGAGGGCCAAGATGAGGTATATTACAGTAAAGTGTCATAATGATGGAGTGGAATTCAGAAATTGAGACTACATGTGATACAGATCAGGTGTAATATGGAGAGACCATCAGTAAACACAAACATATGCCCTATTATTTTGTTTTTATGGGATCTGAATGCATTGTACATTCATCAAAGATGTCTCTATCCTCTTAACATTCATCAGCATGTTATTTGTTTAGAAACTCAAGGTTCTTGTATGTGTTAACTGAGACTAATTTATAAACATTATGGGTTTTACACATCGTCTGGGACCATTCTTTACTATTTAGTGCCAGGACTAGGAAAGAGAAAAAAAGGAGACTTGGAGGCTGGAGTTTCACTTTCCTGTATTACTGTTGCCATGGTAACTGCCGGCTCTTCTCTGATGAGCTGTAACTATCATTCAAAAAAATACTAAGTTTTGCATTTTTATTTTCTATCACTGACTTTTTTTGGTGTGTTTTTCTTCTTATTTCTTATGGCCCATGGGCAGACAAACTACAAAGCAGCGAATAATCATCGTAGTTGTTTAGGAATCACATTCATTGGTTTGGATAATTCAGATTTTTTAAAAGACATGTAAATAATTGCTGTGCTTTCAATTTAAATTTATGATGTGTTATGGTTGAATTAATCACAATGTTGGTTGGTCTGAAATATGGCAAGATCAATAGACCGCATAAGTGACCAGGATCACACTTTCCTGTCTAGTGAGGTAGATTGCGGAGGGCCAGGTTGTCTGAGTAGCAGAGTGAACAGTTGGGTGTGAAGTGCGGTGGAAGGGACTGCACTAGGCCTGCCCATAGGCCTGCCCACCTTACCCAAAAATATCTCTCCTGCTGCTTGTCATATATGGTGCCTGAAATGTCACTATTTAAGCTTTATTTCTGTGGATCTTAAAAGGCTTTCTTTAAAAATATTTTTGGTGTGAAATAATATCTATACTTATAAGTGCATAAACCATAAATAATGTTTAAAAATTACAGTAATTATTAAGTGAATACCTGAGTAACCACCACTCAACTCAAGAAATAAAACATTGACAGCACTCTTTTTTTTAAATTTTGTTTTTGCATCTGAAGTGAGATGACAGCATTCTCAAAACCCTCCCACATATCCCTTCCAATTCACAGCCCCTTCCCTCTTTCCTAGAGGTAATAACATTCCAGATATTTACAGTAATAATTTCTTCTTTTTCTTATAGTGTTTCCAGCTATACTGTATTCTAAACAATATAATTACACTTTGCCTGTTTTCAAAAACTTTATAAAAATGGAATTATGTTAAAGTAGTCTTTTATGTCTTGCTTCTTTGGCTTAACATTATATTTGCAAGATTCATTTATGTTGTGGCATTCATTGGTGTATAGCATTCCATTGGACTCTATTGTTGATAGATACTTGGGCTTTATTTTCTTCATCTCTAGAATTGATCATATGATTTATCTACTTCAGTCTTTTATTGTGATGAATTACATTTTGACTGATTTTTAACGTTAAACCCAATCTTACAATCCTGTGTTTGGCAACTATTTTCATACGTTCAAATTAGTCTCTATTTTTCCTTTCTTATGCTACCCTTATTGAGCTTTGGAATCAAGGGTGTGCTAACCTCATAAGAGTAATTAGTAAATGTTCCCACTTCCTATACTTTGGAAGTGTTCGTGCCAGATTTATTTCCACATTGAATGTTTGGTAGAATTTTCTACTGGAGGACTTGGTTTCTGTTCCCCTACCTGTGAGGCTGCTGAGTGAAAGCTCAAGTTTTCTGTTATCTTGCCTAATATTGGCAAATGCCCTCAAGGCAGCGTTGGTGCCTGGCTCCTTTCCTTACTCTTTGGAATCAGGCTTTCTCTCAGAATTTGGCCTGGCAGTTCTCCACTATTTTGTCAACTCCTCAATGTTTAAAGGTAAATTTTTAATATTTCTATTTGTTTTTTTTTGTTTGTTTGTTTTCTAGAATGAGAAAAGTAGGTCTGAATAAGTGTTTAATTCAATAAAGGACCCTTTGTGAAATGCAAATGTGATTGGAAGGGAAAACTCTTTTAATACCTAATCTATTCATTGGATTTCCTTGTGCTCCTGGTATGTTGCAGAACTGGGCTTGGTAGGACTGCTAGGACAAAGGTGAAGGGTATAACGCTGTGTCCCTACTAAGGAACACAGATCGGGGAAGTGGATCACCTCCCATGCCACACCAGTTCTAACTTCTACTGGGCTGGTAATGTTGCTGTTCCATGACCTGTCACGTCACCTTTTCAATTTGGACTCCAACATAACTTTAGTCTCTGTGCCACCTGCTGACCCCACTTCTGTTTCCACTTCTACTCTGGCCCCAACACCACCAGCCAGCACTGCTCCCAGCTCTTTGACACCTTTCATCTCTGCCGTGTCACCATTCATCAGTGTTTGGGAATCATGAGGTCACCCAATCATTGAACCTCAGAGATTTCAATTCTAAAGAAGTATATCTTTAAAGGGATTCAAGTGACACCTTGAAGAGTCATTACATGGTGCAATAGATATAGTAGACCACCCCAGAATCCACTCTGTACATTAAAGGATGATACAGGACGTCTGGATCAGATGAATTTCCTGCCATATTGAAGCCACTTTCTCCCTTAGGAATTTCTCTGTACTCTATCACCACTTCCTTTTGAAGGTATGTTTTACTCTGAAAGTGAGGAACCTGACCTTTAGCCTCGAGCCTTCTCTGCAGGCTCCTTCCATGAGCCTTAAGGGAAAATAGGTAATAAAGGGGGACCCAAGATGGCAAAAGTAAGTTTTTGTGGGGAATATATGCACATCTGAGAGCCAAGTCTTTTTTGCACATGGACCTTGGCTATGCCAGGAACAAAGAGGAACTTTCCCTATTCACAAACTATTGCAAGGCAAGGCCACCCATGACAAACCTTCTAAGAGTTGCCATCTTGCTGAAATATATGGGTCGTTTCCTTATCCCTGTTGCTCAGGACTTCCTGGAGTCTGGGTCAAATATGCCTGAAATAACCTTACAGTTAAGAATATTTATATACTTGTCATATCTTGCTTTTCCTTTTATGTTAATCTCTAATAGTAAATAGAGAAATCTTTTGAAAATCTGTATTTAGACTTAAAGTATCCCTATGAGTGAAGTTACCAGCCTTGTCATCAGAACCGAGCTCTAGTCTTGGTGCTATTACTTACCAAGTGTATAACCTTAGGCGGTGTCATTTAATCATTCGGGACTTCAAGTTTCTTACTTATTAAATGATGGGATTTGACTGGATGATATTAAGAATGTTTTGGTTCTTAACGTAATTGAGATAACAAATCCACTCATAAATGCAAGAGATGATTGGAAGATAAACAGTTGCTATTTGGGATGGGCATTTTAGTCTGGGATTACAAACCTCCTGGGACATAGCTGTCCTCCCTCCATGGGGGAGAGAAAGCCTCATTCAGTTGTCTCCCTGGGCTCTAAGCTATCCATCTGAGATCACTGAGCTTCCACATAGTGGGAGAGTTTGGGGGCCCTAGCAAGACATGATAGGTTGCTCTAGCTGCTGAAGAAGCCCCCAAAGTTCTTTGTTTTCCAGCACATATTTTGCAACGTGCCACTTCAGATATCTCCTAGATAAGTTCAGATGTCTCCTATGGACTTTTTAGCCAGTCACTGTAGCAGCTCTGCTTCTGTTTTAGCCAATCTGCTTTGGTCTTCCAGGCTACCTCAGGATTGGCATGGGCATACATCCATAGTAGAGCTTTATGTGATGTTTCTGTTAGCTAATAAGTCAATACAATATGAACCTGTATAAGGCATGAAAATCAGGCCACAAGTTCAAGTGTGCAAGAAATACCATTTCTCTTTCTCTCTCTCTCTCTTAATATTTCCTCTTTAATTCTAAGCCCCGCTACTACCAGGCTGGCAGGAAATTCCACTATAGTGGAATTTGGAGCTCTCCTCCCAGTCCCCTATCCTTCACCCTCACCCCTGAGTGGTGGCAAGACATCAGGAGCTGTCACAATGCATGGCCCTAGGTTTGGGAAATGAGGAAGAGGATGTTCTGATCATCATTCGTTGGTTCATATAGGTCATGGTCTTCAGATATTTCCTCTGAGTTGTCCACTGTCTTCTTTAGGTTTAAATGCACTCTGTTGCTTCTGTGTCATTTATGGATGAGTCCAGGAAACTCAAAGCCTATGATTTCCCCAGAACAGCGATTCTTTTTTTTTTTTTTTATACTTTAAGTTTTAGGGTACATGTGCACAATGTGCAGGTTTGTTACATATGTATACATGTGCCATGTTGGTGTGCTACACCCATTAACTCATCATTTAGCATTAGGTATATCTCCTAATGCTATCCCTCCCCCCGCCCCCACCCCACAACAGTCCCCGGTGTGTGATGTTCCCCTTCCTGTGTCCATGTATTCTCATTGTTCAATTCCCATCTATGAGTGAGAACATGCGGTGTTTGGTTTTTTAGTCCTTGCAATAGTTTGCTGAGAATGATGGTTTCCAGTTTCATCCATGTCCCTACAAAGGACATGAACTCATCATTTTTTATGGCTGCATAGTATTCCATGGTGTATATGTGCCACATATTCTTAATCCAGTCTGTCATTGTTGGACATTTAGGTTGGTTCCAAGTCTTTGCTATTGTGAATAGTGCCGCTATAAACATACTAACAGCGATTCTTAACCGGGACAATTTTGTCCCCCAAGGACATTTGGCAATATCTGGAGACAGTTTTGATTGTCATAACTGGGTGGTGAGTGCTACTAAAATCTAGCAGGTAGATGCCAGGGATAGTGCTAAATATCCTACAATGCAAGAAAAGCCCCGTCCCCAGCAAAGACTTATTCATCCAAAATGTTAATAGTGCTGAGGTTGAGAAACTCTGCCTTAGACCAGTGAATCTAGCTGCCAATGTGAATCACCTGGAGAGCTTTTGAAAAACACCTATTCCTGGGCCCAAGTTAGACTAACTAAATCAGAATATTTAAGATAGACTTGGATATTGGGATAAAAAACAACAACAACAACAACAACAAAAACAACTCTGGACTGAGCACAGTGGCTCATCCTTGTAATCCCAGCAGTTTGGGAGGCCAAGGCAGGAGGAATGCTCAAGGCCAGGAGTTCAAGACCAGCCTGTGCAACACAGCAAGACCTCACCTCTATTAAATAAAAAATAACTTTAAAAAATTTTAAAGAAACTTCTTCAGATAATCTGACGTGCAACCATGGCTGGATACTATTGCTTTGGACAATCCATGAAGCTATTTCCCGCTGGGGTTTGGCAGTCCCATGTACTGTCAGGAAATAAAACACAAGTTCCCACTGTTCCAGGATCCATAGGCCTCTCAGCTCTTCCTCAGCCCAAGAGGGTCTCTATTTTATCTGAGAGAGCCTCTCTTTCCTTCCTCCTTCTTTGAGTCTACTGTTTCTTCCTTAAACCTCTTCCAATGGGTTTATGCCTTTAGAGATACTAGGTCCTATAGACTATTTTCGGGCTTTCTGCCTGCCCTTTACTCTCCCTTAGGCAAGGAAGCACAGAATTTATTGCTGAGTTAATAGAATGAAATGAGCAGGAAAACGCTGTGGGGAAAAACATGAACTAATATCACCAAATATTATTCAGGCATATACTTCACAAATATTCTACAACTTCTTAAAAACCACCACTGCCATCCTCCACTGAAGCACCTGAATAAGTTCTAATTGGTCCCTTAAAAGAGTTCCTTTCCAGGTTTAAATTTTTATGGTTTTGAATGCTCATTTGAGTCCATCATTTCACATTTACAATTGTTAAGGGACAATTCTAATAGGCAATTCTGCCATCAACTCACACTCAACATGTCCAAACTCAATTCACCATGCTCTATTTTAAATGTTTTCTTTTTCTTTTCCACACCCTTCTCCATTTCTGAATTACCTAAAAGACAATAGCCTTTCTCCATTACTCAAGGGTGAAAAGGTAGACTCACTCTTGACAGCTATCTCTCCTCCATCCCCTGATTCTAATGACATTATCAAGGTCTTTTGAATCTTTAACAACAAAAAAAAATCTTATTCCTACTTCATTGTTCCAGTTTTCACAGCTGCCATATTAGTTCATGACTCTATCACTTCTTGCCTATGTTACTGTAATATTTTCCATCATTCTTGGCCCAGATCTTTGCCATGTTCCATCCATTGCTCCTGCTCAAAAATTTTCAAAGGTTTCTCCTCTGTGAGTTAGATCAATTCTAAACTCCTCTATATTGCCTTCAAGTCCTCCACAAGTTGGGTCTCTAAATCCTTAAGTCGGCTAACCCATCTAGGCTTTGATCTAAATATCACTAGCACCCACCATGGCTAAGGTCTGTCATGGAGCCATGGCTGAGACTTCTGACATTGTAACAGACTGCCAGCTTCTCTAGACACAGAGATTTGGCAGTCAAGCTCTGCATAGAGACCAGACATGGCATTTCAGGGGAAGAGTTATTGAACAATAGCAGTAAGGCTGAGTCTTGAGGAATCCCCCTCACTAAACCAAGAGAATAAATTTAAACTGTCACATTCTAGAGGCAACTACAGAGATTAGTACCACCCTTAAAGACATAAAGGATGCAACCCACCGTATTCTTTTGTCATTCAGCAGTCTGGCTCCTAAAAATAAGGATGATTTTTAGGTGGATAAAAGTGGGCTACTGAAAAATCAACCAAGTAGAAGCTGCAGTGTCAGATGTGGTATCTTTGCTAGGGCAGATCATTGCAACCTAGGTACATGGTATGCAGCCACTGATCTGGTGAATGCATTCTTTTTCATCACTATCAGGAAAGAAGATCAACAGTAATTTGTATTAATGAGACATAGACAACAGTACACATTTATGTCTTGATCCAGGACTATATTAACTCTTTTATTATCTCCTCTGTCATAGTTTGAAGAATATCTGGACTTTCTGAAGAATACCACATTGGTCCACTATGTCCAGGAGATCATGCTCATCAGACTGTTTGAGCAAAAAATAGTAGGTATATTGAAGGCCTTGGTAAGATGCACTTCAGAAAGTAAGAGTTTGATGATGAAGTACAAAGTCCTGACTCCCTTCCATTAACTGAGGCCAACTCTGAAGGAACAGCCCAACTCCAGCACTCCCCATGGGATGAGCTGAAGTCTCCTTGCAGCTAGATGAGAGACGAATTCTATTTAGTCTGATCCTGCTGTCTTTACTACCTTCCAGGCTCTGTTTCACAGTGTACGCTTCAATAAACCTGCTGCATGAAAATATCCCACACAGAGCCTGTTTCATGGATCTAAAGTAAAGTCATTAAATAATGAAGGGAAGTCCGTAGGTGACATCAACTAGGGCAAGTAGTGGGTGGCAGATTCTGATGACTCAAAGTTCTAAACTGGTATTGGGTGGTGGGAGGAAAGAGGACGAGTATCTACAAATGACAATGAGAAGCAAGGACCACCTCCAATTCCAGTTGTACAAGAGTGTGGGAGAGACAACTGACTTCATTCGAGAGTCCTGAGGGGATTGCTGCCTTTTAGTAGGGACAAGAAGTTTAAAAAAAAGTTTAGAGAAGATCAAGGAGATTTTCTAGTGGTAGAACATGAGTTTCCAAGAATTAGTAGAAAGGGAAGGAGTGGGATAAATCCCTGGGAGACATGCAGAACCATTTCAGGATTACAGTGGTGGGAGGAGAAGAGACGACCTGGCAACTTGAGCTTCTACCGGTAGCTAAAGCAGCAGGGATAAAGAACATAATGAGATTAGTCCTGGGATTTTCAAGACAGAACAGGCCAGAGAGCTGTGCCTGTGGGGGTGGGGAGGACAGGCAAGGGCACTGCCAGGAACATTCAGAGTGCTGGGGCTCCATCTCCTGTTCCCAACATTCATGGGAAGGCTGGGATGGACTGGTCTTACAGTAAGCACCGAAACTCTGAGCTCTGAAGCTCTCTCTTCAATTTTGCATAAAAGAGAATTATTCTTTGCTTAACTTAGAACTTCCACCACATTTACAAGAGCAGGTGAATGATTTTATTATCTCTCTCACTATGATAACAGTCAGTAACTATGAGATGTACACTCCCCATCATAAGATTTTTTTTCTTCCTAATCACTGATATGGCATCAAATTAAAGATGTTTGGTTATAATAAGAAGCTTCAGAAATTGAAGTTATCAAGCAAAAATATCTGCGTTGATCTCAGCTCCATTAAACATACATACACAAAGAAAAAACAATTATCTGCCAAGTAGAAAATATAAAATCATCAAGAAATTTAAATATGTTTATATTTGTAAGAAGGTAAAGTGAGGAATAGGTGTAGGAAAAAAATGAGTGAATTTAAATATAATCTTGATGCTTTTTTCTCTGATAAGGGTGTTTACATTTGGTATTTGGAAAAATGTTTCTTCTGGCAATTCCAATGACTGATGAATAAAGCCCTTCCATTTTGTTCAAAGAATTGATCAAACATCTGTGGAGAATTGACCTTAATTCTAAGTCCATCTTTGCTCTGAGTAATCTGGGGGATAAATCATTGTTTCGTTCATTTAAAAAACAAATATTTATTTGCACCTATTCTATGCCACCTACTTAGTCTTGAAGCTAAACCTATGGAGAAGACAGACATGATCCTTCTCTTCATAGAGCTGGTGTTTAAGTAGGCCGGGTGCAGTGGCTCATGCCTGTAATCCCAGCACTTTAAGAGGCCAAGGTGGGTGGATCACCTGAGGTCAGGAGTTCGAGACCAGCCTGGCCAACATGGCGAATCCCCTTCTCTACCAAAAATACAAAAATTAGCTGGGCGTGGTGGTGGGTGCCCATAGTCCCAGCTACTCAGGAGGCTGAGGCAGGAGAATCGCTTGAACTCGGGAGGTGGAGGTCGCAGTGAGCCAAGATCATGCCACTGCACTCCAGCCTAGATGACAGAGCAAAAATCCATCTAAAAACAGAAACAAAAACAAAAAACAAAAACAAACAAACAAACAAACAAAAAACTGGGATAAGTAGCTGGATTCAGCCAAACAAAGAGACAATACAATATAATGTGATCGGTATTAATGAAGAAAGTACAGGGCCTCTCCATTAGCCCATAGGAGGGGTACTTACTTAGCTTAAGATAAGTAGGAGTTGGAATAGTTAAAAGACTAGAAAAATATTTTGGGCAGAAGCAACGGCTTCTGAGAAAACCCAAGGTAGAGGTAGAAGAGATCTCTGCAAAAGAGAAAACTTGAATTGTTGGTATGCGATGGAGGGAGCAGGGGAGCTGCTACAGTGTTAAACCAGGTAAAATAAATTTGGTCTTTACCTTGAGAGTGGTAAGTCATTGGCCATATGTGCATTTAAAAATAATTACTATGACCACCGTGTGGGGGGAAAAAATGTTATTATAGAGAAGACTTGAAGAAGGGATTAGACCAAGTGATTTTTAGGATTTTTTTTTCCAGTACAAACATTCTGTGATTTGATGAAATAAATCACATAGAACTTTTGTAAGTAATCACTAAATCATTCAGAATAGCCACCTAGACTGGAGTGCAGTGGCACAATATCGGCTGACTGCAACCTCCCTCTCCCAGGTTCAAGTGATTCTCCTGCCTCTGCCTCCCGAGTGGCTGGGATTACAGGCACGCACGCCACCACATCCGGCTACTTTTTGTATTTTTAGCACAGATGGGGTTTCACCATGTTGGCCAGGCTGGTCTCGAACTCCTGGCCTCAAGTGATCCACCTGCCTCTGCCTCCCAAAGTGCTGGGATTACAGGTATGAGCCACCGCGCCTGGCCAAAAAGGGCTAACATTTCTTACAGACCTACCACAGACCAGGACCCATTCTAAGCACTTTATATTTATCAATGCATTTAAAACCAACACCAACCCAATGACACATGTTCTGTTATTGTTATCAACGCCCCCACTTTACAAAGAAGGAAAATGAGATACAGGGAGTATAATCAGTGAGTGACCAATGGATTTGCATCCAGGAAGTCAGATTCCAGTGCCCAGGCACTTACATTTTGGGATGTAAATGAACAGACTATTCTCATTCCCTGTATTTCGAAATCTCATCCCTTACAGGAAGCATTTCCCAAGCGAAATGAGAAGGGATCTTCCTTTGTGACCAGAGGTGACAAACCTACATTCTGAACCTAAATTTGGGATTCATTCCAATAGGAAAGCAGGAAAATATCCAAGCTAATTTCCTTCTGTGGTTGTCTCAGAGATGAAGGTTTCTAGACTGGGTTACATAAAGCTTTCATAACGCCTCTCTCCCCATTCCACCACCACCAAATTTAAACATTAACCAACTGCTTCCTCTTTGATAGTAAAAAAAAAAAAAAAAAAAAAAGAAAAAAAAAACGGAGAAGGAAAAATGTAAGAGGTAATGTGAACTTAACGATCATGTTCTTTATAAATAGAGGGTTTTTTCTTTAACTAAGTGTAATTATTCCTGATTTTCAACTGAATTAAAGTAGCTTAAGTTAATTGAATGAATTAAATGTACAACAGCTGGGAAGTCAGGCTTTAATATTCCAGGTTTGGTAGCTGAAAATGTTGTCATTCTTGCCTAAAATTGCTATTAATAACAGTTTAAGAAAACCAGTAGTTTCTATGGAACCTGGTGGGTGAAGTGAATAAACTCCACATGTTTGTGATTTTCAAAGAAAAAGTGGTTCCTAAAAATTGGGAGCCATTAATACACTAAGATATCAATTCATAAAAATCACCTATAGTAATCTAGCAGCAATATTTCTAACATATTCAGTAGTTTAAATTCTTACATTTGGGTTCATTTTGGGGAAACTTAACTAACTGATGTAGTCTGGAAATGACTCTTATTCCCTCCCCTTAATGTGGGTTAGAACTGGTGGCTTTCTTCTACGAATAAGTTATGGAAAAAGTTAGGCGGTATCACTTCTGAGATTAGGTTATAAAAGACTGCATCTTTCCTCTTGCTGGTTGTTATGGGCTGAATGTGTCCCTCCAAAATTCATACGTTGAAATCATTAATGGGATGGTATTAAGAGGTGGGCCTTTGGGTAGTAATTAGGTCATGAGGGTGGAGACTTCCTGAATGGGATTAGTGCCCTTTATAAGAGGAGATTTAGGAGAGCTTGCTTCCTCTCTCTCTGTTCTCTGACACATGAGAATACAACACAGTGATAGCTGTCTGTAAAACCCAAAGAGGTCTTTCACCATGAACCTGACCATGCTGGCACCCTGATTTTAGACTTCCAGCCTCCACAGCTGTGAGAAATAAATGTTTGCTGTTTAACGCACACAGTTTGGCTATTTTTGTTACAGCAGCCCAAACTAAAACAATGGTCCTTTATTTCCCTCTCTCTCCCTCATCTTCTCACTTGCTTTCTCTGGATGAAATAGGCTTCCATGTTGTGACCTGACCTGTGGAGAGGCAAATAATTAAGAACAGCCTCAGGCTAACAGCCAGCAAGAAACCGAGTCCCTCAGTCCATAGCCCACTAAGAACTCAATCCTGCCACCATGAGTGAGCTTGAAAGCAAATCTTTCCCCAGTCAAACCTTAAGACAACTTTTGCACTCAACAACACCTTAATTTGAGGTGTGTGGGAGGCTCTGACTGAGCCAGAGAACCCAGTTTGGCTGTGTACAAATTCCTGACCAGAAACTATTGCTATTTAATAAATGTTGTTTAAGCTACTAAATTTTGAGGTAATTTTTATGGAATAATAGAAAACTAATTCGGTGTCCAATAACTATTTATTGAATATAAAAAATAAATGTTTGTTGATTTTTTAAAAAATGGACCTGGCATAGTAGCTCATGCCTATAATCCCAGCACTTTAGGAGGCCAAGGTGGGAGAATTGCTTGAGGCCAGGAGTTTGAGGCGAGCCTGGGCAACATAGTGAGACCTTATCTCTACAAAAATAAAAAAAAAAAATTAAAATTAGCCAGGTGTGGAGGTACACACCTGTAATCCTAGCTACTGGAGAGGCTGAAGTAGGAGGACTGCTTGAGCCCAGGAGTCTGAGGTTGCAGTGAGCTATGATTGTATCACTACAATTCAGGTTGGGTGACAGAGAGAGACATTGTTCCTAAAAAATGCATAAAGGGTGGAAATGGGGTAGCAATTAGGGGAAATATTAGAGAAGGTTCCATAGAGAAAGTGATACCTGAGCTGAAGATTGAAGGATAAACAAGAGGGCATAGGGCGTATCCAACAGAGAATCAATATGTCAAAGGCAGAGAGAATGTAAGGACATGTCAGTTAGGAAATGGACTAGTAGACTGGTTAGACAGGACAGCAGGATTTCCATGAAAAGGAGATGGAGATAAAGAAGACCATTCTGAGAGGCTTTGTATATCACGCAAAGGATGTGAGCTTAGTTCTCTAGGCAATAGAGAGCCAGCAAAGGCTTGCTAGTAGAGATGATGCATTAGATGGTAGCTATGGAGGGAGATAGAGTGGAGATGAAGGTAGTGGGAATAACTGGAGGGAAATCTGCTTGATGAGGATGCAATTGTCTAGATAAAAATTGATGGTAGCCCAGACTGAGACTGGTGCAGTAGTGGGAAAATGAGGGGATAATTGATGCAAGAATTTTTAGGGTCAAGAGCCTCCTTTGTGGGGGGATTGGGGGGGTGAGAAAAAGGTTGGCATCCAAGGTGACTTGCAGGACCTAACGTGCTGCTATGCCTTCACTAAGACAGGGTAAGGCCCAAGCTAGAGAAATAAGTTAGGATATTATCAGTGCAGAGGTGTAGGTGAGAAACAATGAAAATTTAATGAGCACATATCACGTGGCAGACCTGAGCTCCTCTCTTTACTTATTTTTACATTTATTTCTCACAAGAATTTAGTGACTTATGCATGATTCACCCCGTCATACTGAGGACAAGGAAACTGCATTTCAATGAGGTCAAATAACTTCAGGATCACATAGCTAGAAACTGTTCAGGATCACATAGCTAATGAATGGAATAATCAATGGTCAAACCAACACACCTGTCTCCAAATCTCACTTTATTTCTACTCCCCATGGTGCTCTGGAAGATGGACCAAGCACGGAACCCTGTGAAAGAATGATGTTGAAGAGGTGGGTGGAGGAAGAGGGGGTGGTCTGAGAGGGAGAATAAGACTAGAAAGAGTGGTGTCATAGAGGCAATGATGAAGGAGAGATTCAACATGGAGGAAGCCATCGACAGGATCTACCTTGGGATGGACGGCAGAAAAGTGGCTGTTGGTGATCTTAGAAGAGCAATCTCAAGAATGTGGTGCTGAATTGCTGGTGCCTGAGGCAAGCAGAAGCAATGAGTGCAGGCAACTCCTTCTCTAAGTCTGGCTTTGAAGGAAAGGCAAACGATGGACAGATGTGCAGTTGATGCTCAGGGTTCAAGCAAAATTCTCTTGTCTATGTGACTAGTTAGGACATAAGAAAGTTGACCAAATTTCTGCTGAGAAAGACACAGTTGGTCAGTAAGAGGCTGGTGGATATCAGAGAGGAAGATTATTGATAGAATAAAATTTATCAGGTGACAGAAGAAATCTAAATCTGGAGAGAAATGACAGCATCTACCTCGTTCTCTAAATTTAGTATATCCCCTCTGTGTGACCAGGAATAATTCCTCTTTTGCTGCCTTGAAGGTGACCTACTTGGTCCCATTACTCTTTATGCTCTTGAAGACAGAATTTGAGACCTATAGGATCCAATTCAAAACTGTGCTTTTGAGGAGTAGCACCAGACTACGAAAAGAAGTTCTAATAGCTACAATTTCTGCCTTTACTGTAAACGTGCTGTGTGACCCCTGTGACTTACTTAGTTTTTACTCCTTCTTATCTCTGTAGATCCCTGAAATATTGTAAGGATTCAAGAGATCATTGTGTTGATCTTTATGTCTGCCTAGCATTCAGCACAGTTTTGTTCACATGGTAGGTGTATAATAATCATGTTGATTTGCATCTGCTTGATCCTGAGAAAATCAGGTCAATGTAATCTTCTTGAGAAAGTCTTCTATTTGCTTACACAGAAAGAAAATATCTATCTCAGTATTTAATCCCTGCAATCCATAGGCTAAAGGTCACACAATCTCTGAACAGCCTTTATTATATTTGTTATTAGGTAAAATTGTTATAACGATATCTGAATAGACTGATTTAGAGGTAAACAGTGCTTCCATCGAAACTGCTGGCTCCTCTCTCCTTCAGAGAGATGCCCTTTTATCAGCAAACAGGGAGAGAATAATTGTTAATTCTATATGTATCAGTAAGTTGTTTGCAAGTGGCCATTACCAAAATGAACGAATTAACTAATAGCATCATGATGACAAGTTGATGAAGAAATTTGACCCAAAGATAAATCCATTAACATGTTTCTGCTTGCTTCTAATTTTAGAATTCTATCAGATAAAAGCAAAACTGAGTCAAATCATTATTTAGTCTAACATAAACGGCAGCCAAGGAGTCTCTTTTTCATTTTTATTTGGAAACCTAGTCTATTTAGTTTTAAATTAAAAGCAATATAATAGGCATAAGGTTGGTACATTCATGGTGATCAAGCTAGTCGGGGGATGCAGAACAAGCTCACATCTGGAAGGGAGACATACTCAGCTCTCCACCCAGGCATTTTTCAGTATCATGGTTGAGTTAATTTTTCCTGTTTAGCTTTTTGTAAGGCTGCTTTGAGATTGTGGAGTCACTATTTTCGAATCACATCTCAACACTGAAAGAAACCCTGACCCACCTCAGCACCCCTCAGTCTTCAGTAGCAATGAACATGAAAATCACGGAGTGAAGTGGTCAGAATGTTTTTCACTCCATCCAGACTCAAGATCAAGTTAGATAGGAGTAAAATCCCTACTGCATTACACAAAAAGATACACTATGGCTGCATCCTTTACATTCCATTCTATTTGTGTCCCTTGGTAGACAATCTGGTGGTCAAGCCCTCTCTTGAGCCCAGGAGCAGGAGAATAAGGAGGGAAGGACTGCCATTTTAAGTCCTGAAGATCATTCCCAGCTTCCTTGTGAATTTTTATGACTGTAGTATTTGGAGACTGGGTGCCTGAGGGGGCTGTCCATCAGCAGAGACATAAAGCAGAATTCTTGGCTGCATGTGATCAATAAATATCTCGTGGCCTTTCTGTGAATAGCGGAGATGGTGACCTTGGTTTCACAGAAAATTTCTAATTTGGATAATTATGTTCTGTTTCTCTCTGTTGCTCCTGTTGCTTAAATAGAAAATGGAATTCTTCATTTTTGTTCATAAACTGCTGCTTAAGTTGCACTGCTGTGAGGTGTTGCTGTGAGCTGTTAAACATCTGCTGTGCCTTACTTCGGAGGTGGTTGCTTTTTAATTGAATTTTACTTTAATTGACTTGAACACACTATATAGGTAATAAATCTGTTTGCAAAATGCTTTCAAGTCTATTTAGTTAAAAAGATTCACATAAAATACAAAACACAATAATTAGTTTTATAAAAGATATTTTGGGGGTACATTTTTATTAAAAATTATTTTGTGAAACAATGTCTACTACTGAATGGTTTTCTAGGATGTATAGAAAAACACACCTTATTTTTCCTTTATAAAGCTAAGAGTTTTCAATTAAAGCAGTCAATTAATATGTATGTTCTCCACACTTGCTTAGCACAGGGATGGGCTCTGGCTCTTGCAGAGGTGCTAAACAGAGCTAAGAACAAGTTGTTTCCATTAGAGGGCAGGCCTATTCCACTAATGTAAGCAATGGGGGATAACGAAATACCAGGGAAGATGTGGGGAGGTGGGAATATTGGATATTCTGCTGCCCCAAACCACCTCTCCCTTCAGTCTTCTGCAATACCAAACATCCCACTATTAAAGCCCGGTGGAAGGTAGGTTGAAATGTTAATTTATGTCTCGAAAGGAGTACTAAACTATTGAATATTCCTCTAAGTTTTTCTTTCAACATGTATGAGGTGCCTCCTATGTCCTAGAAACCTTACCTATAGAACTATCATCGCTATTTGGCAAGTGAAAAGATTCTGTGAGGTTCAGTAAATTGTCCAAGGTTGTATGGTTAATAAATACAGAAATGGGATTCAATTCTTGGCAAGTTGTTGCTGTTTCTGCCTCTCCAACTGGTTTTCTTGCTGATGAATTGAAAGTGGCTCTTGTTCCTCAGGCTAAGGTGAAGGCAGACACATACATAACTACAATACAATGTGAAGAGAGCTGCCACAGAGATGTGTACACTGTGGTACTGGAGTGCAGACAACGGAATGACTTACTCCACCTTGGGGCATCAGAAAAAGTTTCATGGAGGAGGTGGTATTTTACGATGGGTCTTGAAAGACAAAAAGGGCATAAGTTCCAGGATTGTCTTGGTTAATTAGGGCTGCTATAACAAATATGCCATAAAGTAGTGGCTTATGCCACATTTATTTTTCACGCTTCTAAAGAGGCCGGCAAGTCCAAGATCAAAGTGCTGGCAGATCTTGTGTCCAAAGAGGAACCACTTTGCTTCCTGCTTTGCAGATGGTTGTCTTCTTCTTGTACCCACATATGCCAGAGAGCAGAGAGAAAGGAAGCAAGCTTCCCACGTCTTCTCTTATAAGGGCACTAATCCTATTTGTGAGGGCTCTATCCTTATGACCTACTTACTTCCCAAAAGCCCCATCTCCAAATACCATTGCAGTGAGGATTACATTTCAATATATGAATTTTGAGGGAAAATAAACACTCAGTCCATAGCAAAGATAGCATAGCCTGGTTTAGTGGCAAGAGCTTAGGCTTTAGACTCAAGAAGGCTGGAGTTTGGATTCTAGTTCTAGCCCTTAATCATTCTGTGAATTTAAGCAAAGTTAAAAATTTTTCTAATCATGATATTCCTCATTTTCAAAATGGGAAAAACAGTCAATTTCTAGGAGTATTGAAGGAGGAAGTGGATAGCACAATGCTTGGCACATAATGGACATTCCATGCTTATTGGTCTCCTTCTCCCTTCTCAGGCAGACAGAATAAAACATGAAAAGGCAGATTGAGGTGAGAACCATAAATTTGGTTTGGTTCCAGTGGAAATATGGGGCATCCTGTTAAAAAGAAAACAAACAAACAAACAAAAAACAAGTTTTACCTAGACTCTGAAAGGTCTTAGCTGGATTTTGTCCTGTAAAAAGTCATGAGCCGTTAGCCATTTTTAAGCAGGAGAATGCCATGATCAGATTTGTGTCTCAAAATAACTCTGGTGTCACTGTGGAAAATGAACATTGCAGTGACAAGGAGGCCAGTCAAGAAGCTGTTTCAATAGAACAGTTGACAAGTTTTGAGCCCCAAAACCTAGATAGTGTAAGAAGAGATGGAAAAGGGACACTCAGTAGGTAAAATTGATGGAAAATATTGACTAATAGAAATTAAAGGTGATTTGAAGTTTTAAATTAATGGTTCTATTTAAACGGTGCTGCTACTAACCAGTTCAGGGAAGCAAAAATGTTTTGGGGGAAAGAATTATTAATCTTATTTTACATAATAGAATTTTAAGAGCCTGTGAGATATACAAGTAGAAAGTTTCAATAAATAGTTAAAATTTTGTCTTGAGGCTCAGGGTAGAGATATTGACATGAATGTTAATGTTATATAAATTGAATTAAAGTCATGATATTGGATAAGATTTCCCAGGGAAGGCATATAAAACACTAAGAGGGGAGATCCATGAGAGGACCCCTGAGGAAAGCAACTTAGAACAATTTTCTTAGGAGGAGGAAAGTCCAAAAAGAACAGTAAATGAGGCACTGGCCAAAGAAAGAAATCCCCATAGAATAGCAAAAGTGCACTAGGTTCTTGGAAAGGTGGAAAGAGTTATAGGTAAGCATTTTAAAGAGTAACTGGTACAGATGTTCTCAATATGACAGTCTTGAGTTGAATAGAAACTTAGAGGGTGTCAAATCAAAACGGTCATTCAGAGAAACATGGACATACTACAATGGTATTAATTTAAGAACCATTACTATGTTACTCGTTTGGATGTTTCATGGCACTGCATGAAACATTCATATGAGAAACCTAGTAATGGTTCTTAAATTAATGTGATTTTCTCTTCGGCCTTCCTGCACACTTAACCTTTACTCCATTGAGCCTGGATATCCAAATGTGGGTGAGGAGGTCTATCTGAGAGATTAGGAACGTTACTGAAGGAATACAGAATAAGAATATGGCAACGTTGTATTCAGCTTCTGACATGGATAACAGGATTAGGCTACAAGATAATAGCTTTGCTAGCCACATTATTGTATTGCAAAAAATTTTTTGTCATGTCCTACTTTGGCATATCTACTTCTAAGTTTGAAGGACTCAGCTCATAGTTTTGTACCATCATGTAGATGCCTTACTGCATCTTCCAGTAAGGCCAAAGGCTAGGTGGAGGATATGGCAGAAAGTGGTGTTTTCCGTGAGTGAAAGAGAAGAAATCATGTGAATCAGGCATCTCAATTGGGTCTTGACCTAGTTTAAAGAGACCTGACCATGAATTACACATTACTGAGAAAAAAAAATTTTGTTTAAAAACTTATGAGTGAAATACTGTGATGTTTTCTATTCAGATCTACTCTATTGTACACAATTTCATTTTTTAAAATCCTGGATACAACTTACTAAAATTGATTTCACAACCCACAAATGGGTTTTGATCCATAGTTTGAAGAACATTACTTTAGGATTTGTAGTGAAGATTCATATAGTCTTTATTTGTAATAGGGCAATATTCTACCATGTTAATAAAAAGCAATTTTTCTAGATAAAGAGCTTCATAATAGCTCTCTAGACCTCAAACCAGAAGTCTAGGAAATAAGAAAGGGAATATGGGATTGGGAGCTAGAAAAATTTGAAGGACAATAAATGATAAAAGAAAAGGTAAGAAAGAGAAAGCTTTTAGGGGACACATTTTGGCTCTCACCATGGTGATTTCCAGGACATATCTCATGAGAAATCTCCCACATTAGCCTGACCAGTACACAATTTGCTGAGAGAAATAAGCAAGAACAATTCCTGAGAGCAGTGGGGATATGCAACATTCTCTGGAGGAGTGCCAGGTGCTTATTTGAATTGCTGATTGTTGATGATGAACATCTTTGTTTGAATTTCTGATCAAGTAGGATCCAGTTTTGGTCTATCAGGGGTTCAGTTATAAAAGAAAGTCCAACCTTAGGAAAAAAGGGACAGATATCTAAATATTAAATATTTGTTCCGAAAATCCTTATTCATCTCTTTTCCTGTCCTTACTATATTCTTTTGAATAATCTCCACTTAGCAGTCCTTGGATCATTCAACAAGTGACAATTAGAGATTGTGAAGAGAGTGGAATAAGTGTAGAAATTTGCCTTGTGGACAGGCATTCAAGAGAGCAAAGTTCTATAGGCTGAGAGGCATAGCTCAACAGTGAGGGCTCTTTTTTTGCCATCAAGAAGAAGAAAATAACTAACTTAATCAAGAAAAAAAAAAAAGCTGGTGCCATGCTTATGCCTGTAATTCCAGCACTTTGGAAGGCTGAGGCTGGAGGGTCAGGAGTTGGAGAATAGCCTGGGAAACATAGCAAGACCTTATCTCTACAAAAAAATAAAAATTAATAAAAATTAGCCAGGTATTGTGGTGCGCACCTTTAGTCCTAGCCACTTGGGAAGTTGAGGTGGAAGGACTGCTTAAGCCCAGGAGTTTGAGGCTACAGTGAGCCATGACCGTGCCACTATGTCTGGGTGATAGAGTAAGACTGCCTTAAAAGAAAAGAGAAGAAGGGAGGGGAGGAGGGGGTGGAGTAGGAGGGGGAGGGAGGGTAAGGGAAGGGAAAGGAAGAGAAGGGAAGGGAAGTGAAAAGAAGGGAAGGGAAGGGAAGGGAAGGGAAAGTAAATTGTTGGGGTGACTTGCAAATTCAAATAAGGAAGTCTACAGTAAAGAGAGGGTCTAGAGCTGTCTGGGGACCTCAGTACTACAAGAGCCAATGGACAGTCTCTTCAAGAGCCATGATTGAAACAGATTATTTCCTGTATCAGTTTCAGTTCAGAAGTCAAATCCCCAGAAGAGACCCTCTAATGGCCTTGATTGGGTCACAGTTCTAACCCTTGGCCAGAGGATGTCAGGACACCTTGATTGATACATCCATCAAGCTTGTATCTAGTGAGGGAGGGAGGGGTAATCCCTTGTGACAAAATTGAGACAACCAACAGAAGAGTGAGCAGATGGTAACCAGTGGAAAATCACAGTATTAACCATCACTGCCTTCAAGGTACCATGCTGATAAAGAAGGTAGCCTCAGGAGGCCTTACTGAGCCCAGACAGCTCAGGGCAGCTCATGTGGAATCCTTACATGGCTCCTGCCCAAAGCAAAATGCACTTGACTGTCTGCATTCCTTTCCAGGACTGAATTTGGAATTCAAATCAAACATTATTTGGGTGGAAGACATATGATTTTACTGGGCCGTTTCAAAGAGCACATCAAAGAAGCTCTTTGTAAATAAATTATACTGCTATAAGTGTTACATAAATCTTGAAGGACTGTAACTGCTCCTCAATATGCAACTGGGTTAACTTACAATTAATGGCAAATGCTGGGACATTGCTGAACACACACACACATATTTCCTTTTAATCCTTTCCGTTTTTTGTTATTTTTTATTTTTTAGACTGAATTTTGCTCTTGTTGCTCCCAGGCTGGAGTGCAATGGCATGATCTCGGCTCACTGCAATCTCCACCTCCTGGGTTCAAGCAATTCTCTTGCCTCAGCCTCCCAAGTAGCTGGGGTTACAGGCACCTGCCACCATGCCCAGCTAATTTTTTGTATGTTTGTAGAGATGGTGTTTCACCATGTTGACCAGGCTGGTTTCGAACTCCTGACTTTCGGTGGTCCACCCGCCTCGGCATCTCAACCCACCTTGGCCTCCCAAAGTGCTGGGATTACAGGCGTGAGCCACTGCACCAGGACTTAATCCTTTCAAAAGGTGAAAATGTTGATTCCCATGCTTTGGGGAGTTATAGATCAACCCAGTCTATTCTGCTCATCACCTACCATGCTGTTCCATATTTTAACACTCTCTCAATGCTAATTTGGCTTTTTCCCAAGCAAACACAGGTCTTTACTGAGAACACTGGATTATTTTAAAATCAAGAGACCACAGATTACTGAAAGGTAAAATCTTCCTGTAATGCCTTTTTCTTAAATGAATAAACTTCACATACAATTTGAGATGTACCTCTTCAGTAAGTTTAAGTAACACAACATATAGAAACACATATGACATATAGGCACCAGTATATAAACCCATACATTCATATTATTGCTGCTGCTACTGCTTCTGTTATTGCTAGGTACAATAGCCCAGCTGTGGCTAAAAATGTCCATTCGTGACCAGCTCTTCTTTCCCGACAGGAGAACGGTATACTCTAAGGAAGACTGCTGTTTGCAGAGCTTCATTTCCTTAAAACACATGCTCCTTGCTTCATGGTCTACCTTTACTAAAAACTTTCAGCAATCATCTGATTGCTACCCACTTTGTGAGCCCTGCTTCGGTTGTTTCACAAGAAGCCACAGCTTTTGTGTGAAGACAATGCAAATTCTTAAGCAAGATCAGCAGTACGTGACCTTGATGCTATTTGGAGATGCCAAACATGAACTACTTACTCAGAAGTTCCCATGAAGTTTAGGGCTATTCCATTACCTGGATCACTTGATTTTGCTGGTATAGAGTTCTCTATGTTGCATAAGATGCTTGTGACTCTCTATTCAGCTAAACTTATTTATTCTTATAGAAACAGGCACCCCATTCCCAAAGACTTGTTTCTGAATGGTTTCTACCAGTCACATTAAAAAGAGAGAGAGATACAGTGCAAAAGCTAACACCAAAGCAGTAGAAATAGTTTAAGATCACTATTTTTTCAATCAATCCTAATTAATCCTGGACAGAGAGGAGAAAGATGACTGAGGGATATTGAGTGACCTCAGAAGGCCATCTGCTTTATGTAGGTGGAATTAGATATGTTAGCAAGTCATTCATTCATTTGCATTTAGTCACTAGACAACCTCCTACCTTTGATAGAATACCAATTTCACTGAAACTGGACTTTTGCATTTACATAGTAGATTTCATACCTTTCTCCAGTTTCAATTTCTTTGAAAATATGCCAACATAAGTGAATAAAGATACATATATCTATGTATGTAGTATCTCCCTACCATTCTAAGGAAGACTATATTTTAAAAGATATTTATTCAAAATATCTGGATGAAAAACTTTTTTTGAGTTACACAAAAATTCCAGCATTTAAGGTTTATTTTATTAGCAAGAATAAATCAACCAAACAAACATACGCATTCCAGTTATCCCTGTCTCATAAGCACGCAGTGTATAATCACGCACTGCATAGCCTTGTTTCAGTCAACAATGGGCACCACATATGACAGTACTCCCACAAGATTATGATGCCATATTTTTATTGTACATTTTCTATATTTAGATACACTAATACTTACCATTGTGTTACAATTGCCTACAGTATTAAGTACAGTGAGATGCTGTATAGGTTTGCAGTCTAGGAGCAATAGGCTATACCATATAGCCTAGGTGTGAATAGGCTACACCATCTAGCTTTGTGCAAGCACACTCTATGATGTTCACACAATGAAGAAATTGCCCAACAACACATTTCTCAGAATTTGTCCCTGTTGTTGTTGCTGTTAAGCAATACATGCTGAACATGAACTACTTGCTTAGAAGTTCCCACTATGCCTCAAGTTGCTAGCCTTCCTCATATAGTGTATGTAATAATAATAGATCCTTATTATATTTATGGAAATCTATACTAATACTTAATATGGCCTTCTTTTCTTTGGTTTTTATAGCTGGGAAACTAAGTAAACATGAGAAACTTATCATGAGAAACTTCTCATGTCAGCCTCACTCATATACTACCCCTTCAACTTGCTGTAGAGTGTCAAAGATTAAAATCTCACTCTTCCAGATGAAATACTGCATTTTTTATAATTTGAATCAATTTGAGGGGTAGATTAATTTTTATGAAACAAAGATTACTTTCACACTTCCTGGGCTTTTTCTTTCCCGCATGAAATTGGTCTTGCACGGGGAATTGACAATGGTGTGTCAATACGTAGAGTTACAGTAGAACTCGAAAATTTGGCTGGATGGATCATCTGTTGATCTCCAACATGGCTACTTAACAGAGGGACCAATATTTTCCTGTCTCAACCAACCTCACTAAGAACCATGACTTAATCATTTTTTATCTGAAATTACAATTGACCTCATGTAAGACTTTTTCTTCCATCAGGAGTATAGAATTAACTTCAGTCAAGTGCTGCTTACTACGCTATTCAATAACTCATTATAACTCATGAGGTTTGTGAAACAAACATACAATTTCAATACAGTTCTTAAGGAACAGGGAGTCCTAAAATTATAAAGGAGATATGTTATTTGATTTTCTTTTGGCTGACAGAGAGGTCAAAATGTAACTTCAATTTTTACTATCCTAGAGATCTTTTATGATTCTTTGCGTTGAACCTTCCTATAGATTAAGATCGACCCAACAATTACATAACTAGTCAAATTAATTGCTACATATAATAAAATTTGGGGAGGGTGCGTGTTTTTATTTTTCTTCCCAAAACTTTCCTCCGTGGCTTTCTTTAAATAGTTGTCTTAAGGGGCTGACCAGAATCTCCACTACCCATTCTGAATTCTGACGAAACTCCCCTTTATCCCAAGCATCCTAAATGAAGCTTTACTTTCAGGGACAGCTTTAGACGTAATCTTGATTCAGGATCAAGGAGGAGATAACTCCCCCCGACACACAAACAAAACAAAACAAAACACTTTCTTTTACCTGCTGGCTATGGTCTGATACTATTTTCACAGGAATCAAAGTGTCTCATTTTACAGCTAGAAACCAAGAGTAAACACCTGGAAGATTTATACTTCAGTGTACATGAGATTCCATCTAACTGCAAATGCTGTTATGGGTGTTGAAAATGTAAGCTTGGGAAGATAGACTATGAAGGCTGTAATAATGAGGAGGTTGTCAGTGATAGGAGTAGACTTAAGGGAGAAGCTCCAGGGGAAACACAGCCTGGTGGTAAGTGGGCAGAAGGCTGAGCAGCTAGAGTTGTTCTGCCCTGTTGAGTAAGACTCTAATGACGAATAGAGTAAAGTCAAGAATGGGCAAAACTCAGAGGTGGTGGCATTTATACATGTGTATTTGCTTGGTTAAGACGTTTCTGGAAACGTGTGAAGATTGGGAGGAAAGGATCCACAACTGTTCATTATGAGGCAATATTTTTGAAGGTGGAATAATCTTGAGGCTAAGCATTTATACTCCAATCAAAGTGTTTGAAATATTTGTAACAGAGTGCGATACAAACCCATAATGTAGCTAATCAGGGTTTCCTGAAATATGCTTATGTTCACATGTCTAGGATTAAAGTACTGAATAAAAACCACTCCGAACTTCACTATCTTGCTTAGGAGACTCTGACATGCAAGGCACAATAAAGGCATACATTTTATATTTTTGGGCTCTTGTGTGACACAGTGGTAAGACTTATTCAGGGAAAGGAATCCATATTATTCAGATTATGAGGAATTTCTAATCACTGTAACAAACCATGCTGCAGAATTGTATCAGTGAAACACCTTAGAAAAATGAAGCAATTCTTTTTTTTTTTTTTTTTTATACTTTACGTTTTAGGGTACATGTGCACAATCTGCAGGTTAGTACATATGTATACATGTGCCATGCTGGTGTGCTGCACCCATTAACTCGTCATTTAGCATGAGGTATATCTCCTAAAGCTATCCCTCCCCACTCCCCCGACCCCAAAACAGTCCCCAGAGTGTGATGTTCCCCTTCCTGTGTCCATGTGTTCTCATTGTTCAGTTCCCACCTATGAGTGAGAATATGCGGTGTTTGGTTTTTTGTTCTTGCGATAGTTTACTGAGAATGATGATTTCCAATTTCATCCATGTCCCTACAAAGGACATGAACTCATCATTTCTTATGGCTGCATAGTATTCCACGGTGTATATGTGCCACATTTTCTTAATCCAGTCTATCATTGTTGGACATTTGGGTAGGTTCCAAGTCTTTGCTATTGTGAATAGAGCCGCAATAAACATATGTGTGCATGTGTCTTTATAGCAGCATGATTTATAGTCCTTTGGGTATATACCCAGTAATGGGATGGCTGGGTCAAATGGTATTTCTAGTTCTAGATCCCTGAGGAATCGCCACACTGACTTCCACAAGGGTTGAACTAGTTTACAGTCCCACCAACAGCGTAAAAGTGTTCCTATTTCTCCACATCCTCTCCAGCACCTGTTGTTTCCTGACTTTTTAATGATTGCCATTCTAACTGGTGTGAGATGGTATCTCATTGTGGTTTTGATTTGCATGTCTGATGGCCAGTGATGGTGAGCATTTTTTCATGTGTGTTTTGGCTGCATAAATGTCTTCTTTTGAGAAGTGTCTGTTCATGTTCTTCGCCCACTTTTTGATGGGGTTGTTTTTTTTTTCTTGTAAATTTGTTTGAGTTCATTGTAGATTCTGGATATTATTAGCCCTTTGTCAGATGAGTAGGTTGTGAAAATTTTCTCCCATTTTGTAGGTTGCCTGTTCACTCTGATGGTAGTTTCTTTTGCTGTGCAGAAGCTCTTTAGTTTAATTAGATCCCATTTGTCAATTTTGGCTTTTGTTGCCATTGCTTTTGGTGTTTTAGACATGAAGTCCTTGCCCATGCCTATGTCCTGAATGGTAATGCCTAGGTTTTCTTCTAGGGTTTTTATGGTTTTAGGTCTAACGTTTAAGTCTTTAATCCATCTTGAATTAATTTTTGTATAAGGTGTAAGGAAGGAATCCAGTTTCAGCTTTCTACATATGGCTAGCCGGTTTTCCCAGCACCATTTATTAAACAGGGAATCTTTTCCCCATTGCTTGTTTTTCACAGGTTTGTCAAAGATCAGATAGTTGTAGATATGCGGCGTTATTTCTGAGGGCTCTGTTCTGTTCCATTGATCTATATCTCTGTTTTGGTACCAGTACCATGCTGTTTTGGATACTGTAGCCTTGTAGTATAGTTTGAAGTCAGGTAGCGTGATGCCTCCAGCTTTGTTCTTTTGGCTTAGGATTGACTTGGCGATGCAGGCTCTTTTTTGGTTCCATATGAACTTTAAAGTAGTTTTTTCCAATTCTTTGAAGAAAGTCATTGGTAGTTTGATGGGGATGGCACTGAATCTGTAAATTGCCTTGGGCAGTATGGCCGTTTTCATGATATTGATTCTTCCTACCCATGAGCATGGAATGTTCTTCCATTTGTTTGTATTCTCTTTTAATTCATTGAGCAGTGGTTTGTAGTTCTCCTTGAAGAGGTCCTTCATGTCCCTTGTAAGGTGGATTCCTAGGTATTTTATTCTGTTTGAAGCAATTGTGAATGGGAGTTCACTCATCATTTGGCTCTCTGTTTGTCTGTTATTGGTGTATAAGAATGCTTGTGATTTTTGTATATTGATTTTGTATCCTGACACTTTGCTGAAGTTGCTTATCAGCTTAAGGAGATTTTGGGCTGAGACGATGGGGTTTTCTAGATATACAATCATGTCTTCTGCAAACAGGGACAATTTGACTTCCTCTTTTCCTAATTGAATACCCTTTATTTCCTTCTCCTGCCTGATTGCCCTGGCCAGAACTTCCAACACTACGTTGAATAGGAGTGGTGACAGAGGGCATCCCTGTCTTGTGCCAGTTTTCAAAGGGAATGCTTCCAGTTTTTGCCCATTCAGTATGATATTGGCTGTGGGTTTGTCATAGATAGCTCTTATTATTTTGAGATACGTCTCATCAATACCTAATTTATTGAGAGTTTTTAGCATGAAGGGTTGTTGAATTTTGTCAAAGGCCTTTTCTGCATCTATTGACATAATCATGTGGTTTTTGTCTTTGGTTCTGTTTATATGATGGATTACATTTCTTGATTTGCATATATTGAACCAGCCTTGCATCCCAGGGATGAAGCCCACTTGATCATGGTGGATAAGCTTTTTGATGTGCTGTTGGATTTGGTTTGCCAGTATTTTATTGAGGATTTTCTGCATCAGTGTTCATCAAGGATATTGGTCTAAAATTCTCTTTTTTGGTTGTGTCTCTGCCTGGCTTTGGTATCAGGATGATGCTGGCCTCATAAAATGAGTTAGGGAGGATTCCCTCTTTTTCTATTGATTGGAATAGTTTCAGAAGGAATGATACCAGTTCCTCCTTGTACCTCTGGTAGAATTCGGCTGTGAATCCATCTGGTCCTGGACTCTTTTTGGTTGGTAAGCTATTGATTATTGCCACAATTTCAGATCCTGTTATTGGTCTACTCAGAGAGTCAATTTCTTTCTGGTTTAGTCTTGGGAGGATGTATGTGTCGAGGAATTTATCCATTTCTTCTAGATTTTGTAGTTTATTTGCATAGAGGTGTTTGTAGTATTCTCTGATGGTAGTTTGTACTTCTGTGGGATCGGTGGTGATATCCCCTTTATCATTTTTATTGCATCTATTTGATTCTTCTCTCTTTTCTTCTTTATTAGTCTTGCTAGCAGTCTATCAATTTTGTTGATCCTTTCAAAAAAACCAGCTCCTGGATTCATTAATTTTTTGAAGGGTTTTTTGTGTCTCTATTTCCTTCAGTTCTGCTCTGATTTTAGTTATTTCTTGCCTTCTGCTAGCTTTTGAATGTGTTTGCTCTAGCTTTTCTAGTTCTTTTAATTGTGATGTTAGGGTGTCAATTTTAGATCTGTCCTGCTTTCTCTTGTGGGCATTTAATGCTATAAATTTCCCTCTACACACGGCTTTGAATATGTCCCAGAGATTCTGGTATGTTGTGTCTTTGTTCTCGTTGATTTCAAAGAACATCTTTATTTCTGCCTTCATTTTGTTATGGACCCAGTAGTCATTCAGGAGCAGGTTGTTCAGTTTCCATGTATTGAGCGGTTTTGAGTGAGTTTCTTAATCCTGAGTTCTAGTTTGATTGCACTGTGGCCTGAGAGACAGTTTGTTATAATTTCTGATCTTTTACATTTTCTGAGGAGAGCTTTACTTCCAAGTATGTGATCAATTTTGGAATAGGTGTGGTGTGGTGCTGAAAAAAATGTATATTCTGTTGATTTGGGGTGGAAAGTTCTGTAGATGTCTACTAGGTCCGCTTGGTGCAGAGCTGAGTTCAATTCCTGGGTATCCTTGTTAACTTTCTGTCTCGTTGATCTGTCTAATGTTGACAGTGGGGTGTTAAAGTCTCCCATTATTATTGTGTGGGAGTTAAGTCTATTTGTAGGTCTCTAAGGACTTGCTTTATGAATCTGGGTGCTCCTGTATTGGGTGCATACATATTTAGGATAGTTAGCTCTTCTTGTTGAATTGATCCCTTTACCATTATGTAATGTCCTTCTTTGTCTCTTTTGATCTTTGTTGGTTTAAAGTCTGTTTTATCAGAGACTAGGATTGCAACCCCTGCTTTTTTTTGTTTTCCATTGGCTTGGTAGATCTTCCTCCATCCTTTTATTTTGAGCCTATGTGTGTCTCTGCATGTGAGATGGGTTTCCTGAATACAGCACACTGATGGGTCTTGACTCTTTATCCAATTTGCCAGTCTGTGTCTTTTAATTGGAGCATTTAGTCCATTTACATTTAAAGTTAATATTGTTATGTGTGAATTTGATCCTGTCATTATGATGTTAGCTGGTTATTTTGCTCATTAGTTGACGCAGTTTTTTCCTAGCTTTGATGGTGTTTACATTTTGGCATGATTTTGCAGTGGCTGGTACTGATTGTTCCTTTCCATGTTTAGTGCTTCCTTCAGGAGATCTTTTAGGGCAGGTCTGGTGGTGACAAAATCTCTCAGCATTTGCTTGTCTGTAAAGGATTTTATTTCTCCTTCACTTATGAAGCTTAGTTTGGCTGGATATGAAATTCTGGGTTGAAAATTCTTTTCTTTAAGAACGTTGAATATTGGCCCCCACTCTCTTTTGGCTTGCAGAGTTTCTGCTGAGAGATCCGCTGTTAGTCTGATGGGCTTCCCTTTGAGGGTAACCCGACCTTTCTCTCTGGCTGCCCTTAACATTTTTTCCTTTATTTCAACTTTGGTGAATCTGACAATTACGTGTCTTGGAGTTGCTCTTCTCAAGGAGTATCTTTGTGGCATTCTCTGTGTTTCCTGAATGTGAATGTTGGCCTGCCTTGCTAGATTGGGGAAGTTCTCCTGGATAATATCTTGCAGAGTGTTTTCCAACTTGGTTCCATTCTCCCCGTCACTTTCAGGTACACCAATCAGACGTAGATTTGGTCTTTTCATATAGTCCCATATTTCTTGGAAGCTTTGTTCGTTTCTTTTTATTCTTTTTTCTCTAAAGTTCCCTTCTCACTTCATTTCATTCATTTCATCTTCCATCACTGATACCCTTTCTTCCACTTGATCGCATTGGCTCCTGAGGCTTCTGCATTCTTCACGTAGTTCTCGAGCCTTGGCTTTCAGCTCCATCAGCTCCTTTAAGCACTTCTCTCTATTGGTTATTCTAGTTATACATTCGTCTAAATTTTTTTCAAAGTGTTTAACTTCTTTGCCTTTGGTTTGAATTTCCTCCTGTAGCTTGGAGTAGTTTGATCGTCTGAAGCCTTCTTCTCTCAACTCGTCAAAGTCATTCTCCGACCAGCTTTGTTCCGTTGCTGGTGTGGAACTGCGTTCCTTTGGAGGAGGAGAGGCACTCTGCTTTTTAGAGTTTCCAGTTTTTCTGCTCTGTTTTTTCCCCATCTTTGTGGTTTTATCTACTTTTGGTCTTTGATGCTGGTGATGTACAGATGGGTTTTTGGTGTGTATGTCCTTTCTGTTTGTTAGTTTTCCTTCTAACAGACAGGACCCTCAGCTGCAGGTCTGTTGGAGTTTGCTAGAGGTCCTCTCCAGACCCTGTCTGCCTGCGTACCAGCAGCGGTGGCTGCAGTACAGCAGATTTTCGTGAACCGCGAATGCTGCAGTCTGATCGTTCCTCTGGAAGTTTTGTCTCAGAGGAGTACCTGGCCATGTGAGGTGTCAGTCTGCCCCTACTGGGGGGTGCCTCCCAGTTAGGCTGCTTGGGGGTCAGGGGTCAGGGACTAACTTGAGGAGGTAGTCTGACCATTCTCAGATCTCCAGCTGCATGCTGGGAGAACCACTGCTCTCTTCAAAGCTGTCAGACAGGGACATTTAAGTCTGCAGAGATTACTGCTGTCTTTTTGTTTGTCTGTGCCCTGCCCCCAGAGGTGGAGCCTACAGAGTCAGGCAGGCCTCCTTGAGCTGTGGTGGGCTCCACCCAGCTGGAGCTTCCCAGCTGCTTTGTTTACCTAATCAAACAACTAACTGGGCAATGGCGGGCGCCCCTCCCCCAGCCTCGCTGCCACCTTGCAGTTTGATCTCAGACTGCTGTGCTAGCAATCAGCTAGACTCCCTGGGCGTAGGACCCTCCGAGCCATGTCCGGGATATAATCTCCTGGTGTGCCGTTTTTTAAGCCCGTCGGAAAAGCACAGTATTGGGGTGAGAGTGACCTGATTTTCCAGGTGCCGTCTGTCACCCCTTTCTTTGACTAGGAAAGGGAACTCCCTGACCCCTTGCGCTTCCCGAGTGAGGCAATGCCTCGCCCTGCTTTGGCTCATGCACGGTGTGCTGCACCCACTGTCCTGCGCCCACTGTCTGGCACTCCCTAGTGAGATGAACCCGGTACCTCAGATGGGAATGCAGAAATCACCCATCTTCTGCATCGCTCACGCTGGGAGCTGTAGACTGGAGCTGTTCCTATTCGGCCATCTTGGCTCCCGACTGTGTGAAGCAATTCTTGATGGAGGAATTCTCTCTGGCCAGTGATCTATCCTAATTATTCAAGGCAAGTATGCAAATGAGAAAGAAAATAAAAAGTTAAATTGTAATTTCTCTGAAAATTAAAATCAAGGTAAAGTGAAAGTCTTAGACATGACAAAACAGAGTATTTATTTAACAGAAATCATAGTACTCATTGGCTACAGAAATGAGTTCAGAAAGAACAATCATATTATAGTAGTCTTTTCCCTTTTGGATGAGATTTTGGTTTGGTAGAACAGAGAAACAGCATAGACATTTGATATATCTTGATTTCTAATAAATATTTAAAGTGTATTTTAATGACAGTCTCATGAGTGGGTTGTTGACATGACAGTACCATGGGTGAGTCATGGGAGCTTTCACAACCACTGTAGGTGCTTATGAATGACATCATGTGGATGTCGTTTGCCACTTCCTGAGTGAATCTTGACACACAGCACTGCCAATAGAGCCGCATCTCCAGTAGCGTGTTAGAGGCTCTTCCTTTACTTAAGTGACTGAAGTCAACAATATCAGTGACTTGGTTGAACTCCCAGAAAGCAAGATTTCAGAGGTCAAAATTAGGAATGATGATTTATGCAATAGAAAGAACTTATACCATAGATCACATAATTACAATTCAGTATCCCTATGAGCTAGAACACTGGATTAAAATCTATAGCGTGAAATTCAGTAGAAATAAATGATAATTCCTGTATTTTTCATTAAAAAATGTATGCTTTGAAAGTATGGAAAGAGGTTGTTTTTCACACAGGAAAAAAAAAAACTTAACGTGAGCCAGTGTCAAGCAATGTGAGTTTGCTGCCAAACAACACATAGAACATCAATCCGCCTTTAAAAGAATAGAGTCAAGAGCATGAGATTAATAGTTTCTTGACTTCTAGGCTGAACAGTTTATGTCTGGAATACTGTATTTTATTTTTTTAGCAGCACATCTTAAGGAAGACATAGACAAATTGTGAAGTATCCAGTGGTGATTGGAGCAACCTGGACACTATGGTAACTGAAAAGCAATAGATTCATGTGGATAAGAGAAAACTAAGAAAGACCATCACAGAGATTTAGAAATATATATTTGAACATTTTTTCCTACAGAAATGAGATAATAAATTTGTTTTCATTTAAAAAACAAATGACAAAAGCAGAATCAATAAGGGAAAAGACTTCAGATCCATCTTAGGAATGCTTATTTAAATAACTTGCACAGTGCTACAGGTTTTCATTTGCATTACAGTAGGTCTGAGAAAGGTCTACCACAGCACACAGGCAGTAATTAAGACATGTAATGAATCAAAGGAGATGGTATAGATTAAGAAGAGAAGATTACTGAGGGTGAAACATTGACTTGAAGTTGTTGACAATCCAATGTGATTGAGAAGGAGAAACTCTAGAATTAGGAAGAGACAGAAAATAGTATCATTTCTTGGAAGCCAAATGAGGAAGCCAAGAAGGAATAAAATGGCCAACAGCATTCCACTAAAGAGAGGTCAAGTAAAATAAGAACAGAAAAAGCAGTCTTTGGACTTGACAAGCATAATGTCTTTGGTGATCTTAGTGATTTTAGTCACATTGTGAGGACAGAGGCCAAATTGTAAATGATTGTGGGAAAATGAGAAGTGACAAAAGGGAGCAGGCACTGAAGCTTATTTCTTCCAAAATGTTATCTGAAAGGCTCCAGAGGAAGGGAAATGGGGACAATGTTATGAACTGAATGTTTGTATCTCCCTTAAACTCATGGTGAGGTACTATCCCGCAAAGTGATGGTACTTGGAGATGCGGCATTTGGGAGGTGATTGGGGTTAGATTAGGCCATGAGGGTGGGGCCCTCATGATGGGATTAGTGGCCTTATGAGGAGAGAAAGAGAAAGAAGTCACTTGCTCTCTCCACCATGTGAGGACACATCAAGAAGGTGGCCATCTATAAGGCAGGAAGACAGCCTCCACCAGTCACTAACCATGCTGGCACCCTGTTCTCAGACTTCAAACATTCAGAACTGTAAGAACAAATTTCTGTTGTTTAAGCCATCCAGTCTGTGATAGTTTATTTTGGCAGCCTGAGCTAACTAATACAGGCAATAACAAAAATGCTATTCTGAACCAAGGGAAAAGCTTTTAAATTTAATTGTTTTAGGATAGGCAATACTGAGTCTGTTTCTACAATGAGAGGAGGATGCCAATGAAAAAACAAAAGTTTAAGAGACAGAAGATAACGAATAATCAATGGAGCAAAACTCCCAAGGAAGCAGTAGGAAGTAGGACTGAGGGCGAGATGCAGGGATTGGTCTTAAATAGGAACAACACATATTGGGTATGTATGAAAAAGATTTTCAGAACCACTGCTCATGACTGGTTGATGAAATGTTTAGTATTTTGTATACAGGCAGTGTTGGAAAAGAATAAAGTGCCAGGCTGGAGAAGGATGGAGTCCACAAAATAATCGGGGGCTAAGCTTGTTTACTACAAACCCTCCAGAAATTACTTTCCTTCAATTAGAGGAGCCTTAACTCATTACAGTTAAAGTTTCTCTAATTGTAGGAAAATAATTTCTGGAGGGCTTGTAGTAATCAGCATGGGGTAATGGAGAAAATTTTATTTTCATTGTAGCTATAAGATAAAAAGACGCAATGAACAAAAAAGAAAAAAAAACTTAAACAACTGCTTCTAAGTGCAGTTGGCAAAAGTCAGGACATATATGCCTATAATAATCAATGAAAATAAATAACATGGCCGGGCACGGTGGCTCATGCCTGTAATCCCAGCAATTTGGGAGGCCAAGACAGGCAGATCACGAGGTCAGGAGATGGAGACCATCCTGGCTAACACGGTGAAACCCTGTCTCTACTAAAAATACAAAAAGTTAGCTGGGCGTGGTGAAAGGTGCCTGTAGTCCCAGCTACTCTGGAGGCTGAGGCAGGAGAATGATGTGAACTCGGGAGGCGGAGCTTGCAGTGAGCCAAGATAGAGCCACTGCACTCCAGCCTGGGCGACAGAGCGAGACTCCATCTCAAAAAAAAAAAAGAAAGAAAATAAATAACATATTACTGATCACAATAGCCAAAAGCATGTTCTAGATTTCCAATGCAAATCTAAATGTCAGAAAAGTTTTTCAATGCGGAGAATAATTTCACCTCGCGTGGGTTTACTAAATGTCCAATATATAAGATATAAACTTGTATTTCAGTATTGCGTTCCTTTTAAAGCACATTTAATATTTTCTGGGCCCTATTAGTCTCTGCTGATAACCATTATTAATACAATTTAACCTTGACTTTTCCTGCTACTATAACTTAGAGAATGTTATGTACTCCCCAAGTAACATCTGACAACTCTCAAGTACACAGATAGTTTGCTATTTCAAGTTTCATTGCCTTTTAGCATTTGCCCAGGAAGTAATAAATGCAAGAATCAAAGCATGACTGTTTTGTATAGACTCATCTATATATAATATAAATAGCCTGATTACAGACAATCATCCAACCAGCCTGATTTGCAAACAGAGGAAGTTTTAAGACACTGCCATCTACTGCAATGGCCAGAAATTGCATAGGCATTTTATGAACTGAAAGGAGACAAGAGAAAATGTCTTACCATGCCATCCCCAGCTATATCAGTAAACTGTTGAAGATGATTTGAAATAATAATTAAGTGACTGTTCTAAAGCATTACACTGTCAAATACAGCTTTTAGAATAGCGAGGCTTGTTCAAAGGGGCAGAATTGAGGCGTGATTGTGGGTTCTAACACAGAAAGGCTGGTAAGAAATGAGTGTATTTAGTATATTGCTTCTGTTAGTGGCCAAGAACCTATTGGGAATCACTAAGTAATCATCACTTTGAGGTTTAACCAAGCCTGGTTTAAAAAGTACACTTACAAAATCTTTAGTGACTTTAAATGGCTTTCAGAGCCCTTGAAATTCTCCATTCAAGGGAGGTCAGACAATTATATTATTAATTCTTTTTTTCTGTAGATTTTTATTCTTAAAAGTTGCTTTCAACAGAATAATTTAATTCATTGATTCTTTTTATATCTCAAGTGTACATATTTGGAAGATAAATTTTATGAGAATATTATCTATAAGGCCTCTATTACCCTAACATCATGGAAAAGTAACCTTGACTTGAATTAAATTAAAAGAATATGCTTTCATTCTTAAATCTCTATTTTTCTAAGGGGGAAAAAAGGTTCTCTAAATCTCAATCATTTTTATATGTTTGCCTTTTACTGAAGTGTATGATCTATTATTTGATTTTGCAGTTATTGTCTAGTAATACACACTAAGGTGCCATATCTTATGATTTTCACTGGCAAGACAAATATAAACAAGCAAGATAAATAGCCTGATGACCCCATGGATCAGAACTTTGGATCTTAATGTTTACTCATGATCTTTCACAGGCTTCTATTCATGTATGTGCCACGAATACCAAGTTTACCTACTTGGAATCTCTGAATAAAGCATATCGACTTAGAGAAAAGAAGTGAGAGTAAACATACTAGGTTGGTGCCCTCCTATTCTAACTGTTAATCACTAGAACAAGCAATTGTTTTAAATGTGTGGTAGGGAATTCTGTAGATTTAAGTTCATCATTTTAAATTGGACTCAAGTTATATAGTCCTAGTCATTTAGTTTTTCAATTACTTACTTACAAAAAGACTAAATGCAGTAATCTAGAGAAATAATTATTAATATTTAATGCAGATTAAAAGTTAATAATTATTATTCTGATTAATAATCAAAATTCTTTTGATAAAGATCTTTATTTATCTGCTATGATAGTTAACTTTATGTGTCAAGTTGGCTAGGCCATAGTGCCCAGATAAGTGGTTAAACATTATTCTGGATGTTGCTGTGAGGATGTTTTGGGGTCAGGTTGACATTTAAATAAGTGGACTTTCATTAAGGCAGATTGGCCTCCATAATGTGGGTGGGCTTCATCTAAAGGCCTGAACAAAAGGCTGACCTGCCCTGAGCAAGAGGGAATTCTGCAGCAAACATCTTTTCAGACATGAATTGCACCATTGGCACTTCATGGGTCTCTAGCTTCACAGCCCAAACTGCAGATTTTGGACCTACCAAACTCCATAATCACATGAGCCAATTCTTTAAAATGAACATCTTTCTATATATGCATACACATCCTAATGGTCCTGCTTTTCTGGAGGACCCTGAATAATACACATGGTGCTTAATTTTAAAAATGTAAGATACATATTTTATTAGAGTTCTCAGTTTCAAGCAATAGAATCTGACTCTGACTGACCTAGCTATGTTTTCCATGAGCCCATTGAGTAAGCCTTGGACTGGCAGAGGAAAGAAATTGTCTGACAGCCTCAAGGTGAGTTATGTTGTGTACCTGCTGACCTAGAGGATTATCAGAGGGGCATCTGGTGATCATTCACAGCAGCCAACCCTGAGTCTGTGTTTTAGTCAACCAACAATTCAAACAATACCAATATAATCTTCTCAAACATTAATCCAAATAATCTGGTTAGTACATTCATATTGATAAATTTAGGTCAATTAGGTGTAAAGTTGTATATTCCCCCCTCCTTTTTCTATCTCTTTTAGGATCTATTACTATATGTACTCATTCTTCCTTCCTTTCTCCTTCCTTCCCTCCCTCCCTTCTTTCCGTTCCGTTCATCAACACAAATTAGCTAAATTTTGCAATTCATTTAGTGTGTGCATCTTTTATGTTTGTGTATGACTTTATATTTGCATACCTCATGCTTGATGGAATTTGATTCCAGGTAGAAGCCTGGAAACAATGTGAGGTAGTACAAGTATGGTAGAAGGAGAATTGCCTTTTCCTTGAATGGTAACTGAGATGAGATAATCACAGGGTCTTTATCTCACTTGCACGCAGGAGGGGCCTCCTCATGCAGAGAAGTAGGTGGTGCCTCTCCTGGAAGGAGGCTCAGGGGAGCTTATAAGTTTGGCATCTCAGCCCCTAAATCCTTCCATAAGCTCCCATGCCAATTTGGGGTCCCTTTCTTTCCACTAACTTACTTATAAGAGACAGGCATGGTTATGAATTCAACAGATATGAATTTTAAATTTGATTCTTTAGTATATTATCCTGCAATTACTTTTGTTGAGAGATTTTCATAACAATCATAGACATTCCATGATTTTCTCTTTTCTGTGAACTGAGAATTTAGAAAGTTGAGGCTTTTATTCTTTCTTTAAGGCATTCAATACAGTTAGAAGCAACTGACTTATCCCTTAAATTCCTCACAATCTTCATACTTTTCCTGTAGTAGCAGCCTCTGGGTCACCAAAAGCCTTGCCGTTAATGGATACTCTAGATGTTAATTGTATGACCTAATTTAGTTAGTACATTTCACTGTGTGTGTTTCATGTGATGCCAGAATCCATCTCTTAGTATTACATGAATTTTAGGAGCCACCAGTCCCAACTAGTTCAAATAGCCTATTCCAATTTTTCTCCATTTCTCTGCATTTCTGTTGCCTGTAATCACTTTTGTAATATATTTCTATATCAAGAGTTCTTAGTTATAAGGGAAAAAAAGTAACTTTGGCTGATTAACCACAAACTCTGCTTTATATTAGGATATTAAGAAGCTCATGGAAGTGTAGGCAGAGCTAGACAGTGAGCATTAAGGCTATGCTTCTAGGGAAAATGCTCCAACCCATATGTTAGAACTTCCCTGATAAAGAAATGTCTACCATAGCCCTCACCAAGCACTGATATCAAGACCTTGACTTCTCTGTAACCACTGCTACACTGGTGCCAGGGACTCAACTTGCAGCCACTGACTTCCTTCAAAGCTAAATGCCTCTTATGCTGATCTGGGTCCTCCTAGAAGCGAACATTAAGGTAGAGCTAAGCATGCAGGGATTATGTTAGGGAAAACATGTGTGTGACAGAAAATGGGAGCATGCTAGAATAGCAGGGAGAGCCATCAGACCTCCACCAAAGTCTGACTTTGAGTTCAGGAAAAGGGAGTTAGGGTAGGCAGAAGTGTGCTGGGCTGCTGTACAGTCTAAGGAATATTTGGGAAGGTCCATCAGGGAGTCTTCCAGCTGACGTCAGTTTTTGAAGGACAGGGATAGGGCCTGCCTAGGTGTCCTGTGGCACTCACTGGGCAGCCATGTGGAAGTGTGGCCTCAGTGCAGGTGGCTTTTCGAGGGCAGCAGCTGGGGCCCCATGGCTAATGATACTCCCCACAGTTGGAGGTCTGGTGTGCACTCCTGTGGTGACTACACCTCTGTCACCATGCCTTGCCAGTGTGCAGATGCTCCTACCCCAAGCTGCTGTCTTGAAAATCTAAATGCCATGTGAATGAGTCCCATTTGGAATCTATGTCACACGCCTGTGCATTGACTGCAAAGAAGACTGGGGAGAAGGCATCAAATTCATAAACTACAAATTCCTCAAATATAGCAAGGTTGTTAAAAAATAGGTTGGGCAGACAGAAAACATGACAGATGCTACTCACAATAATGAAAATAAAATATCATAATAAAAGACATAATAAAAGTAGGCACATAAGTTGTGCCTACTTAGCTATTTTATCAACATTTGGTGAATGGTTGAAAAGAACAAGTTTTGTGAATGTCTTTTAGCATTAGAAGAAAAAAGACCAGAAGAGAACAGGAACTGGGGGAAAGAAAAGGAGACAAAATGGAGGGCAGAGATGAGGGTGAGAGAGGAGCAGGAGTGAAAGGGAAGAATCTAGAGGACATGCTAAAGGAAAGAATTTGGAGGGGGTGGAAAGTCATGAGGGGAGGGGAAGAGCTGGGAGAGAAAGGAGAAAATTCAAATCCATGATGCGGCCTCCAACACCCACACTTCTAATCATGATAATCCAAGAGGACACAACAGTAAGAGGTAGTTGGACTTGACCCCAGGTCCCTCTCTCAATCTCTCTCTCTCTCTCTCTCTGTCTGTCTTTAAGATGGGGGTCTCACTCAAGCTAGAATGCAGTGGCATGACTGCAGCATTGACTGGCCAGTTTCAATCCATCCTCCCCCCTCAGCCTCCTGAGTATCTGGGACAACAGGCACATGCCACCATACCTGGGTATTTTAAAAATTATGTGTAGAGATGAGGTCTTGCTATGTTGCTCAGACTTGTCTTGAACTCCTGGGCTCAAACGATCCTCCTGCCTCGACCTCCCAAAATGTTGAGCTACCACCCCTAACCCCCAGCTATCTTTTAACTCATTGTTTTAAGGGCCTTTATTTCGTTAAAATGCCCCCTGGGCAAATCAAACCTACAGAAGGAATTTTTTGCACAATGAGTTTTTTCACTTGATTTGGTGCATAGAAAACCATAAGATCAAATACAAGTTAGAATGGAAGCTCATTAATGGAAATAAGCAGTTTACTCCATCCAGTCAAAATAGTAATTAACTACCTCCTTCAATTCTGTATTTTGCTTTGTTTTTTGAGACCTTGCTCCTGGATGTCCTCTATCCAAGAAAGTAGCTTATAGGTTTATTTCTTGTTAACCAAATATTCCCACACTACTAATCTTTGCATTTTCTATGATAACCTGTAGATGGCACCCTAGTTGGTGCTCCCATTTTTTCCTAAGTTCATGCAATTCTGATAAGACTATGTGATGTACAATTTAGATAAAAGGCATTTGAGATAAGTCAAATGCAACATGTAAGTAAATGGATTAATTTTTTCTGGTGCAAACTCTCATTTTATTTAGGCCAACATAATTACAACTTTATAACATGATTTCAGACTATAATGACATTACTGTGCTAATCCTGAGGAAGTCAATTGAATTGTATATAGTAGCTGTAACTATCAGTAATATTTTATAGCTATATGATGGTTGTTATGAATACTAAATTGCCACTATCAATGGTTCCTGGACTCCTACCATTTATTCGCTATTCCTTTGACTTTACAATGAATGTCTAAACTGAAATTGACTTATTATTTTCTATGCAAAGCAATTTTAAAAAATACTTTAAAAATATTTTGGATTACTCTAATTCTCTCTTCCCATTTTTAATGAATGAAAATAGTAGAAGTAGATTATTTTGGAATTAAAGCCTATTTTTACCCTTCTATTACTCATATTTCAGCTAGTCCTTATCCATACACATAGAATATATTACTTTCTGGCTGTTCTAAATGAAGAAAAAATTGTAAAGAAAAAACCTTAGTGGGTAAGAGAGTTAACCCATAAAGAAATGAATCAGAAAAGTCTGAATAGTTAGGTAAATTTTAGAATAAAATAACTGTATTTAAAATCAATAGCTAAGCATGATCTTGAATAAGACCTGTTCAACAATATTTAGTGAGCATTCTTTATAGTATTACTGCATATACAAACAATATATCCCAACTATGACAATACTTTTTTCATCAAAAACTTTATTCCAAGAGTAGAAATAAAAGAAGTAAACAAATGTATTCTTGAAGGTAAGACAAGGTGAAGGCTATAAATTAAATACATTTTAAAATATCCAAAGTAATAACAAATACACAAGGAAACTTGGAGTATAGGATAGGATGAGAGGAAACACAGACTTAAGGTACGGAATATAGGATAATGGTCTAAACTATGTTTGGTCTGAGAAAATAGGAGACAGAGAATCAGGGGAGGATATGCAGAAAAAGGCCAATGTAGCAGACCTGTTTCAGGATGGGTTCTAGGACTAAAAATAATCACACGGAGTTCTGGTTTTAGCCCCAACATGTAAAGAACTTTGAAGTCATCACCTCAATCCTCACAACATGAAAAAGGCTAAATAAACTGAAAGATAACAATTTTTCTTAGACCATTAGAGAACTGAAATCATACAGCAAACTGACACCTAAAGTCTGGAAAGTGGCAAAACAGCCAAGATCTGCTTGTGTGGAATAGGATCTCTTGGGACCATAAACTTGTAGGAACATTGAAATGGTCATTTTGACAAATTTCTGGAGACTGAGTATGAATTAATTTGAGCTTGAGAAACTCCTGGGGGGTGATATTAGGATGGGCTTCTACACTTTTGTGGGTTTTATTTCCAGGAACTCCATGAGGTTCACAAGTGAAGGTCTGAGAAAAATCCTCTCCTGTTTCAGAAGGCGAAAGGGGAAAGGTAACCATTTTCTAAAACACCCAAAACATGACCACAGCTCAAGCATTCTCCAAGACAAAGACCTGCTTATCCAAGGGAATAAATTTCGCCAGGGTCTTATCTCCCTGAGGAAGGGCAGTTGCCTAACTTGCAGCCCCATCTGGCCTTCCAGTCTCACCTAAGTGGAGAAGAAAAGGAGAAGAAACACTTCTGAATGTCACAGCCCAAGGACTCAGATCCACAAAAAGACTGAGATTTAATCACAAGATTATAGACCACTTTCTCTCCCCTACATTTTGTCACTATATCAACAGGGCTCCAAAATAATAACAGTGGATTACAAGTGAAAGAAATGCATGACACAAACTCTATTTAAGAAGTAGAAAAGAATTCAAGGACAACAAGGGAGGAAATAAAAAAAGACGAGGACAAGAGGAAACTGAAGGCTTTAGCACCTACCACTACAGAAAACATTAAACACAGCCCAGCTCCTAGTCAGGCCTATGTAGCTGATACATCATGTCTGGATTTCAAAAAAAAAGTACAGGCACTCTAAAAGGTAAGAAAGAAACACAATCTAAAGAGACAATGCAAGCATCAGCACCAGACTTACATATGATATATTTTGGAATTATGAGATAGAAAATTTAAAATAACTATTATTAGTATGTTAAGGGTTCTAGTGGAGAATACGCAGGAATAGATGGATAATGTAAGCAAAGAGATGGAAATGCTAAGAAACAATCAAAAGAATAAAAAACACTGTAACAGAAGAACACTTCTAATGGTTTTACAATAAGACTAGACGTGGCCAACCAAAGAATCAATAAGACTGAAGATATGCCAACAGAATCCTCCTAAACTGAAATACAAGGAGAAAAAAGAATGGAAAAACCAGAACAGAGTATCCAATAACTGTGGGACAATTACAAAAGGTGTAATATATGTGTAGTTGAAATATTGGAAGGAAAAGAAAGAGAGAAAGGAGCAGAAGAAACATTTGAAGTACCAATGGTTGAAAATTTTCTAAAATTAGCAGACACCAAGCCACAGATCCAAATGGCTCACAGAACATCAGGCAGGATAGGATCAATGACAAAATAACAACAACATCATCAACAACATCACCATCAACAACAACAACAAAAATACCCTAAGCATATTATATTTAAACTACAGAAAAACAAAGAGAAAACCTTCAAAGAGGCCAGAGGGGAAGGAGAAACACTTTAGCTGTAGAGGAACAGGGATAAGAATTACATTGGCTTTCTCAAGAGAAATCATGAAACAAGGGAAGAGTGGGGTGCAATATTCAGTGGTGAAAGAACAAAAGCATCAACCTAGAGTTCTATATCCAGTGAAATTATCCTTCAAAAGTGAAGGAGAAATAAAGAATTTCTCAGACTAACATAAACTGAGGAAATTTGTCACAAGTAAACCTTCTCCGCAGGAAATTGTGAAGGAAGTTATTCAGAGAAATGGAAAATTATGTAGGCTAGAAACTCAGATCTACATAAAGGAAGGAAGAGCACATCAGAGAAGAATGAATGAAAACAACATAATATCTTTTACTTTCATTCTTAATTGATCTAATAGAGATAGCTGTTTACCAAAATAATAATAGTAACAATGTATTGTATGACTATAGAGTAATTACTCTATGGGTTCTTCTTGCCTGCTGCCCAGAAAAGCCAAACGCTGAGAACAGCAGAACTTGCAGTAGAGAAAGTTTAATAATCTCAGCACCAGCCAAGTAGAAGGATGGGAATGTTTCTCTGCCTTCTCAAGAGCTCAGACGCTAGGGTTTTTCAGGATAATTTGATGGGCAGGGGGCTAGGGAATGGGTGCTGCTGATTGGTTGGGGATGAAATCATAGTAGTGTTGAAAACGGTCTTGTGCACTGAGTCAGTTTCTGAGTGTGATCCCAGGACCAGTTGAGTCAGTTCCTTGATATGAGTCATGGATCTGGGTGGAGTCAGCTAGTTGTCAGAATACAAAAGTGTGAAATATCTCAAAGACCAATCCTAGGTTTTACAATAGTGATATTATTTGTAGGAGCAGTTGGAGAGAATACACATCTTGTGACTTCTGGCTACACGACTCTTGAGCAGTAAGTGATTATAGAAAAGCAAGCTAAAGAATAATGGCTGGTTATTTTTTAACTGGGCATACACTTTAGCAGAATTCAGGCCCTTCCCATAATCCTAAACTTGTTGCCTTTCATTAGTCTTACAAAAGGAGTTTCAGTCCCCACAGGGTCAGCTTTGTGAGGTAATATCATTTTTGCTTCAAAGTTAAACTACAAACTTAATTCTTTCCAGAGCAAGGCCTACATCCAGGAATGAGCAACAGCTGTTAGCTTGTGAGGTTAGCAGCAAGATGAAGTCAGTTAGGTTAGATTTCTTTCACTCCTATAATTCTTGCAAAGGCAGTTTCAATAGCATATGGTTACACGAAACGAATAGCAGCAATGTGAGAAGGGAGGAATTGGGACTCTGTTGTCAGGTACCTGCACTAGCCATAAAGTATTATTTGAAAGTGGACTAAGATTAGTTCTAAATATATATTTCACCAACTTTAGGGCATCCTCTAAAAAGTTTTTAAAAAGAAAAATAGTTGATATGCTAAGAGAGAAAAACAGTGGAATTATATAAAATGCTGGGCAAAACCAGAGAAGGCAGAAAAAGAGGAGAGAGGAGAAGATTTTAAAATGAATCTAGATATAGATCTTATACTTTTCACAAAACTAACTCAAAATAGATCATAAATGTAAAACACAAAACTACAAATGTAAAACACAAAACTACCATACTTCTAGATGTTAACATAGAAGAAAATCTATGTGACCTTGGATTTGGTGATGAGTTTTTAGATATGAAAGAAAAAATTGGGAAGTTAGACTTCACTAAAATTAAAAACTTCACTCTGTAAAAGACATGGTTAAAGAATGAAAAGTTTATCCACAAATAAGAAAATGAACAACATTATTTTAAAATGGCCAAAAGATCTGTACGATTATCTCACCAAAGAAGACACACAGACAATAAATAAGCATATGAAAAGATGCTTCACATCATATATCATCAGAGAAATGCAAATTAAAACAATAACAAAATGCCATTCCATGCCAATTAGAATGCCCCAAATCTGAAACATTGACAACACCAAATGCTGATAAGGATGTGGAGCAACAGGAACTCTCCTTCATTGCTGATGGGAATGCAAAGTGCTACAGCCACTTTGGAAGATAATTTGGTGGTTTCTTACAAATCAAAACATACTCTTAGCATACAATTTAGCAATTGTACTCCTTGTAATTCACCTAAATGAGTTTAAAACTTATGTCCACACAAAAACCTGCACGAGAATGTTTATAACAGCTTTATTCATAATTGCCAAAACTTAGAAGCAACTGCAATGTTCCTCAGAAGGTGAACAGATAAACTGTGGTATATCCAGACAATGAAATATTATTCAGTGTTAAAAAGAAATGAGCTAGTAAGTCAATGGAAAGATATAAAGGAATGTTAAAAGTACATTATTTAGTGAAAGAAGGCAATCTGAAAAGGCTACAGACTGCATTATCTCAACTATATGAAACTCTGAAAAAGGCAAAACTATGGAAATAGTAAAAAGTTCAGTGATTGCCAAAGGTTGCAGGGAGAGAGGGATGAATAGGAGCAACATAGGGAAGTTTTAGAGCAGTGAAACCATTCTGTATGATGCTCTTGGTAGATACATTGTATTATATATTTGTCTCAGCCCACAGAATATACAACACCAAGAGTGAACTCTAATGTAAACTAAGGACTTTGGATAATAATGATGTATCAGTGTAGCTTCATCAATTGTAACAAAAGTACCAATTTGACATGGGATGTTGATAGTGGGGGAGGTTGACAGTAGGGGATGGGGATGTATGATAACTCTCTACTTTCTGCTCAATGTTTCTGTGAACCTAAAACTGTTCTAAAAAATAAAGTCTGGCCGGGTACGGTGGCTCATGCCTGTAATCCCAGCAATTTGGGAGGCCAAGGAGGGTGGATCACTTGAGGTCAGGAGTTTGAGACCAACCTGACCAATATGGTGAAACCTCATTTCTACTAAAAATACAAAAATTAGCTGGGCATGGTGTCTCACGCCTGTAGTCCCAGCTACTTGGGAGCCTGAGGCAGAAGAATCGCTTGAACCTGGGAGGTGGAGGTTGCAGTGAGCCAAAATAACGTCACTATATTTCCAGCCAGGGTGACAGAGTGAGACTCCATCTCAAAATAAACAAATAAATAAAATAAAGTATATTTTTTAAAAAGGCAAACTACAGACTTGGATAAAATATTTGAAAGACATATGTCTGACAAAGGACTTGTATCCAAAATATACTAAGAACTCTTAAAACTCAACAATAAGAAAACCAAAACCACAAGAAAAAAATGGAGCAAAGGATGTGAACAGGTACTTGGGCTAAGAATATATACAGATGGCACATAAGTTTATGAAGAGATGCTCAACATCATCGTTATTAGGGATTGCAAATTAAAACAATAATTAGATACCACTACACATAACTCAAATGGCTAAAATTAAAAAAAACAGACAATAGTAGACACTGGCAGGGATGGGAAGCAATAGGAACACTCATTCATTGCTGGTGGAAATGCAAAATGATACAACAATTTTGACAGTCCAACAGTTTCTTACAAAGCTAAACATAGACTTACCATATGATTCACAATTGCACTCTTCAGAATTCATCGAACTGACTTGAAAAATTAGGTCCATGTAGAAAATTATGCGTAGAAACCTGCGTAGGAGCCTTTATAGCAGCTTTATGCGTAATTGCTGAAACCTGGAAGCCACCAAGATATCCTTCAATAGGTGATGAATAAACAAACTGTGGTCGATCCATACAATGGAGTATTATTCTGCAATGAAAAGAAGTGAGATATCAAGCCCAGAAATATATAGAGTAACCCCATATGCATATTACAAAGTGAAAGAAGCCAGTCTGAAAAGGCTACATACCCTGCAATTCCAAATATATGACATTTTGGAAAAAGTAAAACTATAGTGACAACAAAAAAGATCAGTGTTTGCTAGATGTTCAAGGAGGAATGAAAAGGATGAATAGGTGAAGCATAAGAGATATTTAGTGTGGTGAAACTATTCTGTATGAATGATGGGTACTCGACGGATACATGACATTACGTGTTTGTCAAAACCATAGAACGTTATAACACGAGAGTAACTCTTGATGTAGATAGACCAACTTTTAACGTAAAACTAAAAGCAAAGGAATTGCACATAAATACTGTAGTCAATAAAATAGTTTCTCAGGGGAGTACAAGTTAACAATTCAGATATTGCTATCGATGTTTACAGGAATTAGACAAGTAAATGGATGTCAGATTGTGAGAGATATACTTCTCACCAAAGGAGTGGAATTTTACAGATAGTCAAGGGAAGGATGCTAAAATGATACTTGTAGTAATGAATTAGAGTTGGAGACATCATTAAGAATTCATGTTTAACTTCATATAGATCAGGTGGTTATATATAAAAATATTTATAGATATGTATATATACATAGGTTAGTATACACATATACACTTCTTTGCTCTGTTGACTGACAGAGCCTTAAAGAAATGACACTCAATAGTAACAACACATGTAGCACCCCGTATAGGTTTCTAATGCTATTCTCTAGTAAAAGGGATAGGGGTCCTTAAAGAAATGGCTGATTCTAGGACCATGACAGAAAATATATAAGATGAGCTTGGAGCAGTTTTTGGTAACAGAAAGTGAGGAACAAAACAAAACAAAACAAAATCCATATCAACAGGAGTATATCAAAGGGGCAAAAAAGCCAGGTAAAAGAGCTCTCAATGGTCAAAGCTAGAACAAAATATTGGATTATAACCCAAAATATAAAATAAGTACCCATGAATCCATAGTGATATAAATGATTTAACAAATTAACAAACCTGCACATTCTGCACATGTACCCCAGAACGCAAAAAAAGAAAAAAAAATTTAAAACTCAACAAATCAGGGAAAAGAGAAAACTCTCCTATGCAGAAGTCCAAATCAGTTATGTAGATACTCCACTCTAAAGGAAAAGGAGTGTAATTCCCACTCCTTAAGTATGGGCTACACATAGTGACTTCCTTCCAAAGAATATAGTACAGCAAGCGGGGAGGTTGGGCTGGGTGGGGGGAAGAGTAACTTTACAATGGAGAAACCTGAGAAACATGATTTCAACCAGGTAATCAAGGTCTACATAAACAGTCATAAATCATGTTGATTGTATGTAACCTTGATTATTGTGGTAAAAATGGAACTATTTCTGTGATCTTCTTCCCAAAAACTCATAACTATAGTAAGATCATGAGAAAAACATCAGACAAATTCCAATAACAGAGCATTGTACAATATACCTGACCAGTACTCCTCAAAATCACCTGATTTTACAAGGAACATCCAGCACTTTACCTGTCATGTTACCTGCTTAACACTGCAGGTATTTGCATTTGGATGTCTGGAAATAAAAACAGAGTTTCAGAGCCTTCCATATCTAAAATCCTACCAGTGGTCCCTAATTTTTAAACACTCATTTTATAAATGAGCATCCAATTTGGAGAAGGAAGGATTATTTAATAAATGGTGTTGAGACTGTGAATTAGTAATTTCAACCAAAATTTAGACTGTTACTTTTTAGTCATATATCAAAATAAGTTTAAGGTAGATTTAGAGTTACATATAAAAATATCAAATCATTAAAAAATAAAATCTAGAAGAACTGGAGATGAGAATATTTACACTATTTCTGGAAAGAGGAAGAATACTAAATTTTAAAAATAAATGAAACAATTGGTCTATTTGACTACATGAAAATAAAATTATTTTGGCCATTAAAAAAATGCACTCCACTAAAAAGATAAAATAGGGGTAAAATATTAACCAAGCCAAACAAAGGACTAATTCTTACCAGGTAAATAGACCATATAGAAATTGATGAGAAAAACATTAAGACCATGTGAGATATATAGACAAAATGTTCCAACAATTTACAAAAGAGTAATGAAAGCTGGTCAATAATCATGTAGGAAAAAAAAAATTCTCTTTCACCATAACAGTACCTAGCAATTACAAATGAAAATGACTACAAGGTATTATTTTTCCTTTTTCTTCCTTTGTTTTTTATTTTAGAGACATAGTCTCACTTTGTCCCCAATGTGGAGTGCAGTGGTACAATCATAGCTCACTGCAGCCTGAAACTCCTGGGCTCAAGCGATCCTCCCACCTCAGCCTCACAAGTAGCTGCGACTACAGGTGTGCACCACTGTATCTGGCTATTTTTAAAAATTATTTTTTGTAGAGATGGAGTCTCACCATCCTGGCTAACACGATGAAACCCTGTCTCTACTAAAAATGCAAAAAATTAGCCGGGCGTGGTGGCACGCACTTGTAGTCCCAGCTACTCAGGAGGCTGAAGAAGGAGAATCACTTGAACCTGGGAGGCAGAGGTTGCAGTGAGCTGAGATCGCACCACCGCACTCCAGCCTGGGCAAGAGAGTGAGACTCCATCTCAAAAAAAAAGGAGGGGAGAGAGAGAGAGAGAGAGAAATGGAGTCTCACTACGTTTTCTAGGCTAGTTTTGAACTCCTGGCCTTAAGCAATCCCCCGTCCTTGGCCTCCGAAAGTGCTGGGATTACAGGCATGAGCCACTGCACCTGTCCCCATTTTTCCCATCAAATTAACAGAATCACTTTTAATATTGCTATTTGCTGCAGATGAGATGTTGTAAAGTAGGATCTTATATACATTGTTATACCAGTGGCAAAATAGTAATACAATTTTGAAAACTAATTTAGCAATATAGATCAAATCATTAAAATATGGATATACTTTGACCTAAGAGTATATTGTAAAGTACTTTAAAAAGTGAAGTACTTTGACAAGTGAAGTACTTTGACCAGTACTTTTTACTTCTGGGACTATATACTGAGAACATAAGCCTAAATACAAAAATATATAGCTGTTATGCCTCTTACCCCAAAAAGGACCTCTTACCCCTAAAATGCCCTCTATGAGGGAGTGGTCATGTGAAAGACAGTGTCTTCACTCAATGGGATAGTATGCTGCTATTAAAAATGGGATAGTATGCTGCTATTAAAGTTATTTGATGAAAGGTTATAATAATAATAACCACAATAATAATAGCTATGTGTCAGGTATTTTACAGGTATATCTTTAGGCCCCACAATAACTGAAATGTCACCTTCTCAGTTTTACAGAAAAACTCAGGCTTGAGAGTAACGAAATGGTTAATAATCATTGAAGGCCAATCATATACCAGAAATTAATACAGAAACAACCACCATATGATGCAAATGCTTTTAGTTGACCCATTTTAAAAGTAAAGAAACTAAGGAACAATAGTCACACAGCTACAAAAGTGGTACATATGCTTAAAACATAAGTACTTTTCTCCTGTTTCTTCTATTTGTCCTTAGTTTCTACATTTTTTCTTTCTTTCTTTCTTTCTTTTTTTTTTTTTTTTTTTTTTTTTTTTGAGACGGAGTTTCTCTCTTGCTGCACAGGCTGGAGGGCAATGGCGCAATCTTGGCTCACTGCAACCTCCGCCTCACAGGTTCAGGCGATTCTCCTGCCTCAGCCTCCTGAGTAGATGGGATTACAGGCCTCGCCATCACGCCCATCTGATTTTTTATATTTTTAGTAGAGACAGGGTTTCACCATGTTGGCGAGGCTGGTCTTCAACTCCTGACCTCAGGTGCTCCGCCTGCCTCGGCCTCCAAAAGTGCTGGGATCACAGGCTTGAGCCACCGCGCCCAGCAGTTTCTACATTTTCTTTAGTGAGAATTCACTTATACAAGGAAAAATTATGTTCCGAAAAAATGCCTATAGAGAAAATAGTACTATTCATGCCCTGTCTGCCTTCCCCTTTCTCTCAACTACTAAGAGTACTCAGGTGCCTGTAGTGAAGGCAGTCAGAACTTGAATGTTTAGCAAGTCTAAGAGTTTAGAAGTGCAGGTGGGAAACAAGCTGTGGAATCAGCTACAGCATAGAACAGAGATTCTTAACCATTCTGGAGTCATGGAGGTATCACTCTTAGGATCTAATGAAAGCTGAAGCCCCTCTGCCCACAAAAAATGCACATCTGCTTACTCACGCAGAATTTCAGGGTGTTTCTAGAGTCCTTTATCCACCGAAACCCAGGCTTAGAAAAACTGACCGCAGCAGCAGCCTCCCAAAGAGGACCAGCACACCTACAGGGAGAAAAGTGGGGAGGCCACTTCAGGAGGAGAAACGGAATGGCACTTCTTTTGCTTTGCCTACACTTTAATTTGACTGCTAGAAACACATGTGGGAGATCTAGTAGTCCTTTTTGAAAACATAAACAATTTTGGGAGAGTAAAGGGATGGTGATCCATTAACTCGTTAGTGTAAGTGAATTCAATCAGATTGCTTTTCTTTTAACACCTAGGCAAGATCAGATACATTGGAGGAAGAAGAGTTTTAATTATTCTGAAACCTCCACTAAGGGAAATGAGATGAACCTGGAAAGTTATTCAATTGGTGCAAAAGTAACTGTGGTTTTTGCCATTAATTTTAATGGCAAAAATATTTTTAATATTTAGGTCTCTGAGCTATGGGAGAGGAAAGGGGTTCTAGAAGTGAAATAAAAGTGCAGAAAAGAAGAGGTTTCAAATGTAAAGTTTACCAATTTATAGGAAAGGGAAATTAATTATTATTATTATTTTTTGAGGCGGAGTTTCACTCTTGTTGCCCAGGCTGGAGTGCAGTGGCACAATCTCCGCTCACTGCAACCTCTGCCTCCCGGGTTCAAGTGATTTTCCTGCCTCAGCCTCCCAAGTAGCTGAGATTACAGGCATGCACCACTATGCCTGGCTAATTTTGTATATTTAGTAGAGACAGGGTTTCACCATGTTGGCCATGCTGGTCTTGAACTCCTGACCTCAAGTGATCCACTCGTCTCGGCCTCCCAAAGTGCTGGGATTACAGGTGTGAGCCACTGCGCCTGACTGGAAATTAAATTTTTAAAAAAGTATCTACGAGGTTCCAGGAATAGTAAAAGTCAATTCGTGTACCTTGTCACATTTAATTATCCCAACAGTCCCTGTGTCGCTTTTCTCTCATTTAACAGATTAAATAAGCAAAGATCAGAAACTGCCACAGAGAGTGACTTGTCCAAGTCAGCTGATTAATGACAGCCAGGAATCATTGAACCCAGATTCCTTTTCTTCCAAACAAAGCCCTTTCCCCACAATAATTTCTTTGGAGTAGAATCTAGCCATTCCTTCTGAGAATGTTTATGTAAGGAAATGTAGGTCAAAGTCTTGCCATACAAACACAATTCTGAAACACTACCTGTTTTTTAAACGGAGACTGCTTATATTCATCTTAATCATAATACTATTATTTGTTCTGGAGTGGGAGGGGTTCTTCGCAATATACAGAATTGGCCTAATGGGCTCCTTTTATCAATGCTTGCTTTTTAGATCATCTCCCTGCAAATCCGTTGGCATCATCCACACAAACATACGCCGGGGTGTTATTTAATTAACCATGGAGCTATGAACATTGTGAAATTCAAGTGTACATATGTTTTCAAACAACATATTTTAAATAAAATTATTTGCAACCAGAAAAGGAAGCTCATTTATTCATAATTCATTTGACTAATGTCTGTTGAGCATCTCTGTGCCAAGCACTGTAGTAGGATGGAGGCTGCAACAGTGAACTAGATAGTCCCTTTCCTCAAAGAGACTATGTCTCCTTAAAAATCTCAACATACTTTGAAGGTTTTTTTAAAAATTACATTAAAATGACCTTGTGGAGTAAAACAAAGAAAAAAATCAATGTATTGAGAAGAAACGGCATAGAAATAGCCTTTTCACCACATAAAATATAAATAATCTCTAGGTTTTGCTGCTCATCTGGTGCACTTAAAAATGTTTCTTGGATGAATGCCTGTCATTCAATCAGGAATCCAATGCTCTCACTGTATGGAGTGCATTACAAGTTGCACTGGGGGAAATATGGACACGTTCTCAAGCAGGCTGCAGTCTAATGGAGGAGACCAGGCAGGCCGAAATAAACAAGAAAGCTCTAGGTCAGGGTTTGGCAAACATTTTCTGTAAAGGGCTAGATACCGAATTTTAATTTTAGGCTTTCTGGCCCATATGGTCTCTGTTGTAATTACTCACTACTGTCATTGTAGCATGAAAGTAACCATAAACAATATGTAAATGTATGAGCACAATTGTGTTCAAATAAAGCTTCGTTGACAAAAACAGGCAACAGCCTTGATTAGACGAACAAGCTGTAGCTTCCAGACCCTGGTTCAGGTGAAGTCATCCCTTCCTTTCTTACCACAGAATGTGTGTCCTTTCCAAAGTGATGAGGCCATCTTTCAGATAAATAAGCCATGCTTGGGTCAATTACCCTTTGAGTCACTCCATTCCTATGCTGAACTTCCATAAAATCACAATAAGCCCACCTTTCAACATTAAAATAATAAATTACAATTACAAATGGTGAGAAAAGTGGGGAGGCCATTGCAAGTGGGAAGTGGAATTGGCCCAGATTCAGAGAGGGAGAGCCTGAGGGTACAAAGGACAGCCTAATGGAAGAAAGCACATGCACAGGCAAGAATGTAGCAGGAGCTTTCCATGGGAGGATGGGGTGAATCCTTGGAGCTGGAATTTTAATTCAATTTGAAAAACAAGCAAGGGCCTGTAAGGGAGGGACAGACTCAATGTAATGAGAATTAAGGCAGAAAGAAGTTAGAGTCTGGAAGCTAAGAGGGATCTAGATCAATGATCTAGGCATAGAGTGCTGACGGTCTGTATTCCCATCAAGGCCTTGGTGAGGGAGTTGCAGGTGTAAAGTTCCAGGAAAGCGAAAGATTGAAAGCCGATAAACCCTGAAACACCTGGTACAACAGCAGTACAGACCAGATTGGGTGGCATAATCCCAACTCAAGCACTTTGCATACAAAGCAGAGGTCAGCTGAACACCATAATCTCAAGGCAGGTATCTCTCATGTCAGCACCAGAGGCAGCCAATGTCATAAGCCTATATCAGGCATCCCACACATGCTGTAGACCACCTCCAGCTAGTCTAGTACTTGTTTATCCAACAATTTCAGACATTGCTTGTCAATCAGCAACACTCAGAGGCTTTGCTTTCCTAGTATGGGACAGACACAGTTCACAGTTTGTCTTTAAAAGACCTATTCCATTTCTCTTCCCTGAACCTCATTCCCTCAAGTCTAGACTGTCCTGGATGTTTCCCTGTGTCCATTTGGTGCTCAGCCTTCGGTGTTTTAGTATTTTTATTTTCTCTTTAATGGCATGAAGCCTAATTTCTACTTGGCCACTTATTTTCATACTTTTTAGATTCTTTTTTTTTTCTTGCATTTCCATGTCCTACTCCTTAACATCCACCCTCCTACAATGTTTGATAAACATTAACTGAATTGAATTTCCCTTTCTGTGTATTCTACTGTGTCACTTCTGGACAAATTGATAGGGTATTTCAAGGCTCTACTTTTTGTTTTTGTCTTTTTAAAGAGGTGTTGCTCTGTTGCCCAGGCTGGAGTGCCTGGACCTGCTAGGTTCAAGTGATCCTCCTGCCTCAGCCTCCCAAATAACTGGGACTACAGGCACACACCAACACGCCCACCTATTTTTTTTCACTTTTTCCAAGATGGGGTCTTGCTACATTGCCCACACTGATCTTGAACTCCTGGCCTCAAGCAATCCTCCTACTTCAGCCTCCTGAGTAACTAGGATAAAAAACACAAACCACCACATCTGGCTTCCAAGGCTCTACTTTTTAATCACAGTAATGCAAGGGTAAATGTAGTTGTTTGAGATTGGCTGAGAGAAGGTGCCAAGCCAGATGGATCTCCGCTCAGAGAAGATCCTATGACTAAAGGACCCCATGAGCTGAAACCAAGAGCTTAAGAACCCTAAGGAGGATACTGATCTCAACCTTGAACATGAGATAAGCAGTGGGGTGAAGAGGATCCTCACCCGGGAATAATGATGTCATTAGGCATTAGGGAAGTGTCACAACTTGGGCTCCCTGGGGAGCAGAATCTGAGTTTAGCATGCAGGATCCTTATTAAAATGAATCCTTAAGATTAATACTTGTGGAAAGGAGAGAAAGAACACCAGATTGGAAAGGGGGAGAAGTGAAGCTGGGGCGCAAGCCTGACGTCACCCTTGGCTGACCATGAGGGGAATGCTGGAGCTAGAATAGACCTTCAAATTTACCCTGAGGTGGGCCATGATGCCCAAGCTTTTATACTCCCATGTCAATCAATTACTACATGTAAACTGTCCTGAGAAGGGGCATGACTTTAAGCAAAGTCACTCTGAAAAGCCGAGGCAATCCCTGAAGGGGCTGAGAGCTGAAGGTTGTTTGCAAACAGCACTCCTGGCAACCAGGACAACAAATCCTTCATTGAAGAGGAATCTGGGCAGTGCCTCACAGAGTTTACTCTAGTGAACAGTTTGTGCTGCTTGATCCACTTCGTATGTATCTTGATCCACTTCGTAGCAGGTCTTCTAAGATTCTAGTGGATTACTTTCCATGGGGCAACTTAGCAGAGAAGGTCAAGGGAGTGAATTGTGCCCCTGCTACTCCAGCCAGTCTCAAGGCTGCAACTGATACTCACCATCACCCTCCCCCACTATCCATTCTAGATTCCCCTCATCCTTGGCCAGCACCTCTGCTGGTCTGTCATATCACTCCGAACAAGGTTACTGTACTTTTCCATCCACCAGAGGGCCACCAAAGTTGTCAAACATATTCTTCACTGCTCCTTCTTCTTGATGACTAGGATCAATGGCTGCTTCCAGGATGGTGTGTCTCCTTCTTACCTGCAGGTCCCTTGGCACAAGGAGCTTGAAGTGCCCAGGTGGCAGTCAGCTTATAATTCAAAGGAATTTTTGCTTCATTCCCTGGGAGACATATCCTCCCTTTTAGACTCAGAACCTCTAAACCTGCAGAGATCAGAGCTGCAGGGATGGGAAGCACCAATTACTTGGGAGTGATGGCAAGCACAGCCACTCCTGCTTGCACACTTTGCTTCCTGGGCCCATTTATTCTTCCTACTGGGTACATAGCACCTTATTAACTTTTTTAACTTAGAGTGTATATTGATCCTCCCATCGTTGTCAAGTATTGTCTCCGAGCTTACATGTCAGCTATGCCTTTAACTGGATGTTCCAAAGCTCTATCAGGCTACTCACTCTTGGGTGATCCCGTATGACAGGAATAGTAAATTAGGTAGTCATAGGTGTATGCCCACTCCTCCCCTTCTATAAAGTGAGTGCCTTGATTTGAAACGACATTATGTGGGATCCTCAGTCTATGGATGAAACATTCTGTAAGCCTTTGGATAGTGATGCTGATGGAGGCCTTGGGGGTAGAAAGGCAAATCTATCCCAGAATATTTATCTATTGTTGTCAGAAAGTATTGCTGGCTCTTCCAGAGTGTAAGAGGTCCAATGTGGTCAACTTATTACCAAGTGATCAACAGCCTTTTGAGGTGATGATAACATATTGGGAGCTCAGTGTTGGTTTCTATTAATAGCTGGTTGGATATTTACCAATGGCTATAACTAGATCAGTTTTGATACGCGGATATCCATGTTGCTGGGCATCCATGGGACTGTCACCATGGCGACTTCACTCATGGGCCCTCCTGGCCAAAACATTTTCTTGCTTAACTTCCAAGATACAAGGATCTTCTGGTTTTATTCCTGCCTCCCTCTTCATTCTTCCTCAGTAACTTCCCCTGGTTCATTGTCCTCTGTGTAATTCTGTTCTTTTCTCTATTATATTTACTTATCTAGCCATGTATTCTCCCTGGGCAAACTCTTCTATTGCCATGGCTTTATTTATTGATTCTACATTAATGGATCTTAACTCCAGAGTGACTTGTGTTCATATTTTAGAAAAAGAACTATTAGCCAGGCATGGTGGCAGAGGCTGACATGGGAGGATTGCTTGAGCTCAGGAGTTTGAGATTAGCCTGGACAACATAGAGAGACCCCATATCAGAAAAAAAAATTAAGAAAAAGAACTCTGGAGGCATTATGGAAGATGGAGTCACCCGACCATAATTAATTTATTCATTCAATGAATATTCATTGAGTATCCAGCTGAAAAGAGGAGAGAATGGAGGCAGAGAGACTAGCAGGTGGTGGTTGAAGCCAGGAGAATGGATGAGATTATGCAGAGTCTGCAGGCAAGAGTAAGAAAAGGCAAGCAAGAATCAAACCCCAGGATTCATCAACATTTAATAGGCAGAATATGCCCTACTGAACCTGGGTAAATTGAAGAAGGTTCAACATCAGCAGCAGACCCAAAACAAACTGATTTCTCTTTGAGTTAACTTGCTTTCCTTTTCCTCTTTACCTTTTTGTCAAGCATCTCAGTCTCTTAAGTTAGAAACCTGAGAGCTGTCAATCCCTCATCATTTCCATCTTCATCCTCTGCATCCAATTGGTATCCAAGTCCTATTAATTCTACTTGTGACAGATCTTTATCTCCAAGACCCCTATCTTTGTTTAGTCTTTCGTCAGCTCTCACCGAGAGATGACATTGGCTTACCTACTTTCTGAAACTAGCCCATGGAACTAGAGAAAATCTGCTATCAGCAGCCTGTGAGAAGCATACATTGATGTGAGAGGTCTTGAGGCTGTACCAAAAGAGATTTTGTAGCAAATTATTAATATGTGATATTTCCTGTCAAATGAGGGATTTTAATCAAGATCCAGGCAGTGAGTCAAAAGGTCATAGGTCAGGAAGAAAGTCAATTGGTGTGACAGGTGAGAGAGGCTGGGCTGGAAACCAGTGACAACACACATGCCACTCATACACTGACATGTTTCTTTATGTATGTTTTAATCACCTATGGGAATGAGAGCCAGATTTTAAAGAAACTGAGCTGGGTGAGACACTAATGGGTCTCTTGGCCTCTCATCTGTCTCTCTTCAAACCTGGCACATCAGAGGTGATAAGTAACAATCTCCACACTGCTATAAGAGCGGTCTTTCTAAAACATTAGTTTTATTGTATCAGCCTCTGGCTTAAAATATAATACTTCAGTGATCCCCACTGCCTTTAGCAGTTCAGTGGTTCTTAACCTGAAAACTTTGGTAGAGGGTAGGGAAAGAGTCTGAATCATGTTGAATTTTTTTGCAATATGATTTGTGTGCATTTACTGAGGCTAGGAATCACTGGTCATTTGGATAAAATGCAAACTTCATCTGACCTCCAACTATCTTTCTCATCTCCTATTTGGTTAACCTCTAATCCTTCAATCTGTGTTCTAGCCAAATTAAACTATGTACTTGCTGCTCTCAAACATTTTATGTCCTTGCATACACTTCACTTTTCTGGAACACTCTTGTCTGCCTGCAAGACTTCTAATCATCCCTCATGACTGAAACTCAAATGAAATCATCCTTCACGACTTAACTCAAACTGAAACCCAAATCAAATTCTTTCTTAAGCTTTCCTTTGACTCTCTTTAGTAGAGTTAGACTCTCCTAACATTTAGACATATTTCCATGTCTGAACTTAACACACATGTATTTGTAAATATCCTTCTTCTTGGCTAAACTGTGGGCTTCTTGATGGTAGAGCCATGTTTCCTTCATCTTAATTTCTTTAGCATCTCTACTCCAGTATCTTAATGAATATTTGAGGAATGAAAGAATAGTTCCAACATGTTTGAAGGTAGGAGAATCTGGAAATTATATTTATATAATTTCTATAGAGATAATTTCCCAGCTTCTGGGTGAGAGGTCAATTCACAGAGATGGAACATGCCTGATGGTGTTCTATGCCCAGGACCTCTCAAATACAAAATCGTAATTTTAAAGAACAGGATTTTACTTCCCTTCTTTATTGTTTCAAACAAAAATGTTAACTTTTAGCCACCTCATTAGGCCACAATGGTTTAAACTACAGGTACTTAAAACACACACACACACACACACACACACACACAACCATAATTATCGTTTTACCATCAGTAATGTTCAGCTAGCTAGCCCTGCACCTACTAGCAGTTAGCACAATCTGTGGGTAGAGTTGAACACTGACTATGATACCATTGGCTCAAGCACAGAATTAAAAGTGGGCATTGCACATGAGATGGGTCTCCTGAATACAGCATACCAGTGGGTCTTGACTCTTTATCCAATTTGCCAGTTTGTGTCTTTTAATTGGGGCATTTAGCCCATTAAAAAAAATTTTTTTTTTTGAGACGGAGTTTCTCTCTTGTTGCCCAGGCTGGAGTGGAATGGTATGATCTTGGCTCACCACAACCTGTGGCTCCTGGGTTCAAGCAACTCTCCTGCCTCAGCCTCCTGAGTAGCTGGGATTACAGGCATATGCCACCATGCTCAGCTAATTTTGTATTTTTAGTAGAGAAAGGGTTTCTCCATGTTGGTCAGGCTGGTCTCGAACTCCCAACCTCAGGTGATCCGCCCACCTCGGCCTCCCAAAGTGCTGGGATTACAGGCATGAGCCACCACACCTAGCCTAGCCCATTTACATTTAAGGTTAATATTGTTATGTATGAATTTGATCCTATCATCATGATGCTAGCTGGTTATGCACATTAGTTGATGCAGTCTCTTCATAGCATCATTGGTCTTTATATTTTGGTATGTTTTTGCTGTGGCCAATACCAGTTTTTCCTTTCCATATTCAGTGCTTCCTTCAGGAAGACCTGGTGGTGACAAAGGCAGGCCTGGTGGTGACAAAATCCCTCAGCATTTGCTTGTCTGTAAAGGATCTTATTTCTTTCACTTACGAAGCTTAGTTTGGCTGGATATGAAATTCTAGGTTGAAAATTCTTTTCTTTAAGAATGTTGAATATTGGCACCCCACTGTCTTCTGGCTTGCTGGGGTTCTGCAGAGAGATCCACTGTTAGTCTGAGTGGCTTCCTTTTGTAGGTAACTTGACCTTTCTCTCTGGCTGCTCTTAACATTTTTTCCTTCATTTCAACCTTGGAGAAACTGATGATCATGTGTCTTGGGGTTACTCTTCTCAAGGAGTATCTTAGTGATAGGCTCAAAATAAAGGGATGGGGGAATATTTGCCAAACAAATAGAAAGAAAAAAAAAGCAGGGGTTGCAATCCTAGTCTCTGATAAAACAGACTTTAAACCAACAAAGATCAAAAAAGACAAAGAAGGACATTACATAATGGTAAAGGGATCAATGCAACAAGAGGAGCTAACTATGCTAAATACTTATGCACCCAATACAGGAGCACCCAGATTCATAAAGCAAGTTCTTAGAGACCTAAAAGAGACTTAGACTCCCACACAATAATAGTGGGAGACTTTAAGACCCCACTATCAATATTAGACAGATCAATGAGACAGAAAATTAACAAGGATACTCAGCACTTGAACTCAGCTATGGACCAAGCAGACCTAATAGACATTTACAGAACTCTCCACTCCAAATGAACAGAATATACATTCTTCTCAGCACCACATAGCACTTATTCTAAAACCGACCACATAATTGGAAGTAAAACACTCCTCAGCAAACGCAAAAGAATGGAAATCGTAACAATCTCCCAGACCACAGTGCAATCAAATTAGAACTCAGTATCAAGAAACTCACTCAAAACTGCACAACTACATGGAAACTGAACAACATGATTCTGAATCACTACTGAGTAAATAACAAAATTAAGGCAGCAATAAATAAGTTCTTTAAAACCACTAAGAACAAAGACACAATGTACCAGAATCTCTGGGACACAGCTAAATCAGTGTTAAGAGGGAAATTTATAACACTAAGTACCCACATCAGAAAGCAGGAAAGATCTAAAATTGACACCCTCACATCACAATTAAAAGAACTAGAGAAGCAAGAGCAAATAAATTGAAAAGCTAGCAGGAGACAAGAAATAACTAAGATCAGAGCAGAACTGAAGGAGATAGAGACACAAAAAGCCCTTCAAAACATCAATGAATCCAGGAGCTGGGTTTTTGAAAAGATCAACAAAATAGACCACTAGCAAGACTAACAAAGAAGAAAAGAGAGAAGAATTAAATAGACACAATAAAAAAATGATAAAGGGGATATCACCACCAATCCCACAGAAATACAAACTACTATTAGAGAATACCGTCAACATCTCTATGAAACTAAACTAGAAAATCTAGAAGAAATGTATAAATTCCTGGACATATATACCCTCCCAAGACTAAACCAGGAAGAAGTCAAATCCCTGAATAGACCAATAACAAGTTCTGAAATTGAGGCAGTAATTAATAGCCTACCAACCAAGAAAAGCCCAGGACCAGACGGGATCACAGCAGAATTCTACCAGAGGTAGAAAGAGGAGCTAGTACCATTCCTTCTGAAACTATTCAAAGCAATAGAAAGAGAGGGACTCCTCCCTAACTCATTTTATGAGGCCAGCATCAGCCTGATACCAACACCTGGCAGAGACACAACAAAAAAAGAGAATTTAAGGCCAATATTCCTGATGAACATCAATGCAAAAATCCTCAATAAAATACTGGCAAGCTGAATCCAGCAGCACATCAAAAGCTTATCCACCATGATCAAGTCAGTTTCATCCCTGGGATGCAAGGCTGGTTCAACATATGCAAATCAATAAACTTAATCCATCGCATAAACAGAACCAATGACAAAAATCACATGATTATCTCAATAGATGCAGAAAAGGCCTTTGACAAAATTCAACACCCCTTCATGCTAAAAACACTCAATAAACTAGGTATTGATGGAACATATCTCAAAAAAAGAGAGCTATTTATGACAAACCCATAGCAAATATCATACTGAATGGGAAAAAACTGGAATCATTCCCTTTGAAAACCAGCACAAGACAAGGATGCCCTCTCTCACCATTCCTATTCAACATAGTATTGGCAGTTCTGGCCAGGGCAATCAGGCAAGAGAAAGAAATTAAGGGAATAGGAAGAGAGGAAGTCAAATCATCTCTGATTGCAGTTGACATGATTGTATATTTAGAAGACCTCATCGTCTCAGCCCCAAAACTCCCTAAGCTGATATGCAGCTTCACCAAAGTCTCAGGATACAAAATTGATGTGCAAAATCACAAGCATTCCTATACACCAATAATAGACAAACAGAGAGCCAAATCATGAGTGAACTCCCTTTCACAATTGCTACAACGAAAATAAAATACGTAGGAATACAACTTACAAGGGACGTGAAGGAGCTCTTCAAGGAGAACTAGAAACTGCTGCTCAAGGAAATACCAGAGGACACAAACAAATGGAAAAACATTCCATGCTCATGGATAGGAAGAATCAATATTGTGAAAATGGCCATACTGCCCAAAGTAAGTTATAGATTCAATGCTATTCCCATCAAGCTACCATTGACTTTCTTCACAGAACTAGAAAAAACTACTTTAAATTTCATATGGAACCAAAAGAGAGCCTGTATAGCCAAGACAATCCCAAGCAAAAAGAACAAAGCTGGAAGAATCATGCTACCTGACTTCAAACTATCGTATAAGGCTACAGTAACCAATAGTGTGTAATACTGGTACCAAAACAGATATATAGACCAATGCAACAAAACAGAGGCCTCAGAAATAACACCACACATCTACAACCATCTGATCTTCAACAAACCTGATAAAAACAAGCAATGGGGAAAGGATGCCCTATTTAATAAATGGTGCTGGGAAAACTGGCTAGTCATATGCAGAAAACTGAAACTGGACCCCTTCCTTACACCTTATATAAAAAATTAACTCAAGATGGAGTAAAGACTTAAATGTAAACCCTTAAATCATAAAAACCCTAGAAAAAATCCTAGGCAATACCATTCAGGACATAGGCATGGGCAAAGACTTCATGACTAAAACATCAAAAGCAATTGCAACAAAAGCCAAAATTGACAAATCAGATCCAAGTACACTAAAGAGCTTCTACATAGCAAAAGAAACTATTATCAGAGTGAATAGGCAACCTACAGAATGGGAGAACATTTTTGCAATCTACCCATCTGACAAAGGGCTAATATCCAGAATCTACAAGGAACTTAAACAAATTTACAAGAATACGACAAACACCCCCACCAAAAAGTAGGTGAATAATGTGAACAGACACTCTCAAAAGGAGAAATTTATGCGGCCAACAAATATATGAAAAAAAGCTCATCATCACTGGTCATCAGAGAAATGCAAATCAAAACCACAATGAGATACCATCTCACACCAGTTAGAATGGCAATCATTAAAAAGTAAGGAAACAACAGATGTTAGAGAGGATGTGGAGAAATAGAATGCTTTTACACTGTTGGGGAGAGTGTAAATTAGTTCAACCATTGTGGAAGACTGTGTGGTGATTCCTCAAGGATCTATAACCAGAAATACCATTTGACCCAGCAATCCCATTACTGGGTATATACCACAAGGATTATAAATCATTCTACTATAAAGACACATGCACATATATGTTTATTACAGCACTATTCACAGTAGCAAAGACTTGGAACCAACCCGAATGCTCACCAATGATAGACTGGATAAAGAAAATGTGGCACATATACACCATGGAATACTATGCAGCCATAAAAAAGAATGTGTTCATGTCCTTTGCAGGGACATGGATGAAGCTGGAAACCATCATTCTCAGCAAACTAACACAGGAACAGAAAGCCAAACACCTCAACGCCGCATGTTCTCACTCATAAGTGGGAGTTGAACAATGAGAGCATATGGACACAGGGAGGGGGACATCACACACCGGGGCCTCTTGGGGGGTGGGGGCAAGGGAAAGGAGAGCGTTAGGACAAATACCTAATGCATGTGGGGCTTAAAACCTAGAGGATGGGTTGATGGGTGCAGCAAACCACCAGGGCACATATATACCTATGTAACAAACCTGCATGTTAGCACATGTATCCCAGAACTTACAGTATAATAAAAAAAAAAGTGGACATTGTTACATTGAATATTAAATAAGAAGGAAAAAGTTAGGTATGTGGGCAAACACCTTTGGTTTAGTCAATTGAAATCTTAATACTTTCGTTTCCTTTTTAAGCCTGACTTTTAATATTATTCTTATATCCAGAGTAAGATACGGTGTTAGTAGTTAAAGATCACATCCATTGGGGGCTGATGAATAAAGCTTTCTTGAACAAAAGTCCATTTTAGCATAATTTTCACATAGTTCTCATATTTTGCTTAGAGAGATTTCACATCCTAAATATAAAATGCAAAGAAAGGAGAGGGGAGAAAGGGAAGAGGGAAAGGAGAAAAGGAGACTACATTACCTGGCTTTATAGAGAATTTAAAATTCTTGGATTTTTCTTATATTCTGAAAATCATTTTAGGTGTGTAATTCCATTAAAAGCTAAAGATATGTTCATTTCTTAAGCACTTATTATCAGTGTGATAAGAACAAGGGAGACATTTCTAAATTTAAAAGCAAAATGAAAACCACACATAACATGACTGTCTGTGCAATCAGTTATTCTGATCAGCTGCCTTTATTAGAATTCAGGATGTCTACTTGGGCAACCATAAATCTATACTAGATGCCTGAAGGCAGCTGCATCCAACTGCTTATCATATTCATTAAATAAATGATGATGATATCCTCCAACTCGCACCTTAATTCATGTATGCTGGCTTTCTACATGCTTTGCTTTCTACATGCTTTCATGGGTAAAGGCTCCTTGTTTATTTCCAAATTGTGAGGTAGTTAAGATTTTGACTCCAGGCTTATTAAAATATTGATTGCTTAGACTGTGAGCTACCCAGCTTAAAGCATTTCGTAAGATTTATACATGGGCAAAAATGGATTCTAACTATATCACGAGTCTAAAGAAAGAATCTTGCTCCTCCCCCTGAAGTATTTTTTACTCCATTAACTTAAGAAAGCAACTAGGGTTTAAAAACCCTGACCAGTGAATGCCTAGGAACTTGATGAGGCTTTTCCTGCCTGCCCCTCCCTTTAATTTTACTGCAGAGTTCAATTCAGATCCATTTCTCCTTCCAGACTGCTCCTTCCAAATTGGCTTCAAAGGAAAGCCCATGCTTTAAGGAGGAAGGAACATCCTCTCCTATGACGGACCTTTGCTACAGTCCTCAGCGTCACCATCGCCTGGCCATTCTGACTTTATTAACCTTTTCCAACTGATGGCTGACCCAGTGGCTCTATTTGAGGTGCCTCTAAATGAGACATATTTTGTGTTTCTCTAATTACAGAACTATCTTGACAATGACAGTCACTGCCTGTAATTACTCAACCTGGTTTCCTCAAAACCTGGAAAAAAAATTGTCAAGGCTGACAGGCTACTCTAACATTTCAAAAATAGTTATTTCCTTAGGTGCAAAAATGTATCCTATTTTACTTCCCCCATTCTACCTACTTGGCGGTCCTCATCCATCTTCCTTCCCCTCCCCAAAGGTCTTCAGCAATCATTCAAGAACACACACTACACATCCTTCTCTCCTCTGTGGCCACTGCCCTGGAGCCCCCAGAATGTGAAAATGATGAATATGTGCACTTGAAGGATGTGTATACATCCCTGCAGCTATCCCATAACTCACTGTATTTTCCTCCAAAGAGTAGGAGTGAGAGGAGCATAACGAAAATGTACCAAGACACCACTCTCCTAGACAAAGCATTTCAAGTCTGCTCGTCTTGTTAGTGTGCCTGTGAAAAACAATGAATAGATGAATAAATTATCTTGAAGCATGTTAAAGAGGAAAATAGACACGAATCTGGAGGGGTAGTGAGACTTATCTCCATGTGTTTTTTATTAATGACAGAAATATGCCATTTCTATACAGAATGAAAGCTTTGGGCAAGAGAAAATTACTTAAGAAAGATCACTGAGGCCATTGTATTATCGCTTGTCTAACATTTCTAATTTACATTCGTGCTGTGACACAGGAAAGAACTGAAATGTGACACTTCTGGATACTAGAAATATTTGTAATGACACAAAGCAAATTTAATCATCCCACTTTCTTGCACTTTTTTTTTCTTTAACACTCCTCCCCTTGAACCCCCTACTTCTCAAAAGACTAAAAGAGTTTGTTATGATGCTAGACCGTCCTGTGAGTGTCTGCACTAAGAACACTTAATTGATGCAGTGGTGATTGCTGCTTGTCTATAAGGCTAATTAGGAATTGTGATAGCATTTATTTATTAGTCATTATTCCCATTTACATTACATCATTCATCCTAGGCCACTGAACAAAAATAGAGTGAGTCCAAATTCTGTATTTGTCACTATACCAACAGCTGAAAATTCAATCAGACTGTGTGACCTCTGAGGAATCACAAGGCACTGAGTATTAGGGGTATAAACATCTTAGAGAGATGACCTAGTTCAGCACTTACCTACCTTGGTTGTACGTCGGAATCATCTAAGGTCATTTAAAAAATTGCAAGTACCTGCCTGGACCACACTCCACCAGGTTTTGATTCAGAAAACCTAATATGGAGCTAAGATATCTGTATTTTTTAAAGCTCCACAGGGAATTCTGATGACCAACAAGCACTGTGAGTCACCAATTTGATGCACTCCTCTTATTTCAGTTGAGAAGCAAATTGAGAGCTATAGAGCCTTTGAGATTTTCCAAGAGTCATATATTTAGTATGTGACACTGGCAAGCCTAAATCCAGCTATTCTCACTCCTCATCATGTTCTTTTAAGTTGCCCAGGATTTTTTTGTTGCAAAGGGCAAAAATCCAACTTAAACTATCTTAAGCCAAAACGGGAATGCATTGCCTTACGTAATGAAAAGTCCAGGGATACACTGGGACAAGGGGCACTGTCTCTGCCTCCCAGTTTCTCCAATATGTCCATCAGTAACCTTAAACTCATGTTTTATCAATTTAGTCACTCCAGTGAAAAGAAAAGGTTGTTCCTGATACTCAAGAAAAAAAAAAAAAAAAACAGTCTCAGAGAGGACTCCGGATTGGCTTATGTCACGTGTGTCTTCCTCGGCCAATCACTATGACCAGAGCATAGAGCTGCCCAATGACAAGGCCTGGGTGGGTGGGGTAAACTGTATTTATCTAACCCACCCTTCAGTCTAATTCATGGCTTTCAAATTTTTTAACCATGACCTACAGTATTAAAAAATAACTCTATGATCCCCAACTTTTGTGAAACACAAGTTTCACAAATACTCTACAATACTCTGTTTTACTATGTACTCTGGCATTTTCCATTCTATCACATTCTACTTCATTTTGTAAAAAATCCTGACTCACCAAACTACTTTTATGATCACAATTAATTGAGTAGCTTGAAAATTAGTTTGATTCATATTCACTATGACAAATATTCAATGAGAAATTAATAATTCCCAGTAACATAGATAGGCATTACGCAGAATTTAAATGACATGTCTGGCAGTTTCTAGTTTCTAAATGTGTAAATAATAAAGGAGAGGCTGGGAAAGAGAGTGTGGCATAGAAGAAAGAGGCAAATGAGAGGAAAAAATAACACAGCCTCTCTCAGAAAACGGGTGAGGGGACAAGATATATTGAATCTAGTCAGAGATGATCTGGGATGAGAACCAGGCAAGCAAGTAAAATGGATGATATTCCAAAGCCAGAGAGTAAAACACAAACCAAGGGTGAACAGAAGGTAATCCCAGGAGGCAGCCAAGAAAAAGTGAGAAAACAGTCAGAAGCTGGGAGTAAAGACAATTAGCAAGATGCTGGAAGTCATGTCAAATGCGAGCCCAGCAGCATGTGAAAGTAGGTCAAGGGCCTCTTCTATAGCTTCTGCTGGAAACCTGCCAGTGGTTCTCCGGGAAGGCACAGGGGTAGAAGCCCGCCCTGCCGCATCTACGACCTAGATAGGAAAATGGGAACTTTGCCTGAACCTTACCCTGATCTGTTGAATACATCAGCTTGTGAGAATTATACCTCCTTCTCAGCCTGCTTCATGACAATATGCATTATGGAGCAAGCATTACTCTAATGCATATAGCTAACAAGGATCTCTACAGGACAGATAGATTTCCAGGTTGCAAATGGTGAAGAAAGATTCTAAGCCAGTCAAATCCTGTGGTGAGTTCCTTAAAGCTCACAGAAATAGTATCATATAGGAAATATGCTGAACATCTCCAAGATAAATATGTTTTATATATGTTGTGGTAGATAACTTTAAATTATATTTGCTTAGTTACTTATTTATATCTCCCTTGAGCACCAAAGCATTTGAACCAACTTACGTTAATGCTTTCTTATAAAAGAAAATGTTCACATTATGGAGCTTCCTCAAACTGTGAAAATAACCCCCAGGTATCTTTTCCCACTGTGAAATAGCTGCAAATAGGCCCACATATGAACCTTTCTTCTTAGTTTTCTCGGATTCTTGTTCGCAGTTTCACTTCCTAGAGCATTCCCTGTTTGAATATTAGTTCTGGGTCTTCTTATAAAAAGAAATTGACCATTTCTGATTTCATTTTCTTCACTGCTTTCTCTTCCTTGCCTTCATCATGTTTTTCATGTATGACTGAGATCTACTAAGCATGTGGTCTCTTCCTGGTAAAACCTCTCGGTAAGCTACAAAACATGGAGTTGCCTTTCAGAATAAACTGAAATCTCCCTTTCTGCTAATAAGCTGTAGGCTGGGTCACAGCAGCTTATTAGCAGCTTCCCTCTCTTCCTACCCCTCACCTCCATCTCAAGGACATAGAAGCCTCAGCTTCCCTTTTTTCCCAATGTGTGGATAGAGCCCAGCCAACAGGAAGTTAATGTGGTCCTGTATTTATTGCTTCCATGGCCAGCAGACTTACATGCCAGATAGAGAGCCAGGGAGCCCTAACCACATGCTAGCTCTCCCCAGAATTCACTGCTCCCTGTCTGCCCTCAGGAGAGGTCAAACTTCCAGGTTAATCAACCTCAAGAGTGATTATCCTGCTTGTCTTCTCTGATGTTATATTTCTCTGTGGTTGGAAACAGGTGACTTGAGGAGTCTATCTGGAACAGTTGCCCTGTGCATGAACCAGTAAGATCAAAGTACTCTTCCACCAACATTCTTCAGTTTCAGAGTTCACTGGATTTTTGAACTATTATAAACTGTAGCTAATAGTGGGGTTTTGGTGAGTGCAAATTGTAGTGTGTGGTTATTTATCCAGAGTTGGCCAATCCCCTGCTGAGTTTATTGCATTGCTGACACTGTGAATCAGGAGTCTTTGGACAGGGGTCTTCACTCATACAGCGCTGTTCTTGAGTCCAGGAAGTGCAAGTACCCATTCCTGTGTGATCCATCTGGGGCCTAATCAAGGTGCTGAAGCTGGCTGAGGCTATGCAAGGTTCCTTTGACTTTATGCAAAAGGATAATTTGTTGAGATATAAATTTGTATTTTTTTCCTCAGAGTTTTTCCCAATCCCTCAGTTCCAAGAAGGTAGTCAGACCTCTTATGTTCTTTGACTTCTACATAAACTACTTTCCCTCTGTGTCATTTGTTTTCCAAAAGCCTGAGATCCCAAGGGGATTATATTAGGAAGTAGTGGAAAGAAGTGTATGATTTTGAGAGAGAGGAGAAAAGGTGGAATTTTTAAAGCCATAGAAGAGTTTGGAGGTCAGCAGGCTTCACAGGGAGTGGGGACCTGAGGTTGGATTGGGGAAGGTGACAGAACTTGGGTGGAAAGTTGGCTGCATGGTCACCTAACTTTGGCAGAAACGCACATGCCCAAAGAAATAGAAGAACCCTCCAAAAGTCTAGCAAGGACAATAGTATCAGTGGTAATGACAATGGACTGAAGATGAAAGGTGCTACCCATAATATTTTCTAAGTCCCTTGAAATACTTCATGGTATGAGGGGTAGGGGAGGCCAGAAAGTTCCAATATGACTGAGATTAAACTTTGTATTAACCTGGTCATGGAAATTGGGCCAATGTCATATTAAATTAGATTTTAAATTAAGTTAGATTTTAGCAAGATACCCTACTGAAGTGATTTTGTACATATGAGTATGTAGATTCATATTTACCATCATTAATTTTCCAACCTCTCTCTGTCTCTTTATTATCTCTTGGCTGCTTTTTAAAATATATTATCTTCCCACTCCTGACACATAATTTGATACATGTTTTTCATTCTTTATATGTTACATTTTTTTCACTCCACATTTCTTTCTTACCATTCCATTTTACTCTCCTCTTTTCCTGATGAGGAATAATCTCCTCTCAGAAGGTGATTTAGTAGGACAAGAATAGAGACAGAGCATTGGAATGCTTGAGTGTGACTTCATATAATGCAAAATGCCAAAACAAACAAATCCATTAAACTATATTTGTTTCTGCTTGATAGCCTTGGCTCATCTATGTCCCCTACCAGGTAGGGCTCTGGCTTGGGCTGGAAACTGGGAACAGGGATTGGGTGTGAAAGTGGGGAAGCCCTAAGCAGAGTTCTGCTCCTTGCTGCTGAGCTGATAGTGAATGACAGCGGCCAAGTGTAAGCAGGCATGAACAAGTGCCTTGCATAAGGTCCTCCACAACTGCAACAATACTCTCTAGCTGACACCACCCAGACAATGCTAAGTCCTTGAGAGCATAAAAGATGAAGGGTGAACCTTGGTAACTGCATATCGAGGATGTTCAGACATAAAGGTGTTCCCAAGATGCCACAGGAAGTTGCCCACAGAGAAGCCTCCAGTAGACCCTTCAGATAGCATTCCACATCGTTAATGGGCCATAGTCATCTTGTTGCAAAGTATTGTAAAAGAGGAGCAGTACAAATTTGGGGCTTTCCTGATGGTACACCTATTCAGCTTCATATTAGACCTTCTCTGCACCTTGCCTTCCCATCCCCCAGGGTCTTCCTTCCTGCAAATTTTGCAGGTGTTGTTCCCAAGTGGCTGCAGGTGGGGCCAAATAGCTCTAAGTTTTCATACATGTATAGAGTGATGAGCCCACGGTTTCTTAAAACTCTTGCTTATTTTTTGTTAGATCTATTCATGGGAGCTTATTTGCTTTTATTGTTGCTTTGGCAACAATTTCCCTTTAAATTATATTTTTATAGTATTACTATTATATAAACATGTTATTGACTTTCATCCTTTGTGCTTTCAATGCTGTGAAGTATCTCTGAGAATTCCTTTAAGGGGAAGATTTTTGTCAGTGTCATTTCCTCTGAGACAGCATCATCCTTTTCATAATCCTTCCCTTATTTATGTTGATGAGTTCACCTTCACAGAGTTCCTCTGGCTGCATGTCTAGATTTCTTGAATTTGGTTCAAATTCACTGTCAGCCTTATCACTTCTCATTATTTTGCTGCACTTTCATAGTTGGTGACCAGTTCCCTCTTTTGAGTATCTATTTCTTAGATGTCATGTGGATTTATCACTAGGAGACAATAAGGCAATGCAACTCCATGCTCTGCTGTCTGTGTGTGCACTTAATAACATATGCAGTGACCAATCATGGTTAGATTTTGGAAGAAGTACTGTGATTGGGCACTGATCATGATGCTCATCTGTTCTTTATGCACTGATTAGGGAATGTGCTCTTTATGCAATTACTCACAGCTAACGTAACATGGTAACTAAAATTTGAACCAAATTGTTGGGAGATTTGTGTTTTTTTGAACTAACTAAAACCTGGTTTGAAGTCAGGTAGTGTGATGCCTCCAGCTTCATTCTTTTGGCTTAGGATTGACTTGGCGATGCGGGCTCTTTTTTGGATCCATATGAACTTTAAAGTAGTTTTTTCCAATTCTGATGGTACTGGTACCAAAACAGAGGTATAGACCAATGGAACAGAACAGAGCCCTCAGAAATAATGCCGCATATCTACAACTATCTGATCTTTGACAAACCTGACAAAAACAAGAAATGGGGAAAGGATTCCCTATTTAATAAATGGTGCTGGGAAAACTGGCTAGCCATATGTAGAAAGCTGAAACTGGATCCCTTCCTTACACCTTATACAAAAATTAATTCAACATGGATTAAAGACTTACATGTTAGACCTAAAACCATAAAAACTCTAGAAGAAAACCTAGGCAATACCATTCAGGACATAGGCATGGGCAAGAACTTCATGTCTAAAATACCAAAAGCAATGGCAACAAAAGCCAAAATTGACAAATGGGATCTTATTAAACTAAAGAGCTTCTGCACAGCAAAAGAAACTACCATCAGAGTGAACAGGCAACCTACAGAATGGGAGAAAATTTTTGCAACCTACTCATCTGGCAAAGGGCTAATACCAGAATCTACAATGAACTCAAACAAATTTACAGAAAAAAACAAACAACCCCATCAAAAAGTGGGCGAAGGATATGAACAGACACTTCTCAAAAGAAGACATTTATGCAGCCAAAAAACACATGAAAAAATGCTCATCATCACTGGCCATCAGAGAAATGCAAATCAAAACCACAATGAGATACCATCTCACACCAGTTAGAATGGCAGTCATTAAAAAGTCAGGAAACAACAGGTGCTGGAGAGGATGTGGAGAAATAGGAACACTTTTACACTGTTGGTGGGACTGTAGACTAGTTCAACCATTGTGAAAGTCAGTGTGGCAATTCCTCAGGGATCTAGAACTAGAAATACCATTTGACCCAGCCATCCCGTTACTGGGTATATACCCAAAGGATTATAAATCATGCTGCTATAAAGACACATGCACACGTATGTTTATAGCGGCACTATTCACAATAGCAAAGACTTGGAACCAACCTAAGTGTCCAACAACGATAGACTGGATTAAGAAAATGTGGCACATATACACCATGGAATACTACGCAGCCATAAAAAATGATGAGTTCATGTCCTTTGTAGGGACATGGATGAAACTGGAAACCATCATTCTCAGCAACCTATCGCAAGGACAAAAAACCAAACACCGCATGTTCTCACTCATAGGTGGGAATTGAACAATGAGAACACATGGACACAGGAAGGGGGACATCACACTCCGGGGACTGTTGTGGGGTGGGGGGTGGGGGGAGGGATAGCATTAGGAGATATACCTAATGCTAAATGACGAGTTAATGGGTGCAGCACACCAATATGGCACATGTATACATATGTAACAAACCTGCACGTTGTGCACATGTACCCTAAAACTTAAAGTATGATAATAATAAAATTTAAAAAAAAACATGGTAACTAAAATTTGTGGATATTGGAACTGTGCCAAGTGAGGACTACATTGAGTTGACATAGTATGTATTGCTTATCCTTATAAAATTCAGAGCAACAATCAGAGTGTACATTGCAATCTGATTAGAAAAGCAGCAAAAGAAATAGAAGGAAGAAAATATTATTCACAATAACTGCCCAAAACTTATGATCCTTATAAATAAGCTCACAAAAAGGAATAGGCAAAACTTATATTTAAAAAACTGTAAAATCTTAGTGAAACACATAAAGGAAGATATGAATAAAAGGAGAAAGATGTAACTGGACAGAAAGGGTCAATATTCTAAAGGTCTTAATTTTCTCCCAAGTCAATCTATAAGTTTAATGTAAATCCAAAAAAAAACAAGGACTAGGAAATTCTGAAATGTTTTTCTAATTGTAGAATGAGGAAGGCTTTTTTTTTTTTTTTTTGAGACGGAGTCTCGCTCTGTCGCCCAGGCTGGAGTGCAGTGGCGGGATCTCGGCTCACTGCAAGCTCCGCCTCCCGGGTTCACGCCATTCTCCTGCCTCAGCCTCCCAAGTAGCTGGGACTACAGGCGCCCGCCACTACGCCTGGCTAATTTTTTTATTTTTAGTAGAGACAGGGTTTCACCGTTTTAGCTGGGATGGTCTCGATCTCCTGACCTCGTGATCCGCCCGCCTCGGCCTCCCAAAGTGCTGGGATTACAGGCGTGAGCCACCGCACCCGGCCTGAGGAAGGCTTTTGATGATGACTCTAAACCTATGAATCAGGTCATGAAGCAGAGTCCTTATAGAGATTACTATTAAATTTTAAAATTTAATTTCTTATGATAAAAAAGACTTCAAAATCCATTAAGATATAGACAGAACTCCAGAACATCTTTGCATTATATATAACAGAAAAAGGGCTAATACTTATGATATAGAAAGAGCTCTTAAGAGCAGCAACATGGATAAATCTTAAAATGATTATGGCAAATGGCAAAAAGCCAGACCAAAAAAAAGACTACATACTGCATTATTCCATTTATATAAAATTCTATAAGGGGTACAAAAATATAGTTACATAGAAGGAATAAGTTCTAGTATTTGATAGTACAGTAGTGAAATTATAGTTAACAATAATTTGTTGTATATTTCAAAACAGCTAGAAGAAAAGAATTGTAATGTTCCCAACACAAAGAAAAAAGATAAATGTTTGAGGTGATAGGTAGCCCAATTGCCCTGACTTGACCAACACACATTGTATATATGCTTCAGACTATTGCATGTACCCCAAATACATGTACAACTATGACATATCAGTAACAAAATACAAAAATATTCTAGATAATACAAACTAACCTGTAGTGATGAAAAGCAAATCAATGGTTGCCTTGATCCAAGCTGGGATGCAAGAGGGTGGAATGATGAAGAGTAATGACAAAACTTCTTGGAGTGAGGATATGTTCATTATTTTGATGGTGGTGATGGTTTCACAGGTATATATTATGTCAAAGTTTATCAAACTGTACCCTTCAAATTTGTACAGTTTATTATATGTTCAGGTACACTTCAAAAATCTCAAGAAATCAACTCAAGGCTAAAACCCAATAAAAATAAGTAAAGGGTATGCATAACCAATTCACAAGGGAAGAAAGCAAATGGCCAATAAAAAGACAAGAAGATACCTTAATTATCAATCAAGACAACTTGAAACAACAAGTTTTAAAAATTATCTTCGCTTATCAGATGAAAAACTTTCAAAAGATTTATAATATCCATTGTTGAGGAGGGTGGGGAGTAACAGGCATTCTCATATGTTGTTGTGGGGTTGTGGATTGAAGGGTAATTTGTATCTATCAAAATAAAAGTTGCATATATCTTTTGATACATTTCTAGGAATCTATCCTATAGAAATAATTACACAAACTAGCAAATATATGTAGAGAAATGTCAACTGCAACATTATATGAAATAATAGTAGCAACAATAAAACCCCCAAACTACGTATCAATGGAATTTTTAAAAATTATGGTAGCTTCAAACAATAAAATATTATGCAGCAGTTAAACAGAATGAGGTAGATACAAACATATTGAATTGGAGCAGTGTCCACAGTTATTCCTAAGTGAAAAAGCAAGATAAAGAGTGATCTTTTTGTTTAAAAAAAAAAGGTTATGCTTGTGTGTATGGGTGCACATATGCATGTAAACAAAATATTTCATCTGGGAAGTATAAAGTATAGAAATAAGGAGAGATTTCCACTTTCTACTTTATATACTTCTAGAGTTTTCAGATTTACATTCTCTTTTTCCCTTATGAAGTTTATGTAAGATTTTATTTATATAAAGCAATATATGTTTTTAAAAAGTGTACTGATGTCTACAGTTGATACTGTATCTTAACCTATTCCCCTATGGGAGAGTCTCTGGAATGCTTAGACTCCTATCAGCTCCCTGCCATCTGCATGTCATTTGTGTCCCATGTTTTACTTCTGTCCCTTTTCAAATCCTTCAAATTAGACATTATCACTATTATTATCATCATTTTTGTAATGTTTTAGATTTATCTGTAAACCACTTTCATCACCATTGCTTCTTGGATTTTAGACCTTCCCTTTCATATCATTTTCCTTCTTCTTGAAGTTAACTTTTACGTGTTCCTTATGTGTAAATTTGTTGGTGACAAACTAAGTTTCTATTTATCAAATTAAATAATTTATTTATTTTGTTCTCATTCTTGGAGGAAGGTTTTCTGCATACAAAATTTGAGTTAGATATGTTCTCTCAGCACTTTGTAGCTATTCTCCCCCTCCTGATCTTCATTGTTGAGGTCAGAAGTCTACTTGCTATTTGTGGTTCCCTGTTAGGTATCTGACTTTCCTCTTACTCTGTCTGTATGATCTTCTGTTTGTTTTTGGTATTCTGCAGTGTGGTGAGATGGATTAAAGTAAATTCTGCAGTATCACATGGCATGGGTGAGGAACAGGCAGTGCTGGGCAACATTCACAGTGAGCAAGAATCTGTGGGTCCCAGTTCTTCCTCTACCCTGTCGAGAGCTATGCCACTGTGGGACACGCGGCCAAGTTGAGGCGAAGAGGCACCCCTCTCCTCTCATGTCTTTTTTTTTTAATTGAGAGAGCATAAGAATAATCTTTTCAGTGGGCCAACTATAGATTACTTGGTGATAGGGAAATGCTCATTTTGATGTTGACTTAATTTAGATGTTAGCTGTTTACAGGAATTTTCTGGGAAACCCAGCTGCCTAGCACTTTAGAAGTCTTGGGGCCAGTAAGAAGTTGCAGCCGTTCCTGTTGCGGGTGGAAGGTAGCTCCTGCCCAAACTAGTTCATTGTCCAGGCAAAAGAGAGTCCTGGAATCTCTATCAGTTACTTTCATTGCGGTACCATCATTCCATCCTCTAACCTCAGCTCTCCTCACATACCTGACACGGGAGGAGAGAGAGTGAGCAGTTATTTGCTTCCCCTTGCACCCCAGGTCCTTTATTTTGGGGTTCGGATATGTCTAATTCACCAGTTGGGGTTTGTTAAATCCCTGAGGGGCAAGGCACATTCTGGGTCCTTTCCTTGTGATGTGAGCAGCTCTCGGGAGCCAGTTGTTATTTTGACTCCAAGGGTGACATCTAGAGGCAGAGCCGAGTAGCTGCAGCGCTACCTTCAGTATCTGAATCTTCCTCTCAGCAATCAGCTGAGGTCCTTTCCCGGGTGACCAGGACTACGGCCAGGGGACAGGGGTCGCGGGCAGAGACTTCTCCCACAATTTCGATCCTTCATTCCCATTTCAGACGGCATTCCGGTCAGACTTGGCCCTCCACTCTGGAAGCCATCAGCAGGGAGTCGTGATGAACTGTCAAGATTTAGCAAAAGACCAAAAACTAAGTCCGGTAAGAAGTGTGCTCCCTGCTTTGAGCATCAGCGACCCCCCTGGAGCGGGAAAGGAGGGCGGATGAAGCAGACGACCAAGCCCCACACGTGTCCTCCAGTCCAAACAGACACGACCAGGGTAGGAATCCTCTGGCTCTCTGCTAGCGCTGGTTTGCAGGGCGGCACCAGGGTTGGGTGGATGGGGCCAGCGTGAGGCCTGGCCGGGTCACACTCACCTTCTAGGACTGGGAGGCTGTGGATTTGGAGGGCAAGGACAATTTCCTTGATCTCTAAGGAGAATCGAATTTCGCCATCCCCAGGACCTTCTTGCCCATTGTCTTCCTCATGGCTTTCTTCCCTCCTCACTGACTTTCCAAGAGGTCCCCCAGTCCCCCAAAAAAACTGCTCCAGCTTTTTTCTTTCCCGTTTACCCAGCCCCAGAAGCTTTCGTGCATCCAGTCAGGGTTTTTCTATCAGTCCTCTGCTTTTTTCTTTCTCTATCCCACAGCTGCAGCTGCCTACGAACACCCAAGGAAATGGGCCCAGAGCCAGACCTCATCACTGTCCTTGACAACCCCTCCACTCAATTGAGGGATTTTCCTAATTTGGCATGCTGTCTCCAGATGGTGCAGCCTCTGGCTCAGGGAAAGCTCACGTCAATACTGTTCAAGAATGGGGAGGGCATGCCTGCCCCCTCCTCTTTGGTCAGTCCAGCAATTTTTCCAGCAATAGTAGGCCCTGCAATTGTTTGATCTTAATCTATGGAGTTCCCATCCATAGATGCTTCTCTCTAGAGGATGTCCATTTTTTTTCTGCCCAGAATCAGGTGACACTACTGACCACCTACCCCTTTTCCAGTCTCCCTGGTTTAATCTAGAAGTTTCAGAATCAGCTTACTGAAAGGCAGTTTGGTAAATACATTAAAAGTCTTCAAACTCTATAGACATTTTGTCCTAGTAATTCCAATTCTAGGATGTTAACCCAAGAAAATAATTGAACACATCAAGATCTATATACAAACATATTCAGAGAAATTTTTATAAAAGGAAAAATTGAGAATAACTTTAAGGTTTAGTTGGTGGTTGGATAAATAAATCACGGTGCACCTATGCAAATGAATTCTATGTAACAGCTATGTTGTAGCCATTTTAAATTACACTGGAGATCTGTAGTTCCTGAAATTAAAACATATTCACAATTTCCTGTAAGGAGTAAAGCAATCTACAAAACAGTACATGTAATATGTTCCTGATATGGTTTGGATCTGTGTCCCTGAACAAATCTCGCGTCAAATTATAATCCCCAGTGTTGGAGGTAGGGCCTGGTGGGAGGTGACTAGATCATGAGGGCAGCTTCTCATGAATGGTTTTCACCATCATGAGATGGTTTAGCATTCTCATAAATGGTTTAGCACCTTCTCCTTGGTGCTGTTCTCATGATAATCAGTGAGTTATCATGTGGCATCTCCCCACACCTTTACTGCTGCTCCAGCCATGTGAAGACAGCTTACTCCTGCTTTGCCTTCTGACATGAGTAAAAGCTCCCTGAGGCCTCCCCAGAAGCAGATGCTGCCATGCTTGTTGTACAGCCTGTGGAACTATGAGCCAATTAAACCTCTTTTCCTTATAAATTACCCAGTCTCAGATATTTCTTTATAGCAATGAGAGGATGGGTTAATACAATTCCCAGTACATGTCTCATTTGACCTTCTGCGCCATTTAACACTGCTGATTATTCCCTTTTACTTAAATCTTTCGTAGTTTTTATGACACCTCTTTCTTCATTCCTAATTTTTCTGTAATTTCTCTGGCTGCCTAGGCCTTCTCCATCTGATACTCCTCTATTTTTTGCTCACTTCTGAATGCTAATGTTTCTCAGGCTTCCATACTCTCCTTCTTTTATCTTCTCATTCTATCCATTCTCCTTGAGTGACTTCACTTATTATATGAATTTCACAACCATCTAAATGTTAATGACTCCTAAATCTAAGTGTTTAGCTCAAATGGCTTTCCTGAGCTCCTGAATCATTTAGCTAACTTGGCATCACCATTTGGATGTTTTCCAGGCCCCTCATATTCTACCTGCCTGAAACAGAATTCATTTTCCCTCTCCTAGTATTCCTGACCTCATGATGGCCACTGCTCCACTCAGTATCCTGGCAGTCATTGTTGTACTCTCCCTCTCTTTAACCAAACAAGTTTTATTATACCATCTAAATTGCCTTCAAATCTGTGTATTTCTCCTCATTTTCTCTTCCTGGTGTTGGTTTATCTAACAGACAGATTTATTGCATGAGTAAGGCACTAGCAGACTATGAGATTTCAAGTAGCCCTCAGAAATTCCTCACTGGCCAAGACTCTAGGCTCTTTGTCATGTAAGAATTCTGTAATACCTTCATCTGAGAAAAAGATGAACATTGATAAACAGGTACCAGAAGACCATAATACTGAAAGATGTACAGTGTCCTCTTTCTAAGAAATAATTGATACATTAATGTAAGTGGAAGAAATTAAAACATCAGATGTTCTTCAGAATCATTTTATCTTACTCAGTCTTGGGAATTTCTGTACACTGTTTACTTTGTCATGTTTATGATAAGCAGTAGAGGAAGCCCATCTCTAAAAGCTCCAAATAAGAGAGAAGAAACACCGTACTTAGACATTCTCACTGTTGATCAACTCAAATGTAAAAAAGAGGCATTTACTTTGCAACCTCCTCCCTAGGTAAGCAATGACCGGATCATATCTGCAGAGTTGAACTGTAAATAGACATTATCAGCTACTCAGAGGGCAGGAAAGGAATTCACTTTTAGAATTAAGAAATAGTTTCAAAAAAGAAAATTCACCAGTAGAAAATTGAGAAACCAGTGTGTAGATAATATCTAACTGTAAATGAACAAAAATGTTTAAGAAGAAGAAAAGGACATTGTTTAAAAGCCCTTTGTCTGGGCTGGGCATGGTGGCTCATGCCTGTAACCCCAGCACTTTGGGAGGCTGAGGCAGGAAGATTGCTTGAGGCCAGGAGTTCAAAATTAGCCTGGGTAACGTTGTCTGTTAGAAAAATCTTGTCTATTAAAAAAAAAAAAACCTTTTGACTGATATCTGTTGCCTAAAATTCTGAGTCTTTCAAACCAGATGATTAATTTACACTTTGCAAGGAGGAGAAAGTCATCCTTAATCTTTGTCAGATAATTTCTTCAAAACACCAGGAATCAAGGAAACAAACAAAAATTGAAAGTAACTTAATATTTGATATATCAAAAATATATATTTAACGTAAGAAAATATCATAACATAATTGAGTTTTCTTGCAATTATTTTATGGCTCAGTATAGTTTTTATTTGAAATACACATGGGGTACAGTAGTATACATCATAATCTTTGCAATAGTTGAGTCCTTAATGTGACCCTACTTCTGCCATTTCCTATTTGAATTCCTTATAAATTCTAAACCAGTTTACCAAGTAAGAGATTTTAAAGGCCTCTGTGTTTCTAATTCTGTTGTTTTCAATGTTTTTGATACTGTGATCTTTCCAAGATGCAAATATCCATGCTTAAAATCCTTCAGTGGCTCCTCATGATCTTTATATCATGTCTAAACTCCATGTCATGGCACACAAGACTGTTAATGTCAGGACACCCTTACCTCCCCAGTTTCCTATTTTTTTTTAACGTTCTTTTTCAGTCTTATTCCATATTCTTTTCTCTACTGTGTACCCAACGCTTGCGCTCTGCTGAAACCCCCACAGGTATCCCAATGTTTTCATGCTCTTTCTAAGCATTGAACCTTTGCGCATTATTCTCTCATTCAGTAACTCCTACATATATTTCATTATTCATAATAGAGATCATTTCCTCTAGGAAGTCTTCTATGATCTATGCATTTGGTTCCATGTCCCAGTATCAGCATTTTTGTGTCAGTTCTCCAAACCTCGATTCCCACAGGGCAACAAAATAAATATGATGACAGTTGCATGTGCAGTGGATTTTGTTACAAGAGACGAAACCTTGAGCTTGGGGAACCTGAAACTTTTACAATGGGCAGTAAACATAAACAGGCCTGCTCTTGGCTTATATGGTATACATTATCTTTACCATACTGGACAGAAATGCATCTCTGCTCCCCTTTCTCCAGAGGGAAACATTATCTCTAGCTTCCAAAACTGTTTGGTAGATAAATATCCTGGAAGACATAGTCCTAAAGAAAGGGCAGTCAATGGCTTACTCACAAGACATGCAGAAATCTGAGAGACCCTGGGAGCAATGTCTCACCACAATATTTGAAAGGTAGAGTCAGGACTTATGAGAGATTTGTGAGGTACTGAGCAAAAAGAGAAACAAATATAAGACTTCAAAATATTTTGGCCTGAACTACTAGAAAAATGAAGTGCCAATTTAATGAGATGGAAAGGGTATAGGAACGGCAGGGTAAGAATTAAAGTTTGGTTTTGGTAAAGTTAATGAATCAATAAAATAATAATTATAATAATATTTATTGGGTATTTGCCACTTGCTGGGAACCAGGTTAAACACATCACATACATTCACTCAACACATACTGAGCTCCTTATATGTACTAGTCACTATTTTGCAGGTAAGGATAGGGCATTGAACAAAGTCGACAAAAATCACTGTCTTCACTTGTGATGTTTGTATTTTAATGAAGGATAGTCAGACAGTTGTGGAAATTCAATGTGGGCAGAGATAATCTCTTCTTGGAAATACAGAGATGTCAGCCTTGTGAGGTGGATGTTATTTTCTTCCCCTTCCCCACAACTTTACAAATGAGGAAACCAAGGCCTAAAGTCACAGTTAAGAAGTGTCGAAACCAAGATCCTAACCCATGTCTGTTGAAGTCTAGATCCTGTGCTTTATTATTTATCTTTTGAATAAAAATGTTTTCATGAATATTTACTTGTAGAAGTGAATATGTCTCTTAAGAAATGTTAAATTAGCCTGTCTGATAAAGTTTTCTTTAGAAATTCAATGTTGAAAGTTTGAAAAGAAGTAATGTAAATAATTGATCTGGCTGTTGCAGTGGAAAAGTTAACTGAATTGCTTTTCAACTTAATATTGATTTAATTTCACTGTGATATTGAATTTTCTTATATTTCATTATATAAATCACTTTTGAGTATAGTTTTATTACATTTTCTTATTACTTTTTCTATTATGGTGTAATTTTTAAACATATTTTTCATTGAAATAAATGAAATAAATTTTAGTTGAGGCAAATTTCAAAATATTTGTCCTAGTCAATGTAATATTATATAAGACTTCTAATATATGTTAGTAGCTCTCAGGGAATACGAAGTATTGGAGACTGTGGTCCCGCAATATAAAGTCAATGCTTGGCGCTACTTTTTCATCACTTGTCAAACCGAGAAAAAGTTTTATAAAAAAAAATTGAGGCAGCTATTTATGGTAAAATTCTAGAATAATATGATCAGGAACTTAAGAAGCATTATATTTTAGGTGAAATGTAATACAAAGAAGAGAGATAAGTAATTGTGGAGAAGGGATTATTTATACATTTATTCAACCTCTCATTTATTCTGTGTTTATATTTCTATTTACTGAGGCTTTGCATTTATAGCACTCAGTAAGCTTCTAATTACATCTTCATTGTCTTCCCCACTGGATTGTAAGCTTCATGAGAACTATTACCATATGTCTCTTGGTCACAGTCTGGCACTCTAGCATAACAGGTCCTCAGCAAATGTTAGATTAGCCAGGCATGGTGGCACAAGCCTGTAGCCCCAGTTACTTGGGATGCTGAGGCAGGAGGATCACTTGAGCCCAGGAATTTGAGGCCATAATGTGTTATTATTGCACCGGTGAACAGCTGCTGCACTTAAGCCTGGGTGACAGAGACCCTCCCTGTCTCTAAAAAAAATGTAAAAACATCTCAAAAAAAAAAAAAAAAAACAAAAGCTAGATTAATGAATGAAGGAATTAATAAATGACTATGGGTATTTTAATCCCATTGGTACCTAAAAAACACAAGCAGAAATAGCCATAATACAAGATTGAGATTTTAGGTGCTATAACAAATGCAAATAATCAATCTATGGGCTGCGAACATTGGGGGAGTTTTATAGCATTGGAGCTAGAACTATATAGGTAGATGTCTTAAGTTTGGTTCCCTATAAGATGTAGCCTGAGTCAATGATGAAAGCGTTCATGTGAAAGGTTCAAACTCAGGACAGAGGGTGAATAAAAAGAAAACTGAGACAAGAGAAGATATGTGAGCTTGGATTTTAAAAATATCTAGTTGAGTTCTACTATTATCCAGAGTGTAATAACCTGGAAAGAGCATCGCTCCTACTCCAATAAGAAAAGCTAGATAAACTAAAAAATTGTAATTCTTTTTTAACCAATCACAGAGCTAAAATGACAAGGAGGCTGGGAGCGGTGGCTCATGCCTGTAATCGCAGTACTTTGGGAAGCTGAGGAGGGAGGATCACTTGAAGTCAGGAGTTCGAGACCAGCCTGGCCAACATGGTGAAACCATGTCTCTACTAAAAGTACAAAAATTGTACAAAATAATTTTTGTACAATAAAAGTACAAAACTTAGCCAGGCATAGTGGCATATGCCTGTAACCCCAGCTACTCAGGAGGCTGAGACAGGGGAACTGCTTGAACCCAGGAGGCAGAAGTTACAGTGAGCCAAGATTGCACCACTGCACTCCAGCCTGGGTGACAGAGTGAGTCTCTATCTCAAAAAATAACAAAAACAATAACAATAAAATGACAAGGAAACCAAGCAGCCTAAAATGTAGGCAAAGACAGGCTCCCTCAAGGAGAGATGAGTCATGAGCGCTGAGTCACTGATGGCAGAATATTGGAGGAAAAAAGGCAGCTGCCATACAAGCAGGCAAAAACATTCAGTTAAAATTTTTAATGGTTTGGTAAAGGCCAACTGTGGCTAGCATGGAGCCACAGAAAAAAGGGGAGTTCACACTCATTCACAGGCTCATCTCCACGAACCTTCACTGGATACTCACAAGAAAGATTGAGGGCAGAGCAGGAGAAAGCCTCCCTCAGATGTGCAAGTCTGGAAGAAAAGGAGTGGAAACCTCTCCTTTGGAAAATGAATGTGGGAAAATGTTGGAAACTGAGAAATGAATGAAGCCCTGCCTTGACCTTTGTCCTTTATAAAACAAAGTCCTAAGCCTTTGACAGAAAGGCAGCAAACCCTGGCATCACCCAGCTCCCACCCTAAGGATAAGGAAACACTACAGAAATTCTGAAGCTGAAAGTAACCATAGCAACAACAAGCCCCAGATGCAGCTCACTCAGAACTACTTTGACTTGATGCAGTCACACATTAATATCTACTTGAGCATTCCAAATTTGAGCATTTAAAATCTGAATCTCTGAGGACATGCCCATTGGATAATTTCTGATTTCTGATTTTTAGATTTGGGATGCTCAGCCCGTAAGTATAATGCAAATATTCAAAAATCTGAAAAAATCCAAAATGTGAAATATTTCTGGTCCCAATCATTTCAGATAAGGAGTATTCAACATGTATTTACCACAATCTCTACTGTTCTACACATGATGTATAGCATTCAATAAAAACTTATGAGACATATAATTTTTTTAAGTACAAAAAAGCCTCTGACAAAGACAAAGCAATCAACAGAATGAGACTCAGTTGATCCAGATGTTTGAGCCATTAGACAGAGAATTTTAAATAACTTTGATTACTATGTTAAAGAATCTGGGCCGGGCACAGTGGCTCAAGACTGTGATCCCAGCACTTTGGGAGGCTAAGGCAGACAGATCACTTGAGGCCAGGAGTTCAAGACCAGCCTTAGCCAACACGGTGAAACCCCATCTCTACTAAAAATACAAAAAACTGTCTGGGCATGGTGGCACGTGCCTGTAGTCCCAGCTACTTGGGAGGCCGAGGCAGAAGAATCACCTGAACCCAGGAGGTGGAGAGAGCTAGGATTGCACCACCACACTCCAGAGTGAGACTCTGTCTCAGGAAAAGAAGAGAAAAGAAAAGAGAAAAGAAAAGAATCTGAGGAAAAGGTAGAAATGAACAGATGGGAATTTTACTGGAGATAGAAACTATAGAAAAGAGTGAGATAGAAATGCTAGAAATAAAAAATATTGTAGCAGAGATGGTAAATGCCTTGGATGGGTTCATCAGTAGATTTGACAAAGCTGAAGAAACAATCAGTGAATATGAATATAAGTCAACAGAAACTGAAACACAGAGAGAATAGAGTATGCAGGGGTGGGATGAGAATATCAGAACAGAACATATAAATACTGCAGGACATCAACCAGTGGTCTAACATACTTGCAGTTGGAATTTCAGAAGAGAATAGAGAGAAAGGGGCAGACTGTTTGAAGAGATCATGGCTAAAAAATTTTTTAAATAATGAAAGAATCAAATTACAGACCTAAACAGCTCAGAGAACACCCAAGCAGAAAAACAGAAAAAGTAAAAATAATACACCTATACCCATCATATCCAAACTATTGAAGACAAGTAAAGAGAAAATCTTGAAGATGACCACAGCAGAAGACAATGTAATGTCAATTTCAAATGCTGCAAAAAATCCATCCTCACCCAGAATTATATACTCCGCTAAAATATCTTCTAGAAATAAAGGTGAAAAAAAAGATGAGAGAATTTGTTAACAGCAGATCTGCCTTAAAAGAAATATTACAATTCTTCAACCAGAAGGAAAATGATACTAGGCAAAGATTTGGATCTACAAAAAGAAATAAAAAATTTCCAGAAATGATTAAATGAATGTTACTATAAAAGCCTTAGCCTTATTTATTTATTAATTTTAATTTTCTTTTTCTTTTCTTTTTTTTTTTTTTTTTTTTGAGACAAGGTCTTGCTCTGTCATCCAATCACAGCTCACGGCAGTGTCAACCTCCCTGGCTCAAGCGATCTTCCCACCTTAGATCCTCCAAGTAGCTGGGACTACGGGCGCACACCACCATGCCTGGCTAATTATTTTATTTTATTTTTGTAGAGTTGGGGTCTCCCCATGTTGCCCAATCTGGTCTTAAACTCCTGGGCTCAAGCGATCTTCCCTCCTCAGCCTCCCAAAGTGCCAGGATTACAAGCATGAGCAACTGTGCCCAGTCCGTTTTATTTTTTATTTTAGTCATTCTAAAATATATTTATCTAAATCTGTACAGTTCAATACACTAGCCATTAACAAAAGGTAGCAATATAATGTAAACTAATTAAAAATTTAAAAATAAAAGCTAAAAATTCAGTCCATTGTTATAACTAGCCGCATTTCAAGAGTTCAACAGCCACATGTGGCCAGTGAATACTGTATTGGACAAAACAGAAAGCTTTATTGCACAGCACTGGTCTAGCAGCAACATATTTTGGGTTTATATAATATAATAAGATATAAAAGATGTGACAACAAAAGCACAAAAGGTGGGGGTGAGAATTGAGAATACCGTTGTAAGGTTCTTACAGTAGTCTTGAAGAAGTTTAATATGTTTAAAGGTAGATGGTAGTTAATTAAACGTATGTATTATAAACCCTAGGGCAAACATGACAACAACTTTAAAAACTGGCATAATAAGCCCAAAGCAGAGGCAAAATGTAATTTTTTAAAATGCTTAAGTAACCTAAAAGCAGGAGCAAAAACGAGAAAAAAGGAAAAAACACAGATGAAACAAATAGGAAACAACTAGCAAGATGATAGATTTCAGTTCAACTGTATCAATCATTAAGGCAATATAAATCATCTGAAGACACAAATTGAAACACAGAAATTGTCAGACAAGATAAATAAGGATAAATAAGAAAGTTCTCACTACAGCTGTCCCTTGGTATCTGTGGGGGATTGGTTCCCCCAGACCATCAAGGATACCAAAAAATGTGGATGTTTAAGTTTCTTTTATAAAATGTCTACAGTACTTGCATAAAACCTATGCATGCCATCCTGTATACTGTATAAATCATCTCTAGATTACTTACAATACCTAAAACAATATGAATGCTCTGTAAGTAGTTGTTATACTGTATTGTTTTTATTTGTATTATTTGTATTGTTGTATTGTTCCTTATTATTTTTTTCTAATATCTTTTGTTCCTGTTAGTTGAATTCATGCATGTGGAACCACAGATACAAAAGGCCAATTGCATACACTGCCTACAAGAAACCCATTTTAAAATAGAACACAGGTGGGCTAAAAGTAACAGGATAAGAATGTCAAATATCTGGAATTCTCATAATTGCCAGTGGGAATGTGAAATAGTGCAGTCACTCTGGAAAACAGTTTGGCAATTTCTTATGAACTTAAACATACATTTATCATACAATCCAGCAATCCCACTTCTATATTTTAGTTAAGTGAAGTGAAATACCTATGTTTGAAACTGCCCTTGCAAAAATTTTAATGGAGAAATCTAAGCTAACTGATTATATCTTGTGTCTAACCTCCAAGCTTTCCTTATTCGTTCCTGAGTATAGGCACAGCTAAACATGGGAGGAATCAATAACAACAATCCTTTCCCAAAACTAACTCCCTTATTGCTCAGGGACTGAAACTGCCTTTGTAAAACTAACAAATTAGCCACAAGCTTGGAATTATGATTCAAGAGTCAGGTAGCCAGAGGTCACAAGATTTGTAACCTTAATTTCTCCTATAGATAACACTACTATTGTGAACCCTAAGATTGGTGTTTGAGGTACTTCCCAGACCCTGCATTCTGATGGACCAGCTGGCGCCATCTGGACTGGTAACCCATACCAAGAAACTGGCCTCATCTGGTCTTGTGACTACCAGGTAGGAACTGACTCAGCAAAAGGAGACAGATTTGACCCCCTGTGATTTCATCCCTGACCCAATAAAGCAGCATTTCCCATTTTCTAGCCCCCTGCCCACCAAACTATCCTTGAAAAATCCTAGCCTCTAAATTTTCAGGCAGGCTGATTTGAGTAAAAACTCCCTTCTTTCTGCTTGGCTGGCCCTGCAATTATTGACTTCTTTCTCTATTGCAATACCACTGTCTCAGCTCTCAGTAAATTGGCTCTATCTGTGCAGTGGACAAGAAGAACCTGTCAGGTGATTACCATACACACACACACACACACACACACACACACACACCCCTGTTCATGATTGTTTATAGTGACTCTATTCATAATGTTAAAAACTTGATGTAAACAAAGTGTCCTTAACCTAGAGAATAAACTATGATGATCTATGTAATGGATTTTTGCTCATCAATAAAAAGGAATGAACTGCTAATACATGGAATAACATGAATAAATTTCAAATGTGTTATGCGAAGAAAAAGAATTAAACTCAAAATGTTGCATATTATATGATTCCATTTGTATGACATTCTGGAAAAGGTGAAACCATAAGAAAAGAAATAAGATCAGTGTTTGCCAGATTCTGGGGGAAGGGGAAAGAGGCTGCCTACAGAGGAGTGCTGGGGAATTTTGTGGGTAATGAAATTGTTCTATATCTTGATTTTGATAGTGGTGACATGACTGTATATGTTTATAAAAACTCAGAACTGTACACTAAAAAGAGAAAATATGCACTATGCCTCAATAAATCTGAATTTTTAAAAAAATATGTATTAGGGATCTCCAGTGAAACAAAACCAATAGGATATATATATGTAAATGAGAGGCACTAGTCAGCCTGCCTTCATGGTGATTGCAAAAGGCAGGGCCCAGCACTCTTTCATGTATTTGATTTGGGGTTCTAGAGGCAGAACTGGGCAGATTCAAATGGAGCCTAAAGGTGTAGGTGGGCAAAAACATAAGCCTCATAATGACCCTTTGTGTAGGGAGGGGGTATCTGTTTTATTCACTGCTCTACCTGAACACTGAAAACATTTCAGAGAAAGTATATACTCAATTCATTTGGTGAATGAATAATTTATTCAATTGGGATGTAGGTGGGGTAGTGCAAGAAGTGACTGTAGAAGCAGAGACTTGAAGGTGAGAAAGCACAGAAATGTACTGGAGACACAAGTAAAGCAGTCACAGATTGATGATGGTTTTCTGTGTTTTCTAAATGGATTTCAGAGAAATAGAATTGGATTAATCAGTACTATCGGTCATAATATACTATCATTATTCTATGCACAATCCTCCTTTATTTTAATTGATTAAGTTTGAGGAATTTTATTAAGGTATAATTAGCATACCTTAATAACAATTTGATAGGTTTTGAAATATATATGCTTCCATGAAACTATGACAACAATCAAGATAATGACTATAACCATTGTATTTATATCCTAGGTACCACAAACTAGGTGGCTTAAAACAATAGAAATGAATTCTCTATCAGTTCTGAAGGCTAGAAGCCCAAAATCAGGGTGTCAGAAATATAGATTCCTTCTGAGGGCCTTGAGGGACAATCTGTTCCATGTGCCTCTCCTAGCTTCTGGTGGAGGGCCTGTGATCCTATGCGTTCCCTGGCTTGCAGATGCATTGCTCCAATCTCTACCTCCATCTTCCCTTGGCATTCTCCCCAAGCCTCTGTGTCTTCACATGGCCACTTCTTATAAACAGAAAATAATATTGGAATAGGGCTCATCCAAATGACCTGATCTTGACTTGATTAAACTTGCAAAGACCCTATTTCCAAATAAGGCCACATTCACAGCTTCTAGGAGTTAGAACCTCACTGAATTTTGGGAGGAGGACATAATTCAACCTATAATATCCACCATTCCCCAGATTTCCTCACTCTTCTTTATAATACCTCCTTTCTGACCCACCTCCTCATTACCTGACAGCCACTATCACTTCTTTAACTACTACTTTACTACTGCTTTAACTATAGTTTATTTTTTCTGGAATTTTATAAAAATAGAAGCATACAGTACATACTTTTTTGTAGGGGGAGGGAATCTGGCTTATTTCATTTAGCATAATTATTTGTGAGATTTATCCATGCTATTTCATATACTTAGTCCTTTATATCGCTGAAAAATATTTGTATGAATATCCCACAATTTTTAAATCTATTTACTTCTTAATGGAATTTGTTTCCATTTTTTGGATTTCAAATAAACCACTGAATAGTAGTGTCTAAGTATTTGTATGAACATACGTTTTCATGTTTTCTTAGGTAAACTTCTAGGGGTAGAATGGCTGGGTCATACGGTAGGTGTCTGCTTAAATTTTAAGAAACTGTCATACTGTTTTTCGAAGTGGCTGTACCATTTTACATTCCTGGCAACAATGTATGAAGGTTTCAGTTGCTCCACATCCTTGCCAACACTTCGGAATGGTCAGTCTTTTTAATTTCAGGCTAGATTCTAATAGGTGTGTAGTAGTATCTTATTGTGGTTTTAATTTGCATTGTCCTAATTACTAAAGATGTTGAACATTCTTTTATGTGCTTAGTTGTGGTCAGTATATTGTTTTTCAGTAAAGTGCTTGTTCAAATCTTTAGCCTATTTTTATTTTGTAAAATTCATTTTACTTATTTTTTCTTAGACACGGTCTTGCTCTGTTGCCCAGGCTGGAGTGCAGTGGTGCTGTCATGACTCACTGCAACCTTGACCTCCTGGCCTCAAGTGATCCACCTACCTCAGCCTCACGAGTAACTGGGGCCACAGGCACAAGCCACTATGGCTAATTAATTTTTGTATTTTTTGTAGATACGGGGTTTCACCATGTTGCCCAGGCTGGTCTCGAACTCCTAAGCTTAAGCAATTCACCTGCCTTGGCATCCCAAAGTGTTGGGATTACAGGTGTGAGCCAGTTTGCCTGGCCAAGCCTATTTTTAAATTGTCATTTTCTGCCAAAAAAAAAAAAAAAGAGAGAGAGCACACTAAGATTTTGACTGGGATTGTGTTGAATCTACACATCAATTTGGGGTAAAAGTGACAAATTTTAACAAAATTGAGTCTGAGTCTTAAACATGATACCTCTATATTTTAAAATAATGTCTTCTTTAATTTCTCTCAGTAATATTTTGTAGTTTTCAGTGTGCAAGTCTTACATGTGTCAGATTTATTCTTCAGTATTTAATAATTTTTGATGCTATTGAAATTGTGCTGTTATTTTAAATTTCAATTCCCAATCGCTTATTGCTAGTACATAGAAATACTATTTTTTCTATGTTAATCTTGCATCTTGAAACCTTGCAAAGCTCACTTATTAGTTCTAGAAACTTGTTTGTAGAATCCATCAGATTTTCTACATAACAATCATGTTGTCTGTAAGTAAATTCGTGTTTTTTTTTTCTTTCAAATCTGGGTGCATTTAATTTCCTTTTCTTATTGCACTGGTTACAACCTCCAGTACAATGTTGCACAGAGGAGTGAGAACAGACACCCTTGCCTTGTCCCTGAATGTAGGGGGGAATGCATTAGTATTTCATGATTAATTATGATATTAGCTGTAGTTTTTTTCATAGATGCTCTTTATCCAGTTGACAAAATTCCCTTCTACTCCCTAGTTCTAGTTAATTACTTTCAAATAATTCCATGAAATCCATGAAACAAACACCCATCAATAATCTCATTTAAATGACTGGCTCAACTACCTATATACTACCTATAAGTATATATTTCTGTGTCTCCTTCTCCGGGCCCTTCTCTCTCGAGCTACAGATCCCATTTTTACTGGACTTCTTTATCTGGTTGTTTCGCAGACACTTCAAATTTAATATAACAAACCCACTTGGGTCATTTCTTATCCCATAAAGATAAAACTAAATCTATAAACCTGCTCCTTATTTTTCCATCTGGCTTTTCATCTGTATTCCTTATTTTTTATTTCACTACTGGCAAAACCTAAAATCACCTATGTCAGAAACCTAAATGCTAGTCTCTATGACTCCTCCCTCCATCTCTTACAAACAGCTACTGAGTTCTATAAAATATACTTCCAAATTTCTCTCAGACTTAGCCCATTCTCAGTATGGGGTAGTAAAAAGATTAAGGGCTTTAGGATTAACCAGATCTAAGTTCAAGTAATTACGAACTATAAACCTTTGGATAAATTACCTAACCCAGCTGGTTTTTCTAAATGTGAAACAAGAATGGTATCTCTATTATAATATTGTTAAAATTTAAGGCCGGGCGCGGTGGCTCACGCCTGTAATCCCAGCACTTTGGGAGGCCGAGGCAGGCGGATCACGAGGTCAGGATATCGAGACCATCCCGGCTAAAACGGAGAAACCCCGTCTCTACTAAAAATACAAAAAATTAGCCGGGTATAGTGGCGGGCGCCTGTAGACCCAGCTACTTGGGAGGCTGAGGCAGGAGAATGGCGTGAACCCAGGAGGCAGAGCTTGCAGTGAGCCGAGATCCTGCCACTGCACTCCAGCCTGGGCGACAGAGTGAGACTCCGTCTCAAAAAAAAAAAAAAAAAAAAAAATTGTTAAAATTTAAATGGGAGTAATATATCTATCACAGTGTCAGCCACATTATGTTTAATAAACTTTAATTACCATTCCCTCTCGCCTATTCCCATTGTTTATAAAGGCCATTTTTTTAAATTATACTTTAAGTTTTAGGGTACATGTGCACAATGTGCAGGTTAGTTACATATGTATACATGTGCCATGCTGGTGTGCTGCACCCATTAACTCGTCATTTAGCATGAGGTATATCTCCCAATGCTATCCCTCCCCCCTCCCCCAACCCCACAACAGTCCCCAGAGTGTGATGTTCCCCTTTCTGTGTCCATGTGTTCTCACTGTTCAATTCCCACCTATGAGTGAGAACATGCGGTGTTTGGTTTTTTGTTCTTGCGATAGTTTACTGAGAATGATGGTTTCCAGTTTCATCCATGTCCCTACAAAGGACATGAACTCATCATTTTTTATGGCTGCATAGTATTCCATGGTGTATATGTGCCACATTTTCTTAATCCAGTCTATCATTGTTGGACATTCGGGTTGGTTCCAAGTCTTTCCTATTGTGAATAGAGCCACAATAAACATACGTGTGCATGTGTCTTTATAGCAGCATGATTTATAGTCCTTTGGGTATATACCCAGTAATGAGATGGCTGGGTCAAATGGTATTTCTAGTTCCAGATCCCTGAGGAATCGCCACACTGACTTCCACAAGGGTTGAACTAGTTTACAGTCCCACCAACAGTGTAAAAGTGTTCCTATTTCTCCACATCCTCTCCAGCACCTGTTGTTTCCTGACTTTTTAATGATTGCCATTCTAACTGGTGTGAGATGGTATCTCATTGTGGTTTTCATTTGCATTTCTCTGATGGCCAGTGATGATGAGCATTTTTTCATGTGTGTTTTGGCTGCATAAATGTCTTCTTTTGAGAAGTGTCTGTTCATGTCCTTCACCCACTTTTTGATGGGGTTGTTTGTTTTTTTCTTGTAAATTTGTTTGAGTTCACTGTAGATTCTGGATATTAGCTCTTTGTCAGATGAGTAGGTTGTGAAAATTTTCTCCCATTTTGTAGGTTGCCTGTTCACTCTGATGGTAGTTTCTTTTGCTGTGCAGAAGCTCTTTAGTTTAATTAGATCCCATTTGTCAATTTTGGCTTTTGTTGCCATTGTGTTTGGTGTTTTAGACATGAAGTCCTTGCCCATGCCTATGTCCTGAATGGTAATGCCTAGGTTTTCTTCTAGGGTTTTTATGGTTTTAGGTCTAACGTTTAAGTCTTTAATCCATGTTGAATTAATTTTTGTATAAGGTGTAAGGAAGGGATCCAGTTTCAGCTTTCTACATATGGCTAGCCAGTTTTCCCAGCACCATTTATTAAATAGGGAATCCTTTTCCCATTGCTTGTTTTTCTCAGGTTTGTCAAAGATCAGATAGTTGTAGATATGTGGCGTTATTTCTGAGGGCTCTGTTCTGTTCCATTGATCTATATCTCTGTTTTGGTACCAGTACCATGCTGTTTTGGTTACTGTAGCCTTGTAGTATAGTTTGAAGTCAGGTAGCGTGATGCCTCCAGCTTTGTTCTTTTGGCTTAGGATTGACTTGGCCATGCGGGCTCTTTTTTGGTTCCATATGACTTTAAGGTGGTTTTTTCCAATTCTGTGAAGAAAGTCATTGGTAGCTTGATGGGGATGTCATTGAATCTGTAAATTACCTTGGGCAGTATGGCCATTTTCACGATATTGATTCTTCCTACCCATGAGCACGGAATGTTTTTCCATTTCTTTGTATCCTCTTTTATTTCACTGAGCAGTGGTTTGTAGTTCTCCTTGAAGAGGTCCTTCACGTCCCTTGTAAGGTGGATTCCTAGGTATTTTATTCTCTTTGAAGCAATTGTGAATGGGAGTTCACTCATGATTTGGCACTCTGTCTGTAATTGGTGTATAAGAATGCTTGTGATATTTGTACATTGATTTTGTATCCTGAGACTTTGCTGAAGTTGCTTATCAGCTCAAAGAGATTTTGGGCTGAGACGATGGGATTTTCTAGATATACAATCATGTCATCTGCAAACAGGGACAATTTGACTTCCTCTTTTCCTAATTGAATACCCTTTATTTCCTTCTCCTGCCTGATTGCCCTGGCCAGAACTTCCAACACTATGTTGAATAGGAGTGGTGAGAGAGGGCATCCCTGTCTTGTGCCAGTTTTCAAAGGGAATGCTTCCAGTTTTTGCCCATTCAGTATGATATTGGCTGTGGGTTTGTCATAGATAGCTCTTATTATTTTGAGATACGTCTCATCAATACCTAATTTATTGAGAGTTTTTAGCATGAAGGGTTGTTGAATTTTGTCAAAGGCCTTTTCTGCATCTATTGAGATAATCATGTGGTTTTTGTCTTTGGTTCTGTTTATATGATGGATTACATTTCTTGATTTGCATATATTGAACCAGCCTTGCATCCCAGGGATGAAGCCCACTTGATCATGGTGGATAAGCTTTTTGATGTGCTGCTGGATTCGGTTTGCCAGAATTTTATTGAGGATTTTTGCATTAATGTTCATCAAGAATATTGGTCTAAAATTCTCTTTTTTGGTTGTGTCTCTGCCTTGCTTTGGTATCAGGATGATGCTGGCCTCATAAAATGAGTTAGGGAGGATTCCCTCTTTTTCTATTGATTGGAATAGTTTCAGAAGGAATGGTATCAGTTCCTCCTTGTACCTCTGGTAGAATTTGGCTGTGAATCCATCTGGTCCTGGACTCTTTTTGGTTGGTAAGCTATTGATTATTGCCACAATTTCAGATCCTGTTATTGGTCTGTTCAGAGATTCAACTTCTTCCTGGTTTAGTCTTCGTAGGGTGTATGTGTCGAGGAATTTATCCATTTCTTCTAGATTTTGCAGTTTATTTTCATAGAGGTGTTTGTAGTATTCTCTGATGGTAGTTTGTATTTCTGTGGGATCGGTGGTAATATCCCTTTATCATTTTTTATTGCGTCTATTTGTTTCTTCTCTCTTTTCTTCTTTATTGGTCTTGCTAGTGGTCTATCAATTTTGTTGATCCTTTCAAAAAACTAGCTCCTGGATTCATTAATTTTTTGAAGGGTTTTTTGTGTCTCTACTTCCTTCAGTTCTGCTCTGATTTTAGTTATTTCTTGCCTTCTGCTAGCTTTTGAATGTGTTTGCTCTTGCTTTTCTAGTTCTTTTAATTGTGATGTTAGGGTGTCAATTTTAGATCTTTCTTGCTTTCACTTGCGGGCATTTAGTGCTATAAATTTCCCTCTACACACGGCTTTGAATGTGTCCCAGAGATTCTGGTATGTTGTGTCTTCGTTCTCGTTGGTTTCAAAGAACATCTTTATTTCTGCCTTCATTTCGTTATGTACCCAGCAGTCATTCAGGAGCAGGTTGTTCCGTTTCCATGTAGTTGAGTGGTTTTGAGTGAGTTTCTTAATCCTGAGTTCTAGTTTGATTGCACTGTGGTCTGAGAGACAATTTGTTATAATTTGTGTTCTTTTACATTTGCTGAGGAGAGCTTTACTTACAACTATGTGGTCAATTTTGGAATAGGTGTGCTGTGGTGCTGAAAAAAATGTATATTCTGTTGATTTGGGGTGGAGAGTTCTGTAGATGTCTATTAGGTCTGCTTGGTGCAGAGCTGAGTTCAATTCCTCGGTATCCTTGTTAACTTTCTGTCTCGTTGATCTGTCTAATGTTGACAGTGGGGTGTTAAAGTTTCCCATTATTATTGTGTGGGAGTCTAAGTCTCTTCGTAGGTCACTCAGGACTTGCTTTATGAATCTGGGTGCTCCTGTATTGGGTGCATATATATTTAGGATAGTTAGCTCTTCTTGTTGAATTGATCCCTTTACCATTATATAACGTCCTTCTTTGTCTCTTTTGATCTTTGTTGGTTTAAAGTATGTTTTATCAGAGACTAGGATTGCAACCCCTGCCTTTTTCTGTTTTCCATTTGCTTGGTAGAGCTTCCGCCATCCTTTTATTTTGAGCCTATGTGTGTCTCTGCACATGAGATGGGTTTACTGAATACAGCACACTGATGGGTCTTCACTCTTTATCCAATTTGCCAGTCTGTGTCTTTTAATTGGAGCATTTAGTCCATTTACATTTAAAGTTAATATTGTTATGTGTGAATTTGATCCTGCCATTATGATGTTAGCTGGTTATTTTGCTCATTAGCTGATGCAGTTTTTCCTACCCTTGATGGTCTTTACATTTTGGCATGATTTTGCAGTGGTTGGTGCCGGTTGTTCCTTTCCATGTTTAGTGCTTCCTTCAGGAGCTCTTTTAGGGCAGGTCTGGTGGTGACAGAATCTCTCAGCATTTGCTTGTCTGTAAAGGATTTTATTTCTCCTTCACTTATGAAGCTTAGTTTGGCTGGATATGAAATTCTGGGTTGAAAATTCTTTTCAATTCTTTTCTTTAAGAATGTTGAATATTGGCCCCCACTCTCTTCTGGTGTGCAGAGTTTTTGCTGAGAGATCTGCTGTTAGTCTGATGGGCTTCTCTTTGTTGGTAATCCAACCTTTCTCTCTGGCTGCCCTTAACATTTTTTCCTTCATTTCAACTTTGGTGAATCTGACAATTATGTGTCTTGGAGTTGCTCTTCTCAAGGAGTATCTTTGTGGCATTCTCTATATTTCCTGAATGTGAATGTTGGCCTGCCTTGCTAGATTGGGGAAGTTCTCCTGGATAATATCTTGCAGAGTGTTTTCCAACTTGGTTCCATTCTCCCCGTCACTTTCAGGTACACCAATCAGACGTAGATTTGGTCTTTTCACACAGTCCCATATTTCCTGGAAGCTTTGTTCGTTTCTTTTTATTCTTTTTTCTCTAAAGTTCCCTTCTCACTTCATTTCATTCATTTCACCTTCCATCACTGATACCCTTTCTTCCAGTTGATCACATTGGCTCCTGAGGCTTCTGCATTCTTCACGTAGTTCTCGAGCCTTGGCTTTCAGCTCCATCAGCTCCTTTAAGCACTTCTCTCTATTGGTTATTCTAGTTATACATTCGTCTAAATTTTTTTCAAAGTGTTTAACTTCTTTGCCTTTGGTTTGAATTTCCTCCTGTAGCTTGGAGTAGTTTGATCGTCTGAAGCCTTCTTCTCTCAACTCGTCAAAGTCATTCTCCGACCAGCTTTGTTCCATTGCTGGTGAGGAACTGCGTTCCTTTGGAGGAGGAGAGGCACTCTGCTTTTTAGAGTTTCCAGTTTTTCTGCTCTGTTTTTTCCCCATCTTTGTGGTTTTATTTACTTTTGGTCTTTGATGCTGGTGATGTACAGATGGGTTTTTGGTGTGGATGTCCCTTCTGTTTGTTAGTTTTCCTTCTAACAGACAGGACCCTCAGCTGCAGGTCTGTTGGAGTTTGCTAGAGGACCACTCCAGACCCTGTTTGCGTGGGTATCAGCAGTGGATGCTGCAGAACAGTGGATATTGGTGAACAGCAAATGTTGCTGCCTGATCATTCCTCTGGAAGTTTTGTCTCAGAGGAGTACCCGGCTGTGTGAGGTGTCATTCTGCCCTTACTGGGGGGTGCCTCCCAGTTAGGCTGCTCAGGGGTCAGGGGTCAGGGACCTACTTGAGGAGGCAGTCTGCCCGTTCTCAGATCTCTAGCTGCATGCTGGGAGAACCACTGCTCTCTTCAAAGCTGTCAGACAGGGACATTTAAGTCTGCAGAGGTTACTGCTGTCTTTTTGTTTGTCTGTGCCCTGCCCCCAGAGGTGGAGCCTACAGAGGCAGGCAGGCCTCCTTGAGCTGTGGTGGGCTCCACCTAGTTTTAGCTTCCTGGCTGCTTTGTTTACCTAAGCAAACCTGGGCAATGGCGGGCGCCCCTCCCCCAGCCTCGCTGCCTCCTTGCAGTTTGATCTCAGACTGCTGTGCTAGCAATCAGCGAGACTCCGTGGGCGTAGGACCGTCGGAGCCAGGTGCAGGATATAATCTCCTGGTGTGCCATTTTTTAAGCCCGTCGGAAAAGCGCAGTATTAGGGTGTGAGTGACCCGATTTTCCAGATGCTGTCTGTCACCCCTTTCTTTGACTAGGAAAGGGAACTCCCTGATCCCTTGCATTTCCTGAGTGAGGCAATGCCTCGCCCTGCTTTGGCTCGTGCACGGTGCACTGCACCCACTATCCTGTGCCCACTGTCTGGCACTCCGTAGTGAGATGAACCCAGTACCGCAGATGGAAATGCAGAAATCACCCGTCTTCTGCATCACTCATGCTGGGAACTGTAGACCAGAGCTGTTCCTATTCGGCCATCTTGGCTGCCTATCGAGGCCATTATTATTCACTGTTTGGGAGACTGCAATAGTCGTTTCAACAAATGAAATTGATTCCACTTTCCACACTGTAGCCAGAAGGAATATTTCTAAGTCAAATCTCAACATTTGCTTCTCTGCCTACAATTCTTTATTGGTCCCCAGCCTGACCTCCTACTACTCTCCAGGTTTATATGTAAAAACTATTTGCTAGTTTCAGTTATGGGATTGCCCATTTGTCCCTTTTTGTCTGTACATTCTTTTGTTTACAATTTCCTTCTTGGTCTCACAGGTGAATCTTTTCTTCAGCCTCAGCTTCCAGGTTCTCTCCTCTGAGAAACCATCCTAAATCATCCAGATGGTAAGGCATGTTCTCTCAGATCAACAATTATCTTTATTATGTAACTGCCAGGCGTTAACTGTGTATGCTGGAAATTGAACTGTGAAGACAGTGTTTCCTGTCCTCATAAAGTATATAGAGAGGGAGACTAACATTTTAGACAGTTTAGTCAGTTTTATTGAATGCTATAAAGATGTCGTGTTATGATTATAATATATGTATACCTTATATGCACAGTATGTTACGGACGTATAACCATCTTAGGAGAGTATCAGAGGCCAGCTTCCCTTGGAGACATTGAAATTTAATGGGTGGTCCCATTATAACCTTTAGAATTCTCTATTAAAAAGTACCTGGGCAAATGCTTTTGAATTGTTGCTGTGAAAATACTATTTTGACTAGCTAATACGTTATATACCACAACTCTCAAAAGATCCTTTTGACCATCACAAATCTAAGACTGATCTACAATCTATGGGCAGATTGAAGTCCACAATTTAAATTTATGTATAACAGGTAGTATGTACAGGATCTTCTACTCCTAGCAATAACCTAGCCAGTATTATCCCTATTTTATAGATAAGGAAGTTGAGGCTCAACTATTCCAAAGTCCCCCTATTCAGCAGTTGAGTCAGTCAGTGGTCCCAACCCAGGGGTTTCAGGACGCCAAGCTCTCTTTCCACCATGCACTTGCCTACTTCTGTATCTTATTTCCAGAATCTTCTAGTGTTTAGTCGCTAGTAGGTGCCTCACAAATAAATACACGTGAAAGCCTAATGCTAAAAGTAGCATTATTTTTACTATCAACCTCACCAACACACACTACGACTTCATCCCATTAGGACTGAGAGGCTTTCCACATCTGGTTTAAAGCTTGCACAAAAAATAGTAATTCCAAGCTGTGCATTAAACCCCATTACACCCTGTTTTGTACTCAATGCCACTAATTTCCCACAACGTCGTCAGGGAAAAAAACGACAACAAAAACATCTTTTGACAATATTAGTCTTCTAAGTCCGCCTTCCACGTCCCTCTAAGGGCCCCAGCTCCGGGTCCGTCTTCTTAGGCACTCAAGGTTTCTAAACTTGGGGCTTCCAGCCGGTAAAACTAAAGGCACGGGGTTCAGGGGTCATTGGAGGCCCACGGGACCCCCTTAACCCCTTCCACCCCTTCCCTATTCGCCCATCTCCATGTCGTCTCCTTAGCCTTTGAGTGGAAAAAGCGTCAGCCCGAAATCCCCACCAAGCCCAAGAATGGGCAAAACCTCGGCGCGCACAGGACCAGCGAGAAGAGGATGGTTCCGGCCCTGAGACTAGAGCGGCGGCGACGCTCGGCGTACGCGCTGCCGTCACGCCGCAGCCCGGCAGCGCAGGCTCCTCCCACGACGCTGCGGGTCCGGTTTCCGGCGGGAGCGTGGGCCGCCAGACTCGGGAGAGGCTCCGTCTTGTGCAAGGGTCCTGTGGGCTGGCTGCACTGGCCTCTGCGGTGGTGCCTGCCAGAATGCCCCACTTGGAAAACGTGGTGCTTTGTCGCGAGTCTCAAGTGTCCATCTTGCAGTCCTTGTTTGGAGAGGTATTGTAGTTAAACTGTCTTCCAGATCCTGGAGGCAGACGTTTCGGTAGTCTTGCGACCTGTTCCAATATTTGTTTTTTCGTGTTTGGATTGAGGGCCAAAAGGCCGTTTTTACGTTAAATAGGGGTGTTGTGGTTCTGTACTGCAGCTTCACCCACAGTCTCTTCCGAATATTGAAGAGGAGACAGTCTGAGAGCGACCGGCCTGCACTATAGGACGTTGCCTAAGACGTATTTGAAACACGCCACACTTTTCAGAAGTTTGCCCACATTAGCTCCTAGAAGTTGCTTGTTATCTTACCCCAACCCAATGACATTTATGTAACAGATGTGTTTGCAGGGTGTTATTTATTCAAATGTAAGTTCACACGTTTCTGTGCGGTAGTTGGAGTGAGTCAAGTGTAGAGAGGTGGTTGCTTTCAAGGCCACTAAGGGCCAAAGCAGTGCTTCAGGTTTAAAAATTTACTGGCTTTTCCAGAATTGTAACAGTCCAGAAGAGGTCTAGGGTAAACTTTTCTCCTTAACTGATAGTTCACAGGATGCCCTAGAGAGGAGTTTGTCTTGTCTGGATGAACATAGATACGTAGGGAGTCCTTTCAATAGGCAGAGGGTAGCGTTCACCAATTCAAAATTTAACCTATTTTTGACTATTTTCTGGTGGTCTTTGATGTGCTTTTTGATTCAGACTCAATCAGAATTGGAATTAATCAAACTTGGATCTTACCTGCGAAGAGAGTGAATGAGAATTCAGGGTCATACTCATACCCCCATCTTCTGGTTTGCTTTTTTAAGTACAGTCATGCGTTGCTGCCACTTAGTGAGGGGGATACGTCCTGAGAAATGCATCGTTAGGCAATTTAATCCCTGTGAATATCAGAAAGTGTATTTACACAAACCTAGATGGTGTAGCCTGCTATACACCTAGGCTGTATGGTGTAGCCTGTTCCTCCTAGGCTATAAACCTCTACAGCGGTGCTACTATACTGAATACTGTAGGCAGTTGTAACACAGTGATAAGTCTGCATCTAAAAGTGTCTAAACATAGAAAAGGTACAGTGAAAATAGGGTATTATAATCTTATGAGATCACTGTTGTATATGTGGTCCATCTTTGAATGTACACGTGACTGTACTTTCATCCAACTAGAAATATTGCATGGCAATTTGAGGTGGCCTGTGAAGCATTAGTGGAAAAGTACTACCCTCTGTCTAAAGGGGTGCATTATTTAGGGAAGTTAGAGGTCAACAACTGCATCTTCAATTAATTTTCTATTTATACTGCTTTCAATTATAGTTATATTATTACTGGAGCATTTTCTTGATTATGTTCTCTGCATTTCATCTATGGAACGCAGATCACTCCAGCCAGAAATGTTCCTGCTGAAAGAGCAAATTGGCAAATAGGGATGAGTAAACTTAGTGGTGGATCACAGAAGAGTTTTTGACCTTTGCTTTTAATGAAAATTATGTTTAACAATATTTTAATATCAGTTTTCTGCAAGGTGCTGTGCATGTGGGAAATACAAACAACTATAGCAAAGAAATATAAAAAATTGGTTCATGTTTCTAAGAATACTCATTTATTTGTTCAATAAATAAATATTTACCGAGCACCTTTTCTGTGTCAGGTACTAGCTTATTGCAGTTTATGTTAGCGAGATTTATGAAGGTGAAAGGTTAAATAACAGTGGAACAGTTCAATATAATTCTAGGTCACAATAGAAAAGATGTTTAAGGTATTATTAGGCAACAACATGTAATGGATAGCAGAGATACTCAGCAACATGCATTTAATTCTTGAGACAGAATTTTTTGTTTTTGTTTTTTGAGACAGGGTTTGGCTTTCTTTCCCAGGCTGGAGTGCAGTGGCATGATCTTGGCTCACTGCAGTCTCTGCCTCCCAGGCTCAAGCAGTCCGCCCACCTCAGCCTCCGAGTAGCTGGGACCACAGGTGTTTGCCTCCAAGCCTGGCTATTTTTGTGTTTTTTGTAGAGATGGGGTTTCACTGTATTTCCCAGGCGAACTCCTGAACTCAAGTGATCTGCCTGCCTTGGCCTCCCAAAGTGTTGGGATGACAGGCTTGAGCCACTGCATCCTGCTGAGACAGAATTTTTGGGCCAGTTAATTTATGATTGTTACATATAAACTTCAGAAAAAGATTCATGTATTACATTACCTATTCATTTCAAGTAAATTTTTAGTCTATTTTTAGCAGTTGAGCTGCTTTTGCCATAGCTGTATGCCATTTAGAAAGTCTTTTTCCTGCGTAAATCTGAGTTCCTGATTTGTCTTGTAAAAGGAAATGTTTAACTTAGTGACTTGAATGTAATAAATGTTTGTGACTGTTGCTGTAATCGATGATAATTAATAGAGACTTAACTTTCTGATAGAAATTGCATAATCCCATTTTCTTGTAATTATTTAAAAAAATGTATTATTAAAAAATAGGCCAGGCACAGTGGCTCACACCTGTAATCCCAGCACTTTGGGAGGCTGAGGCAGGCAGATCACAAGGTCAGGAGTTTGAGACCAGCCTGACCAACATGGTGAAACTCCGTCTTAACTAAAAATACAAAAATTAGCTGGGTGTGGTGGCACACACCTGTAATCCCAGCTACTCAGGAGGCTGAGGCAGGAGAATCGCTTAAACCCGGGAGGCAGAGGTTGAAGTGAGCCGAGGTCACGCCATTGCACTCCAGCCTGGGTGACAGGGTGAGACTCCATCTCAAAAAAAAAAAAAAAAAAAAAGAGTATTATTAAAAAATCAAGTTTTCCCGTAATTATTTTAAAAATGTAGACTATAATTTCCTCCAAAGTAGATAATGTCTTTTACTGTTATTTGTTCTCTTCAGTACCTCATGGTTTTCAGCATTTAGTAGGTATCTAATGAAAGCGTTCATTTAAGGAATGAAGTACAAGTATTTGTAGTATTAACTAGACCAGAGAGACCTTTGACAATATTTACTTTTCTCTAAGCTGCTAACCTAATGTACTGCAAGAGGATCTTGCACATATGTATTTTAAAATAAATGCTATGCAGATTTTATTAGTGTTTTATGTGATCTAATGTATGCATTTATGCCAGCATCAGTGAGTATGCATAGTTCAGAAGTAGTCTATAAGTTTTCCTAAGAATGAGGACCCTTGAAATTCCTTTTAATCTTTTGATTATATGTACTTTATTTCATAGCATTAAAATGTATAGTGAAGTTGTGGCATCGCAGGAGATAAGAGTCTTTAAGAAGGAGTAATATAAAAATGGAGTATGAACAAAATTATCCTTGAAAAATCTCTTAAATCTGCTATGAAGTTGAAAATACTAGTTTGTATATGTAAACCTGTACGATAATAAAAATATAAATATATAGTACATAATAAAATATGCCAAATATGTTACATACATTTTAATTTCATAACAAAGAAAGTGCTTAGAGTTGAATTCAAGTAGGTTCAAAGTGTGTTGATGCATCCACAATATGCTCATTGTTAGGAATTTGGATTGAATATTTCACTTTTCCACGTACAACTTTCTCACAAGTTGATAAGTGTTTATTTTCTATTTTGTATGTGCAGCCTCATATTTGTCTTTTCTCTCGTTAGAGACATCATTTCAGCTTTCCATCCATTTTTATTTATGGACATACTGCTAGTGGAAAGACCTATGTAACACAAACGTTGTTGAAAACTTTAGAGGTAAGAATAAAAATATTAAATATTTCTTTGCCATTTTTAGTGTATAATATTGGTACTGATAATTGTGAATCTCCACAAATGCAAAATTGAACATACCACCTTTACATTACTCTCCTTCCCATATTATCTTTCTCCATGAATGGTCTACTGTCATTGACACAGTTGTCCAAACTTGCACTTTCTTAACTCTTTCCTCATCTTCCCTCATTTAGTAAATCACATCAATAAACTTAGTCTGTTGCTTCACATTGTTAAAATCATGTCTCCATCTACCTTTAATCCTAGCCATTGCTGCTAGGATTTTCATTTACCATTGTTTTTTTTCCATGTATTTCTGTAAGCCTCTTATTTGCAATCTTCACCCAGCAGCTAGGCCATGCAAATCTTAATATTTTCAGGACAGTGTTCAAGTAATTCGCCCATTGTATAAGACCTTTCATGAGCTGAATTTATCTTTCATAACACAGTGGTTAAGAGTTTGGGCTGTGGAGTCTGGCAGACTCATGTTCCTTTTTGGATTCACCAGTTAGTGCTTTCTCCATCTGCAAAGTTGGCTCATAGTGACAACATTTGGGATTAAGAGAATTAAATGTTAGCACATGGAAAGTGCTTTCTGCAGTACATAGTGCGTAGTAAGCACTCAATAAAGGTTAGCTGCTATTATTGATGAGTATTGCCATACTCCCTTTCATATCCTAAACCAGAGATGGGCAGTCTTTTTCTTAAGGGCCGGATAACTAACATTTTGTGCTTGTGGACCACGTAGTTTCTGTCTCACCTGCTTGACTCTACTGTATTGTGAAAGCAGCCATGGGCATTCTCTATGTGAATGGGCATGACTGTGTTTCAAAGCAACAGTATGTACAAAAACAGGTGGCTAGCCCACAGGCTTTGGCTTGCTAACCCCGTCCTCCTCTAGCACTGAGGATGCACGTTTAGGATAGCATACTGAACTGTGTACAGTTCCTGCTGTCTTACTTTCAAGCCATGGCACATGTTGCTCCCCTACTTGGAATGGCTTTCCTGTACTCGCTCTTCCTGTTGCTTGGCAAATGCTTATTTATTTTGCCAGGTTTTCTTCTACTTATACTCTACAAGGTCTTTCCTGATCCTCTAGGCTGTATCAGATGCCCCCCTGTTTTGCAACCTTAGCACCCTGTGCTTAATTCTGTCATAATATTTAGCCTTCTCAGCTATGATTTTGTGTTTATGTTTCCCTGGCTTTAGATTGTGAGTTTCTTGAAATTATCCCCAGCACCAAGCACATTACTTGGCACGTATTAACTTGTGGATTTCAGCTTATTAAGTTGTAGATTTCAGCTTTTGATCTCAAAGATCAGCTGTGCATTTTAAAAAACACATATGCCTGGGCTATATACTGGACTTCAGAATCTGAGTGTACAAGGTCTTGGTCCAGGCATTTGCATTTCAGAACCCCCTGAATGAAGTGCCCCCAAAATATATGTTGAATAAAAGCAATAAAACCCAGTAAGGAAGTTTCATATTTAAGGACTGTATTCCATTTTTTATCACACTGTAGTTTCTGCTGTTACTTAATCAGTGTAATATATGATTATTGTTACTACTTCTGATACAGGGACTCAGACAGGCACTTAGAATATGCTGCCTTTAAAAGTCATGGATGGTACAAATGCCGTAAGCAAGACACTATTCATAACAGAGATGTTGTGGACTTTTGTTCTTAAAGGACAGTAAAGGAGTGAGAGAGAAGTGAGTTAGCAAATGCTGGTGAAACTGTCCCCAAGTAAGTTTAATGTGGCTTTAGTGACACTGTTATTCAGAGAAAGAAAAGCCTCCTTATTGGATAAAGTTTATAAAATCACTAAAAATAGTTACCAGTTCCATTATTTGTGCCAAGTGCCACAAGTTATCTTCCTCAGAATGAATCTGCTTTTGTGATCTTATTTTGAGGATAGACTGTATTGGTGAGCAAGTCTCGTTTGTGACCTTATTACTTCTGGAGTTAACTCATGTTGATATTTTGATAGTTTTTTAAATGAAGGGCTAGTTTTTTTTGTTTTGTTTTGTTTTTAAATGGGGTCTTGCTCTATTGCCCAGGTTGGAGTGCAGTGTTATGATCATAGCTCATTGCAGCCATGAATTCCTGGGCTCAAGTGATACTTCCACCTCAGCCTCCCAAGTAGCTGGGACTATAGATGTGCACCACCAGGCCTGTCTAATTTTTTTTACTTTTTTAAAGACAGAGTCTCACTGTGTTTCCCAGGCTGATCTTGAACTCCAGGGGTCAAATGATCCTCCCACCCATCCTAAAGCACTGGGATTACAGGCAGGAGCCATATGCCTAGCAAAGAGCTAGTGCTTACAGTCCTCGTAGGAGGATTGCTATGGTTTCTAACTCTTAAAATTCTTTTTTTTTTTGACTTAGTAAACGTTTATTCAAGGATATTATATTAAAGTTATAAGTGTGAAATTCCTATTAAGATTTTTAACATTCAAATATGCTTAGATTTCTTTTCTTTTTTTTTTTTTTTTAATAGTGACAGGGTCTCGCTATGTTGCCCAGGCTGGTCTGGAACTCCTGACCCAAAGCCTTGGGATTACAGACATGATCCACCATGCCTGGCTGATTTCTTTATAAGAATTCTTTATAGGAAAATACAAATTTGCTTTGAATTTCCATAAGAAAGAAATGGCAAGCTGAAAGAAATAATTGAAGTGAGTTTAATGAAGGGACAGTTTTATAATGGAAATTTTATGGGAATCACTAAGGGATGATGGTACACCAGGGCCTTTACCACCTCCAGGCCTGAAGGGACCATAGAAAGGAGCTGTTATTGGAACCAAACAAGAGGTGTAGCCTTAGAAGAGGGGCTGTCCAACTTGATCTTTGGTAGAAGAGTATCCACTGCCAAGCTAGGGCCACTGAGGGGTCATGGTGGGAGTCAAGGAAATCAATATCCAAACTTCTCTCCCACCATTCTCCCTTAGTCTCCTGCTGGTTCTTTCCATTGGCTTCTCCATCCAGAGACAGAAAATAAGAGAGTCCAGGTGATGTAATTCTGTAGCTGTCAGGCTCTTGGGGCATGGGGTGGGTTTGGTGGGATATAGATTTAGAAAGGCAAATGGAGACTATCCAGCACAGCCATTATTGTGTTTGTGTGTTTTCTTCTTTACTTACAGTGTTTTGGTTTTCGTTTTCAGCTCCCACATGTGTTTGTGAATTGTGTTGAATGCTTTACATTGAGGCTGCTTTTGGAACAAATTTTAAACAAATTGAATCATCTTAGTTCTTCAGAGGATGGATGTTCTACTGAAATAACCTGTGAAACATTTAATGACTTTGTTCGCTTGTTTAAACAAGTAACCACAGCTGAAAATCTTAAAGATCAGACTGTATATATTGTAAGTAATTTCATTTGATTAGATCATCTCTTATCTTGAAAACTGATAATTTATTAGATCAATTTTCATATATTTGTTTTGAGTCTCATTATGTACAGTGCTCTGTGCCAGGTGCTTTTAGTATACAGAAATGTATTAAATATATTCCTTATCCAAGGGAAGCTTCATTTAATAGAAAAGGTATGACACATACATACGACTACATGCAGAATGTGATAAGTGATTGTCACCAGATGCAAAATATTGACTGTGTGTGTCCAATACAGCTTCATGAGGTATTAGCATTTGAGACAGACCTAAATGAATCAGAGTATTCTAGGAAGAAATTGAAGTAGAGGAATTTCAGATAGAATTATATAAGTAAAGGCATGCAGCTGAAAATGGAGGCCAGAGAGTACCAAATAGTCTAGTTTTAGTGGGTTATAAAGTATGACGGGAGAAAAAGAAGACTGGAAGATAGGTTGGGCAGATTGTGGAAGGTCTAGAAAACTATACTAAAGCACTTCATTTAATTTCTTAGGGAGTGGATAGGAGATAGTAAAGACTTTAGAGCAACAAATATGCCTGGTTACTCTGAAGACATGTTAAAATGATCATCTTTGGAATTGGATAAGAACTACCCAAGACTGGATAGTTTATAAAGGAAAGAGATTTAATTGACTTACAGTTCAGCGTGGCTGGGGAGGCCTCAGGAAACTTATAATCAGCAGAAGGCAAAGGGGAAGCAAGGCACCTGCTTCACAAAGTAGAAGGAAGGAGAAGCTCCTTATAAAATCGTCAGATCAGATGTGAGCTCACTATCACAAGAACAGCATGGGGGAACCACCCCCAAGATTCATTTACCTCCACCTGGTCTCTCCCTTGACACATGGAGATTATGGAGATTACAAGTTAAGATGAGATTTGGATGGGGACACAAAGCCTGACCACACCATTCCACACTTGGCCTCTCCCAAATCTCATGTCGGTTTCACATTTCAAAGTCAACTGTGGCTTCCCAATAGTCCCCCAAAGTCTTAACTCATTCCAGCTTAATTAGCCCAAAAGTCCAAGTCCAAAGTCTCATCTGAGATAAGGCAAGTCCCTTCCACCTATGAGCCTATAAAATCAAAAGTAAGTTAGTTACTTTCTAGATACAATGGAGATACAGGCAATGGGTAAATACAGCCTTTTCAAATGGGAGAAATTGGCCCAAACAAAGGGGCTGTAGGCCCCAAGAAAGTCTGCAATCCAATAAGGCAGTCATTAAACTTTAAAGTTCCAAAATGATCTCCTTTGACTCCATGCCTCACATCCAGCCCACTGATGCAAGAGTGGGCTCCCACAGCCTCATGCAGCTCGACCTCTGTGGCTCCATGCCTCACATCCAGCCCACTGATGCAAGAGTGGGCTCCCATGGCCTTGTGCAGCTCCACCTCTGTGGCTTTGCGGGGTACAGTTGCCCTCTCTGCTGTTTTCACAGGCTGGCGTTGAGTATCTGTGGCTTTTCCATGCACACAGTGCAAGCTGTTGAATCTGCCATTCTGGGGTCTGGAGGATGGTGGCCCTCTTCTCATAGCTCCACTAGGCAGTGCCCAGTGGGGACTCTGTAGGGGGGGTCCAACCCCACATTCCCCTTCTGTACTGCCCTAGTAGAGGTTCTCCATGAGGGCCCTGCACCTACAGCCAACTTCTGCCTGGACATCCAGGCATTTCTGTACATCCTCTGAAATCTAGGCAGAGGTTCCCAAACGTTAATTCTTGATTGCTGTGCACCTGCAGGCCCCACATGTAAGCCGCCAAGGCTTGGGGCTTGCACTCTCTGAAGCAACAGCCTGAGCTATACGCTGGCCCCTTTTAGCCATGAGTGGGGATGCAGGACACCAAGTTCCGAGACTGCACAAAGCAGCAAGGCCCTGGCCCACAAAACCATTTTTCCCTCTTAGGCCTCTGGGCCTGTAATGGGATGGGCTGCCACGTGAAGACCTTGGAGACATTTTCCCCGTTGTCTTGGCTGTTAACATTTGGCTCCTTGTTACTTATGCACATTTCTGCAGCTGGCTTGAATTTCTCCCCAGAAAATGGGTTTTTTCTTTTCTACCTCATGGTCTGGCCACAGATTTTCCAAAGTTTTATGCTCTGCTTCCCTTTTAAATGTAAGTTCCAGTTTTAGATAATCTCTTTGTGAATGCATATGACTGAATGCTTTCAGAATCAGCCAGGTCACCTGTTGAATGCTTTGCTGCTTAGAAATTTCTTCCACCAGATACCCTAAATCATCTTTCTCAAGTTCAAAGTTCCACAGATCTCTAGGGCAGGGGCAAAATGCCACCCTTCTCTTTGCTAGAGCATAGCAAGAGTCACTTTTATTCCCTGTCCCCAATTAGTTCCTCATGTCCATCTATGACCACCTCAGTCTGTACTTCATTGTCCATATCACTATCAACATTTTGGTCAAAGCCATCTAACAAGTCTCTAGGAAGTTGCAAACTTTCCCATTTCTTCCTGTCTTCTGAGCCCTCCATCCTGTTCCAACCTCTGCCTATTACTCAGTTGCTATAACAGACTACCAAGGACTGGGTAATTTATAAAGAAAAGACATTTATTTCTCACAGTTGTGGAGGTTAGGAAGTCAAAGGTTGAGGTCCCTGCATCTGGCAAGGGCTTTCTTGCTGCCTCCTCTCATGATGAAAGTAGAAGTACAAGAGAGGATGAGAGTGAGAGCAAGAGGTGGCAGAAGTCCCTTTTATAATAAAGCCATTCTCTCAATAACCCACTCCCTTGATAACAATATTAATTCATTCATGAGGACAGAGCCCTTATGACTTAATCATCTTTTATGCAGCTTCTCTTCCCAATACTGCCACACTGGGGATTAAGTTCCAACACATGAACTTTGGGGGACATAGTCAAATCATGTCATTTTGTAAAGGCTTTGTAAATGCATTTCTTTTTGTTTTGTTTTTTTGTTTTTTAAAGGTTCTAGATAAAGCAGAGTATCTAAGAGATATGGAAGCAAATCTTTTGCCTGGATTTCTTAGATTACAAGAATTGGTAAGTAATGTGAGAAAGTGCTTTCTCCCCACAACTTAATCAATGGATTGTGTTGTAAAAGTTTTTCATTTTGCTATTTGATAGGTGAGAATTAGTATTTTAATATAATTTTAGTTTGCATTTCTTTTATCAGTAAAGCTCAGTGTTTTTTTCATAGTAAAATCAGTTGGTGATTTGATAGCATTTATTCTTCAATTATTTTAGCTTTTTCTCTGTAATTATGAAGTCACTGCTTTCTATTAAAAGTTTTAGATGTTGCTAGAATAAATGGCAGAGGGCCAGACTTTAAAATCTCAAGGATTTTAAAATTTTCTTTGCATTTCAAAATAAGGATAATCTAAAATAAGAATAGCATGGCTATTCTGGATCATCTGGATTTCTACCTTATAATCACTCAGTGTCAGAGTTTACTTTTGTATTTCAGTTTACTCTTGTGTTGGCTTCACAAAGTACAGTAAGTCCTCACTTAACATCTCAGTAGATTCTTGGAAATTGCAACTTTAAGTGAACTAGCCTACAGCAGGTTCTTCCTTACCTTCAGCATCATTTCATTATAACATTGTTGAGGAAAAAAAATTGGTTTCATTATATGTTGCACTTAAAGTCACAGTTTCCCAGAACCTATCAACAATATTAAGCGAAGGGTTACTAATTAATTCTACTGTGAATGTCATGGCCCAATAAGAAAAGGACAGGGGCGGACTTACTAGGCATTTGTGTCAGGTGAAAGCCAAATAATATCACAGATGAAACAGGGTTTTGTAATAGTTTGAATAAGGAAAATTGGTGAGGGAAATAGCTGTGGTTGTTTCCAGGTGAAACCATATTCACCGTATTCATAAAGGGAATAAAGATTTAGTTTGAGCAAAACAATACTATTCAATATATTCAGTTAATATTAATTTCAATTTTATTGGTTTTATAGTTCGTATTTATAAATTTATTTTGGTTTTATAATTTTGTAAGTGCTTTGAGTATAAGCAGTTTATACCTACCTAATTTTATGTTTGTATGTATTAAAGTATTAAGTAATATTATAATAAAGTAAATACTTGGGGAGAAGTGCTTAAAGCATTTCTGCCTTTCAAAGTTAAATACATTACTCAAATTTGAGAATCTGCTGGAAGTTTAGAGAGGCCACTGAAATTACTGTGTGCCCAAGGCTGACTCCTGAAGTTTACTTTTAGTAATAGTTGAGGGACGAGAGGTATAGAGAGGACAGGATAATAAGTGTAGCTATTGGTGGCCTATTCTGGAAGTTAACCTCACACAGTCTTGCTTTTCTTTGTTTCATTAACTCTTGACATTTTATTACTGAGACTCAAGATCTATCTTCTTTGAGTAGATGTCTACTCATTTCCTATTTCCTTTCCTTTTATTTATTTGTTTCATTTGTATTTGTGGGTTTTCGCATACTCATCCACTATTTCCTGTTGCTTTGCTCTAGAACTCACCATCTGGTATCCAGAGTGCAGTATTGTCTTCTTGCCTTTTCAGTGTAGATCACCCTGTTTTTTCCTCCTTATGCCCAGTAATGGTGATCATGCATCCCTTCACAACAATTAGGACTTTTCACCGTTTTTTAGTTTCAATTACAGAAACTGTTTGAAGAAAATTAAAAGATTTAGAGTAATCTCAGCTGAACTGGAAAAGAGAATTGCTTTGACATTTCTGCAAACATGCTTGATTTTTAAAAATGTATTTCATTTAAGAGAAATCTGGCAAAAGCATTTCTCATTTTTTTATGTTAAGTATTTATCTAAGTAAAGGGAAGTTTAAAATATGGTGGATATCATGTATACTGAAAGTACTTATCAGATGAATAGATGAGAACATTACCAATTTAAAATCTTTCTGCCCAATAAATATCTTCTTCTTTTAAGCCTCTCAATATATTTAAACTGATTTTATAAAATGCTTTTAGATAATCATATTTTTATAGCAAAAACAATTCAATAATTTGTTATTAGGAATGTGATTAGGGCATGCTATTTTACCCCTCTAGAAATAAATTCAGAGATTCTTAAAAAATCAGATCCAATATGATGGCTAATGCCTATAATTCCAGCACTTTGAGAGGCTGAGGCAGGAGGATCGCTTGAGTCCAGGAGTTCAAGACCAGCCTGGGCAACATACAGAGATCCTGTCTTTATAAAAGATACAGAATTTAGCTGGGCATGGTGGCACATGCCTCAGCTACTTGAGAGGTATAGGAGGATCACTTATGCCTAGGAGGTTGAGGCCACAGTGAGCTGTGATTATGCCACTGCACTCCAGCTTGGATGTGTGACAGTTTGCAAACGAATGAGCTCCTTGATTAGGTTTTCTAAATATGGTTTATTAATATGCAAATAATTTGTTATAGGTTAGAACTCTGGGGGGATGTATTTGAAAGAAAAATCCAAATGGAAATACTGCTCCGATTAAGATTTTTAAATGCGAAGTTACTTTTATTTCTTTCTTTTTACAGGCTGACAGAAATGTGACTGTTCTCTTTCTCAGTGAAATTGTTTGGGAAAAGTTTCGTCCAAATACTGGATGCTTTGAGCCGTTTGTCTTATATTTCCCTGATTACAGCATAGGTAAACCTTAAAACATTGTTTTGGCAAATGATATGCAGGAGAATAGTTTTTGTTGTTTGAAAGATTAAACTAGCATATTCAAATGGGAATACTTTGTTATTCCCATTTGATATTCAAATGGGAATTATAAATTTGATATTCAAATGGGAATTTGATATTGAAATGGGAATATCAAAGTATTATTGCCATTCAAATGGGAATATCAAAGTATTAAACTGTTAAGGTTTGCTGCCAATCTCAAATAAGATGTTTGTATTTCTGCACTTACAAAATTTTTATTTTGGAACTGTGAGAGGTTATTGTATAATTACTACATTTTTTTGGATGAGCAGCTCTCATATTTGTGCTAATGTATCTTCATTTTTTTAGTCACTACATTAAGATGTATATTTATATTGTGATTATGACATCTGTACGAATAATCAGACTAGACTTGTAAAGCATATTAAGAGTGTTGAAATCTTCATTTACCATATACTTGGGTTAAGTACCATGTTGCGCTTATATCTTTTGATTTTATAAATCTCATTTTCTTTACTGTAACTCATACAGTACCAATTACCAGCCCTTGTGTTTCTTATTTTCTTGGGGGCTCTATTTAATCTTAAATTTCATAGATCCTGATGATTTTGGTCTTTGGAAGAACACAATAGCTTTTTGTGTTGCTGAATAGCTTTGTGGATTAAGACTGGGCTGTCATACAGAGATGATACTTGGGATTCAGAGATTATAACTGTGAAGTATAAGATGGTTAGCAGTCTATAAAAAAATAGCATTCCATGACCTTGGCCTCATTAACACTATCCCTCTGAACTAATCAGCTGTAAACATACCTTAAGATTAACACATTTTTGTCTGTTTCCACCAGAACAGCAGTGAAATAACACCTTCTGTCATAGCCAATTAGCTGAGTTTTTTTTTAAACAGCAACCCAAAATAGATGGAGTCTTTATTGTCATTAATTTCTCATCCATAAAAATCCCAAAATAAAAAAGGGTAAGAGGAAAAGTGATAAAGGATTTTATTTAAAAAAAAAAAAAAAAGGCTCTGTACCTGTGTCAGCACTGTTCATAGTTCAGTTTTTCATGACCCATTTTAAGTACTGAAAAATTATTTAGAATTTAAGAAAATTATTAAAAAATGTTGATATTACACATTTCAGTCAAGTTGAATTAATGTAAGTAATTACAGAATTAAATTTTTAAAATTCTATAATTTAAATTTATAGATTTAAAATTTAAAAAGTAAAGATACAAAGCAGCATAGATGAAAGTTTGAGGACAAAAGTAAATAAAATGGTCTTACTAATTTTAGTGAGTATAGGATAATAGATTTTTGCAAAGTATATAATAATGGAGCCAAGTTAAATTCTGATTATTAAATTTTAGGGGGTTTTACATATTCAGTTTTGTTTTTTTTTTTTAAGCAAAAACACTGTAGTCAGACAAAAAGCCATTCAGAAGGGGAATATTAATTGATAAGTTGAAATTATGGTTAAGTGTGGAACCAGGGCAAAGAGATTATCTAAGTGATTAGTGTTACCTTGTCGTAATAACTTGAAACATGTCCTTTTCAGGAATATGGTGTCTGATTTTAAGGACCGCTCTCCTCTTAGCAGTTATGGCTAGGAGCCCAGTTTGGAAGTCGTTTTCTGGTCTTTACCTCATGCAGACTACTCATCTTTCAATGATGGATATTTTTTCTTTAGAGAGATTATAATGCATTTGATTAGGTTTTTGGTTTAGTTATTGTGTCAGTTTGGATAGATTAAGTTATGTTCTGATAACAATCTGAAATTTCAGTGACTTACAGTTTCCTACCTAAGAACATTTGTACTGCTGTTGTCTTACATTTTACTTCTATATTTATTATAAACCATGTAATACTATATTAATTATAAAACCTCAACTATTATTATAAACCTCAGATATTAAATATTATTATTTTGGCTTTAAAAAATAACAGGACAAAAAAGAAAATAACTTTTATTGTTTATCCTGCTGGGGATTTGTTGAGTTCTTAAGTCTGTGGGTGTATAGTTTCATCAGCTTTGGAAAAATTTCAGGCAGTGTTTCTTCAAATATTTTGTCTGCCCCCCTCACCTTTTCTTCTCTATCTTTTTTGTGTGGGATTGCATTATAGCTATGTTAGAGCACTTTATATTGTCCCACTGAAAGTCTGTTTATTTAAATTTTAAATCTGTGTGTGTGTGTGTTTTATTTGGGATTGTTTTTTGTTTCTATATCTTTCAGTTCACTGACTTCTTTTTTTTTTTTTAACAAGTGTCTAGTGGGCAGCTAATCTAATCCTGTAGAATATTTCATTACTGATCTCATTATGCTTTTGTTTTCTTTTGTATCCTTGAGCATATGAGCATACTTATGATAGTTGTTTTAATTTTCTTGTGTACTAATTCAGTTACCTCTTTTGTTTTGGGTTTGTTCCCACCGAGTAATTTTTCTCCATCTTGGGTATCCATTATGCTTTTTCATGTGTCTAGTAGTTTTTGATAGAATTATAGACATTGTGCTTTTTGTTGTGTTTTGGACTTTTTCTCATTAGCATTTTTAATTACTTACAGATACAGTTGACCCTTTTAAGGCTATTTTTAAGCTTTTTTTGGAGAGATGATCCAGAGTAGCCATTATTCCAGGGCTAATTTTAGCTCTACTTCTAAGACATAGTTTTTCTGGAATCTCTACTGAATGCCCTGTATGTTTAGCATGGTCTCTGCCTTCTGACTAGTGGCAACATGAAAAATTCACAGCCCTGTGTGATTTCTGGGAATTGACATATAGCTCTCCAATAATTGTTTTTTCCCTAAAAGTTGTTCTTGCATGGCTAGGGTTTTACCCTATGCATACACAGATTGGTATTAAGCTAAGACTTGAGGGGAACCCCTGTACAGATTTCTGGAGCTCTTTTTTGGCATAGCTTCCTCCCCTCAGGTACTCTGCCCTGCAAATTCTAGCTACCTCAGCTCCCTCAGCTCTGGTCTCTGTCTCCTCAACTCAGTAGGATAAATGAGCTCCTTTTGAAAGTCTCCTTGTACCACAGTCTTAAAATTACTTCTTGTTAGAAAGCCTGGCTGATGGTAGGACTCACCTTATTTGTTTACCTTTTCTCAGGTATTACGGTCCGTTACTGCCATTTGTTTGATATTTAAAAATAGTTGTTTTCTATAGTGTGTCCAGTTTTTAATTGATTATTAGAGGAGGGTATTTCTGGATGTTCCTACTCCCTCACAACTGGAAGCAGAAGTCTCTCTCCAAGGTAGGAATGGCTTTTCTTTGCACATTAGCCTATACTTGGATAGTGAAATTTTAAGACCCAAGGAGACAACCAGTGGGTTTCTCCTACCCTTTGTTTACTACCTCATGATACACTGTTTTCAGCTTTCTATTATAGATGGGATTTTTTTTTAATGAATTTGAATAGTCCTAGACTGTTAGAGCTGGCATGACTTGCTTATTATAGAATTATACTCTGAGATTTTTGTCTGTAGTCTATAAACAAGTTGCTAGGTTACTTTTACAGCAACACAGTGAGGATTCCTATTCTTATAAGACTTTCATCAGGGCTGAAATCGGCCGGTGATAACATCTAATCAACTGTCTTATGGGATACAGAGGGCTACCTGTAAGGAATACCTAGATGGAGATGTTCAAGGGGTACTCAGAAGTGCAGTCTGAGCTGGAGACTCAACTGTTTTCCAGATTTTCTTAGCCATTCATTTATAGAAGTTTGTTGTTGTTGTTGTTTTGCTTTATGTATGTTAATCTCTGTGATCATTTATCTCTTCCTTCCATCTCTCTTTTCTTACATCCATCCAGTTATTTGGTAGGTTTTATAGGTAGATATCTTTGTTTCTAAGTTTTATGGTACCTTTTAGAAATTTTCAGTATATTAACTATTTCCCCATGCCTAGTTAAAAAAACTTAGTGACATTATATTTAAAGTTTGCTATTAGAATGTAAAAGTACATGGACTCTACAGGGAAGTTTTGGCTTTTTTTTTTTTTTTCAGCAGTTTTGAAATAAAAAAGCAAATTCAGTAACAGTGTCTCATCTAGTATCCATTCAGGCTAATATTCTAAGTATAAAACTAGGCTTTGAAATTTTTTTTGTCAACTTCTGTGTTTAAATATTCCTTAATAGAGCTATTTCTAAACTTCTGTTTATAAATTTTCAGATAGTTCATATATATTTTTTGATCTTGTACCTGCATCTAATTGATTGGCAGGCACAAGAGTGGTTAAAATCAAGGGCCAATGGTAAATGGCCTGGCTAAAAATACTAACTTACTGGGAACCTTAAACAAAAGGAAATTGACATGATTAGAATATCCTGGAAGAGTTTTTCCTTGTAATTTTTGCAAAAAACTTGAGCCCTCTGGAACTAGGTTTAAAGTTGTAGTCATATGCAAAGAGCTCTTAACTAAGAAGTCTAAGGAGAGCATTGCACCAAGAAGTCAGAGGATCTTACAATAAGGAATGAATGACTAATTGATTCCTGTATTATGACTGGGAAATTTTGAATAATATATGGTTGTTTCCCTTTAAATTTTACTGTGTTTCTAAAATATGATTATTTCCAGCAGGATAAAGTATAAGGTTAGGACTCTTAATGTGGTATTTTATAAAGAGTCTGAGATATAATAGAAGTAGAGTAAAGATATCAAAGTTGTAGGGAGAAAATACGTTTTATACAAGGGGGAATAACAAAGTAAGGACTAGGATCAGGTGATGATTATTGTAAAAAAAGATTAATTCTTTTCATTTTATAAAACATGAAGAGCATTTTCTAGTTTGTTGGCAGTTTATGTACTATCCCCTTTTTCTTCCTAGTTGATTTACTTAATAGGAAGAAAAATAAACTAGAATCTACAGTATTTTTTCCCTTGTTACTGATTTTGCCGGTAATAAGGTTGTTGAGATTTTCTTTAGATGTCATTGTTTTCTATTTGTCTTAGTATTTAATAATTTTTTTTTTACCCTCAGTTTCAAAATTGTGATTTACTTTTTCAGAAGTATTTTTACTCAAAACACTTCTGACACCAAATGTGTGGGGTATTTTTGTTCACCCAACAACAAATTCTTCAGTTTTCTAGATATCAAATGGGTGTCCTAAAATTCAATTCACTTCTGACACTAACTACCAGAAGTTAGTGCAGACCTCACAAGTTAAGGGCTTAGTCCTACAAGAATATTAGCATTTCAGACACCATTCTAAGTCCCAGGTTTCTACCTGTACTCCAGAAAACTGGCTATAAATTGGGGTTTCACATGAGCCCCTCCTCAGGTTTGATAATTTGCTAGAATAGCTCACAGAACTCAAGGAAACACTGTACTTACTCCATTTATCATAAAGGATACAAATGAACAGCCAGATGAACAGGTACACAGGACAAGGACCAGTGGGGTCCCAAGCTCAGGAGCTTCTGTCCCTGTGGGGCTGGAGTGTGCTACCCTCTCAGCATGTGGATATATTTACTATCCTGGAAACTCTCAGAACCTCATCATTTAGGATTTTTTTATGGAGGTGCCATTATATAGTCATGATTTGATTAAATCATTGGTCATTGGTCATGGATTCAGTCTTTAGCCCTTCTCCTTTTCCCAAGGACAGGAGGTGGGGCCTTGATATGGTTTGGCTTTGTGTCCCCACTGAGATCTCATCTTGAATTATAATCCCGTAATCCCCACATGTCATGGAGGGACCTGTTGGAAGGTAATTGAATCATGGGTGCGATTCCCCCATGCTGTTCTCAAGATACTGAGTTCTCACGAAAGCTGTTGGTTTTATAAGTATCCGGCATTTTCCCTGCTGGCACTCATTCTCTCTCCTACTGCCCTGTTGAGTGCTTTCCACCATGATTGTAAGTTTCCTGAGGCCTCCCCAGCCATGCAGAACTGTGAGTCAATTAAACCTCTTTTCTTTGTAAATTACCCAGTCATGGGTATTTCTTCATAGCAGTGTATGTGACAATACAGGGCTCTAATCACTTGGTTGGTTCCTCTGACAACCAGTCCCCATCCTGAAGCTATCTAGGGGCCCGCTGTATTAGTCCATTCTCACACTGCTATAAACATACCTGAGACTGGGTAATTTATAAATTTATAAAGAAAAGGTTTAATAGACTCACAGTCTGTGGGCTGTACAGGCTTCTGCTTCTGGGGAGGCCTCAGGAAACTTGGAATCATGGTGGAAGGTGAAGGGGAAGCAAACACATCTTCACATGGCCAGCAGGAGAGAGAGCATGAAGGGGGAAGTGCTGCACACTTTGAAACAACCAGATCTCATGAGAACTCTATCACAAGAACAGCTAGGGGGAAGTCTGCCTCATGATTCAATCACCTCCCACGAGGCCCCTCCTCCACTGAAAATTTCAAATGAGATATGGGTGGGGACACAGAGCCAAACCATATCACCCATCAAGAAACACCTCATTAGTATAAATTGAGGTATGTTTTAAAAGGACTTATTATGAGTAACAAAAGATACTCCTCTTATCCTTCTCATTCAGGGAATTATGAGGGTTTTTAGAAGCTCTGTGCCAGGAACTGCAGTGAAGATCAAATATATATTTTTTATTATATCACAAATCACACTTTTGTATTCTAATCTTGTAATAGTTTTATTATTCCTTAATTGTTGCTGGGTCTGGGTGTTTTTTTTTTAATACCTTTGTTATAAAATGCTTGAAGATATGATTAGTGTACTATGTTAATCATTATAAGTTATTTTGTGTCCTGTGAACAGGCAACCTTCAAAAGATCCTGTCCCATGATCATCCTCCAGAGTATTCAGCTGATTTCTATGCTGCCTACATTAACATTCTTCTTGGAGTTTTCTACACTGTTTGTCGAGATTTGAAAGAGCTCAGACATCTGGTAAATGAACATTTTGCTTGAATATATATATATGTGTGTGTGTGTGTGTGTGTGTATACATATATGTGTATATATGTATTTTAATGTTTTCCATGTAGAAATGGTATGAGATAGGTTAGAAACTGAAATTTTATTCTGGGAATTTGCATATGGCCTCTAGAGACTAACATACCATAAGAAGGTAGATGTCTGTGGGTTAGTACAAACTTTGATTGTTTGATCTGATCAGAAAAATGTCATTCTCAGATCTTCTTACTCTTCCTTGTTTTTTCTCTAATTGCAGAAAATGCAGAACTCCATAAAAATCAAAATGAGGAATAACAGAAAAGAGATGTAAAAACTTGAGCAGTTTTACAACTCTGTTAATATTTTGTAACAGATTTTGTTCAAGTTTTATGTATGCGGTGATTGAGGTCTAGAATCTAGATGGATTTGAGTATGGTCAGAAGCTTTCATTGCAGGTCTTTCATTAACCACTGACCCTGAGCTGGTAATCTTTGTATAGATGGTTCTTTTTAATTTTTTTTTTTTAACAATTAGAATAGCTGTTTATATTTCATAGACAGTTTGGAAAATGTTGATGTTTAATTTTTCTTTGACCTTTTTTGTTTTAATTGTAGGGATGGGAAAGGAAAGAGACAAGAATTTCTGTTTTCCCTTTTAGAAATCTTCAATTAATTAAGATCTTATCTCCATTTAACAGAAAATAGTAATATATCTGAGGCTGGAAAACAGTCACTTTCAAAGTAACAGATTCTATGTCTCTTAGCACATTTTCTTCACTTTGTTCTTTTTCTGTTTTTGCCCTGAAAAGTATTACTTAGTTTCAGTGTGTGTTTGCGACAGAACACAGAAGGCAATCATTTAAAATTATGCTCACATTTAGTATGTTTTTGAAAGTTTCAGATTTCAGGGCTCCTCTGATTTACATGTAGATTTCAGACATCTTCTCAGCTGGGAAAAAACAAAACAGTTTTTCCAGTTCAAGCTTATCACTAACATTCCTCTAGAAGTTGGATGTCTTGGGATCCCTGGCTTCTGAGGGAAATGATAACACAAGAGACTTACAGAGAGGAGAGGGTCAGGAAAACGCACCTGAGTGAGATGGACTTAGGAGCAGATAATCCTCCTCGGTCTTTCCTGGAAAGTAACTTGCAGTTACCACTCTTTAGCACTCGAATCCTGTGGGAATCTGTGCTGACAGCCATTTCAAAGTAGATTATAAAGTACAAGAAGGAAAAATTTAGGGAAAATATTTATGGGAAAATAAAATGTAAAGAGAGAAATATATATTTAAATGTGGTATTTTTTAAAGTTCTTCGAGTTTCACTGTGGAATGATTTTATTTAGGGTGAGGTTACAGCTTTTTAAAAAATAATATTCATAAATGTGTAGTATGGTTTAAGTCTTATACTACTATTGGTAATAATAGAGAAAAGGATCCTTAAACATTAGAGAAAAATAGCACAATGTTCTTAGTTTTCTCTATATATAGAACATGGAAGAATAAAGATATTCATTTTCTTTTTTTTCTTCAGATAGTGTTGTTTGTGTTTGTTTCAAAGTTTGTAAGTGGCATATTTCTTGAAAGTTTATTAAATCACCTGAAAAATATTCTTTTCAGGGATCTTTTCTGGAAAGATGCTTTATGAATTGATATTTCTGTATTTTTCAGAGGCTAGTTCTATAGGTAGCTTAAGATAGGAGAAAATGAAGTACTACTTTGATATTCATTTAGGTTTGTTTTCTCTAACAAACCTTATGATACTGCCTTTTTAACTGTTATTCATAAATTATTAAACATATTTTAGTGTTTCAACCAAAGAGAAAATCAATACAGTTGCCCCTTGGTATACTTGGGGGATTGGTTCCAGGACCAGTCCCATATATATCAAAATCCTAGCACACTCAAACCCTGCGATCAACTCCGCAGAACCTGAGTGTAAAAAAGTTAGCCCTCCATATACATGGGTTTTGTATTCCCTGAGTACTGTTTTTGATCTGTGTTTGTGATCTGTGTTTGGTTGGAAAAAAAAAAAAATCTGTAGACAAGTGGACCCTCACAGTTCAAACCTATGTCGTTCAAGGGTCAGTTGTTTATTTTGATTAGCCAAATTGTGTACCAGTTGCTGTTAACATTATGACACTTTAGTGTTATTACACCATGCTTAGATCTGAAAATCTAAAATTAAGGTAAGAAAGTTTGGCTAAAGCGAATAATTTCTTTTTGATTCTTCTTCTCTACACTTAGTAGAATTTGGAAGATTTTTCTATTTTAAATCATTGTTTTTTATGAAGTAGAATAGGAAGAAATTATTTTAATGATTTGGTTCTTAGTTTTCTGTTATCTAGTTATATGTTATATAGTTACACATTTATATATATCTTTTTCTGTGCCTTATTGAATTATTTTGATATGAAATACTTGGGAACAAACTAATATATATATATTTTTTTTAAATAAATGGAATTAGTATGTTTTTAACCAGTTTGCTTAAACTGCTGTTCAGTAGAATTCCAGTGTTGATTCATGGAAAACTACTAAGTAGTTATAATTAGTTAATTAGTACTCCTCAAACTTTAGAATACATAGAGTTTCTAGAGAGATCGTTAAACATAGATTCCTGGGTCTCATCCTCAGAGATTCTGATTTGGTATGCCTGAGATGGTGCCAAGAACTTGCATTTATAACAATCGCAGGTAGTGCTGCCAATCCAAATACTTTGAGTCATACGAAACTCAATGATGTTTAGTTTATGAGAATGTTCAGACCTTAGAAAACAACAGTTAATTATTTGTGCTTGAGGTTTTTCATTATATGTTTTATGGTTCTATGTGACATAAATATAACCTAAAAGAACAAATTATGCTTTGTTACTGTAGGGAAGTTCACATTTTTACCCTGCAGTTTTGATAATTTGAATCTATAAAACAAACTAATAATAGATTAACGGGAAAAAAAAGGCATACAAATTTATTTTTTAATTTTAATTTAATTTTAAATTTAATTTTATATTAAGTTCCAGGATACATGTGCAGGGGCGTGCAGGTTTGTTACATAGGTAAAATGCGTGCCATGGTGGTTTGCTGCATCTATCAACCCCTCACCTAGGTATTAAGCCCTGCATGCATTAGCTATTGCATACAAATTTATTAATATGCATATGGGCACAGGAGCCTTACACAAAATATGAGACTCAAAAGGTGGGGGGCAGAAAGGGGGGCCAGCTGGTTCAAATTTTTATGACATCCTGAGGTTACAGAAAGAAAATGGGCTTGGAGCATGGCATAACAGGTTATTGGAGGGAGAGGAGCAAAGACTTGGTTAGGGAAGGCAGTCTTGTGCAAATGAAACCTCATAGGCAGCAACTTTCAGAAAGAATAGATGGTAGCCTGTGCTAAGTTTCTCTGTCACACCTTCAAAGGTGTCAGACCCTCAAGTCTCTTTCTTGAGAGTTAATCTTTCCTAGATCCAAGGTGGGGGGTGATCAGAGAAAGCCTGTTTGCATCTGCTGTTTTCTTATTTCCTCTACAGATGCAAATCTCCCTCACAAAATACAGCTTTTCAGGGCTGTTCTTGTGCTTGCAGCCCTTCTGATTAGCCATATCAAAATATACCAAAGAAGTATATTTTTGGTGAGATGCTCCATTCTCCTAATTTTGTATACAGAGGCTAATGTATTAGGCAGAATTTAGCCAATTAAGGAATATTTTATGTTGTGCTGTCATTATTAGTATTTTTGCTGTTTTGTTATTATAGTAATAAGCTACAATTACATTTTTTTTTAGAAAGAAGCAGGGTCTTGCCATGTTGTCCAGGCTGGAGTGCAGTGGCTGTTCACAGGTGCAGTCACAGCACACTACAGGCTTGATCTCCTGGGCTCAAGCAATCCCCCTGCCTCAGCCTCCTGAGTAGCTGGGATTACAGGCACATGCCACTGCGTATAATTACATTTGACTTGAGCAAATGTGTTAAGTAAAATTTCCTGAACTGCAATACAGATTTTACTTGAAAAATAAATTTCTAATTGTGATCGATCAGTGCTTTTTTTCTTCTCTTTTTTTTTCTTTACTTACAGGCAGTACTTAATTTTCCTAAATATTGTGAACCCGTGGTTAAAGGAGAAGGTAACTGTGTAATTTTACTCATTAATATTTATTTTGAGAAAGGTTTTTACAAGATATAAATTACTGAAATTTTCTTCCCTTTGGGGTAGCAAGTGAACGTGATACTCGCAAACTGTGGAGAAATATTGAACCTCATTTGAAGAAAGCTATGCAGACTGTTTATCTCAGGGAAATATCAAGGTAATTTTCTATTTAGTATGCATACTAGTTTTTATATCTTTATTTGGGATATATACTCTCTCAACTTAAATAACAGAGAGAGGGACTCTAAAAGAAAAAGATATCTGTTTGAGGATTGGCATTGCAATGGGAAAGCACATGCTGTAGTAAACTCTGCATCTTCAGGGAGGTAAAGGAAGACAAGGTTTTTAAAGGAAGAATGAAGAGAATTACATAATTGTTTTGAGATAATTATTCTTTGCTACAAGGATCAATTACAAGGATGGCGCCAGTTCAGAGCTGGACAGGGATTTGCCTGGCAGATGTCCTCATGGAGGTATTTTTTGTGGAAGATTGCATTAGCCTTTATACAAGGTTATGTTTTTTCCTGTCTTTTGTAATAGTTCTTTTTATCAGACATTATGCATGTGAACCCTTCCTTCATGGCCTTTCTTGGCTCTGTTTGTCAGGATTTTTAACACATGTGACCCCATTTTGATTCTGACAACTTTTTTCTTTTAATCAAGATTTTTCTCCAAAATCATTGCTGATCAGTCATCCTGTAGTTAGATTTTTATTGTCCCTTGGTGCCAGAACGGAGCTGTCCTGGGTTGTTGTCTGTTCACATGTCGAAGGGAGTGAATGGTGGCTAGGAGTCAGTGTCAGAACTCTTTTAGCCACAAGGGAGGTTTGAAGGGAGTGGCTGAGTCTACCTAGAGTCCGTTGTTAAGTTAATTTTGTGTGTTCCATAGGTGTTGGCTATCATTGCAAAGTGCTTGGGCCAGCATTGTTCTGTTAGGAGTTGTACTTCTGCAGAAATTGTTTTTTGAGACGTAGTTTCGCTCTTGTTGCCCAGGCTGGAGTGCAATGGCGCAATCTTGGCATACTGCAACCTCTGCCTCCTGGGTTCAAGTGAATCTCCTGCCTCAGCCCCTCGAGTAGCTGGGATTACAGGCACGCACCACCATGCCCGACTAATTTTTGTATTTTTAGTAGAGACGGGGTTTCAACATGTTGGCCAGGCTGGTCTCGAACTCCTGACCTCAGGTGATCCACCTGCCTTGGCCTCCCAAAGTGCTGGGATTACAGGTGTGAGCCACCACACCCGGTCACTGCAGAAATTTGACAGGCAACAAGTACAAAGTTTACAAAGGAAAATACAAAGTAAAATGTATAGTAATATGACAATCTCAGTTTGTATAGTGCTTTTGAACTGTGAACCTCCGCTTAAAGGGAACCTACTGAATAAATCAAATGACCACAGAGAGTTAGGTGAGACTTCTAACCATGTGGCCTATTTTCTTATTTGGTATATATGGGTCTCACCTTTTCCAGAGGAATTTATTCGGGTACAGCTTGTGGTATTAGCGGTAACACCGACATTTCCTTATGTAACCAATCCGTTTATCATCTAGTATTACATGACTGAGTTGAAACAAAGCAGAGTGAGCAACAATTGTATTAAGGATGTTGCCAAAGTTGCCCACTAGATGGACTAAAGAATCTTTTAGGTCAGGTTCTGTCAACTTACCAGCAGAAGCTGCTAATTGTAAAATTTCAATTATACCATTATCCTATCAAGTGAAAATGGTAGGCATTAAGAGGAGTAAGAGTCTCATTATGATGTGGAGTCTTGTTCTAATATCTTCGAAAAAACTGTTTCTATCATGAAACTGTCAACTTCTTATCCTGCTTTGCAGTTCGACTGTCTCTGGTTATGGCATTTAGTGGTTTGTTGACCCTTCTGTGTGGTCCACACATCAGGTACAAGGTTTGTTCCTTAAAATTCATCTAGCTTCAATGTATAAGGCTTCAGGAACAAAGTAGTCCCCCTTTTTAGTAATTTTATAGAAGAAAGTTGGATTGGGGGAACCTAGAAGAATTTAGAATCTAGTCTAGGCTACAGGTTGATTAAAACTCAAATACAATGCATAAAACTGCAAACTAATAACAGGTACATTATAGCTTTTTTTAAAGAAACATAACCTTTTCTCTCTATGTTGATCACATAGATTTTAAAACCTCTTGAGTCTAGGAAGTCAAACCAAGGCCGATTTAAGATTTTAGTTCCTGGGCCTGCCAGGAAGTGGCATTTTTTACTCACTCACTGTAAGGCTGAGAATCCTTGAAACCAGGCAATTCTGTGCACATTTTCTTTTTTTTTTTTTTTTTGAGACGGAGTCTCGCTCTGTCGCCCAGGCTGGAGTGCAGTGGCGCGATCTCGGCTCACTACAAGCTCCTCCTCCCGGGTTCACGCCATTCTCCTGCCTCAGCTTCCCGAGTAGCTAGGACTACAGGTGCCCACCACCACACCTGGCTAAATTTTTTTTTTTCGTATTTTTAGTAGAGACAGCATTTCACCGTGTTAGCCAGGATGGTCTTGATCTCCTGACCTCGTGATCTGCCTGCCTTGGCCTCCCAAAGTGCTGGGATTACAGGCGTGAGCCACCACACCCGGCCTCTGTGCACATTTTCTAATATGATATGACAGTCAAAGTCTTGGTAATATAACCAGTGTTTCCAATTATATCCTGTTATAAAGAGAGAGCAAATTCTTATTGAACTTAGTGAATAAACATATTTTCAAGGAGAAAAAAAATACCCATGAATAGTTTTTGAATTTTAGAGGAATGAAATGGGGAGAAAAAGCAGGTGCTTCACCTTGGTTCACAAAATATACTTTACTAAATTGCTAATTAGCAGTTCCATAAAACTATAAACTATAGGTAGATTAAGAGAGAAAATTTTCTCAAATCTGGAAAACAAAAACAAGCAAAAAACTAATGTTTCAAATAAAAATCATAAAAACATCCTCATCAGTTATTCAATCTCATGTAATTAATTTTTGTTCTGTTTGATCTTGATTAGCAGTTTCATGAGCCCATCATTTCTTCATTAGAGTTCTGATAGATTTTTATTGAGTCCATTGATCTTTAAGTTACTAGAAACTTGTATTTAAGAGTACTTGTTAGAATCTTATTTTATGAATCTGATTGCAAATGCTTTTAGATAAAAATCAGAACAATAACTGTAGGATGACAGAGACTTAGAATAGCCATGGATAAAAATTTGATGAAAGTTTACCATAATCAGAAATTGACAAGGAAATTTGATGATTTTTGTGGCATACATATAATGACCACAATTATGACTTGATGATATATTAGATCTCTAAGTTTTATGTAATTTTACACTGATATTAAACACATACCTATAAATATAACTGAAAGAAGATCCAGTATTACTTACCATTTGGCAATGCTTCTTACACAATTTACAAAATAAATTTAATCATTTAATATCTTTACAATATGAAAAATATGTCTTTTGAGGCTTTCCAGGGGCCTAGCTAGAAAATCCAAGTTAGTTCTAGGTCAAAAATATTTAATTTAGAATTTTGATATTGGGGAGGGAGGTCTATCAAAGATGTGAAAAGGTTTAAAACACCTGATCAAAACAGGATCACAGGTCACTGTGAAATGATAGTCATTCATTTAACCAGAATGATAATCAGAGGACTTCAAAAGCAATATAGAAAGTTACCTGGATTTAAAAAACATTAACCCTTTCAAAGCTATTTTCCTGAGTAATAAAAAATAAAAAACTAGTAAGAAAACACAGAAAGTTATCTTGATAAAATGCAAAATATTTGTTTCTTGGGACAGTTACCAAAAAAGTAAAGAAAAACCTCTTGCAGTATGATTGCTTCTCCTTATGGGAAGCCCATTTAGATAACCTGGAAGTTGAACCCAGTGAAAACAGTACTTGAATTTAATCAGACACAGGAAGAATGTGTGGTCAAGCTTGTGAGAACACACTATGAGTGTAAACAGAAAACTAGTACCTTGAGCAGGGAAGTACATGGCTTTTAGTAACAGCATGGGAACTTTTCTGGTTACATGGAATAATTCAGACACATTAAGAAAAGCCAAGTGTACAGAATCAAGTTATACTGGAGGAAAACATTGCTTTTGTAGGCCATCAAGACAAACATTTTAGAGTTAGACTTTAACAGCAGAGTTATAATCAGAGGAAAAAAGTGACAGGAGCTGATGAAAAAGTTAAAAGAGAGAGTTATCACCTCAATCAAGATTAAAGGTGTACTTTCTCAAGGGGAGAAAGAGTTGAAAGCAGTGATGTATGACATGCAGTAAGATGCAGCAAACATTAAACTTCTGAGATATAAGTCTGAGAAGCTTTAAGAGGAAAACTCTACCTCAAGAAATGAAATTACCATCCTAAGTGAAGAAGACAGCTTTACTAACGTGAAACTAGAAAATTAAATGAAGACTGTGAAACAGAAAAAAAAAACAACAAAAAAAACTGCAGTTTAGAAGATGGCTATTAAGAAGCAGATTTCAGAATTCAAAGTGAAAACCTCTAATTTTTACTAAGAGCAGATCAATACTTAGGAAAAAAAAAAACTTCTTTCTAATATAGTGGACCAAAGTTTTAGTTTTATATTGTGGATTGAGGGATATATTTATGTCGAAGTTTAATCTTTGGAAAGACTTACAAATAATTCCCTTCTAATTACAGCCAGCTTGATCACACACAAATTTAATAAATCTACCCTTCACAAACCTTGTAATGACTTACGTAAACCATCCATGACATGCTTAGATCTTTAGTTATTTTCTTATACTTTTAAATAACTACATTTAGGACAAACTATTTACCACACAAAATTATTTCTCAAATTTATCCTTTTTTTTGACTGGGTGTGATGCTTCACACATATAATTCCAGCACTTTGGGAGGCCAAGGCAGGACAATTGCTTGAGCATGGGAGTTCAAGACCAGCCTGGGAAACATGGTGAGACCCTGTCTCTTAAAAAAAAAAAAAAAAAAAAATTCACTTTTCTTTTTAACCTTCTTTTACCAAAAATACATCTTTATACCCTTAACTTTGCACATCTGTGTCTCCTACTTACTGGTTCCTTTCTGTCATGTTTCTGTTTTCTTAAATTTACTTTCTAAAATAACCTTAAATAACCTTCAGAATTTTGACAAAATTATTCTTTTTTCTCAATAAAGAACACTTTTTTTTGGCTTTGTAAGAATTCTCATTAAAAATACATCTTATGTTTCGGGATACACTTTGTGTACAGAATTATATATGTTAATCAGAATTGTTAAGGTAACTTTTAGTAACCTTATTAATAAATGGTGCTAGGAAAACTGGCTAGCTGTATGCAGAAAACAGAAACTGGACCCCTTCATACATCTTATACAAAAATTAAGATGAAGTAAAGACTTAAATGTAAAACCCAAAACCATAAAAACCCTAGAAGAAAACCTAGGCAACACCATTCAGGACATAGGCATGGGCACAGACTTCATGAATAAAACACCAAAAGCAATTGCAACAAAAGCCAGAATTGACAAATAGGATCTAATCAAACTAAAGAGCTTCTACACAGCAAAGGAAACTATCATCAGAATGAACAAGCAACCTATGGAATGGGAGAAAATTTTTGCAAGCTACCCATCTGGCAAAGGTCTAATATCCAGAATCCACAAGGAACTTTAACAAACTTACAAGAAAAAAACAACCCCATCAAAAAGTGGGCAAAGGATATGAACAGACACTTCTCAAAAGAAGACATTTATGTGGCCAACAAACATGAAGAAAGCTCATCAGCACTGGTCATTAGAGAAATGAAAATCAAAACCATAATGAGATACCATCTCAAGCCAGTTAGAATGGCTATTGTTAAAAAGTCAGGAAACGATGCTGGTGAGGCTGTGGAGAAATAGGAATGCTTTTACACTGTTGGTGGGAGTGTAAATTAGTTCAACCATTGTGAAAGACAGTGTGGTGATTCCTCAGGGGTCTAGAACCAGAAATACCATTTGACCCAGCAATCCCATTACTGGGTACATACCCAAAGGATTGTAAATCATTCTACTATAAAGACAAATGCACACCTATGTTTATTGCAGCACTATTCACAATAGCAAAGACTTGGAACCAACCCAAATGCCCATCAATGATAGACTGGATAAAGAAAATGTGGCACATAAACACCATGGAATACTATGCAGCCATGAAAAGGATGAGTTCATGTCCTTTGCAGGGACATAGGTGAAGCTGGAAGCCATCATTCTCAGCAAACTAACATAGGAACAGAAAACCAAACACTGCATGTTCTCACTCTAAGTGGACGTTGAACAATGAGAACACATGGACACGGAGGGGAACATCACACACTGGGGCCTTTTGCGGGGTGGAGGGCAAGGGGAGGGAGAGCATTAGGACAAATACCTAATGCATGCAGGGCTTAAAACTGAGATGATGGGACGAAAGGTACAGTAGATCACCATGGCACATGTATACCTATGTAACCTGCACGTTCTGCACGTGTATGCTAGAACTTAAAGTAAAATTTAAAAAAACAATAATTCTCATTAAAAACACATCTTATTTTTGGGGGTATACTTTGTGTACAGAATTATATATGTTAGAATTGTTAAGGTTACTTTTAGTAACCTCAATTTCTAGTAAAAACCTAGGAAGCAAGAAATTTTGTCACATGTCAGTTTTTTATAGATATGAGCAATTTTGTAATTTTATAAATATGTTTATAACCTAACTTTTATGTGTAGTGATAGTCCCAAATATAGTCTTTTCTTAGACTTTAAGAAGCCAAGAACAAACTTATGTTTAGTAATTTATATTTCAGTATTTTTTCTTATTTGGAAGTGATTCAGACATTTAATGAGTATTATTTAATTCAACTATTTGTAAATGTTTATGCCACCTACATTCATCTAATTTATTTATTTTTAACAAGTATAAGTAGATTTCTTACGAAAACTGAGGCATTAGGCAAGGCTAGTCATTAGTTCAAGCTATTTCCATGTTAATCATTTTTATAGCCTATGAATATCAGGTGTTCACCTAAGTGAGAATCTTAAAGTTGTGGGTATTTTGCTGATTACTTTGGAGACACAGCTGTTTTTATTAAACCAACAATATTCAATTGGTCTTATTTATCAAAGAGTTACACAAACAAAGATTGTTCTGTATTTAGGCTGAGTTTATAGTTTTGTACTTCTGTGTCAAACCCTTATACCTTATTAAAACCTCTTGTCTAGTAGAGACAAATATAAAACTGCCCGGCCCATAAATCCCGGCAAAAGTTTATGCCGACAATTCTGAAGACATTTCTATTTTTATTTTATCAACAAGTTTAAAACCAGCTTGCTTATTTATTTTTATATTTAAAAAAGTATTGAACTACTGTACACAAAAAATAAAATCCTGAGCTCCCAACAACTAAATGGACTGCTTGGCAAAGGGGACCTCACAAAAACCTGAAAAACTATTCCTAGCCATGAGGAAAAGGGAGGCTAGACACGTCCATTATAGCCCCTCCCTTTTAGAGCTTAGGCACAACTGACCATCATTAACATTAAAGCAGAGAGATCGTAAGACTGACAAAACAGACTCTTTGTGTCAATAAGAAACCAAATTCCAACTGGACTCTGATATAGAATCACATGACAGATAGCAGACACCGAAAGAAATCAAAGTATTTTACCGCAAAATATTTCTTTGACATATTTTGAAATGGCCCTGTAAAGCCTTTTTAATGCAACCAGGCTTTCCCTGTCTATGCCTTTCCCAGATAACTAGCTTATTTATTAAAGGTTCATTTAAGTCACATGTCATTTGGTTTAATTACTGTTTATTTTAACAGTTTTCATTATTATTGAAGCCAATCTGAATAGAATGCCCTAAGGGATTTCTGGACAACTGTGCCAGATTTTACCACGTAGACACAACATATGTATATATGTATAAACACAAACACATATACACACCAGTTTATAAAAGGATAGTTGGATCCAAACTATATTTCTGATAAAATTGGGACCTGTTCTCATGACTAAACTTTATTTGTCCCAGTAGGCAATCTTATGAAGACTGTGTACCAACATTTTGGATAAAGCAGTTTCTGTAGCAGTTTGATTTTTAAAAACACTTCTTTTTATCCTTTTTTCAGTTTCAAATAAGTTTAGTGTTACACATTCCAATGTTTATATTTTTTAGATAGGACTAGCTGAATTATATAAGAAAAAAATCTCCAAGTATCCTAGAATTAGTAACAAAACTGTCTTTTGTTTATTGGTCTGATTTGCTTGACTAGTCATTGTGGATGAGGAAGCGTTTTAGCAGGGTGGTTTTGGAAGCGTTTTAGCAGGGTGGTTTTGGTTTGTTTCAGCTTTTTCTAGTCCCTGCATGGCAGACAAAGCCATTTTTATGCCAGACAGAGAAATGTTATATTATTGCTCTGAGCTCAAGATTTTGACCTCTTTGATCTGAGAGCCTAACTCTTATAAACATTGATCTCTTCTTTTCTTTTAGAACATCCAACTCTTAAATTAACTGTTCCATCACTCAAAGCAATTGTTAGTAAGGCAAACCTAAATTTACATTTCCAGAAAATGTGTAGGTTGTCAGTTGCCATGGAGCTGATGTAATTTGTAAAACAATAATTTGAAAGCACTCTAAAACTTTTTCCCCCTTTGTTTCTATCTTGGCTGGAATGCCATAGCAGCAAGTTTATCTCAATACCAGCAGAAAAAGTTACTAGATTCAAAGTAGGCAGGAAAAAAATAGAGAGGTAGAGAAATTAGAATGCTCTACATATTTTAATTCTTTAGTTGGTTGCAGTTTTTTTAAATAAGTTTAAAGAGTTCAAATAATGGCCATTGTGCTCCAAATTTTCCTTGATGTCATTTTGTTACCAGCGGCAAATCCGTTTGGGCCTGCAGCAACCTCAATTCTTTTCTTCCCAGAAGAAAGAATTCTACCAAGGAAGCACAAGGCAGAAGGAGAGACAGGCAAGTTTTAGAGCAGGAGTGAAAATTTATTATATAGCTTTAGAACAGGAACAAAAGGAAGGAAAGTACACTTGGAGGAAGGCCAAGCAGGCGACTTGAAAGATAAGTGCCCCATTGACCTTTTACTTAGAGTTTTATATGTTGGCTTACTTCTGGGTTCCTACAACCCTTCTCTGATTCTTCCCTTGTGGTTGGCTGTCCATGTGTGTGCAGTGGCCTGCTAGTCCTTGGGAGGTGAGCATGTGCAGTGTGTTTACTGGCCTTGTACACATGCTCACTGGAGGTATTCTTCCCTTACCAGTGGAATGTCCCTGGAAGGTCATATACTAGTTAAATGCCTCTATTTTGCCTCTTACTGCACATGCCTGAGCTTACCTACCCAACTCCTGAGATCTTATTGGAAAGCTGCTGATCACCAGTTTCAGGCGTTTCTATCTATTGGGAGACTGCCGTTGCATGGTGCCAGCTGTGACCAATTATTAGCGATACAGTGTGACAATAGCTTGCCCATCACCCTAGGGTCGCCTGCTGTTCCTGGTGGGGTAGGGGGAGCCTTCTCCTGTCCTGCTCATGCCTGACTAGCTGCCTTCTGTAACAATTTGCCCATCAGTTAAAAAATATGCCCAAGAACAGTCCATAATATAGCTGGCTGGAATCCCCAAAGGTAGATTGTTTTGGCATGCCTTTAGAATTTGAGGATCCCATTTTGTTTCTTATTAATCACTCAAGAACAAAGAAAATCCCATAAATCTTGTCAGGGAGTATTAGGCATTTGGACCAGTGTTTTAGATGGTGGGGACCATCGTAGTGGCTTTTAATTAGCTAGGCTGTGCCCACCATTTAGAATGTTTATTTTTGCTTCTTGTAGATTCTTAGAAATAAGCGAGGGAAAAAAGCTAAATTATTTACAGATGTGTGTTACCAAACCAAAATGAAACCAAGATAAGAGTATTCACAAAAATTTTACGGCCGGGCGCGGTGGCTCACGCCTGTAATCCCAGCACTTTGGGAGGCCGAGGCGGGCGGATCACGAGGTCAGGAGATCGAGACCATCCCGGCTAAAACGGTGAAACCCCGTCTCTACTAAAAATACAAAAAATTAGCCGGGCGTAGTGGCGGGCGCCTGTAGTCCCAGCTACTTGGGAGGCTGAGGCAGGATAATGGCGTGAACCCGGGAGGCGGAGCTTGCAGTGAGCCGAGATCCCGCCACTGCACTCCAGCCTGGGCGACAGAGCGAGACTCCGTCTCAAAAAAAAAAAAAAAAAGAAAAAATTTTAAACCCAGGTATGCAGATTAAACAAAATACTAAATTAGGCATGCAGAACCAGAAGTGAATTCACCAGAAAAGACATACCTCACAGAACACAAATTTTATAGTAACCGGAGTATTCAAACCAGAAGGACACTTGTCCTTACCAGAAAGGGATTGCCAGAAAAGGCAAAAAGTTGTTATTATCCCAAGAGGATTGCAAGGCCCTTTATTAAGGTGCCCTTAATGAGATCCTGAATGAATTCAGGAGCTTCCATCAAAAAGCAGGAGGCTCACCAGGGCAGAAAAGGTGAGCTGCGGAAGCAGAAAGTTCAGAGGGCTCAAGTGAGTACTATATACCAGTTCTAAGAATTGCTGATTCCTTCTGAAGGTGATCTTGCTGCAAGTCCCACTTCTGACTCCAGATATGTCAACCTAAACAACAGAGAGGGACTCTAAAAGAAAATGATAATCTATTTGAGGATGGGCATTGCAGTGGGAATGCATATGCTGTAGTAAACTCTGCATATTCAGGAAGGTAAAGAGAGGCAAAGGTTTTTAAAGGAAGAATGAGGAGAATTACATAATTGTTTTGAGATAATTATTCTTGGCTACAAGGATCAACAACAAAGGTGGTACCAGTTCGGAGTTTGACAGGCAGTTGCTGGGCAAACATCCTCACAGGATTTTTGTATAAGGTTATGATGGCCTTTGTGCAAGGTTATGGTTTTTTCAGTTTTTTGTGATGGTTCTTTTATCAAGCATTATCCGTGATAACACTTTCTTCGTGGCCCTCCCTGGCTCTACTTGTTGGGGGTTTTAGCACATGTGACTCCATTATGTTACACAATTTGTAACAAAGCCTTTTTTTTTTTTTTTAACCTGGAAAGCTATAGGAAAGTCAGTACTAGCTTTGCCATATTTATGCTAGATATTTGAATGATATAATGAAAATTTGATTTTAAAATAAATATATGAACCGTTATAAATCGACATTTGTCTATTATTAAAATTTCTTAGTAGTGAAACAGCTCAGGAGAGACATGGTGGCACATAGTGTGTGAGAAGAACATGATTTTGACTTCCAGCTCAGCCATTGTCTGCCGTATGTGAACTTAGCAAGTCCTAAAACCTCTAGGCTTTGGCTTTCTCCTCTAACAGTCCTTAGAAGATTTAGATAATGTATCTGAAAATTATTGTAAATATTGAAGTGTCTTATAGATATTAGATTAAGCCTAGATTACAAATCAATATAGGAAACCTAAAAATATCAACACTGTCTGCTTTTCTTTCTAGTCAATTTTTTTTACCATTTTTCTCTCATGAATGCCTTATTCTATCACTAACTATTCCTTAATAATTTTGTTTGATTTCAGTTTAATTAACTGATTAGCCTATAATTCAGGTAAAAATTTGGTAGTTTCTTAATTAGCAGAAATACTACAAAGATACTATTACTCCTTTTCCTTTTTCAGTAACAAAAATTCATTTAATGAGAGTTTTTAGAAATCATAGAATGGAAAAGCTTGTGATCTTCTAAATGTAGGAAAACTTGTTTGCTTGTTAAAATGATTCTTACATAATAATGAAAGGACTTCTAGTCCCATAGGATAATTATGGCCACCTAAATTCAATTGTGTCCACAATATCAATAAAGAGAGCTAATAGAACCACCCATAACTCTTGCCTGCTGTATTAACAGGAGTTAGAGATTGCTACAAGCTTCATTTTATATACCAGTAGTGAAGTAAACAACTGAAACCAACAGGGCCAGCTCTGGAGCTCATGCTGAGGTGAAAAGTCAAACAAAGACTGAAAGGAAAAGAGAAGATTGTTGGGACAAGGGATACGTTGACTAGTAGTGGTGAAATACAAATGAAATTACTTGAAGAAAGAGAGTTCAACCCTGAGTGAGAAAGTATTGAACAGTTCTGAGGCTGGAAGGATTAGAGCACTGGCTACTGGAGAATCAAAGTGACATTTTGTTTTTTGTTTTTTTGTTTTTTTGAGACAGGGTCCCATTGTCTCGTCCAGGCTGGAGTGCAGTGGCAAGATCACAGCTCATAGCAGCCTCAACCTCCCTAGGTCCAGGTGATCCTACCACCTGAGCCTCCCGAGTAGCTGGGACTATAGGCATGCGCCACCACACCTGTCTAATTTTTTGTATTTTTTTTGTTTTAAGAGTATGGGGGCCAGAGTTAGCATGATAGTCTTGGGAAAGTACTGTTTTGAGGAGAGACAAGTAGTTGATTCAGAAGGGTGTGGTATTCCTTTGAGAGTTGGTAATGAAGGAAAAGAATGGAAAGAAAGGATAGAAATTAAAGATTCCTCTCATCCCCCAAATAAAAAAGAAATGACAAAATCAGAAGCTAATCCCTCCTTTTCATAATAGCACCATATATTAAAGAAACTTGACTTCATTATTTTTCCAGAAGGGAGCACTTTAGAATTAAGTAATTGTGCCATTCCGCAACCTTACCCCTGCATTCATAAAGTCACCTGTTATTACTGACCAAGCCAAACATTAGGTATTTCAAAATGAATAAAAGACAACATGGAAAAGCCATGTAAAGGTATTATTTAGGAAGAAACAGAAAATGTGAATAAAACAGTTTAGTTGATGAACATTTCCCCCTTAACACCCAAAACAAAGCAGAGGAAGACTGCAATACCACACCTTTACTTGGTTTAGGTTTGTTTAAAAAGCATTTTCAGGTATGGAAAGCATTCTTTAAGTTTGAAATTCAATAACTTAGAATAAATGGACAAAGAACAGGGGGATGTGAAATAAAAGTTGATCAAACTCAGGAGCAAAGTTCAGGCAATAGTAGTTATCTCAGAAATGAAAATGAAAAAATAAGATATCCAAAGGAAAGTAGATTCAACTGAGAATATAGTAAGAGACATTGAGGAAAGGACTGAAAATAATCAAGAGAACAAAACTAAAAAAAGAGGTAAAAATAATCAGGTAGGATGTGACAAATATGATAGACAAAGAAGATTTAACATATATTTAATTGGAGCTCCTGAAGACAGAAAAGAACAATGGATTGGAGTTAAGATCTAAAATTATAATCCAAGAAAACGTTCCAGAAATAGAAGACCTAGCTTTACACATTAAAACAGTTCATTTTCCCAATTAATCCAGAATGATCAATTCTGAAACTGTACTAGTATATTGTACTGTAACAAATTATCAGAAATTTAGTGATTTAGGACAACACATAGTTACTGTCTTACAGTTTTGTATGTCAGAAGTCTAAAACAGGTCCACAGGGCTTTTCTTCTGGAGGTTCTCAAGGAGAATCTATTTCTTTGCCTTTTCTAACTTCTAGAGGCTGCCTTCATTCCCTGGCTTGTGGTTCCATTCTCCATCTTCTAAGCTAGCAGTGTAGCATTTTCTCTTCTCTCTGACTTGTCTTCCTCTTAGAAGGATCCTTCTGACTCTATTGGGCCTATCTGGATAATGCAGTGTAATGTCTATCTGAAGATCCTTAACTCAGTCACATCTGCTAAGTCCCTTTTACCCCATAAGAATGTATTCACATGTTCTAGGGATTTGGACTTTGGTATCTTTGGAGGCAGAGCCATTATTCAGCCTACTACAGAGACTTCTTGGAAAGCATTTAGACTTTAAAAATAACAGAAAAAAACCTCTGAGCTTTCAGGCAAAAAATAAAAGTCACTTACAAAGGAAAGTCAGTGAAAAAGTGAAACAAATGGATCAACAATTTCAAGAAACTCAAGGAGAAAGGAAGTGTAAGCCAAATAATTTTATGTTCAGTCAAACCTGTCATTGAACTATCAAGGCTAGAGAAAAACAATATTAAACATGGAAGAACTCAGAGAACACTACTCATAAGACATTTCTTAGGACGACCTTGATGTGAAAAAGAGATGACTGGAGAAACTAACAAAAGGATTGATGATGAACATTGAATTTAATTAAGCTTAGCTCCAAACTAAAATTAAGGTGGAAATAAGAGTAGAAGAATAGTATGTAAATATTATGTATTCTGACAAGGTAGGAATATTACAACTTAAAAATTGGGAAAAGAAGGAAAAGAGAAAGGGGAAAATTAAACTTGTTGATTGCTATACAGGTGAGAGATGGGCATCAAAGAATACTTCAAAAGCTAAAACTACTTTTTTTAAAGTATACTCAAAGAAGGCCCACACTCATCCTTATCACTTCCACCCTGTTCTTCATGCAGATTTTGGATATTTAATTGTTCTAATCTGGCATTATTTTTAAATTAGCCCTGTAAATTAGCTCATTTTTAAGAGTTCTGTGAGAGTTTTAGAGTTGGTGAGCACCTTTGCATCAAACTGCCTTATTTTTTTTTATGAGTAAACTATTCATTTTTTCGAAGTCATGCAGCTAAAACTGTCGTAGGGCATTCTTTACTCATTATACTATAGTGTGTTGCCTTATAAATTCAATTTGTCGTGTCATAATCACTTCATATTCTTAATAGTGTTTTGGTTGTTTAACAGTTTTAATTGCAAATAAGTCCAGGATGGGGCAATTAAAATACCTTGAACTCTGCAAGCATCCTACAAGGATTCGACTCGTAGCTCTAGTATTGACTGGCTAAATGTCCTTGGGTGACTTAATCTTTGAGCCTCAGTTTTCTGGTGTGATACCTACTTTGAGGGATTGCTATAGAGTTTAGAAATAGTATATGACAATTGCATCTAATACGGTAACTAGAACATTGGGAGTTTTACCGAGTGGTAGGTGGTAGTATTTATTGGTTTTTTGTTTGTTGTTGTTTTTTTTAAAGACAGGCTCACTCTCGCCCAGGCTGGAGTGCAGTGGCACAATCTCAGCTCACTGCAACGTCCACCTCCCAGGTTCAAGTGATTCTCGTGCCTCAGCCACCCAAGTAGCTGGGAGTATAGGCATGCGCCACCATACCCAGCTAATTTTTGTATTTTTAATAGAGATGGGGTTTCCCCATGTTGCCTAGGCTGAGCTTGAACTCCTGGCCTCATGTGATCCTCCTATCTTGGCCTCCCAAAGTGCTGGGATTACAGGCATGAGCCACCACACCCGGCCTGGGTGAAGTTTTTTGATAGCTACAACAGTCATCATAGTAAAAGAGATTATTAAAATAGTTAATATCTAGGTATTGCTTTATAAATTTATGACATTCTAATATATACATTAAATTATTTTGTACAGGTACAAACATGTTTATTGCATGTATATATTTTTCTTTTCTGTTTTGTTAATAAATAAAAAAATTTAGTTTTTCTAGGGCTCTGTTTTAAGTACACCATATTGATTTTATTTATTTTTAATTCATTTTTGCTCTTCTATTTTTTTTCAGTTCCCAGTGGGAAAAGCTACAGAAAGATGACACAGATCCGGGGCAACTGAAAGGTATCAGAGGAAGTATTGAGACAGTTACCGGAGATACTTCTTCAGCTAATTATCAAGATACTAAAGTTAATACTAAAGAGCATTCAGTCAGGAAATAGTGTTATAAAAGAGAATTTACTTTTCAAGCTATAATGCTATTTTGATTAATGATTTTTCTTTAACTGAAGCTCTAATTTAATGGGAGGAAATAAAAGTTTGAATACCAGCTTTCTATTTTCTAAATATTGGATTATATCATGAAAATCAAGCAGTTTCTATTTCTTTAAATGCTTTTATTAAAGCAATCTAATTATGTGACAGTTTTATCTCATTATGTTTATATTTCATGAGTTTTATGGAATAAAATGTAATTTTATGTTAATCGGTTTGGGATATGCACTTTGGTGGTTATGTTTTGAAAACATTGTGCTTTTGTTTAAGAAAACTACTACTTTGGATTCATCCCAAATATTAAATAGAACTAATTTTACTTAAAAAAATGAGCAAATATTGAAAAAAAATTTTTTTTTAAAAGTCAGTGGCTGATGGTTAAAGAAAATGGTATGAAATAGTGCTGTTTTGTGTTTTTTTGGTTTTTATGTGTTCCAGATGCTTTACAAGTGACTTCTAGTTGTGTGTTTTTAGGAAAAGGGATAGATGCCAGAGTTAGAACAAATCTGTAATAATTGATTTGCACTACTTTCTATCTGTTTGACCTTGAACCCAGCTCAATTTTTCACTTGTGAGATAGGAAGAATATTTAGCATTACTGCAAAGATTCAAAGTGATGCTTAAGTAAAGCACCTAACACAGTGTCTGACACATAGTAGATTTTCAGTAAATATCAGATTCCTTCCCTTCCCTTAAGAATCAGTGCTACTTGAATGACCCTACTGTTTTAATATTTATCCATTCATCAGTTATTTTCTATGTGCAAGGCAGTGTAGGGATACAAAAAAACATTAGACATAGCTCCTTCAACAAATAGTATTGTTTACTAAGGGGTATGATTTATGTACAGGTTAAGCATTCTGAATCCAAAACTTCCAAATAGAAAATGCTCCAAAATTTTCTGAGTGCTGACATAAGCTCAGAGGAAATGCTTGTTTTCTTTGATTTTTCAGAATTTAGGGATGTTCAACTGGCATATACAAGTATTCTAACATCTGAAAAAATCCAAAACACTTCTGGTCCCAAGCATTTCAGATAAAGTATACTCAACCTGTACAGTTAACTGTTAATATAAGGCATCACGTTATGTGGGAATACTCAGAGTAGGAATTCATAGTAGAAATAAGTTTCTCTATTTTGGTGTGGTAGGGGAACACCAGGGGTTTAATGGAGAGCGTGGCCTTGAAGAGAAGAACGAGTAGGATTTAGACTTCAGAATGAGAAGAGCCAAGCAAAAATAATAGATTGAGTAAAGCCTGTCATTAATAATAGTGTTGATCACCACCACGACCATCATTATCATGACACTTTTTAAAATAAGGAAATAGGTCATTTTGACTAGAGAATACCATATGGAAATGAAAAGTCAAGTGAGAAGAGATACTTAAAACCCAATGTTAGCCTAATAAGTACTTCATCAAAGTGTTTTGTTATATAGGCCTCTCAGCGCATACTCATGTGGAACTTCCATATTACTCTAAGTTCATTCTAATTGCTGCATACCTTGCTTCATACAATCCAGCAAGAACTGACAAGAGGTTTTTTCTTAAGGTAATAATAACATACTTCTTTTCACTTTATTTTTTAAGATCCCAGGAATATTTTGAAATTTCTTAACACTTGTAAATTTCTAAGGGGAAGAGATTAGAATAAGATTGCCAAATATGTATTTAGGACTCATTCTTTAAAGGCTTTACATTAATGTCACAACCTCAAATTTGAGAAAAGGTAGGCAGTTTCATAGAAAAGAGGATATCAGGTATACCTTAGGTAATAATTCAGATTTAAAAAATACATAGGGTTTTGTTTAAAGTGTGGAGGATGGAAATAATTTTAAGAGCGGTAACTCTTTGTTGTTCTAAAACTCACTGTAGTGAATAATTATCCATCACACTGAAGGAGCCTCTCCTGTACATACATTAGTTGGAGAAATCCCAGTTTAGAGTTGTTTTTTTCTTCTTCTTTACCCACTATGTTCTTGTCACTTTAGACTTTTTCCTTTTTCCTCTTTCCTCAAAACATTCTGATCTCTTTCCTACCTTAAGGTCTTTGTCTGTATGTTCTGTCTTTCTGGAAAGCTCCTTCTCTACTCATTCTTCATGCTTCAGTTTAAATATTGCCTTCTCAAAGCAGTTCTCCCTGTACAACCTATCTTAAAGTAGGTCCTCTTTATTGTTTCCTATTTCACATGATGTTTGCTTTCTTCTTTGGACTTACAACAATTTATATTTATTCATTTTTTTGTCATGTCTTGTGCTACTCTTCAGGACTTTATTTTTTTTTATTTTTTTGAGACAGAGTGTCACTCTCACCCAGGCCAGAGTGCAGTGGTGTGATCTTGGCTCACTACAGCCTCGGCCTCCCAAGTAGCTGGGATTACAGGTGTGTGCCCCCACGCCTGGCTAAGTTTTATGTTTTTGGTAGAGACAGGGTTTTGCCATGTTGGCCAGGCTGGTCCCAAATTCCTGGCCTCAAGTCATCCTCCCACTCCGGCCTCCCAAAGTGATAGGATTACAGGTGTGCGCCACTGTACCTGACCCTCTTTAGTTTCTAGAGGGCAAGGACCACATCTATTGTTTTCCCCTGCTATTGAATCCTGAGTGCCTAACTAAAATGCTCTCAATCAGTGTTTATTATGTGAACTGTGCTTAACTAAAATGCCCTCCGTCAGCGTTTATTATGTGGATTGCCAGACTTATGGGATGAATAAAAATCCATATCTCTGGAAGTTTCATTTTTATAGCAATGTATATGCTGAACTAAATCAATATAATAAGCTCTTTTAGGAAATGTCATTATTTTATTTTAGAAATTCTTTTTTTACATGCAAAAGTAATTTTATATCCAATCCAAGTCTAAACGAAATTGGCCTAAAATATGTTGAAGTCTAATATATATACAAGGTGATAAGAAGAATAACTATTTAAAAACCTGAGATATACAGATTAGTATTATGTGTGCCATGTTTTAAATAAATAACGTTTTCTGGTTTTGTGGAATACTGTCTTTTCAACTTAAAATTTGTTTTCCTTAATTGCAGCATCATGGAAAAATCAAGAAAACCAACTTTCTAAAAAAACACGAAAAGGTATTTACATTTTAATTTCTAATGGAAGAAACTTAGGAAATGAAGATAATATAGGAAATAGATACATCTGTAATTGTATTTGTCATTTGAATATAGGAACTTATTTGTGTTGATATGGTACCGTTATACTGTAATAGAATTTTGTTATATTGAATATAGTGATTGAATGCACATTTAGGTGAGCTGCTGCTGGAGTTTAAAACTGAGTTGACAAAGTTTTTTAGTGACTTAGTAGATGAAGAAGTTTACCCTGGATTATTTAGTTAAATACAGCCAATTGAATACAGGCATTTTCCTCTTTTCTTTCCCCTTTGAAGCACCCACAACAAATAAAAAAGGTAAACTCATAAATACTAAGCAGATGAGAGACCCCCAGAATTTGCAATTGCATGGTAGGTAGATATTGAGGTGACCAAGCAGATTAGAGAAAACGCTAAAACCTAAGCCTCAAACTTAGCTAATTTGGCCTTAGGAATCTGGAAAAAAGCTTAGGGATTAGAAGCACTAAGTACTTTTGAAGGTGGGGTCAGATAAGGTTGAAACTGGTGAAAGAAGCATTTAGACTATTTAGATCACTTCTTCCACTTTGTATGTCCAAACCACTGTTGCTTTTCTTGTCAGAAGATGGAGAATTTTGAAATATAAACTCTGCACTATAGAAACTGCAAGTTTTGTTTCCCTTATTCTTAGAGGCAGTTTTGCTCAATTCCAGGACTTCCTGACTCCAAAGCCTACGATGATGTTTACCACTGTTCTTGAACTCCTACAATAGACAAATGGTTAACGTTTAGAATTTTTATTATTTATCTGTTTTTGAGGTAGGGTCTCAGTCACCCATGCTGCAGTGCAATGGCGTGATCATGGCTCACTGCAGCCTCAACCTCCTGGGCTTAAGTGATCCTCCTGTCTCAGCCTCCCTAGTAGCTGGGACTACAGGCACACGCCACTGTGCCTGGCTAATTTTTGTATTTTTTGTAGAGACAGGGTTTCACCAGGGACTCATCTAAGCCCAGGAGTTCGAGGCTGGTCTCAAATGATCCACTCCTCTCAGCCTTCCAAAGTGCTGGGATTACAGGCATGAGCTACCATGCCCAACCTAATGTCTCGAATTTTTAAAGACTCATTACAAACCAATAAGAAAAGGACAAAAATTCGATAGCAAAATGGATAAATGATACAATAAGGAACCTGAATGTCTAACAATCATGACATGATTAACAGCCTTATTCACTAATGAGAGAAAAAGTTAAAACAACAGTGAGATATTTCATACTCTTGGTTTGACAAAACTAAAAAATTCTATGATTTCAAGTGCTGGAGATAATGTAGAAGAGCGAGAGTCTGCCTGTTCTGCAGGTTGACAATATCTACTGAAGTTAATATGTGAAGTTAATATGTTAATATTAGGATAGACTAGCTATGCTTGTAGTAAAAAGCAAATCCCGGCTGGGCGGGGTGCCTCACACCTGTAGTCCCAGCACTTTGGGAGGCCGAGGCGGGTGGATCACGAGGTCAGGAGGTCGAGACCATTCTGGCTAACATGGTGAAACCCCGGCTCTACTAAAAATACAAAAACAAAAATTAGCCGGGCATGATGGTGGGCGCCTGTAGTCCCAGCTGCCTGGGAGGCTGAGGCGGGAGAATGGCGTGAACCTGGGAGGCGTAGCTTGCAGTGAGCCGAGATCACGCTACTACACTCCAGCCTGGGCAACAGAGTGAGTCTCCTTCTCAAACAGACAAACAAACAAAACAAAACCCCCCAAACCATGGTGGCTTTACACAACAGAAGTTTTTATGTTGCTTACAACATAACTGTGAATTGAGTGACCCTCTTTCATCTCATAGTGATATGAAGTGAAACATTGTGGCCTCTGAAGTTGCCACTAAAGGGAAAGAAGGTGAAAGACTAGGCTTGCAAGTAGTTTACATCACTTCTATTCATATTTCATTGGCCTGGCAGAACCCAGTTACGTGACCTCTATCTAACTGCAGGAGAGACTGAGAAATGTAGTCTTCTTGTGTGTCAGAGAAGAAACAGTGTTGGCAGACACATAGCACTGACTCTGCCTTGTGCTTTAATCCAGCAATCCTACTTAGAGAAACTCACACATGTGCACAAGGAGAAATGTACAAGATTATCAGTCACAGGATTATTTGTAATAATGAATTTTTTTAAGTAGTCATAAAATGGAATTCTGTAAGGTAATTTAAAAATGGACTAGAGCTACATGTATCTATATGGATAAATCTCAAAAAGCAATTGGTAGAGAGGTATGTTCCAAATGATATCATTTATATAAAATTTTAAACCATGCAAACAATGCTGTGTATTGTTTGTGGATACATATGCGGTAGTATAAAACCTTCATGAGAGTACATCAAATTCTAGATAGTGGAATTTTTCTAGAGAAGGAAAGGGAGAATAGGATGGGAGAGGGTTCAAGGAAGCTTCAACTTATCTGTAATGTGATCTAATGTTTTGTTTCTCTGCACTTATTGCACAGTATATTTGATAAAATTGAGTGGTGAGTCCATTGGTATTCATTATATTCACTTCTGTACTCTTTTATATATTTGAAGTATTTAGTGACAAAAGCATACAAAATTTAAGACCTGGAAAATAATTTCTAGCCGAGGTAAAAACTTCATTGTATAATTCTGAGTAGGTATTCTTCTTTACATTCATTCTTGTTTTAAATAAATAGTTACTCCCATGCATGTAAATACAGTTTCCAATTTTATTTGCCATTGCTAATATAAAGTACTTATTTGTAGCTGGGTGCACTGGCTCACGCCTGTAATTCTAGCACTTTGGGAGGCCAAGGTGGGCAGATTACTTCAGGTCAGAAGTTCGAGACTAGCCTGTCCTACACGGCAAAACTAAAAATACAAAAGTTAGCCATGTGTGGCAGTGCATGCCTGTAATCCCAGCTACTTGGGTGGCTGAGATACGAGAATCACTTGAACCTGGGAGGTGGAGTTTGCAGTGAGCCAAGATCGTGTCACTGTACTCCAGCCTGGGTGACAGAGTGAGGCTCTGTCTCAAAAAAAGAAATAAATATTTATTGGCTATTAAAATTATCTGCTAATAGAATGGAACTTGAGCATTGTCTCGTTTCTGATGACATGAATTATACTATATGAGTTTGTATACAAGTGTGAACATTTTACAATATTGAAAAAATTTTTTTAAATTTTACATTGTTTTAGGCTGCTGGCTTATTTACTTTATAAAATATTTTATTAGTTTTCTAAGTTAAGCTACGACTTACTGTAATTGATCTTTTTAGAGCTACTGGTGTTGAATTTTCCTGGCAGTGGTACAAAGAGGAATTGTGAGAAATAAGTAGTAAGCTCTAGTCTACAACTTAGGAATCTGGTTTGGTTATTATCTTGGATTTGGCAAAATTACTTAACACCTGGTTATAACAGTAAAATAGGAGGCATATTTAGGACTAGACCGGATGACTGTGAGTTCTTTAATTAATATTTGTTGATACTAAGTCAGAAATCTTGAGGAATATGTTAAAAGATAAATCATGGCTGGGTATGGTGGCTCATGGCTGGGTATGGTGGCTCATGCCTGTAATTCTAACACTTTGGGAGGCCAAGGTGGGGAGGATTGCTTGAGGCCAGGAGTTTAAGACCAGTCTGGGCAACATAGTGAGACCCTGTCTTTACAAAATAATTTGTAAAAATACCCAAACATTGCGGTGTGTGCCTAGAGTCCTAGCTACTCAAGAGGAGAATCTGACATAGGAGGATGGCTTGAGCCCAGGAATTCAAGGCTGTAGTGAGCCATGATTGCGCTGCCACTGCATTCCAGCCTGGGTGACAGCGGACCTTGTCTCTAAACAAAACAAACTTAAAAAAAGGATAAATCATGATCATATCAGTTAAACTTTTAACTTAGAGTTTGCAGGTTAGATTTGTTAGCATTTTTAGGGGAACTATATATAACAAAAATACATTGTTACTGGCAGTTTTGTAGTACAGAAAGTGAGTGCTCTGGTATAAGAAGAAAATCCATGTTTTTGTTTTGTTTTTTACAGACAAGCAATCATCTCCTTGGGCCAAAACCATTTCCACTAGACAGATTATTAGCAATATTATATAGTATCGTGGACAGCAGAGTTGCTCCAACAGCAAATATTTTTTCCCAGGTAAGCTTAATCATAGATTATTATCTGTCATCTTTGTGGGATTCTTCAGATAGTAGAGTCAATAGAATTCCAGGCATTCAGATTTTTGTTCAACATATGTTACTGTTTTAACTATATAATGAACCATGTTTTTGGTAAGTAATTGAAAATTACGTATATAGAATCTTTGGGGGTATCACTAAATTTACATATGTTTACAAGTATAACCTCATGGCAAATAATTTAATTTGGCTCTTTTTCAATAAAGGAATTTTTAAAATTAAATAATCATAATTATCTTGCTAATTAAACAAGTGGCTTGATGACCAAGTTGATGAATTGTAATTTAATGAAAACAAAATTGAAAAATTTTTTTTTGTAACAGAGTAATCTACAATGTTCTTATTCCTCATCTATGTACTTTGCAGATAGATGTGCTTTTATTAAAAAATGCTGTTTTCCAGAATAATTAAGTTCTCAGAATTTCACTAGGTGGCAGCAAAGCATAAAAATAGAAAATATGACTTTAAAAAAAACAAGTAGTTAAGGTTTGTTTTTTAGTTGACATTTTAAGAAAAAACAAATTATTAAAATTATAGTCACAGTAGATTTCTTAAATGGTCCAGAAAAACAATGCTTAGCACATGGTACAAGTGGATAGAAGAAAAAGCAAAATGATATAACTAGTATTTATTTAAAAGCAAAGTCATGTCAGATATTGCAGTGAGCATTTTGTTTTCTCTATGCATTTTTAGGTTGAGAAATATGTAAATAATGCCTGCGTTTTAATTAATTCACTGAATAAATCTGGCCCCAGAATAGCTGTCAGACTTTGTAATCTAATGTGTGCTGGTAACTTTTAATTTTTCATTTAGAGAAGAGTTTGAGTAACAAATATAATCTCAATTTTCTCAACATTGAATTTAGATAGTTTTTATAAAAGTCAGCATGTATAGAAAATTGTATCTACATTTATTGTGTTCTTGAAGAAACTCAGTTCACTCAGTTACTAGGCTACATAAATAGTTAGCTATATAGGTAGATAGCTACCTAGATAGGTAGGTAGATCACTAATGCTGATAACTTTAAAAAAGTAATTCAGTTTTAATTTGTGTTACAGGGATTTTTCCCATGTATTTTCTAAAAAAGCTTTGTCTGAAATTGGATTTTAATAAAACTTTACCTTTTATTAATAGCTTTCTACATACAACATAGGAATTTTTTGTTTTGTGTTTACTGTTGCGGTAACTCTAGATTAGCAGGTATTTTGAATTATCAGGTCTTTATTATAAGCAATGGAGCCTTACATTAAGTCAGAGAGATTAAACAACTTTTACAATATGATGCAATGAGTAAACCTTTGAGATTTAAAGCCTAGGGAAGTGAGACAGACAGTGCTTTTGAACAGAGCAGAAACATGTTTGCATCACATGTGATTGTACTTCTCAGGTGCCCACAAATTACCTGTGTGAGGGGCACAGTGAAGGATAGTACATGTTTTTTCTTTCAATGAGCTTATAACTTATTCTAGGGCATTAAAATGTATACATGAAAATACTTTTTTTTTTTTTTGGCTTTCTCTACAAGTTTATTTATTTTATTTTATTTTATTATTATTATACTTTAAGTTTTAGGGTACATGTGCACAATGTGCAGGTTAGTTACATATGTATACATGTGCCATGCTGGTGTGCTGCACCCATTAACTCGTCATTTAGCATTAGGTATATCTCCTAATGCTATCCCTCCCCCCTCCCCCCACCCCACAACAGTCCCCAGAGTGTGATGTTCCCCTTCCTGTGTCCATGTGTTCTCATTGTTCAATTCCCACCTATGAGTGAGAACATGCGGTGTTTGGTTTTTTGTCCTTGTGATAGTTTACTGAGAATGATGATTTCAAATTTCATCCATGTCCCTACAGAGGACATGAACTCATCATTTTTTATGGCTGCATAGTATTCCATGGTGTATATGTGCCACATTTTCTTAATCCAGTCTATCATTGTTGGACATTTGGGTTGGTTCCAAGTCTTTGCTATTGTGAATAGTGCCGTAATAAACGTACTTGTGCATGTGTCTTTATAACAGCGTGATTTATAGTCCTTTGGGTATATACCCAGGATTGCGATGGCTGGGTCAAATGATATTTCTAGTTCTAGATCCTGAGGAATCGCCGCACTGACTTCCACATTGGTTGAACTAGTTTACAGTCCCACCAACAGTGTAAAAGTGTTCCTATTTCTCCACATCCTCTCCAGCACCTGTTGTTTCCTGACTTTTTAATGATCGCCATTCTAACTGGTGTGAGATGGTATCTCATTGTGGTTTTGATTTGCATTTCTCTGATGGCCAGTGATGATGAGCATTTTTTCATGTGTGTTTTGGCTGCATAAATGTCTTCTTTTGAGAAGTGTCTGTTCATATCCTTCGCCCACTTTTTGATGGGGTTGTTTGTTTATTTTTTTGTAAATTTGTTTGAGTTCATTGTAGATTCTGGATATTAGCCCTTTGTTAGATGAGTAGGTTGTGAAAATTTTCTCCCATTTTGTAGGTTGCCTGTTCACTCTGATGGTAGTTTGTTTTGCTGTGCAGAAGCTCTTTAGTTTAATTAGATCCCATTTGTCAATTTTGGCTTTTGTTACCATTGCTTTTGGTGTTTTAGACATGAAGTCCTTGCCCATGCCTATGTCCTGAATGGTATTGCCTAGGTTTTCTTCTAGGGTTTTTATGGTTTTAGGTCTAACGTTTAAGTCTTTAATCCATGTTGAATTAATTTTTGTATAAGGTGTAAGGAAGGGATCCAGTTTCAGCTTTCTACATATGGCTAGCCAGTTTTCCCAGCACCATTTATTAAATACTTTCTTAAGGCTGTAAATGAATGCTAGATAGTGCTTCTGAGAAGTTTAGAGCAGAAAGAGATCAATTCTAGATTGGGCAGGTTGAAAGAGTTCACAGAAGATGAAAAATGAGGCTTGGCTGTGGAGAATGAGTAGGAGTTTTTGTTTTTTAAATATTTCTCATTTACATAAGTGATACATGTTTATTATACAGAAATGTATAAATGGGTAAATAGAGAAATAATAGTTTAAAATCACCTGATATCTTATTTCCAAAGGATAGAGTTAAGGTTAGAGATTCAGAAAGAAAGGTTAATATGATCTGAAGAAAGGTTTGAAAAGCAAGGCATACCTGTGAACTGTCACCCTGGTTTGGTTGGAATTGAATGGGGTTATATTGTAGTGGTAGTTGTCATTGTAGTTGTGATTGTAATAGTAGCATCATAGTAACACTACTGCCACCACATGCCACACCTTACTATTGGTACCTTACATATTGTTCTTTACATTCGTAGAGCATTTTCTGTTTTTAGAAATAAACTCTTCAGCAATTTTATCCTCTGGGGAAAATATATGGCAATTAAAAACAATGGGAGGCTTCTGATTTAGAGATTTACTAGCTGCTCTGAGCCATTGACTATGATGAACAATGTCCGCAGTCTTCGTGGTTATAGCAGTGCCAGTAATATTACACAGTTAAGAAAACAACTTGGCCCAAAATGTATCTTTGTCTGTTAATGAAGTTAAATTTTTTTCAAACTTGACAATTGTAGTTGCTGATCTTTTTATTCTTTATCTCTTCTAATTAACATTTTATAATCAAAATGATAAATTTGTATATTTAAAGTATTGCTATACATGAATTTAGGTGAATTTAATAGCAAGTCATTTAGGAACACAATCTTAGTTATTCTCATTGGGTATACAAAGGGTCGGGGAGTAGGTAGAGATAGATGCAACTAGTTCTAAGGAGTTGATCTTTACTTTTGCTTGGTCAGTAAAGTATCCAAGAAAATCTAATAACATATATATTGTGTTCCAGAACAAAATGTGGCAAGAATCTCATCCAAAGAGTATTTCTCCCACATGCCTTATATTTTCTTCTTCCCATTGACTCCCAGTGACCTTTTCTAGTTTTCTTCTTTCTCCTTTTATTCTTCTATCAAAATTATACTCTTAACCATGGGAATGGCAGTTTGTATTTAACCTACATACACTTAATTTTTTAAGTGAAAAACAGAAATACGTTTGTTTTCAAAGTGCTTATTTGGTACGAACACTAGATGGCAATGTTTTTGCATTCTGGCTTTAAGATGAGCCAGGCAAACAGACCTTTTACCTGTTAATACTGTCTGTGATATCTAGAGAAATTTGTTAACATATTGGGTCATTTGAATGGAAATAAACTTGCTGAAAAATGTAATTATAAACATGTATGTGTGTATTTACACTTTTATGAAAATGTAAATAAAATTGGCAATGAATTATATTTCGTACCTGGAGGTAAATTGCTTTTTATTAGTTATAATGTGTCTATATGAGATGATCATGTATTATTTTTGTATTCACCTGTTTTAAGAATTTATTTTATAGTGATATGCTATTTTTATAGCTGGATTTACTGACTAAATAATTGTTTAAACTTATTTTGTGTATAAATTGATCATGTATGATATAGACATTCAGAATTCTCCTGAAGCAAAAGTTTATTTCCATTGTATTTCAAATCTAATCTATTCTATAATGAAGTTATAAAAATAGTAACTCAAGGACTCTTTAAAGTTTATTAAAATTCCAATTGAGAATAATAAATTTATAATAGTACTAGCAGCAATATTGTATTGTAGTTGGCATTATTCTGAATTTCTTCATTCTCTATTGAATTTTAAATAAAATTCTATTCATTAGTCTCACAAGTAAGTGAAGAGAATAGTAGCACATTTAACATTTTATGTTAATGTTCAGATTTATTGAACTTAAATATGACTTTAAATTTTTTTTTAGATTATTATTTTAGTCTTACCTGGTTTTTACCTTTAGTACAATTTTGCAGTCATTATCTTGGGTCATTTTTAAAATTTTCATTCCAGTAAGATAAATGTAGCCCTTCTATGTATGCCTGAACTTCATGGGTGACAAAGCATTAATTCTGGTATTTCATTCTTTTCTCCTTTCCTTTCTGCTCTCATCATAAGATAGAATGGAATACATGCAGTAAATGGGTAAAGTTTATAGGTATTCTTTCTAAATTTTTAATTTGATCAGTTATGATTTTGAAGACCATTTGTCAGCTTTTAAAGAAATAGTATTGTCTTTTTTTCCAGAAATATATTAAAGCCAAGTTATGCTTTTTAATTCTTTTTTTCTTAAAAGAAAAAAATATGGGAATTTCCGAATTATCTGTTTCATTCTTTTTATAGTTCTATGTCTCCTCTTACTCATTCTTACCTCCCCTACCCAAATACTCTTGTAGTTAGGTCAGAGCAATAGGAGTACAGTTCTTTAAGATTATCAGAGATACCACTTATTTTAAAATCTCAAAGCCATATTGCTTTATTTTTTTCCCAGAGAATAAAATTGCTGGAGAGTTTATTTCTAAAATCATTGGTATAGGTTTCTAAAGTGACTTGTAAAAGGAATATGTTTTAATTTTCATTGATCTGCTTCGATCAATTTGCATTTTGGAAAATAATTTTTGAAAGTAGTTTACTATAATTCTGCCATTTAAAAGGTTTTATTTTAATAATATTACTATATTATAAAATAATGTATTCTGAATTAATACCAAGAAACAGCTGAAAGATTAGAAAAGGAGCATAGTTCTTTTTAAAAAATAGTTCTGTGTACCATATTGACAAGTTGGATTTTTCCATAATTAATACCTAATTTCTGAGTGGTTTCATACTTAGTTGTACATAATAAAAAATTTAGAGTGTTTTTGCAAATTTATTTTCATTTATAAGAACATAAACATTTTGTAGCATAGTTTAATATACAAATATATACCTTTTCTGTTTGTACCTTCTCTGCTTATGAACTCATGTCATGATACTATGGATACACTTGGAGTTATTTGTTACATCGATTTAACTTATTGGTCATGAATCAACAATCGTTTCTTACGGAGGTTTTATTTATTGTAATAGCATTTAGACAACCTTACTACTCATTTAGGTGTTGTTTTATAAGATATGTAGGATATATCCAAACCAATTGTTTTTCTCAAATGAATTTATCATCAGTCAGAAAGCAGAATGATAATTTAGTTGTTTCATCTATGAAAATTTTTTTTTTAGCAAATACTTCATCTGTAATTCACCATAGCTGTAGGAAGATGTTTTTGCTATACTGTACTTGTTAAGGTAGCTAACGTTTTATTACACCAAAAATAGATTTTGGCATATTTCTTCAAATACAGGTAGATATGTGGTAAATTTATATAGTTTTCAGTTTTCTAAAGAGGAGACGTTGTTAATTTTTATTTAATTCTAAAACGTTTATAAATAAAAATATTTTAATCTAATTCACATTTCAAGTTCAAAGTCAGTGTTTATTTTTTTTCCATGGTTGGAATTAAATTTATCTTTCTCTGCTTAAAATTTCATTTAACAAATATTTACTAAGTGTCTACTATGTTTCAGGCATTGTCTTGGATAAAGAGAATACAGAAATGAAGATGTGTCTGTGGATTCCACAGCCCTTCATTTGTGCTGGTGCAGCCACCAGATTCTATTTTATATGTTTAGAGTTAATGGTGTATATATGTATTTACTGTGAAGACATATATGTGCTGAAGGAACTAATACTTAAATACTTAAAGTGAATACTAATAAGTACTTAAAGTGAATAAATAAGAGTTTTTTACTTAAGTAGTTCTTAATATTTTATAACTTAGATATTTAAGTGTTTTCTACTGAGTCATAACAAACCTGTTTGTTGAATATTTCCTTCTGACATGCCTTGAACTTAGTGTTTGAAGCAATGATTGATATTTATAACTAAATTTTGTTAATACCCAATTAAATTTAGTTATGACATTGGTGTCAGACAATCTCAAGACTTGGAACTTAAGTTATGGAGAAGTAATCAGTATATTGTATATGGCCTAGTATATACAGTCTGAGTGGCTTTTCTTAAAAAGTTACATGGCTATATTTGAAATACTTCATAATGGAAAATTATACTCATGTCCTTTTTTAATATACATTATTTCAAACTGCTTTTATAGATTTTTAACCAAAAGCACTTTAAATAAATTTTATGAAGACTTTATGATAAAATTTCTTTACCTTAAAAGTTAATTTGCATATTACATAATATTTATATTTCTACAAAAAGTAGCTACATTCATTAAACGCTAGTCAGATAACACTAGAAATCTAGTAGATAAAAATATCTAATCCATTTATTGATCAGGTAACAATTTGAATTTTGTAGACATAAAGAGTAACATCCTAAAATCTAGCTGTAAGATATTTATATAAATTGATTTGAGTGTGGGCATTATCTTTATAGACATTAAACTTGGTGACTAAAAGGGACAGTTTTCCTTAAAATTCCATGGATACTAAATTATTAGAAACGTGAAGAGCTCTTCCTTTGCAATTTCTCTGCATTTCATTTGTCCTGTGCCAGCATTCCAGTGTTTCTGTAATATTTGACTGTAATGCTTGATGCTATTAAGGTAAGTTATGTAAATCATAGAAAATAGCTTGAATGCTAACATTTCCTAATAATCTTACTATGTTTTTTTCTTAACAACAACTGAGATTGTGAGACATTGCATTCCAAGATGGTAAAGGAGCCTTACTTAATGCCTACTTCGCTGATGAAGAGGTCAGCAGGGATGCTATTTAATAGAGGCCGGCTCTTTTCTAGATTCTAAGAGCATCACCGCCATGATGCTCAGTCTCCACTGGTGCAGTAAATGAGATTCTCAAATCTCCTACTACCCCTGGTGTGGACATATTACTGTTCTGCCATCAGACCACTCTGCAGTAGATACCTACTTCAGGAGATTTTTTAAAAAACTGCTTTGGGATGTTTCATGTTTGCAAAGAGTAAAGTTAACCTATGATTTTTACTAGCTGTACTACTGTTGTAAGGAATACCAGTATTAATTATTACCAAGGATACTAAAAAGCACAGCATATTTTATTTTACTGCGCAGGGATAAAAGATTGTTTTTCTTGTTCTCATATGTAAAAGAACAGTGTTTTCCCCTGCTATTTTCTTATCTTCTCTAAATCTGCCATTAAATTTCTTAGTGTAATCACTTTGCCTTTGTGAATGTATAATTGCAGCAGTGGGCATTTTTACTGAACTCTAGAAAAATGAAACCAGTGCCTAAGGGTGACATATAAAAAACTGCCTAAGGGATTTAAAAAATTGCATAAATTATGCTTTCTACTTTTGTATAAAATAATACATTGGTACTTTATTTTTGTGGGCAATATTTTATAACTACCTTTCTCAAAGATTAGTGTTACTTCCAATAAGTTTACTAAATGTATATCCTTTATTCACATTTTTGGGGGAAATATATTAAACCCCAATAAATTTTATTTAACTTGGCAGATTTTTAGCTGACAACACACAAAAAAGTTTGTATGGATATGTGCTTGCAAATGCATGTTTAAGAGATTCCATACTACTAATATATAGTGACTATATAGGCAAATTTGTGCATTAGATAGAACTTAATGACTAGATTGTTTAAATGAGAAGAGTTTTAATAAGAACAGATAGGAGATAAATGATTTAGAAAAAAATCTTCGTTGTGGAAATGTGTGGTACATTTAAAAATACTTCTGGCTGGGCATGATGGGTCATGCCTGTAATCCCAGCGCTTTGAGAGACTGGGGTAGGAGGATCATTTGCACCCAGGAGTTCGAGACCTGCCTGGGCAACATAGTGAGACCCTGTATCTACAATAAATAAATTAGCTGCGTGTGGTGGTGCGTGATTGTAATCCCAGCCACTCTGAAGGCTGAGGTGGGAGGATCACTTGAGTCAGGAGGTCAAGACTACAGTGGGCTGTGATTGTACCACTGCACTCCAGCCTGGGTGACAGAGCAAGACTCCATCCCCCCAAAAAACAAAATCTATAAAAGATGATTAAAAGACATGTTGGTGCTTAAAGAGGGTTTCCAGTAAGAAATTGTCTTGATTCCTTGTCAGCACACAATGAATTGGAGATTTTTGAAGGAGACTGGCCACACCTGCCCATCTATAGACATACAGCAGTAGCTGGTGCTTCAGAGAAGACTCTTTATCTTTTCTCCTAGATGAAAAATTAGGGTTCTTAGGCCCAGGTAGCCTTTAGAACCTGAATGCTCCCTCACCTTTGGTCACTCTGAATGGTGGTGGTTAATTGAATTCTTAGAATCAAAAGTAATCATGCCTCCTCCATAGTTAACAAGAAAGGGAACTAGATTTACCCAGAGCTGTCTTATCTACTCCCTTGGCGCTAGTGCTCTGTGTATGTTGGTGGCTTTTGAAATACATATTTCTAGTTCTTATTCTCTAGCTCTCCATCCAAATTGCCAGCTGAACCTGAACTGTACCTGGATGACCCATATATGTCAGACACTGGTGTGCCCCAAACCAAATCATTCCCTAAATCTTTCCCTGGGTTTTCAGCCTTACCTAGATTTCAAAACTAATCATTTATTAATTCATCCATTACTAAGCACCTGCCATGTAGTATACGCGTTATTAGATGCTAGAAAAACAAAGATAATATAGTTTCTAGTTTTTAGTTTAGCTAAATGGAGAAATTATCTCTGAACCGTCTCATTTTCTCTCCTTCATTTACTTGGTCAAGTCTAGTCTATTTTTCCTAAATACAAATGTCTCTTAAACATTCTCCTTTTTTTCCACCCTCACTGACATTACCTTAAATCAGTAGCTTCCTTATTAGGCAGTTGCACCAGCTTTCTATCTGGTCTCCTTGTCACTAGGCACTTGCTGGTTCATCATCCATACGGTCATCAGCATAAATCTTGAAAAATAAATTTGGTCTTTCTTTTCTGGTTATACTTTTTTTTGATGAGTTACATTATTTACAGAACCAAGTCTACATTCAATAGCATTTATTGCAAGGTCCTTCATAATCTGGCCCCAATTTCTACCACTTCCTTCATTCACCATATATACCATTCACAATAAGCTGTTTCCTCTCTGAAAACACACTAATTTTAAATGTTTTTATATTGTTGCATGTACTTTCCCCTTACAACTATCGAGCTCTCTTTTTACGCATCATGGTCCATCTCCCAAATGTCATTTCTCAGTGAATCTGCACTTTGCCTCCCTCCCTTTTAGTTCATTTTCTTCTCTATAGTCAGATAATTATGTTTATGCATATTATAATACTAACATAGCACTCATTTTATGTCATTACCATTTTATGTGTTTGTCTCCAACTACCCTGATGTTTGAGGGCATAGACGTTGTCTGTTCATTTTTGTATCTCTTGCACAATGCCATCCATGAACATGAGAGTCATTGATTGAATGATCTCCCATTCTCCTAACAGGCATTTATGGTCTTCATGGTTGCTAAAGATTTGCAGGCAGTTTGCATGCTAAAAAGTTCCAGAGATTAGAGGCTTTATCTTCAGTTGCTCTGTGTATAAACATACATGCTACTTTTTGTTTATCTGAGCATATTTGAAGACTAGCAAACCACTCTCCTTTTTTTTTTTTTGAAATGAAAATTTATGGTAGTGATTTAAAGTTGAACTGCTTTGATGATATTTGCCTATTTCTGCCATGTGCTGCATTTACCACCTCTGCTTTGTGTGTGTAAAAATGTCAGTTGAACTCTCAATATATGCCATGAACCGTCAAGTCTCCTGAATTCAGATCAAATGTGGTGCTTGTTGGGTTGTGTGGAACTCATACACTGAAATTTCATTTGTTAAGTTCATTTATTTAAATAATTTAATATGTTTCAGATTGTGAAGCTCCTCCAGGACAAGCAGGATAGGATATTTCTTAAGTCAATGGACATATAACAACCTATGAACGTATAAAAATAATGAGCATGTTAAAAATTAATTACAGTTGTAAATTGATTTTCTTTTGTTGGCAGAAATAACAGTTTATTAGCCGAGAAACAGGTTCACACTGTTTTTACATCAAGCATTTCCAGCTGAAGCTTGTTAGTAGCTGCCTCTCAGATTAAGGAAAAAAAAATCCTCACTGTGGTACATGAACTCCTATTGTTACAACATAAATAATCAGCTCATCCCCTACACAGATGAGAACAAAGGACATAACAGTACACAGAGCAAAGATTAAACAAATATTGTATAACCCCATTTAGGATGTAAATCTAAAAATATTGTACACAGAAAGAGATTTTTGTTTTTTTATTTTTCTTTGTGAATTCCTCAGTCATAACGTAGGACCTAGTCAAAGGAAAAGGAATATATACTGTGGCTTTTGAGTCAGATAGATTGATTATTTTAAGCTAAGGTGAAATAAAATATGTTAAGCAGTGTCAGAATGCTGCTGATGTATGAAAGCTAGGGAAGTACTATTCTCTTTGATAACAGGATGCCTCAGATTTTTAGGGGATTTGTTTAAACTGAGGAGGACAAAAAAATAACAATTTTTATTTTGAGGAAAAACATCAGTGGAAAACATGACTAAAAATTTAGTAGTAAAACCACTGACTTTTAATACAGTTTTTTAAAAACAAAAACAAAACTTTGTTCTGTATTTTCTAACATGAAATCTGAATCCTGACTTTGAAAAAGAGAACCTACTCCCTAGGCTACTTTTTTATTCATTTGAGTTTTATTCATTTGACTTTGAGCTTGACAAAACGGACAAGAAAAGCAGCTGTGGAAAGCAGTATATAATCCCCTAAAATCTGAACATTACTGACAATAGAATATATCTTCATAGGGTGTAGAAACCCAGAAGGGGAGTTATAATTTTCCCACAATTTTTATATTTACCTACATAATTAAGATGACTTTACCTGGAAATGATTCTAGTGTTTCAGAAAAAGACCTTTTCATTACCCTTTCTTTTAATGTATTTTAATATTTTATGAGTTGTAGTTGTGAATGTTTCTGTAAATGACCTTTAATCCACAAATGTGTAAGAAACTGCTTTGGGATACCATCTTCAATATCATCTAATAATTTCTGGATTTAAGAAATCATGCTTTCCCCCAACCTTAAATTTACTTTTTTTTTTTTTTTTTGAGACGGAGTCTTACTCTGTCGCCCAGGTGGGAGTGCAGTGGCACAGTCTCTGCTCACTGCAACCTCTGCCTCCCAGATTCAAGCGATTCTCCTGCCTCAGCCTCCCAAATAGCTGGGGCTACAGGCATGCGCCACCACACCCAGCTAATTTTTGTATCTTTAATAGACCTGGGGTTTCACCATGTTGGCCAGGCTGGTCTTGAACTCCTGACCTCAAGTGATCTGCCTGCCTCGGCCTCCCCAAGTGCGGGGGTTACAGGTGTGAGCCAACATTGGCCAATATTTACCTTTTAAAAATTAAACCTTAAAAACAGCAATTTAATGTCTAATGTAATATATAATCTGACTTATGAAAAATTAACCTGTCATTAGGTTAAATCAATTCCACATTAATGTTTTACTTTTGTGACATCAAACTCATACATCTAACAATTCTGTTCACAGTATTGTTAATTGTTACTTCTCAAGGTTATTCTATATCCCTGTGGCAGGACATTTGCCTGTACTGTATTGAGATACTTCTTTGTCCTTATTGCTACAATTTCATTTAAGGCTTTTTCTCTGTTTTACTTGCATTGCCTGCTCTCCTGGGTTTCTTACTTTTCCAGCATACTAATAGTTATTGCCTTCACTGTAGAATGCAAGGTGGAGTAGTCATTTCCTTCTTCCATAAAGCTTTCCTAATCTCGCCCAACAAAATTATCTCTTTGTATTCTATAGCTCCTTGTTTGGGGTAGTATAAGGAATATGGGCTTTGGATTCAGATAGTATTCAAAGCCAGTGCTGTTCTTAACCACTGTTAACTTCGTGACCTTGAGCAATTTACTCACCTCTCTGAGGTGGTGTCATCGTCTGGAAAAGAGAGATTTATTTATAGTAATCATGGGAGGGTTTTTGTGAGAATTGAGGATGCACAATGTCTGTCACAGAGCCTGGACACAGTAATAAATTCCAGTCCATATGCCACTAATTACCATGGTCATTAATAGTATTAATTAGTTCCTATAGCTATCTTTCCCTGACCCCTGCCCCTCAAGTTTTGTCCATATCCTCTGCTAGAACCTGAGGGAAGGAGTAAATGCCAAAACACATATGTGTCATTCTCAGGAATTTTGAAAGACAGCAGAAAAAAAGATAAAAGCACATAGGCTCATACTGGTGTTCTTTATTCACAGTAGCAGTAGTCTTGGCAAACCATTTTCTAATCATCAACACCCAATGTGAAGTATTATTTTGGCTAAATGTTTTTAATATGTTCAGTATTCTTAAAACAAGTGTTTAATTTAAAATTTGTTGTTACAACTCTGAAATGTTTTCTAGCAAACCTTTAGCACGACATATGTGTTGTATTATTTTTCATTGGGACTTTTGGATTAAATATTTGGAAACGTTCATTTGTGTGGGTGACTGACTAGGGACTGATAATGCCAATTGTCCTTTTATGATGTCTCTTTCATCATCTATTAAGTGAAGTATTGATCTCCAAAGTTTCAAGTCCTGATGGGCAAGCTCAGAATTTTACTGTGCAATTATTTTTATGTTGAAAAATTTATTTTTAATAAATTTGAAGTGCAGTTGGCTTTTATAGCCCCAAAACAAACAAATAAAAACAGAACTTTTATCATTCAAAAATATATAAAGTAAGAATTTGGAAAAATAGAACACTCCGGTTGGGATTTATATAGCAATACTTTTGCTATAATCTTCCTTTGCTGTAGAGGAAGTAATAAGTTTTACTAGTCACAGGTTTGTGGCAAATTTGTAAGGACCTTTATGGACTCACAGCATGAAACCAGTAGCTACAAATCCTCCTTGAGTCTGAGCCCCAAGTCATAACTAATCATCTGCCTTTAAGTAGGAGAGATTTAAAAATCTTTACAAATAAGGGTTAAAAAGTGTTTTTATTTTTACAAGTAGATTTTTTTAGCTTCATAGCTACTTAAAACATTTTGAGATAACATTTATTCTGACAGTTTACAAGGTATTTCTCAAAGCCCTCTATATTTTGAGTACGTTATCAGTGTTTTATTTTTTAATTAAGCTTTTTTGAGGTAATTATAGATTCACACACAGTTGTAAAACATAATGTGTATTCTCTCTTCCTGTGTGTCCTTTACTGGTTCCCCACAGTGGTATAACATCTGGCAAAGCTATAGTAAAATATCACAACCAGGAAACTGACATTAATGCAATCTACTGATCTCATTCAGATTTCCCTACTTCTATTTGTATTCTTTTGTGTATGTCTATATATATTTGGTTATATGAAATTTTATCCTGTGCATAGTTTTGTTAATTCACCACCACAGTCAAGACCGGTTCCATTATCACAAGGATTCTCCGTGATACTCACTGATGACCATACCTTCCTCTCTTCCTCCCCTTCCCCAATTCCTGTTAACTGGTAATTGCTACCTCTAGAATTTTGTCATTTCAAGAATTTGTTTAAGCATAATCATATAGTATATAACACTTGGGAATTAACTTCTTTGAGTCAGGATAATTCCTCAGATTCATCCAAATTTTTGCATGTATTAATAGTTCATTCATTTTAATTACTGAGGAGTATTCTGTGGTATACATATACCACAGTTTGTTTAACCATTCACCTGTTGAAGGACATCTGGGTTCTTTCCCGTTTTTTGGCTACTACAATTAAAGCTGTTAGGAACATTCATGTACTAGTTTTTATGTGAACATGCAGTTCTCTGGAATAAATGCATAAGTGCAATTGCAGGGTAATACGGTAATTGCCTGCTTAGTTTTATAAGGCGTATATGTTTTACCACTTCAAGTGAAGTGTGGAAACCATACTGCCATTCCTTTTACTTTCTCACTTTTTCAGATACTGTCTTGAGTATCAGAAGGTGTTAAAATGTTTAATCAAATGTGATTTAGAAAACTCATGAGGATATATTCTCTTGTATTTATCCACAAATCTCCTCTTTCCACTGTTCGTTCTTTCACTTTTATTATTTCCTTTTGTTTGAAGAACTTCCTTTTGCTCTTCTTTGAAGGTCATCTGCTAGTGACAGATTCTTCCGTTTTACCTTGTTCGAGCATGTCTTTATTTCCACTTTATTCATGAAGGATAGTTTTGCTAGATATAGAATTGCCAGATCTTTCGTCAGGATTCTTCTTTAATCCAGGGGAGGAATGAGCCTACCTGGGTAGCCTTTTGCCGCTCAGTTGTGGATTGGAAAGTGCTGGGCTTGGTTCACCTTTCGCTCTTGGGTGGGGAATTCTAAGACTCGCACCCTCTATATTGTTTCTGTAGCCCTAGGGTCCCTAAGCAGCCCACCTACCTCTTTCTACCTTTCAGAGTCCTCTTTTGGTCGCCTCTTATATTATTTCCAGGATTTATAGTTGTACTTAGCAGGGAAGAATAACAAATATGAATCTATGCATCCTGTCTGGGTGGGAAGTTCTTCTGTATTTATCTTTTTTTTCTAACCCTCTGTCTAGGCTCTTTGTTAGTGTTTGTTCCTGAAATGTGTTCCTTGGTAATTCAAAGCTCAATTGAATGAGAAGCCTTCTGTAAATTAGTGCTAAAAAAAGATTACAGAATGTTTTACCATTATTATTTAGAGAGCTTTTTTTTCCAACAGAGATTAAATCCTTCTAAGTCATTAATTTATTTACTGCAAAATATTTCAATTTATTATTCCATGCTGGAACTACAGACTTTGTGTAAATCTCCCCCTGCATTTGGGGACCTAACAACAGGAATGACTGTTGTGTATCTCTTTTCTCTAAGTCACAGATGTGTCACTGAATAAGAAGGGTCGAAGTTAATATACTTAGCCATAGAAGACTATGTTAACTCTTTTCTGTGTATCTTCCCATTCATTAAAATTTCAGGCCTACTCTCATTATGGATTTCTACAAGTTTCCAAACTAAGAAGGCTATTTGTCTTATCTTGGTTTTCAGCAATATTTACTGTCCCCCAAAGACCCCTGTATCCCTTGGTTGCCCATCCTGTTCTGTGTCTTTTTCCTGTATAGTAAAGGTCTCAGGCAGTTAGATGGGAAAGGCTCGGCCCCACCTCTCCCTTATTTATGCATATACATGCATGCATGTGAAACTGAGACACCACGATGAATCTGAGTACTCATTGTCTAGAGACTTTTTGTCAGATCCACACTGACCATATCAGACTACATAGGTATTAATACTAGCCTGGAGATCTGAGTTCATATTGTCATGAACATTTAAAGTGGAGCAAGGAAGTAAATAAGTATTTTTTATGATCCTGTTCATTATTTATTTATTTGTGAGACGGTGTCTCGTTCTGTTGCCCAGGGTGGAGTACAGTGGCACGATCTCAGCTCACTGCAATCTCCGCCTCCCAAGTTAAAGCGATTCTCCTGCCTCAGCCTCCAGAATAGCTGGGATTACAGGCACATGCCATCACGACCGGCTAATTTTTTGTATTTTTAGTAAAGACGGGTTTTTGCCCTGTTGGCCAGGCCTGTCTCGAACTCCTGACCTCAGGTAATCTGCCTGCCTCGGCCTCCCAATGTGCTGGGATTACAGGTGTGAGCCACTGCTCCCAGCCTCATTTTTAAATGCACAGTACCTAGAGTAAGTCCTCAAGAGTTTCATGGATATATAGTTGGAAATAAAAATTAGCCAATTTAAGGATTGGATAATAGAAAGGAAGGTGGATATTCTGCTATTTATGCATATATAGAAATAATTTTTAAAGTTTTATATGTATTTTTCCAGTAGTTTTCATTTAGTAAGTTAATAAACTAATACGTTTGAGATTCAAAATGTTGACTCCACTAATTAATCTTTGTGCTTGATTTTGTTTTCAATTTTACTCTAGCAAAATTTTAATAAACTGGGAAAGTACCTTTAAATATTTGGTACATTTGTTCACTCCTTTTTTTATTTTTATTTTTATTTTTGAGACAGAGTCTTGCTCTGTCACCCAGGCTGGAGTGCAGTGGTGCGATCTCAGCTCACTGCAACCTCCACCCCCTGGGTTCAAGCAATTCTCATGCCTCAACCTCCCAAGTAGCTGGGATTACAGGCACGTGCCACCATGCCCAGCTAACTTTTGTATTTTTAGCAGAGACGGGGTTTCACCATGTTGGCCAGGCTGATCTGAAACTCCTGGCCTCAAGTGATCTACCTGTCTCTGCCTCCCAAAGTGCTGGGATTACAGGTGTGAGCCACCGCACCCGGCCTGTTCACTGCTTTATGTAATAGATATTCTTCTGAATATCTATTATTTGTATATTTGTGTACAATTTATATATATGAATATTTTTATGTTGAGTTTTTCAGTGATTTTCACATGATAAAGTCAACAAATGACTGAAATGAGTTTTTTTAATGTGAAAAATCACATTCTAATTTAATTGCTTTTTTTAGGTTTAGTTCTTTTAATGTATTAGCTTTTCCTAAATCATCCCTACCCCTAAAAAAATTGATCAATCATCTTATTAATATTTTGGAAGTTCCTTTTAGCTGCTGCATCTTCAGCTGAAGTGATATTATATTCTTTGCACAATTTACATGATTAATTTAGCCGGGGAATCTTGGTAGAACTGAAAGTGACTTCAAGGGCTTGTTTGTTCCAACTTTCTGCCTTTGGACATTTGTTACAACTAATGTGCTAAAAGTAAAAAACTGTAAGGCATCTGAAAATATTCTTGAGACCCTAACTTAACTATATTAAAGACAGATTTTGTGTTTTTCTATGAAAAAATTGTGGAAAAAGTAATTTAGCATACAATTTCGATTAAAGAATCTAAATATGTGAGTGTTCGAATTAACAGGAAAGTATCAGTTATGAGAAATATTATAAGGAAATGTCAGTGGCAAAGTACAGGGTAATTAATGTTTTCTTCTGTATTAAAAAAAAAGTACTAAGGGGAACTGCCTTTAATAATAGAGTTCAATGCATGATTTTTCAAATAGCTATTACTAACCTATTTTAGCAAACGAATCCCTTACAGAAAAATAGAAAGGGTTGAAGTTAATATACTTAGCAATAAAAGACTATGTTCACTCTTCACTACATATCTTCCCATTCATTAAAATTTCAGGCCTACTGTCATTATAGATTTCTACCTGTTTCCACACTGGGAAGGCTATTGAATTTGTCTTGTCTTGGGTTTTAGCAGTACTTACTCTCCCACGAAGACTCCTGGATCCCTTGGCTGTCCATCCTTTCTGTGTCTCTTCTTTTCATAGTAAAGGTGTCAAACAATTAATCTTTTAAGAGATACGAGCTCAGGGCCTGCATTTTATCATTATTAAGTGAACCTTTCTTTAAACCTCATTTCATGTCTGTTTTGTCTGATGTTTAACATATTTTCATCATTGTTCGTTTTATTAGAATTTGTGTGACATATCTCAATTTTGTCTTTGACCTTTAACTTTCACATGTGCTTCCATTTTATATGTATCTCTTTTAAACAAAATGCAGTTTGATTTTTTCAGTCTTTTTATTTTATTTGAAGCATTTCATTTACTTTTAATACAATTGTTAATATAATTTTGTTTCTATTATCTTGTTTATGCCATTTGATTTACCTGATTTTTTTTCTCCCATTCTGTAGATTGCCTTGTCATTTTATTGGTTGTTTCCTTTGCTGTGAAGAAGCTGTTGAGTTTGATGTAGTCTCATTTGTTTATTTTTGCTTTTGTTTCCTGTGCTTTTGGCAGCCTATCCAAAAAAATCATTGCCAAAACTAATATCAGGGAGTTTTTTTCCCTACGTTTACTTTTAGGAATTTTATTGTTTCATGTCTTACATTTAAGTCGTTAGTCCATTTGAATTAATTTTTGTGTATGGTGTAAGATGAGAGTTCAGTTTTATTTTTTGTGCATGTGGATATCCAATATTTCCAGTACCATTTATTGAAGAGACTATCCTTTTCCCATTGTGTATTTTTGGTACCCTTGTCAAAGATTAGTTGACCTTATATGTGTGGTTTTATTTCTGGACTTTCTGTTCTGTGGATCTGTGTGTCTGTTTTTATGCCATTACCATACTGTTTTGATTACTGTAGTTTTGTATTAATAATATACTTTGAAATAAGGAATTGTGATACCTCTAGCTGTGAAAAATGCCATTGGAATTTTGATGGGGATTGCATTGAATCTGTAGATTGCATTGGGTAGTATGGACATTTTAAAAATCATAATTCTTCCAGTCCTTGAACACAGGTATCTTTTCACTTATTTGTGTCGTCTTGAATTTCTTTCATCAGTGTTTTATAGTTGTTAGTGTATAAATAATTCACCTTCTTGATTAAATTTATTCTTACATGTTTTATTCTTTTTGATGCTGTTGTAAGTTAGATTTTTTTAAATTTCGTTTTTTGATAGTTCATTGTAAGTGTATAGACATGTTTGTTGATTTTTGTATTCTGCAACTTTACTGAAAGCATTTATTAGTTCTAACAGCTTTTTGGTGCTCATTTATAGTTATAAATATTTAGAACATCCCTGTGTGGCTGAAAGATTATTATGATGATTTTTGGTTTTGAAAATTGAGGTCCACATTGTTGAACTGACCAGTCTGAAGTCTACTGCTAGCAAGTGGCAAAAGATAGATCTTACTAACTTTAAATGTTTTTTTCTCTTAAACTATGTTCTCTCTCTTCTGAAATCAGAAGATTAAGTGTGGAATCTGAATGGGCCCAGTGGTGAGAGTGGGAATGAGGTAATTGGATGATCTTAATACCTTAAGTGACAGCCAGGCAGCTCCACCTCTACGGTGAATACAAATTTGTAGCATATACCAGATTTCTAAGTTAATGGGCAAAGAGTCCTGTATCTTAGTGCTAGAGGCATACTGCTGGGTTTATTCTGTTGAATGCTCCCTTTATGACTATTTTGCAGATCATCCTAATTCTTTTAGCACACACTCTTTTCAGGCCGGAGTATAATACATCTGTTAGATCTGCACTTTCTTAGCTGTGATCACAGCTTATGCATGTTTTTTAAAAGTTTTGGAGTTGGAGTTAGGAGATTTAATTCCTAGTCAGGTGAGTTTCTGGCACCATCTGGGCATTACCACTTTGATCAAGTTACTAAACATCTTAGTTTTAATGTTGGTTAAATTAACAATTTGAATCTAGCAATCTTCTAATGCAGAGGTCAGCAAACCTTTTCAGTAAAGGGATACATAGTAAATATTTTAGACTTTGCAGGCTAAAAGGCAAAATGTAGGATATTATGTAGATACCTTAATAAGTAAGAGAAAAAAACTCTTGTTGCACCCTACCTCATTTGCCTGGGGTAAGTCATCCCACATGGTGGGCATGCTTTGTGCTCTGTTGTCATCAGCTGGAGACATTCTTGGAATAAAGCAAGAAGGGGCCTGGTGGGCAGAACAGGCAGGGTGGCCACCATGGTCATTTTCACTCTGTCACAGTGACACCCAGGTTCCCATGCACCCTTCTTTCCTCCCAGAGAACCTAGCTGCCTCAACAAATTTCAGAGGATTGCTAGTATGCAGATCACATTCTGTGATCCCCCAGAAACAAAACAAAAAACTGGAAAAACTCTGTAAGTTGGAAATAAAGGAGGACTTCCAAAATAGCAAGAGAGCCGAAAAAGAAATCAAAATGGACATTCGAATTAAAAGGACTATAGAACTACTTACAAGGTAGTGAAAGTAAAAAGAGATAAGAAAATATAATTACAACAAAAGGTAAGAAAGGAATGAGAAAAAGGAAAGGAGGGACAAATAGGTCAATATAACAGTAGAAAGAAAAATTTTAGAAAATCATTAGATATATTAAAAACAAATGGAGTCTATGGTCCTAATGAAAGGTAAAAGTTGTCAGACTGATTATAAAAACAAAATCCCACTATATGTTATTTACATGAGAACTGTTTTAAATTGAGAAAACATCAACCTTGAAAGTAGAATCATGAAAAGTAACAGAAAAAGGCAGAGCACATAAAGGAATGCTAATATAGCTATATTAAGATTAGAAAAAAATACACTGTAAGCTAAGACATTACTGGAGAATAAAAGGGTTATTATAATGAAAAGGTTTGTCAACAAAACGTAATTTTAAATCTGTATGTATGTTACCTAGTAACATAGCTTAAAAACTACAAAGCAGAAAGATTCTATGATAACAAAAGAATTTTAATACCTCTCTCAGTTTTGATCAGGCAGATTTTAAAAATGGTGTATATAAGATTTAACAATACAAATAATGTCTTTGTTACATATGTGTCTTGTGTAATAGACATATATGTAACAAAGCAATAGACATGTAACAAAGAACATAACATTTGCAAAATACATATTCTTTTCAACGCACAATATTTATAAAAGATATTTCAAGGTGTAACCTAATTATTGATACTGAATTAGAAATTAAAGTCTTAGCCTTTTGAATGCAGAGCTTTGTATTTTGATGTATTAATATAAATTGCTTTTCTAGTTGAAATATTTCTTATTTACTGAATATAGGATTTTCTCTACATAAGATACTCTATATGAGATATTTATTATCTGTTCACCCTTTAATTTGTTAGTAAAGTAATCGACTAAATACTGCATGATAATTTTCCCTTTAAAATGGTAATGGGAAATGTAATATAGTAAGATGATCATGGTTTCTTGAATTCTTGCTAAGCCAGTAGATCTGGAATATGGAGAAAGTTACTTAAGATCTCTAAGGCTTATCTATAAAAAAAAGTATAATAATGTCCACCTTGTGGACATGAAGGTAATGAGGAATAACATGAGATAATGTGTATAGAGTACTTAATACCAAGCAAATTACTACTGCTGTTAGTGTTTTTATTATTCATGGGATGTTTACTTAGCATTTGTAAAGTATTAGTCTCAAATTAAGTGAGCATTTTAATTCCTAAGACACATGATTAGGTATTACAGATAGTTTAACTTAAAACTCTTATTCATATTGCCACTGAGCAGTTACAGGTAACTAAGTCTCCAAATTTTATCTTACTGCCATTGCTGACTCTTTTTCCTGCTGGCTTATGGGAGACAAAAATAAGAAATTAGGAGAAGACAATGGGCGCTCAAAGAATTTCAGCTCTTGGATCAGCTTCCTTTCTTAGATTTCAGAGAACTTAATATTTTAGTTGGCCATATGAATGTTAAGTGATTTTGTACTTTGATTTTGACCTATCAAAATACACTTTTGCTTTTACTAATAATCCTTCTGGTGTTTTCCTGAGTACACGATCAGCAATAAGTTTTAAAGCAATGGTTGGGTGCGGGGGCTCACGCCTCTAATCCCAACACTTTGGGAGGCTAGGCAGGTGCATCACTTGAGCCCAGGAGCTCAAGAGCAGCCTGGACAACATGGCAAAACCCCATGTCTACAAAAAATACAAAAAATTAGCTGGGTGTGGTGGCATGTGCCTATAGTACCAGCTACTCAGGAGGCTGCTGTGGGAGGATCACCTGAGTCTGGGGAGGTTGAGGCTGCAGTGAGCCATGATTGCGCCACTGCAATCCAGCATGGATAATGGAGTGAGACCCTGCCTCAGAAAAAAAAAAAGAAAGAAAAGAAGGAAAGAAAGTTTTAAACCAAGACTAAGCCCAGGTCTGAAGGATGTATTTCTTATCTCTCATCTAACCAGCTACCTAACTCTTAAAAAGACCTAAATCCATATTATTGTTTTATACCCAAAGGAGTATAGATTTTATATTCTGAGTTATTTAGATAGATATTCTGTAAAATTTTTAGAGGAGGAATGTGCTTTATTTGCAGCTTTTAAAGGTTTAGCGGTCATGTGTCTGAGTAATGAAACAAAGCTGTCTCTAGTGGAATTCTTAGGGACTGATTGTTTGAATCAGTTGTTGAGCTAGGAATCTTGGTTGGGCTGAGTGCAGTGACTCACACCAGTAATCCCAGTGAAACAGGAAAAGTTCCCTTGTCCCCCTTCCAGGGGTAGTGGCTTGCTTCTTCAGTGTCCCGCTGCTCAAACCTCTAATGGGAGCATGCAGACGGGCAGGTTGTGGGGCTCCAATCTCACGGCCGCATCTAGGGATGAATGCTTACAGCTCCTGAAGCCGCAGTGGGCGTGTTACAGTGTGCTCTTTTAGTTTTGCCATCTATAGGTGGCTTGTGTTAGCTCAATTAGACCCTCTGCCTTATTGGAAGGAGAGAGGGCTTTCTGTATCCTTAGTTCTTGCCTTGCTGTACCGAAAAATCCGATCAAATGTGGGCTTGGAAAATGAGTGCAAGGTTTTATTGAATAGTGGAAGTAGCTCTCAGCAGATGGTTGGGGAGCCCGAAGGAGGATGGAGTGGGAAGGTGGTTTTCCCCTGAAGTCTAGCCGCTCTTGGCCAAACTCTGTGTTGTCCCACCGTAGGTGGCCTGCTGGCATCTGCTGGTGTCTGCCGGTATGTTGCTCTCGATGTCCAGCCGCTTGCTTGTTCTTCTGCCAGTGTATTCCTCTTAACGTCCAGCCACTTGTATCTCTACCTGCTAGGGTCTCGGGGTTTTTATAGGCACAGGATGGGGGCATGGTAGCCAGGGTGGTCTTGGAAAATGTAATATTTAGGCACAAAAACTGAAATGCCAGCCCTTACCTAGGTCTGTGGGCTCAGACTTGGAGTGGAGCACTAGCCAGGGACCATGGCCTTCTCTGCCCAGCACTTCCCTGCCCCCCTCCTGTATCACCGACCCTTTGGGAGGCCAAGGCAGGAGAATCACAAAGCGAGGAGTTCAGGACCAGCCTGGACAACACAGTGAGACCCTGTCTCTACAAAACAATAAAAAATTGTTTTTTTTTTTTTTGTAGGCACATTTAAAAAATGTGCCTGTAGTCCCAGCCACTTGGGAAGACTGAGTTGAGAGGACCACTTGAGCCCAAGAATTTGAAACTCCAGTGAACTGTGATCAAGCCATGCCACTCTAGCCTGGGTAACAGAACGAGACCATATCTCTAAGAAAAAAAAAAAAAACAAAACTAGGACTCTGACAACTAGTCTTGGTTGTTAGACTGGAAAACATATGTACAAATTTGTATTTACAGATTGCAAAGTAGTCATTTTCTTTGCAGACGTTTTTTGTGATTCAGTTATGTATCTTTATCAGACTATAAGATGTTTCAGAAACAAAAGTATTACATAATCTTATTAAAACAGTTTCTTATAAAAATGTTCTCTTTTAGATTACCTCTCTAGTGACCCTTCAGCTGTTAACCCTGGTTGGCCATGACGATCAGCTTGATGGACCAAAATACAAATGCACAGTGTCTCTAGACTTCATCAGAGCTATTGCAAGGTAAAATGTCTTGAATTATGTAATGATATACTAAATATAAAAATTAGTGTTTTCCAAATGTGATGTCATTAGTCATGACATTTAAACATGAAAAAATCATCTATTTAAGTGCCAAGAATGAATAAGCTGTACGATAGAATGAACCTTCTCAAATTTACAAATGATGTAAAACTGGGAGAAATAGCTAATATGTTAGAGGACAAAAATCAAGATTCTGAAAAACCTTAATAGGCTGGAATAAATGATCCCATAGTGGCAAGGTAAGATTTAATGGACAGTTGGCTACAGAAAACTCTCTTGTATTGAAATAAGATGGGAGAGAGCTGGCTTAAGTCCTAAATTTTTTAGCTGACTACAAGGCTTTAAAAATCCTGACTTAGGTAACACTGATAGAAATATAGTGTCTAGGTCAGGGGACATAATCATTCTACTGTGCGTTGTCACAGGCAGATCAAATCTAGTGTGCTGTGCTGTGTTTAGAGTTTTCAGAGAGACAAATGGATACATACTGAAGGGGCACGAGGAGAGTGGTAGAATGAGGAATTGTGTCACATCCCTGACTGAAGGACAGAGTGTGAGAGAAAAGCCTTAGGAAGGACATGTGAACTGTCTTAAGTGTTTCAGGGGCTGTCGTGCAAAATGAATGAAGCTAATTCTGAGTAATTCTAGAATGTTAGAAGTTCTGGGGAAGAAAGTACATTTGTCAAAATGAAAGCTGTCTAAAAATACAAGTTTCCTTACAAAGAGGTGTTCTTAGTGTTATGGAAAATGTTCAAACCATTTATATGAATAAGTGACTTCATCATACGGTTGCAGCTGGATAACAATCTGTCAGGACTGTAATGGAAGAGGTGATGAGTGTGTAGACTGGCAGAGTGAACAGGGCAATCCATAGACAGTGTGTTCCTAATCTTTTTCAATATGAAGATTCCATTTTAGCACCCTTTAAAAATTAGTCATGAAAGTATTTACATATATTTCAAAATTAACAGTATTTAGGCATGAGACATTATTTTGTTCAGCCTAAAACAGTGCTTGATATCAGTATAGATTTGCAAATCTCCTCTGATGATTAATTTTACAGCTTCTTGAGGTTCTGAAGTCCATAGGTTGGCAGCTTCTCCCTGAAGTCTCTTCTGAATTCAAAATGCTCTGAAAAATAAATAAATAATAAATTATTGAATGAATGGCCAGGTGCAGTGGCTCAGACCTGTAATCCCAACAGTTTGGGTGGCTGAGGTGGGAGGATTGCTTGAGGCCAGAAATTCAAGATGAGCCTGGGCAACGTAGTGAGACCCCCGTCTCTATAAAAAATGTTTTTAAGTTCTGTGATAATATGATGCAGGTATTTACCACATTTTTGTGGCATATAGGCTGTAAAACATGAATTCAAGGGTTTTAGTGTTTCATTTTAATAAAACCAGGAAAACTTTTACGCAGAGAAAATTGAGCAGAAACTTATTTTTTAGTGTGTTAAGTATAATCACAAAGCAATTACTTCCTTTAAAAAAGCAATTATATTGGAACTTTATATCTAAGAGCCTCTATCCAAGGCATAAATTTGGAGTGAAGCCTGTTCATTTCAGGGATTTTATTACTCTGAATATGTTAGGTTGTGCCCCAGTATAATCATGTGCAAAACAGAAGTTTGTGGGTTCCTAATATAGTGAATCTCCATTGAATCTGACTTAATTTGACGTTACTTAGTGCAGAGCATCACAGTGATGGATGTTAGACACATCCAGAGACATGCACTTTCATTTACCACCTCAGAAGGAAGCAAGAACTTTAGACCTGGAATCTTGACATAGAACTTGGGGGCTCTGTAACTTTCTTTTGTTTTCTTTACTGTTCCCTACTTCCCATGGGCAATATCCATAGAATAAGCACCCGCTCCTCCCCACACCTGCCCTCTTCCATTCTCTCATCCCTGTGTTTTGTACTTCTTTTCTGCTGACTTTACCTTTCATTCTTTCCCTCCCTCCCATGTGCCTTAGGAATTATTATTCTCCTAATAGTCTTCCTCATTGCCTTAGCTAAAACCTGATTCCTTCTTTGGGATGCTGCTTCCCCTGGACTTACCTCTAGTTGTAGCTATGTATTTTCTCAAACCCTAATCCCTCAGGGTTGGAGGTCATTTCGGTGCCATCCTTCTTGTTGCCACTTCCAGACTGTTACTGCCCCCAACTTCTTATAAAAATGTGGACTTCCTTGAGACTCATGCAATCTGGCTCTATTTCCCTATTCTCCTTAAGACTGATTTTTGTCTCTTCAGCCATTCCACCTCATGTATTGAGATAATAGGGCACCTGGTATCCAGACTTCTTTTCCACCTAATTTTTTTTTTTTTTTTTTTTTTTTTTTGAGATGGAGTGTCTTGCTCTGTCGCCCAGGCTGGAGTACAGTAGTGCGATCTTGGCTCACTGCAACCTCTGCCTCCCGGGTTCAAGCGATTCTCCTGCTTCAGCCTCCTGTGTGGCTGGGATCACAGGCACACACCACCATGCCTGGCTAATTTTTAGCAGAGACAGAGTTTCACCATGTTGGCCAGGCTGGTCTTGAACTCCTGACCTCAAGTTGATCTGCCTGCATCGGCCTCCCAAAGGCCTGGGATTACAGGTGTGAGCCACCGCGCCCAGCCTCCACCTAAATTCTTGACTCTGTTTAAACCCCACATTCTAACGCCTGAGTTCATTCTGTTCAGTCTTCACTCTGTTTCACAGAACAAGGTTGAAGCCATCAACTGAGAATTGAGCTACCTGTGTTAGTGTCCATCTTCTCTTTCTTTCCTTTTTCAGCAGGATGGGGTTCCTCTTCCTAAGGTAGATTCTTCTACCTATGCTCTGAATTCCATCTCCTCCACTTTCCCAGAACCTTTGTTAGTCTCGGCTGTTTGTCCTCTCAGTGGCACCTGACACTGTTGGCTACTCTTTCTTAAAACTCTCTTCTCTTAGACATGATTCCACAGTATTCTGGTTTTCCTCTTTATTCTTTGGTTGTTTTTACTAACAAAGGCTATCTTTACCATCTGACCTTTAAATATAACTGTTCCTTTAGGCTTGGCCCTAGGCTCTTTTCTCATATTACATTTTTTTCCCTAGGCAACTTGAGCCACACCTGTGACTTCAACAATCATCTGTGTATTAATAATGCCCCTGTTTTTAAAGACCAGACCTATTTTTTATAATATTCTTGACCTTTATTGCTGTTTCCCAGCTATATTAATACATTTCCAAAACTGAACTTAGGAATTCTAACCTCTGCTTCAACCCACCAACAAAAAGTGAAATATCTGGCTTTCCTCCAGTGTTTCTTATTTCAGTGATAAGCACTGCAGTCTGCTGTGTTACCCAGGCCTGAAATTTGAGTCCTTCTTGACATCTCTCTCTCCCCCACTCCTAATATTTAACCATTAGTCCTATTGAGCTTACAAAGCCCCTCTTATTTGTCTCAATTTCATTCACTTGTTATCATGATACTTTTACCACTCTAGATCAAGCCACCATCATCTCTTCTCTAACAGTCTAATTGATCTTCTGTCTGCTCTTATCCTCTTATAATTTATTATCCATGCTGTAGCCAGAATGATTTTATAAAAATTTAATGTCACCCTGCTCATTAAAAATATTCAGTAGTTTCCCATAGCTCTTGGGATAAATAACAGAATCTTTTAAATAACTAACAAGGCCCAAATGATCTGGCCCCTACCTGTGCCTAGCCCCATCTAGCACATACACCTTCTTTCCTCGGTATCTGCACTTTAACCACTTTTTTCCATTTTTTATATTCACCATTCTGCTTCCCATGCTTGTATATACAGCATTTTCCAGCTTCTTTTCTCCTTCACCTAGCTAACTGCTACATAACCTTTAGATTTCAGTTTAAATGTCTGCTCCTTAAAGACGCCTTCTCACAAATACCACAACCACCATGATCACCCCCCCATACCACACACACACACGATTTGGAAGTTCCCATTTTGTTCTTCATTATATGTAACAAGTTTTACTTAAATAATTGAGTAATTAGAGTTCATCTTTCTTTCTAGAATACAAGCTCCTAAGCTCAAAGCAGACTGTGTTTATGTCTATCACTGCCTTATCCTCAAACCTAGCACAGTGCTTTAAACTTAGTATGTGCTAAATAAATATTGCATGTTTTCCTATAGTGATTAGCAGTAAAAATTCAGATGAAGGGGAACCATATGAATTTGTTTTTGGGGACAGCAAGAAGGGAGCTCAGAGACAGTCTCATTCCAAATCAAGGCTTGATGGGAGAGGAAGTCCCAAGGATAGTTACCAAAGAAAAGGAAGGCTGGCCTCATTCCAGACACCTGTGGCAGAGAACAAATGAGATAATAGGGATCACAGGATATAACCTAAATGTCTAAAATGGCAGTCAATCAATAGCATCATGTATTTTTATAGAGTTATTGAAAATCACACTTTTGAAGGATAGTAACTTGGGAAAATAACTCATGATGTAAGCTTAAGTGCATGTAACAGTTCATATAAAGTTGCATATACAAGAAAACTAGGAAACTGTAAGGGACAGGAGTAATGGTCAAAAGTCAGTTGTCACCAAGAAATCAAGCAGAATCCTCTGATTTACTGATAAAGCAGTCATTTGTAGCTTTATCCAGAACACTTTCAGTGGTATGATGAAGTAGAAGTCATATTGTAGTATTTATGAGAAAGTAGATGTAGCAAAGAGAGATAATGTTTTTCATTCGTTTATTTAACATTTATTGTGTTGCCCATTATAAACAAAACACTGTGGTAGGCTTTGGGGAGATACAGCAACAAGTATAACATAGCTATATCCTATTCTTATTAGCCTGTATTCTAGGATTCATTTATTTACTTATTTATTTGCTATAAAGGAGAGAGAGTATTTTTTTTTCTTTTTTCTTTTTCTTTTTTTTTTTTTGAGACAGAATCTCACTCTGTCACCCAGGCTGGAGTGCAGTGGCACGATCTCGGCTCACTGCAGCCTCTTTCTCCAAGGTTCAAGTGATTCTCCTGCTTCAGCCTCCCGAGTAGCTGGGATTACAGGCGTGTGCCACAACGCCCAAATAATTTTTGTATTTTTAGTAGAGATGGGGTTTTGCCATGTTGGCCAGGCTTGTCTCAAACCCCTGACCTCAGGTGATCCACCCACCTCGGCCTCCCAAAGTGCTAGGTTTACAGGCATCAGCCACTGTGTCTGGCCAAGAGAGAGGATTATAACTGCTGAAGGGGTTATGTGGTTGAGAGAGGGTTATTATTTATTTTTTAAAGATTTGAGCATATTTAAATGCTGATAGGAAAGAACAGATAGAGAAGGAGAGTTAATGATACAAAATGGAGAAAGATTAATTTAAAGCACAAAATTACTGAAACGTTATATAAGCATGGGGTTTAGAATTTGAGTTGCAAGAGCTGTAGATGAGAGAGCGGAATCTTCTTGCGTTATAACAAGAGAAAAAGATGGATTCTGATGGAGCTGAATTTGGAGGTTTGGTGGCAAAAAGTTGAGGGAGTTCTGATCTGATGAATTCCATTTTCTCCGAGAAGGAGGAGACAAAATTGAGACTAAGGGCAGAAATAGTAGCAGTTTAGAGAAATCTGGAACATTTGAAATAGCTGCCATGGGGAATGGAAGAAACTGTTGAAAGGAAAGCAGTTTGTTGGGAGTGTTGAGGTTTTTGACCTTGAATTTACTTACAATGGCACCAATCTGTGAGACTTGTGATCTTCTCCAACACCAATCCATGTGCTAGAGACTGGGACAGCAAAGAATTATAATCGAAATCACATCGTACTGGGGTTTTGCCAGGTAAGTTCAGTGGATTCCAGCAAGTAACCACTTGACCTGATGAATCATGGAGTCTTAAGCTAGGACGGGCAGGAAGGAAGTAAAGCCAGTCGGGGGCTAATAATTCAGTGCCTAGCATATAGATACTCAGTTAATGTTTGTAGATCAGGAAAAAATGAAGCCATTTGTGAACTGATTGTCCCAACATGTTCCAGATAGCAAAAAAGGGATAAATTGGGGATCATAAGGTAGAATGTCTGAATTTATTTCTTTAGAAGTAGAGCATTTCTGAGTGTGATTATGAGAGTGGAAAAGGTTATTGGAGGTAAGAAAGAGAAATATATAGTGAAGTCACTAGGCTGACGCAGGTCTTGGGTTGGAAAGGAAGACTGAACTGTATGCTAAATTACTCAGTGACTAAGGGATGGCGACAAAGAGGATGGGGATGGTGAGCAGAATGGTCTTAATCTCAGAGTAGCAGAGCTTTTTGCACAGGACACCAGCCCCACCTGACAGAACTGTCCGGGGGTACAGTAGAGAGTTAAACATTCATTGGAAGGAGCTGAAGAAAAGACTATGTCCTTTGAGGGGAGCCTAGTTTCAGTTAAGCCTGGAAGGGGAAAATAACCATTCCTTGAAGAGATAGAGGATATAGAGACTACAGTGGAAAGGTTTGGACAGAGAAGCTGTAGGAAGCTGATTCTAGAAAGGGAACATAGAATTTGGAGATAGAGTATGGGAGAAGGCAGATAACAGATGACTGAAAAGCTTACTAAATTTTGTTCTTGGATTGTTCTTAATGTGAATGGTAGTTACACATTTTCAATTGTTTTTCTTCCACAGTCAGTGGGAAGACACTATAAGATAAATAGAGGTTACAACTTAAAGTTGTATGGTTGCAAGTTGTCAGAAAAAAAAAAAATTAAAAAAATCTCAAACTCAAACTGCCCACAAAAGTAAAAGGAAACAAAATAGTATCCTAAAGAAAGAAAAAGTATTTTAATGAATCAACAAAATGAAATAAAAGGATAAAGGCAAAATTAAATCCTTAAATATATGCCATATAATTAAGTTGTATTAACGTATTCTAAATTCTGATTTAAGAATTACTCCTAGGAAAATTGCCACCACACTATTCGTGTTTACTGTATTTCTTTCCAGCTGGTTACTTTAGAAAATAATTCATTTATGTTCTGTGGGAGAATCTCCCATAGTATATTGAAAGTTATCCCAAAGTTTAAAATTATACTTACGTGACTATAATATGCATCTGTGACCATGGAAAGCCAGGGAACATCCATGCAAATTACACAATTCTCTTGTAAGTTATACCTTTCTTTAAAGAGGATTGTTTGTCTTCAAGTACTTTAAAGCACAAAATTATCTTTCGGATGTGTGGCATAGTTTTTTATGTTGCCCCTGTGATTATTCTAACAAATTCTGCCATGTCTTAAAATAATATATGTGAGATCAATTGGCAAGTTACCTATTTATATTGGGGGTGGAGGAATGGTAGAGATAGTGATACATCTTGGGAAGTAAATGTTTCTTAAAGGAATGATTTTATATTCAATTCCTGATCGATTTTTTTTAATCTAAAACTCTTACTATGATTCAGTTTGCATGAATACTTACCACTGACAAAGTACAGAAAGGGAATATAATGAAAGTTTTATGAACATTTAAGTTGCTTAGTGTTTTTAAGTCACTCCATTCATTCTATTAAGTCTGTTCTGTTATTTATTTATTGTACAAACTATTCTAATGCTATAGTAACAAACAGATTTCTCAAAAAATAGAGAAGTCCTACAGACATCACAATATTTTCATGTATTTGTGCTCTTCTAGTACTAGTCCATTAGACAAACATTTCTCTGCAGCCGTCACAACTTACTTGCAATTATTTCTTCTCCCTTTCTCCCTTAATATTGCTGGTATATCTTCATATTGATCATTTTGTATGGCTGTATAATATTTCATCAAATAATGTATTGTAATTTATGGATTCTCCTAGTTTTGGAATTTAAGTTGTTTTAATCTTACCTGCTTCAAAAATTTTGTTTTCACCCAAGTCCAGAAAAAAAAAAAATTAGCAACACAACATTAAGTCCATTTTACCATATTACTTTAGGTTTATAACCTAAGACCCAAAGTCATTGTGGAGAAATGTGCCTGGAGAGATGTACAAATACCACTTGCCTTTTCTGTCCGTGGTTAAAAGTAGTCTATAGGTGGGAACTGAACAATGAGAACACACGGACACAGGAAGGGGAACATCACACTCTGGGGACTGTTGTGGGGTGGGGGGGAGGGGGGAGGGATAGCATTAGGAGATATACCTAATGCTAAATGACGAGTTAATGGGTGCAGCACACCAGCATGGCACATGTATACATATGTAACTAACCTGCACATTGTGCACATGTACCCTAAAACTTAAGGTATAATAATAATAAAATGAAGTTTAAAAAAAAAAGTAGTCTATTATATCCGTTTCCTTTCTATGGTCCTCTAAATAAGATCTTTTCAATCAGTATCACGATTTTTTAAAAACCATGTGTTGGCTGGGCGCGGTGGCTCACGCCTGTGATCCTAGCACTTTGGGAGGCCAAGGCGGGCAGATCACCTGAGGTCAGGAGTTCGAGACCAGCCTGGCCAACATGATGAAACTCCATCTCTACTAAAACTACAAAAATTAGCCAGGCGTGTTGGCACATGCCTGTACCTTCAGCTACTTGAGAGGCTGAGGCAGGAGAATTGCTTGAACCGGGGAGGTGGAGGTTGCAGTGAGCCGAGATCATGCTATTGCACTCCAGCCTGGGCGACAGAGCAAGACTCCATCTCAAAACAAACAAAAAGAATCATGTGTCAAAAGTACTTTGGTGCCCATAAATTTGGGTGTTTCTAGAGTTGAACGAAAGAAAAACATATAAAATAACTTTATGATTTAATAACCATACTTTTTGCGTCTTTATGCAAAAGATTTTTTTTAAACTTTTTAGTTCTGCAGTATTGTTTTGGCAGTTTTATACCATTTGGAAAGGCTTAGTATTCTTCAGAGGCACTGTTACAATGAAGCAAGTTATTCTTCAGTCCAACATTAGGTACCACAATAGCCATAGCATCTCTTTTTAGCTATTTTTAAATGTGTTTTCATAAGCAGTATCTATAGTTTCCCATTCCACATTTTAAAAAATATTTGATATGTCAGTCATTTGCTTAGAAACTTTTTTAGAAAGTATATTGCAAAATGATAGACAAAAACATTAATTGATGATGGTTTAATAAATAAGAGCATGCAATTAGTGAATCTTTAAAAGGCTGTTCTCACATGGATGATTATTTTTGCAGAATTGAATACTTAAGGCTTTAATTTTATACTTATTGCTAGATCATTATATCCAATTATTTTGACCATTTATTCAAATAATAAACCAAGTCTGAATATTTATAGTGAAGAATGAGTTTTGTGAAAGGAGAATAATTATATGTCTCTCTCTCTGCTATTTTATTCTGCCTGCCATCAGAGTACAAAAATATACATTCACATCATCTGTTTGTTGTATCATATTCTTGGATCATACAGATTTAGTTACAATACACACACAGGTCAGCCAGCGTTAAAAGACTGAAAAGAATGAAAACTATAAATGAGGACAGATGAGCTATGCATTATGTAATGACAAAACAGGTGTCTCGGAAGATAAACAATGTTCAGAAGCAAAGAAGATTTAAATACTTTTGAATCTCTAATTACTTTATTCTGGTTATTAGACAAAGCAAATAGCTTTCAAATGAAGTCTAAACTTTCTGTAGTACAATTGAAGTACATAATGTTGAATAGCTCTAGCTTCGTTTACTTTTTTTTAGAAAGGCAAACTTCGTGCATGGCAAAAAAAAAAAAAAATTAAAATATTGTGTTCCTAATAACATTTTAAAGAATTAATGTCAGTCCTATCAGGGTGCATTTGATAGCACTATAGGATTTTTAGCATTAGTCATGAATTATTTTGCATGTGCTTTCCAGAATCATACAAAGCTGAGCAATCTAGGGGTGAGAATGCTAACATATTATCTGTTTTTGTTTTTAGGACGGTGAACTTTGACATAATAAAATACTTGTATGATTTCTTGTGAAAACAAGCTTCAAAGCCATATGGACACTGTGACAATGACTAAGCCAAGCTGTGTTCATCCAGCTACTTAGCTGGCCAAGGAGAGGAGTTCTTTGGCTCTATTGGATTTGTCCAAACAGGTGCTGGCCCAGCATGGAATCTGATGAAAATATTCTGATTGGTCTGGGTGGATGTGAGCAGAAGACTATTTACCAGGGACCCTGGAGTATTTGGAAGCAACGTGTTAATTATAAACAGCAGGGTTTGAGCACAATCTGTTCTACTCTTAATGATGTTATCTTAACACTGAAATTGCCTGAAACCCATTTACTTAGGACTACATTTTGCTCTGTGAACTATCCCCTGCGCTTTGAACGTGCCAGCAGCCCTTGTTTATATGCCCATTCTTTTCACTTCCTCTCCACAGGAGCCTCTGCAGTCGCTTGCCAAAGCAGATTTTCCTAAGGCCACTGTTTTAAAAGATCATAGTTGCAAAATATAATAAATACAAGTTCTTTTTAAAATCCAAGCTTGTGTGTATTTATCTTTTCACTTGCTTTTCTCAAAAGGCAAGGTAGTTTGATCAGAAACAGACCAACTTTCCCTCTTTCAGCCTACTTGATAACTGTGGTATGCTTGTATAAGGTTTATCTGGTCACTTTCTTAAAATTAGCTACCCAACCCAGTTTTTTTTTTTTTTATCAGTATCATGGTTTTATTTTCTTTCTTTCTCTTTTTTAAAATCACTGGCCTTTAAGAGTTCCACAATAATTTTTTTTCCTGTTATATCACTTGTGAACTTTGGTTTTGATTTTCTTGTCCATATTTTTGAAGAAATTTTCTTTTAGCATTTGAATGCTTGAAAATTATTTTAAGCAGACTTAAAGTTCTTAGTTATAGAACCTAGTGTAAATTTCAGTGGCATTTTATTTCTTCATTTTTTTTGAAGAAAAATTCTCACGATAGGCACTTTTAGTGTAACTATCTGGTTCAAAGAAAGCAAGTAATTATCTACTATTTAGAGGTAATGAGTTAGGGAGAAAAGGAATGGAATTCCTTTCGCCTCCCTACATAAATAAGACAGACTTTCTTGCCTGAAGATTGACATCCACAGCAAGTGATAGAGCATCCCCACTGTAAATCTCTTGTCCCACAGAAAATGAAGTTTGTGTTTCACAAGATGTTTGGAGATGCCAGGGTCAGAGAAAAGCCATGCGTAGTGTGGATTCTGGCTTAGTTTCCAGCATGTAGAAATCCATGTCATCAAGCTGTAGAAAACAATTTGGGTAGCTGATTGAAGGAAGAGCAACACCACCTAGGATAGCTTTCAGCCCCTCATATTTGTTTTGCAGATGCATGTCTGCTGTGCAGCCTGTCACGGATAAGCGGAACCAGTCTGTATTTTGAGGGAAGAACTCTGGGATATCAGGAGGGGAGAAATTATCAAATAGGAAACTGGAGAGAAGGATGGAAAGGAGGTGAAGTTTCCTATAAGTGACTGTCCATGCATCCTCACAGCTGGTCACCTGTCTCCTGCCCGGTGCATTTCCTCTCCTGTACTGCCCCACCTTGTTACCAGCCCCAGATGTGGCTTCCCGGCATAACACTAACCAGATTTTCCCTGCCCCTGACTGGGTCATCAGAACTTTCCTGTTTTGTAATTTACTTTCTAATGGCTTGCTAAATGACTCAGCAGCTAATTTGATTAATTTATTTAGATGAATACTAACAGAGCTTAATATGGATGTTGGCATTTTAACAAGGGTCATCTGCAAGTGGAATTCTCTAATTGGAAGATATGAATCTCCAATTACAGGAGGGAATCCAATAATGAGAATTAGGCTGGCCGGCGGGCCAGAAATTTCTGTTAAGAGGAGGCACTTAAATTATACTCAGCATCTACTCTACCTAGGTGTAAAAGTAATTTAGGTGGTAGCAGAAGAAAGTTACTAAGCTGTAGGTTTTTAGACTATACATAGGTGGTCCTCCATTTTACAAATGTCTTCTTTCAATTACCGTGAGCCAGGTATACATAGGTGGAGACCTTACTCCCTCTTCCCTCTTACTTTCAAGTCATTTTCAAGCCCATTTCAAGCTTTCGTTGATGCAGCAATTCCTTTCAACAACTCTGGAAGAGATTGTGATCTACCAAGCCTCATCTCATTAGTCATAAAGGGGTCAAAGTCTTGATACCAAGATAGCAGTTGAGACTCCAGGCTCTGGAATCCTTGGATCAAATACCAGCTGTATTGCTACTGGCTGTCTGGCCTTAGGCAAGTTATTTAATGTGTCTCTGTGACTTTCTCACCTGTATAGTGGAAAGTAGAATTTACTTCGTAGCATTTTTACAGGATTAAATAAATGAATATATCTAAGGCAGTAGTTCTCAACTAGGGACATTTTGCCCGCCGGCAAACGTAGTCATTTCTGGAGACAGTTTTGGTTGTCACAACTGGGTGTGGGGAGGGTAAAGGCCAGGGATGCTGCTAAATACAGTAGTCCCCACTTACCCATGATACTGCTTTCCTTGAGTTCAGTTACTGTCCGTCATCCTCAGACTGTGGTCTGAAAATATTAAATGGAAAACACCAGAAATACAGTAGTCCCCACTTACCCATGATACTGCTTTCCTTGAGTTCAGTTACTGTCCGTCATCCTCAGACTGTGGTCTGAAAATATTAAATGGAAAACACCAGAAATACAGTAGTCCCCACTTACCCATGATACTGCTTTCCTTGAGTTCAGTTACTGTCTGTCATCCTCAGACTGTGGTCTGAAAATATTAAATGGAAAACACCAGAAATAAACAGCTCATAAGTTTTAAACTGCATGCTTTTCTGAGTAGTGTGACGAACTCTCATGCTGTCCCGCCTAGGATGTGAATCATCCCTTTGCCCAGCCTGTCCATGCTGTCCATACTACCCACCGGTGAGTTGCTTAGTAGTTGTCTAGGTTATCAGATTGACTCTTGCAGTATCTCAGGGCTTGCATTCAAGTAACTCTTATTTTACTTAATGGCCCCAAAGTGCAAGAGTAGTCATGCTGGCAATTTGGATATGTCAAAGAGAAGCTGTAAAGTGCTTCCTTTAAGTGAAAAGGTGTAAGTTCTCAATAAGGAAAGAAAAACATCATATGCTGAAGTTGCTAAGAATGTGGTAAGAATGAATCTTCTATCTGTGAAATTGTAAAGAAGAAAAAAAATTCATGCTAGTTTTGCTGTTGTACCTCAAACTGCAAGAGTTGTGGCCACAGTGCATGATAAGTGCTTAGTTAAGATGGAAAAGGCAGAAGATGTGAACCGAAATGTGTTCAAATTATGGTAATCAGGTTCAGGACTGTTAGAGGGTTTAGCCATCCACTGGAGGTCTTGGAACTTATTGCCCCTGTGGATAAAGGGGGACTACTGTATACTAAAATTAATATCCTATAACAGAATAATCTGACCCTCAAATGTCACTTGTGCAGAGGTTGAGAAACCCTGATCTAAGTAAGGTACCTGGCACAGAGTAATTGTTCAATAAAGCTATTATTATCCTGAAATGTGTCTTTGTGGGCTAGAAAGGAGGTAAATGAGGGAATGTGACATTCTTACTAGAAAGAGGCACATCCCTTTTTTACTGTAATCTTACCTCATACCTAGAAAAATTATTTCTTGTTTAAATTTTGGAGTTACTCAAATGGAAACAATACCTTGGATTTTAATTTTTAAAATTGAAGTGTTATCTACTGGGTTCCAATCCGTACACAGATTTCATTACTTATTTTTCAATATCCTGTGGGATAGGTCAAAATTATAGCTGAGAATTATCAAATCAGAGAGCAGGTGACTGAGGACTTACATTTTTTTCCCTCAAGGTGTACTGGCTGAACAATTAGTGGTATACCTCCAACAGATTTAGTTAACCAACAACTGATTAATGTAATTAAGATGGTCTGGAGCATGAAAAACTCAGACTGTAAGAAGCCCACTCAGTCTCTCCAAAGTATGCATCACTCTGCTTGTACATTCCAAAGAAAAGTCAGGGACCAAGTCCAGGAATAATGCATCTCCTATCACATTAAGTACTCAATAAGTATCAAAAATAGCAGATGAAATTCAGAAACTGTCTCATGTGTAATAGTGTCCTCCATTGCTACCTGAATTCTCACACTATTGTGTACTATAATTGTTTGCATTTTGTGCCTTTAGCCATAGGCAGAAGCTTGGATTGGAGTTAATTTGACCAGAGGTTGATATTATTCAGCTTCATCTCCTACATTTAGAAAGCTTCATCTACTACAAAGTGTGGCTGCCTAACATGTGAATAGTTTAGATAATTTCGCATGTAATTTCACTCTGCTATCACACTTTGCTTTCAAAAATGCTTAGTAGAGCTCAACAAAATCTTTCCTATAAAGATAACAACATTTCACTCAAGTTTGTCATTAAATGCCCTGAATACACAGTTAATGTTCATTTTCCAGCAGTGGCACACATTCATGAGACACAGTATGAGAAGTAGAAATTTGGTAGAGCAGAGAAAATTATAATCAATTCATTCATAACTGCATGTTGATGCACAGTAATGATGGGAATTTTAGAAAGCATTCAACTGTTCGAGTAAATAGTCGTAGCTTTGGCATGTTGGAAAGAGCCTGGGTTTTAGAGGATTGGAGATTTGCTTGGGTTTTAGATAAACCGTAATCCATTTCATTTTTCTTTCAAGGAGTTGAGGGTTCGATTTAATGGCGGTTTCCCTAAAAGTGTTTAATTCAACAGATTCTAAATACTAGTTATGTGCCAGGCATTGTGTTAGGTGAATGGGATACATGAGTTATACAGAATGAGAGAGTTTCTGGCCTGGATAATAGGTACTACCAGCATTGGTAGAGTCATTCTCTGAAATAGAAAATCTTGGGGGAGGACTAGGCCTGTAGGGGTGGAGAAGATTATGAGTTCAGTTGCCATTAAAGTGCTTGTGAGAAATCCAAGTGGAAATGTGAAACAGGTAGTTGGATCTAGACTGGAGATCAGAGTTGCTGCAAGTATAAATGTAGGCATCATGAGGATAGAGATGGTTATTTGGTGATTTGGAGGTCTTAATTCTTACAGTAGTATCCATCACATGGTGAGGGAGAAACCATGTTGAAGTGAGTTTAGGAAAATATATAGAAAGTGATCATCACCATTGTTTGTCAAGAACTACAAGTTGTATTTTTTTTCAAATAACAGTTCTCCACTGTTCGTATAACCCTGATTCTCCTCAGCAAGTGAAGTGGCAGTAACGAGACATGGCTAGATCTTATTTAGTATCTAGCTCAGGAAGGAAAAATCAAACCCTCTTAGAGTCTTAATTCTATGGAGAATGTTAGATCACATGGGCTTTCTATGTGCTCTCTCTACTTCCTCATGGCATGGTGACTAGGTTCTAACGCAAGCATCCCAAGAGAAACAGCAGATGCTGCATGGCCTTTTCTAACCTAGCCTCAGAAGTCACAGAGCATCACTTTTGTACCATTCTGTTTGTTGAGGCAGGGATAAAGGCCTGCCTATACTTAACAGGAAGGGAATTAGACCCACTTGATATTAAAGAACTTGGAGACAGGCTTTAAATCACCACACAGAACATAGTAGGCTGAAAATAATACTATGGGATGCAGACGGAATATATTTTATGTCATCTCAAAATTTGAATTGGTATGGCAGAGACTGCTTATTGTCCATGCCTATGCTTCCCCCAAGTATCTTGCCTATCTGCTTCCAAAACACAGGAACTCTGACTGCAAGAAGGCCAATGTGATCAGAACACAGGAAACAAGGGTAATTGTGGTAGTAGATGGGATCAGAAGTGATTGGGGGCCAGGTGGTGTGTGGTCTTACAGGTCATTGAAAGACTTTGGTTCTTATTCTGTGTGAGTTAAGAAGCACTGGATACAAAATCAATGTGCAAAAATCACAAGCATTCTTATACACCAATAACAGACAAACAGAGAGCCAAGTCATGAGTGAACTCCCATTCACAATTGCTTCAGAGAGAATAAAATACCTAGGAATCCAACTTACAAGGGATGTGAAGGACCTCTTCAAGGAGAACTACAAACCACTGCTCAATGAAATAAAAGAGGATACAAACAAATGGAAGAACATTCCATGCTCTTGGGTAGGAAGAATCAATATTGTGAAAATGGCCATACTGCCCAAGGTAATTTATAGATTCAATGCCATCCCCATCAAGCTACCAATGACTTTCTTCACAGAATTGGAAAAAACTACTTTAAAGTTCATATGGAACCAAAAAAGAGCCCGCATTGCCAAGTCAATCCTAAGCCAAAAGAACAAAGGCATCACACTACCTGACTTCAAACTATACTACAAGGCTACAATAACCAAAACAGCATGGTACTGGTACCAAAACAGAGATATAGATCAATGGAACAGAACAGAGCCTTCAGAAATAATGCCGCATATCTATAACCATCTGATCTTTGACAAACCTGACAAAAACAAGCAATGGGGAAAGGATTCCCTATTTAATAAATGGTGCTGGGAAAACTGGCTAGCCATATGTAGAAAGCTGAAACTGGATCCCTTCCTTACACCTTATACAAAAATTAATTCAAGATGAATTAAAGACTTACATGTTAGACCTAAAACCATAAAAACCCTAGAAGAAAACCTAGGCAATACCATTCAGGACATAGGTATGGGCAAGGACTTCATGTCTAAAACACCAAAAGCAATGGCAACAAAAGCCAAAATTGACAAATGGGATCTAATTAAACTAAAGAGCTTCTGCACAGCAAAAGAAACTACCATCAGAGGGAACAGGCAACCTACAAAATGGGAGAAAATTTTTGCAACCTACTCATCTGACAAAGGGCTAATATCCAGAATCTACAATGAACTCAAACAAATTTACAAGAAAAAAACAACCCCATCAAAAAGTGGGCGAAGGATATGAACACACACTTCTCAAAAGAAGACATTTATGCAGCCAAAAAACACATGAAAAAATGCTCATCATCACTGGCCATCAGAGAAATGCAAATCAAAACCACAATGAGATACCATTTCACACCAGTTAGAATGGTGATCATTAAAAAGTCAGGAAACAACAGGTGCTGGAGAGGATGTGGAGAAATAGGAACACTTTTACACTGTTGGTGGGACTGTAAACTAGTTCAACCATTGTGGAAGTCGGTGTGGCGATTCCTCAGGGATCTAGAACTAGAAATACCATTTGACCTAGGTATCCCATTACTGGGTATATACCCAAAGGATTATAAATCATGCTGCTATAAAGACACATGCACACGTATGTTTATAGTGGCACTATTCACAATAGCAAAGACTTGGAACCAACCCAAATGTCCATCAGTGATAGACTGGATTAAGAAAATGTGGCACATATACACCATGGAATACTATGCAGCCATAAAAAATGATGAGTTCATGTCCTTTGTAGGGACACGGATGAAACTGGAAACCATCATTCTCAGCAAACTATCACAAGGACAAAAAACCAAACACCACATGTTCTCACTCATAGGTGGGAATTGAACAATGAGAACACATGGATACAGGAAGGGGAACATCACACTCTGGGGACTGTTGTGGGGTCGGGGGAGTGGGGAGGGATAGCATTTGGAGATATACCTAATGCTAAATGATGAGTTAATGGGTGCAGCACACCAACATGGCACATGTATACACATGTAACTAACCTGCACACTGTGCACATGTACCCTAAAACTTAAAGTATAACAATAAAATAAAAAAAAAGCACTGGAGATATTTAAGCAGAGGGGGTCACATCATCTGGCTTAGATTTTGAAAAGGATTACTGAATACTATATGGAGAATAGGCTATAGGGAGTCAAAGGAGAAAGCAGGAAGATCAGCTAGGAGGCTATTAAAATAATGCAGGTGAGAAATAATGGCTCAGATAAGGGTGTTAGCAGTGCAGGGGGTGAGAAGTTGTCAGATTCTGGATATAATTTGAAAGAAACTTCTATAGGACCTGCTAATTAATTGAATATCAGTTGTGAAAGAAGAAAGTCAAGGATGACTTTGGGGTTTTTAACCTGATCATCTGGAAGGGTGGGGTTGTCCCTAGCCGAGATGAAGACTGGAGGAACAATTTGAGGGGTAAGAGGGATAGAATCAGGGCTTTGGGTATGGGCATAGCAAGTCAGAGATTTCTGTTAGGTATCTGCTATGGTTTGAATGTTTGTGTCCTTCAAAAATTCTTATGTTGAAACTTAATCACCAATATGATAGTGTTACATGAAGGTGGGGCCTTTAGGGGGTGATTAGGTCATGAAGCCTCTGCCCTCATGAATGGATTAGTGATCTTGTAAAAGAAGTGTGAGGGAGCTCTGCACTCCTTTTTGCCTTTCCGCTTCCTGTGCCATGTAAGGATACAACATTCATCCCTTTTGCTGTTTTGCCCTTCTGACCTTCTACCACGTGAGGAAATAGTGTTCCTTCCCTGCAGTGGACACAGCAAGGCGTCATCTTGGAAGCAGAGAGCAGCCCTCATCAGGCATTAGATCTGCTAGTGCCCTGATCTTGGACTTCCAAGTCTCCAGAACTGTAAGAAATAAATTTCTATTATTTATAAATTACCCAGTCTCAGGTATTTTGTTATAGCACCATGAATGTGCTAACACAGTATCTAAATGGAGATACTCAAGGAGGCAGTTAGATAAGTCGAGTTCAGGGTAGAAGCCCAGGCTGGAGATATAAACTTGAGGGTTGTCAGTAGCTAAATGGAAATGTATAAGGGAAATGTGTGTATGTATATATATATATGGCTGGCTCCTCTGGGTTAGAAAACTCCACCTATTTACTGCAAAAAGCTGAGCGCCTGCACAAGTGCACTCAGCTCCTCTAGAAAGTGTACCCCCGCCCCTGGGGAGTCGCTTCTAAATTGTAAGGACTTTTTGTTAGTCTTTTCTATGAAGAAGTAGGATTTATGATGCAATTGAAGTTTTTTTTTAAATACTAAAATTTCAAATACCAAGTTACTGACTTGTATTACTAAAATTTCAAAAGACAGCCAGGCGTGGTGGCTCACGCCTATAATCTCAACACTTTGGGAGGCCAGTGGGGGCAAATCACCTGAGGTCAGGAGTTCGAGACCAGCCTGGCCAACCTGGTGAAAACCCTCTCTACTAAAAATACAAAAAAATTAGCTGGGTGTGGTGGCATGCACCTGTAATCTCAGCTACTCGGGAGTCTGAGGCAGGAGAATCACTTGAACCTGAGAGGCAGAGGTTGCAGTGAGCTAAGATTGCACCACTGTATTCCAACTTGGGTGACAGAGTGAGAGTCCATCTCAAAAAAATAAAAAATAAAATTTCAAATGGCTCTTGCAATATTAAGATAAAGCAAAATGGCAGGAGAGAAGTGGGTGGGTCACAGATTTAGTTATGTCAATATATACATGCCCAGCCCAGCCAAAATGACTTCACAATACTTCACTTGCAGATTAAATGTGCTAATTAAATTCCAAAAGCTTATTGTTTTAAAGTGGTTCTTATTACCAAGCATTGACTTTATCATTTCTGAAGTATAAAAAATATGCTGAATTTATCCATTAAGTGTAAAGGTTCCCTCTAAGTAGATCTAAGTATAGAATATTTGGTTATTAGTTCTTAACATTTTTTTTTCCTGAAAATATCTATATTTTGTGAGATTTTGCCATAATCATGATGAATTCATCATAGATCACACTCAGCAGAGTATGTGCTTCAAGTTATGGCTCCAGATGTTGGACTGATTTGCACTGATTCTCTTTCTTCATGCCCATTGTGATCAATGACATTCAGGAGGCTGAACAGAGTGAGACTGACAGGCCTATCTAATGATTAATACAGTAAAATCAAATGGCTAGAAATCTAAGGCAAGATGGATGACTGGAAATCAAAGAAAGATAGGATATGAGCATTTACTTACCTGGGGCAGCACTGGGTGTCATATAATCTGGTAAGAATTTAGCGAAAAAATGTTTGGTAGATTTGGATAACTACCAAATATTTGGAAATTAGACAATACGCTTCTAAATAGCCCATTGACCAAAGAGATTGCTTCAAGAAAAATTTAAAAGTACTTTGAACTAAATGAAAATGAAAATGGAACATATTAAAATTTGTGAGAAGCTACTAAACCAATGCTTAGTGGGAAGTTTATAATATTAAATGCAAATATTAAGAAAAGAGAAAAGTCTAAACTCAAGTTTCTCCCTTAAGAACTAGAGAAAGATGAGCAAAATAAATTCAAAACAAGTAGGAGGAAGGAAATAACATTCAAGTAGAAATTAATGAAATTAAAACAAAAAGAAAATCAATAAAACCAAAAACTGGTTATTCAAAAAGATCAATAAAATTGATAAATCTCTAGTCAGGCTAACCAAGAAAAAAGACACAAATTACCAATATCAGGGATGATAGAAAGGGCATAACCACTGACCCCACAGACACTAAAAGGATAAAAGGGAAGATTATAGACAATTCTATACTCATAAATTTGATAATTTAAGTGAAAAGAACCAATTCCTTATCAGGCACAAAAAGCACAAACCATATAAAAAACTGATAAGTCGTTCTTCATCAAAATTATATTTTTTTCTTCTTCAAAAGATGCTGTTAAAAGACAAGCCACAGACTGGAACAACATATTGACAAAATACATAGGTCTGGTGTCCAGAATATGTAAAGAACTCACACAATTCAATAATAATAACCCATTAAATTTTTGAGAAAATAATTCTACAGATACCTTATCAAAGAAAATATAAAGATGGCAGATAAACACATGAAAAATACTCAACGTCATTAATCAATATGAAAATGCAAATTAAAACCACAGTGAGATACCATTGCATACCTATTAGAATGGCTAAAGAAAGGAAACAAACAACAAACTGACAATATCAAGTTCTGACAAGGATGCAGAGCAACTAGAACTCTCTGAATGTTGATGTCGGCAGGGATGCCAAATGGCACAGCCATTTTAGAGAAGAGTTGACCAGTTTCTTAAAAAGTTGAACATACAACTTACCATACAACTCAGCAATTCTACTTTAAGGTTTATTTAAGAGAGATCAAAACAAAATGAAACAAAAACTGCACTTCAATGTTTATAGTGTTTTTAAACCATAATAGCAAAAATCTGGAAATGACCCATCAGCCGGTAAACAGAAACTGTGGGACATTCATACAATGGAATATTACTAAGCAAAAAAAGAACAAACTACCAATACATGGATAAAACTAAAATGCATTATGCTAAGTGTAAAAAAGCCAGATTTGTGCTGTATTATTCCATTTTGTGACACTTTGGAAAAGGCAAAGCTGTAGGAAAGAACACAGATCAGCTGTTGCCAAGTCCTAGGGATGGAAGATTGGATTGCAGAGTCACTAGGGAACTTTTTTGTGGGGATTGAGATGTTCTGTATCTTAACTGTGGTGGAAATTAAGTGACTGTGCATTTGTCAAAATTCAAAGAACTGTGCATCTAAAACAGATGAATTGTATTGTATGTAAATTTTTTCTCATACAACTAGATTTTTAAAGAAAGAGCAAACAATGATATGCTGATTCCAAGGAACACCGTTTAAATATAAAGGCACAGATAAACAGAAAGTGAAATGTTGGAAAGAGATAGATCACGGAAACACTAACCAAATAAAAAGATAGTCTGGCTTTACTAATATCAAAGTAGACTTGCTTTAAGCCAAGCAATGAAAAAGGGACACAATATAATGAATAAGTAAGGTAATTCTAAATCTACAATAATTGTTTGAGTTTGTAGTATCCTCTCAGCAAGTAATAAAACAAGCACAAGCACGCACGCACATGTGCGCGTGCAAACACAGACACACACACACACACACACTCTCTCACACAAATCAGTAAAGGTACAAAAGATTTAAGCAACACATAACCTGACCTAACTGAAGCTTATAGGACATTATATTCAACACATAACCAACACATAACAACACATAACCTGACCTAACTAAAGTTTATAGGACATTATATTCAACAGTTGCACAATGCACACTCCTTTCAAGTGCACAGCGAATATTGACCAAAATAGAACACAGTAAGTCTCACAAATTTTAAAGTATTGAAATTATATGATGTATATTCTCTGCCTGCTGCAGGATTAAACTAGGAAGCAATAATAGATAACTAGCAACCCCCAGTCGTGTAATCAAAACCTTCTAAGTAATCTATAGGTCAAAAAAAGAAATCGCAATGGAAATTAGAAAATACTTTAAACTTTAATTAAAATACAACATAAAATTCAAGAGATTTGGCTAAAGTAGTGCTTAGAGAAAAATTTAGATCTTTAAATATCTACAATTAAAAAGAAGATTTTCAATCAGTGATCTAAACTTTCATTTCAAGAACCTGGCAAAGAACAGTGATTTAAGCCAAATAAGTAGAATGACAAAATAAAAAGTAGAAATAAATAAAATAGAAAACAAATGGGAAATAGGGAAAAATCAATAGAAGCCAAAGGGAGTCTTTGAAAAAAATAAGAAAATTGATAAATGTCTAGCAAAGTAATGAAGAGAAAAGAGAAGAAACACAAATCAGTAATATTAGAAATGAAAATGGGACAATACTATAGACTCCACATACCTTAAAAAGAAGAGCATATCATTAAAAATGCCAAGAAATTTGGCAACTTAGATGAACTGAACAAACTCTTTAAAAATCACTTTCCAAAACTGGCACAAGAATAAATAAGAAAAAAAATACAATCACTCCAATATCTGTTGAACAAATCAATTTCATAAATAGTTCCTCCAACAAAGTACATTCCAAGATTAGACGGCTTCACTAGCATATTCTACTAAACACTTAAGGAAAAAGTAATACCGACATTGCACAATAAGGAAAGAAAAATAAATGAAGGGCAGAAATATTAGAAATGAGTAAAGTTATCTTTGTGTATGTAGAAAATCCAAAAGAATATACAAACAAAATACAAGAACCAATATTGTGTGTCCATATAGTAGCAACAGTTGGAAAATAAAAGTATTAATTTATTGGATCATAAAAATAAATAGAGGTATTTAAAGATATGCAATACCTTTACACTGAAAAAAATTACAAAATATTTCTGACAGATATTTTTAAAGACTTAAATGAGTGTTTATGGATTGAAAGACTCAATATTTTTATGTTAACTATTACCAAACTGATTTATCTTATCAATGCCATCCCACTGAGAATCCCAATAGGTTTTTTATGGAAATTGACAAGCTGATTTGATAATTTGTGTGGAAAGTAAAGGAACTAAAATTGACAAAACAATTTTGAAAACAAAATTGGAAGACTGACACTGCCAAATTTCAGAGCTTATTATAAAGCTATAGTAATCTAGATGGTGTAGTACTAATGTAAGGGTAGACATATAGATTAATGGAATGAAATAGAGTCCAGTAATAAGTCTACACATTTACAACCACTGGATTGATTACATAGGCACTAATGCAATTTAATGGGGAAAGAATGATCTTTCAATAAAGAACTCGAGCAAATCCTGACACCTCTCTCATACCATATACAAAAAAAATAACTCTAGATTATTTTAGAGTTAAACGAGAAGGTAAAAATTCTAGGGGAAGAAATGAGAGAAAGTATCTTTATGATCTTGATGTAGATAAAATTTTCTTTCCACAAGTACTAACTATAAAGGAAAGGAATGATAAATTGGACAAAATTAAACTTAGGAAATACTATTTATCCAAGATATTAAGAGAGTGAAAAAGCAAGCCATACACTGGGAGATAATCTTTGCATTACATATATCTGACGAAGACCTACTATCCAGAATACTTAATGCCTATAATTAATAACAAAAAGTCAGCCCAATTTTTAAAATGGCCAAGAACTTTAAGAGACTCATCATACAAAAGAATTTCTGAATGGATAATTAACATATGAAAAGATGCCCAACATTATTATTCATCAAGAAAAGGCAAATCAAAACCACAGTGAGATAACACTACACACTCTCCAGAATAGCAAAAATTCAAATGCCAAATTGAGTGCAGCAGTTGCAACTCCCATACATGCTGATGGGAATGTAGTAAGCTATTTTAGGAAACTGGCAGTTTCCTTGAAAGATGAACTTATGCCTACCTCCTGATCCAGCAATTTCAGTCCTGGGTTATGCTTAAAAGTTATGAGTGTTTTTGCCTACCAAAAGATGTGTGCAAGAATATTTCACAGTGGCACGAACTGGAAACAACCAAATATTGATCAATAGAATAAATTTAAAAAATGCGTGTTCTTGTAATGAAAACCAATACAACAACATGTATAAATCTCACAGACATGTTGAGTGAAGTAGGCCAGAAACAGGAAAAACTAATCAATCCATGGTCATCATAATAGCGGTTACCTCAAAGTGTGGTGGTAGTGGTGGCATTGCTAACTGAAAGGGGGTATGATAGAGCTCTTTGGAGTGATGAAAATATTGTATATCTTGATCTGAGTAGTGGTTACACTGGTGTATATGAAAATTCAGTTGAGCTATACACTTCAGATTTATGCAATTTATGCATTCCCTCACATGGATTTTTTTGTACCTCAAAAACAAACACGTCAAACCTAGCAATGATTCTGTGCTCTAGATCCTATGTAACCTCCTCCATGAGTCAGTATCACTGACTTAGCAGTAAAGGAAAAAATAATAAATTTTTTTTGAGACGGAATTCCACTCTGTCGCCCAGGTTGGGGTGCAGTGGTGCAATCTCAGCTGACTGCAACCTCTGCCTCCCGGGTTCAAGTGATTCTCCTGCCTCAGCCTCCCGAGTAGCTGGGACTACAGGTGTGTACCACCATGACCAGCTAATTTTTTTTTGTCTTTTTAGTAGAGACGGGGTTTCATCGTGTTAGCCAGGATAGTCTCGATATCCTGACTTTGTGATCCACCCGTCTAATTAATTGTTTTTAAAGTAAAACAAAGAAAAGGCAAAAATAGGGGTAAAGGACACCAAATTTAAATTTTTCACTTTGAAAAATTCTGCTACATTTTCAACTGCCCTGCAAAAGATATACTATGCTTCCTTTTAATGAATGAGGAAGTTGAAGTCTGGTAAGGTCTAAGGCTTAGCTAAGTAAGATGTGGAGCCAGGATTCAGAACCAAACCCTACTTTACAGCGTTATATCATGAGTACAGTTTTGGTAAGGCCAGGTTAATCAGTGTATTGTCGATACTGTGTTCCTTAGAAAAAACAGACATCCTAGGTTGAATCCTTTTTTTTTTTTTTTTTTTTTGTAGAGACAGGGACTCACTTTGTTTGCACAGGCTGGTGTCAGACTCCTGACCTCAAGTGATCCTCTTACCTCAGCCTTCCAGCTGGGATTATGGATATGAGCTATTGAATCCTTGAGAAAAACTTTAGAATCCTAGTTAGTGGCAATGTAAACACCATGGACATAAATTCATCGTCTACCTTTGCCAAAGGCATAGTCAGCCTATTTGCATTATACATTAATCTAAGGGGCCCCAAGATGTTTGTCATAAGGAGCTGGTCTGCTTCTCATTTGAAGCCTTGCCCTTGATTAGTTCAGAGAGGGAGTACCATTAAGGAATTTCATGTATGGGGAAGAGGCAAGGAGTACTGACAGGTTTAACCCAGGCGTATGTCTTCTTTCCCACTGGAAATGTTCTTGGATTATGGTGAGGGGCCTTAGCTGAAGCTTGAAACCCTGCAACCAGTCTCAGCTGGGTTTTTAGTCTTCCAGTAAGTCATGAGCGGCCAGTGGGGACCCTGTGGGGTTCAGTTGTCATGGGAATCTGACTATTTCAAATGCTGACAGTGAGAGGAAGAAAATGCATTGAGCGTAACACACTACTTTAAAATCTATGACTTTTGACACTGAGAAAATGTAAGGGACTTATTAAGAACACAGCAGGGTTTGAAAATTACTTCTGAAACATCATAACCTTATATCTGTAGATTCACAAACCTAATGAACAAGAAAAATCACTAGATACCTATATTAAAAATTATCTGAAAAAGCCTCTCCCAAATTAGTTCTTATAAATTATATAAGAAAAAGTATATTGATTAACATATTAAACCCATAACAGGGCAGTTCAATAGCAACACACTGAACAGTGAGGGACAGCTCAGAGGAGGCTGAGGTTTAGGTTAGGACTCTTACGTGACCTAGGTTTGTAAATATGCTTCATGGGATAAACAGTGCATTAATGACATTTAATCATTATCCTAGTTGCAAATCAAGCATCAGCACTAGTAAAATTAAATTATAAATGGATATAAATATATGTATATGTACATATATAAATAATCAAGACAAAAATATATATTAAAATAAAACAAAAATTAAATTATAAATGGATGGGACAGAATATATATATGTAAATGTATACATAATCAAGACAAATGACAACTAAGATGAGCATTAAAAAACTAAAAAACAAAAACTAAGAAACAGACAATGCTACTATCACAGAGCATGTCTCTGTCTGAGAAAGTGACTTACTTTAAGGATCATCCAGACAACTCCTTGATGAATTCAAGGATGTTGCTTATAGACAGTATTTTTATAACCAAGTTCTGTTGAACATTTATTGAATGTAAGAAGCCCCCACAAGACTGTAATGCCAAAATATGTGCTGGGTGATGGGGAACCGGTAATTGGCCTTAGCATCCTACAGTGGCATGGTAGCTGTCTAAGAGGGTTATGCTTAGGGTAGGAGTGTGGGATTTTGCATCGAGGACATGTAATTGTTCCAGCTGATTCTATTCCTTCAGAATTTTCCTCCATCCATTCTCACATCAGGTGAAGAGGTGACTACATTTCTAGATGAAGTTTGATGAAGGATTTTTGCTTACTTATAGTTGTCATCTATACCCAAAACAAGACACAGAATTTAAGCAATCAATTTTAGTGGAAAGTTAATGACTATTTTGAAAAATCAGTGTTATCTTCATCCTTGTTAGGTGACAAGGCCAGAAAACCATTTGACTTTATCACATGAGTTCAGGCCTCATGATTTATTATTTTGTATTGTTCAAGATTATGCCCTAAGTTAGGCTTATGCCTATAACTGTCAGTTGTCTTTAAGATGATGAGTATCTCTGGAGCAATTCTGAACTAGGGATCAATTTGAGAGTCATCAGTTTATGGGTGGCAACTGAAACCCTGACCATAGGTGAGATTCTACAAAAAGCAATGGTGAAAAGAGAGGAAGGCCAAGGTAGACACCAGGGACGTTTGGGTCATCAATGCCAAATAAGAGAGTTTCAACTTCAGCAAAGTCTCAAGATACAAAATCAATGTGCAAAAATCTCTAGTGTTTCTATACACCAAGAGTCAAGCCTGAGAGCCAAATCAGGAATGCAATCCCATTCACAATTGCCACAAAAAAATGAAATACCTAGGAACGTAGCTAACCAGGGAGGTAAAAGATCTCTACAAGGAAGACTACAAAACGCTGCTCAAAGAAATTAGAGATGACACAAACAAATGGAAAAACATTCCATGTTCTTGGATAGGAAGAATTAATATCATTAAAATGGCCACTGCCTAAAGCAATTTATAGATTCAATGCTATTCTTATTAAACTACCAATGACATTCTTCACAGAAGTATTAATAGAAAAAAAACTATCTTAAAATTCATACAGAACCAAAAAAGAACCCTAACAGCCAAGGCAATCCTAAGCAAAAAGAACAAAGCCCAGAGGCATCACACTACCTGACTTCAAACTACACTATAGGGCTATCGTAAACAAAACATCATGGTAGTGGTACAAAAACAGACACATAGACCAACGGAACAGAACAGAGAGCCAAGAAATAAGGCCACACACCTACAACTATCTGATATTTGACAAAGCTGACAAAAACAAGCAATGCAGAGAGGACTCCCTATTTAATAAATGGTGCTGGGATAACTGGCTAGCCATGTGCAGAAGATGAACAGAAACTGGACCCCTGCCTTACACCATATACAAAAATCAACTCAAGATGGATTAAACTCTTAAGTGTAAAACCAAAAACTATAAAAACCCTGGAAGCCAACCTAGACAATACCATTCTAGACATAGGACTTGGCAAAGATTTCATGACAAAGATGACAAAAGCAATCACAACAAAAGCAAAAATTGATCTAATTAAACTAAACAGCTTCTGCACAGCAAAATAAACTATCAACAGAGTAAACAGACATCCCACAGAATGAAAGAACAATTTTGCAAACAATGCATCTGACAAAGGTCTAATATCCAGCGTTACAAGCAACTTAAACAAATTTACAAGAAAAAAACAACCCCATTAAGGTGGGCCAAGGACATGAACAGACACTTTTCAAAAGAAGATGTACATGTGGCCAAAAAGCATATGAAAAAAAGTTCAATATCACTGACAATTAGATAAATGCAAATCAAAATCACGATGAGATACCATCTCACACCAGTCAGAATGGCTATTATTAAAAAGTCAAAAAATAATAGGCTGGGCGCAGTGGCTCATGCCTATAATCCCAGAACTTTGGGGGCCTGAGGCAGGCAGATCGCTTGAGCTCAGGAGTTTGAGACCAGCCTGGGTAACATGGTGAAACCCTGTCTCTACCAAAAATACAAAAAAAATAAATAAATTAGTCGGGCTTGGTGGTGTGCGCCTGTAGTCCCAGCTACTCAAGAGGCTGAGGTAAGAGGATTGCTTGAGCCGGGGAGGCAGAAGTTGCAGTGAGACGAGATGGGGCCACTGCACTCTGGCCTGGGCAACAGAGTGAGATCCTGTCTCAAACAAATAACAACAACAAAAAGTCAAAAAAATAACAGATGCTGACAAGGTTGCAGAGAAAAAGGAATGCTTACACACTGTTAATGGGAGTATAAATTAGTTCAGCCATTGTGGAAAACAGTGTGGCGATTCCTTAAAGACCTGAAAACAGGAATACCATTTGACCCAGCAATCCCATTACTGGGTATACACCCAAAGGAATATAAATCATTCTATCATAAAGACACATGCACATGTGTGTTCACTGCAGCAGTATTCACAATAGCAAAGACATGAAATCAACCTAAACGCCCATCAATGGTAGACTGGATAAAGAAAATGTGGTACACATACACCATGAAAAACTAGGCAGCCATAAAAAAGAACAGGATCATGTCCACAGCAGGGACATGGATGGAACTGGAGGCCATTATCCTTAGCAAACTAACACAGGGACAGAAAACCAAATACCACATATTATCACTTATAAGTGGTAGCTAAATGAGAACACATGGACACATAGAGGGAAACAATACACACTGGGGCCTATCAGAGGGTGGGGGGGAGACAGAGTATCAGGATAAATAACTAGAGGGCACTAGGCTTAATGCCTGGGTGGCAAAATAATCTGTACAACAAACCCCCATGGCACAAGTTTACCTATATTACAAACCTGCGCATGTACCTCTGAACTTGAAATAAAAGTTAACAACAAACAAGAGAGTTTCACTGGAAAGAGTATCAACTCTTTTAAATCACAATATTAATAAAGTACATAAGGGTACAAATGTTGACTTGACTCAGAGAAGATCATTGTTATGGGTTGAATTGTGTCCCCCAAAAAGTCATATGTTGAAGTCCTAACCCCCAGCACCTCAGAATGTGATCTTATTTTGAAATGGGGTCAATGCAGATATCATTAGTTAAGATGAGGTCATCCAACATGACTTGCATCCTTATAAAAAGGGAAATTGAGACACTGAAGCGCATTCAGGGAGAACACCACATGGAAGTGAAGATGGCCATCTACAAGCCAAAGGGAGAGGGCTGGAACAGGCTCTGCCTCAGAACTTGCAGAAAGAACTCACCCTGCTGACACCTGGATTTTGGACTTCTAGCCTCCAGGACTGTATGACAATAAATCTCTGTTGTTTAGGCCACCCAGTTTGTGGCACATTGTTATGGCATCCTTGGGAAACTAATACAGTAGTGTAGATGTTATATAGAAAAAAATGCAGGGTTGAGGAAAGCTATTCTCTTCAAAGTGAGGGAAAACTGAATGTGTTTTTATGCTTAAGAGAAAAGAACATAGAGGACAGATAAAGCACAATAGATGGGGCAAGATACGAAGGAGATGGGCTTTAGCAAGATGTTTTGCAAACTCTTAGCAACCTGTGGTAAGAAATGCATTTTACAGCATGACTCATTATACACGTGCATGCACATAATTTAAATAAAACTTTCCTTACTCCACTTATAATAATAATAAAAATGTGAACTAAATACCAAATATTATTTATTACTATTTAAATACTACTTAGAAAAATAACCTAATATAGACCATACAAAATCAAAACAAAAGATGAAAATGTTGGTTGTAATAAACTAGAGTTGTCAACAATGTTTTAACGGACAGTCCCAGAGGACAAGGCAGAGATGAGCCTTGGGCAGAAGAAAGGGCCTTGTGTTTCACTAAAGAAGGTATTGAGGAAGGATGCCTGTGGATGAAGCTAGGTTTATATGATGTAAAAAGCTGAGTGTTATAAGCTGCTGGGCATGTTCTCTGGATGAGGAGAGAAGGCCATCTGCTGGAAAGTGAGTGGAGAATACAAGAGTAGACAAAAAAGGCTGAGAGGAGAATATGACAAAAATGTGTAATAGCTGTGGCTGGGAATAATAAAGGGAGCAAAAAAAAAAAGATACATATCAACAAGTATGTGTTCTGGTTTCTCAGGAACTGTTGGCCAGACAACTGTCATGCTATTGGGAGGAATCAGACCAGCCTTATGATTGCTGCCCTTGTCCAGTCTCTTGCCTCTTTCTGTTTTCCTCAGTCACCAATCCTCGGTTCCAAGCACACTTGGCTTGACCCTACTTGCTCTAGGTTGTACCAAGCATAAATACGGAATTAGGTCTCACTTTCCTTTTATGCCCCCATATAGCTAGAAAGTTACTAGACCTGAAAACATACATGCTGTCTGATTATCTTCTCCTAGAACCTATTTACTCAAAGTGTGGTTTATCACAGCATCAGCATCACCTGGGAGCTTGGGGTAAATGGAAAACTCAGGACCCACTCCAGACCTTCTGAATCAAAACCTGCATTTAACAAGATACACACCTGATTCAAAACATTAAAATTTAGGAACCACTGTCCTAGATCACTGGTTCTCAACCTTGACCACGTATCAGAATTATCTGAAAAGTTACAAGAAAATGATGTCCAGACTGAGTTAGAAGCTCTTGGGGTGGCTACTGTGCAGCCAGGGCTGAATGCCTGTGCCCTAGAGTCTTGTTGCTCATAGTCGATTTAGTTATAAATGGTTGGCATAAATGTCCTCCAAGGTCTCTTATAACTAAATCGGTTATATGATTTAGTTATGAGACCTTGATTGAGCTATCCAATGGGTGAATCTACACTCAGTCTGCTCAGGGGTTGACTAGGCATGGCCTGACTGCCTCATTCATAGTCACCCACCTACCTATATAACCATTTACCTTCTGGCCAGATCTATTAAAAATCACATCTTCTATTGAACCACATGTTTTTCTCCCTATAATCTCTACATGCTGATTCATATTCTATCCATGTGGGATCATACAAAAGTAACCTCTGCAACTGGGGTATTAATTTTGGAAATACTCTTGATAGTTTTCCCTTCTTTCCTGGGACAAAGGAGGAAGATGACACTCAGAAAGTGGAAGATTATGATGTAGAGGAGTTTTTTGACTTCCTCTCCTATTGTAAAAAGAGAATACATGGGGGTGAGGCAGGTGAGTGAATAGGGGGTGAGAATAGGTGCCATGGGGCTAGGTGGTGGCTGAGAAGGACAGAAAGGAAGTAAAGCGCAAGAAATCCAAGGTGGGTTTCTTAGTCCTTCCTCTCAATTTCACAAAGGAAATCCTCGGGGGATGGTGGGGTAGGAGTTAGAAACAAACCAGGACTTTTGGGAAAATCCTAGAGTGGGAGGAAGGATTTCCTTCCTTCCTTCCTCCTCTCACTCATTCCCTTTCTCCCTCCCTCCCTCCCTCCCTCCTTTCCTTTCTTTCACCAAAGCATAGCTTTGTGTTTTGAAGAATTTCCAAGGACATAGCAAAGTGGTCAACACCTGTGAAAGAGCTGATCCACCTGGGGCTTCCTATAGGTAGATTCAAAATGACAAGAAAACTGTCCGAGGGAGTGGGCACAAGTGTAGCCTTGCAGACTGTGATCTCATTCCAGGATGGTATGGAGAGAGCAGATGAGAGGAGCACAGCTCCAAGGAGACCCAGCAATCTGTGATGAATGGAGTGGCTGTTGAGCCTGGGGGCTTCAAGATTGAGAATATAACAGGCACCACAAACTTCACAAGATATGAATGTCCGGTGAACAAAGACGAAGGCCATCTTTAGGGGACAGGGGGGACCCAGAGGACAGCAGAGGAACCAGAAAGGATATCAGACCTCCCCTACTGGATGCCAGATTTACCTGTGAGCCCTCCCACTCAAATTTGCTAACTCCTGGCAGAAGGGTGAAGGGAGGTGTAAGAAAAATGGCTTCACTTTAGTCAGGAGTACGCGGAGGCAGCCTTCCTGCATGGCATGATTCAGTGGGTTTGGAGCTCAGGCACACAACCCCACACGTTATGTAACCACGCCATGTGAGGCCCATTAGATGATCACCCACGTGAGCTCGTGCTTGGCTCGAGCCACTGTTGTCTGTAAAAGGTATAATTACCCTGCTAACACTATAAATATGGCTCACTTATGCCCAGGGAGAGTAAAGCCATGTTGAAACTGTGTACGATTCCTCAAGTGTCTTTCCAGCCACCCGCCACTTGCCCACCGACTCCCCTCGGACCTCAGTTAGAACCCTGACAGGAGGGAGATCATGCAGATTTGACTGAGGCTCAATTCTGAAATGATTTTCCTCCCCCTAACCTTCAGCCAGAGTGACTCTTTCTAGCAAGGAAAATATTGCTATCATTTAAATGAAGAAGCCAACCCTCACAGCCAGGTGCGGTGGAGCTGGGTTTGTAACCATAGCCATCTAAAGCTCGTGGTCATAATATTTTCCCTAGACTGGTGACCAAGGCAGTGGCACAGACACCAGGGACTAAGGTTGTGAGCGGTGGAAGAGCTCTGAGTTACTGGTGGTGAATCTGTAGGGATCTGCAGCAACCTCAATTCTTGCCTCCTGGGAAGAAAGAATTCGACTGAGGGGCATAAGACAGAAGAAGAGATCGAGGTAAGTTTCAGAGCAGGAGTGGAAGTTTATTAAAAAATCTTGGAACAGTAAGAAAAGGGAAGGAAGAAAGCAAAGTAAGTACAACTTGGAAGAGGGCCATGTGAGCAACTTAAAAAATCAAGTGTGCAGCCTGACCTCTTGATTTGGGGTTTTATAGGTTGGCATACTTCCGCGATCTTATTGGGAAGCTGCGATCCAGCTTCAGGTGTTTTCTATTTATTAGGAGCCGGCCTTCCCCTGGTGCCGGCTGTGACCAATTATTACTTTTGAGAAGCAGTTAACAACTGCCTGACCATCCTGATGGTCTCCCAACACGTCTCTCCTGCCCTGCTCATACCTGACTAGCTACCTACTGTAACAAGGCCAGAGAACAATTTGCTGAGCTGGAGGGCAGGCCAATGGGTAGCCATTGCTCTGAGGTAGAATCCCAAAATCCCTCCTACCTTTCCCAGTGGAACCAGGTATTTAGGGCCATGGGTCTTTGTAGTCAGATTGTCTACGTTCAAATCTCAACTCTACTGTTTACCATCTATGAGCAAAGTTACCTTTCTTATCCATTTCCCTATCTATTAAAAGGGACTAGGCCAGGCGTGGTGGCTCACACCTGTAATCCCAGCACTTTGGAGGGCCAAGGCAGGAGGATCACTTGAGCCCAGGAGTTTAAGACCAGCCTGGGCAACATGGTGAAATTCCATCTCTACAAAACATAAAAGTACTATCCAGACATGATAGTGCACACTTGTAGTCCCAGCTACTTCGGAGGCTGAGGTGGGAGGATTGCTTGAGCCAGAAAGATTGAGGCTGCAGTGAGCTGTGATCATGCCATTGCACACCAGCCTGGGTGACAGAGTGAGACCCTGTCTGAAAGAAACAAAAAGGAGTAGTAGCAGCCACCTCATGGAACTGCTTGAGGATTGAGTTATTACTCATAAAGTGCTTAGAATAGTGCATGGCAATAGTCAATAAACAACAAATGGTAGCTATTTTCATTATCTAAGAACAAGAGGCTCAGATGAGTTTGAGGTTCTAGGTGATAAAAACAAAATGACAAAAACTTTCCTCAGTGCAAGGGAAGTTGATGCAGAGCAATGGTTTCCAACTTTGGCTAAATATTAGAATCACTCGGGAAACTTAAAAAAAAAAAAAAACCCAAGCCCGAACTATACCCTGGTCCAATTAAATGAGAATCTCTGAGACAGCAATATTTTAAAGCTTTCCAGGCAATTCCAACATACTGCCAATACTGAGAACCCCTGTGCAAAGGCTGACAGCCAGGCACTCGGGTGACCCTGTGAGGGACCCAGTGAGGGACCCAACTGATGCACCTACTTTCCTAAGCTGCCCACGGCCTTTAGTTTTGAATAGTTCTTTCCTTCTAGGAAATGTACCTGGTAGTGGCTTCATTCATTCCATATAGGTGTCCAGCACCCACTGTGAGCAAGGCACTGTGCTGAGCCTGGAGATGCAGCAGCAAATCAGGCTCAGACCAAGTGCCCACAAGGTACACACTCCAGCAGGAAAGAGGGCTGCTGGACAGGCAGTAACAATCAATGGTGATGGGACTCAGGGAATGCCAGGAGCACGCTGAGTCTGTGAGAGCTGCCTTGACAGACAGGTAGTGCCAAGGGGGTGCCCAGCTCCTTTGCAGAAAAATTCTTGCTCCCTGGCACCTCCACAGGCTGCCCTAGGGAGGTTCCACCTCTGCCCAGACTCAGGACACACAATATAAAAATATTTATGGGTTTATCAATGTATTAAATAAAAACAATTCATTATCAAATATAGGCTTTCCTATATAATCCTTAAGTGGTACTTTCCTCCCTTGAGGAAAACCCTGGTCCCTATGAGGGTAGGATGGGAAGTGGTCTCTGCTTCTGTGGAGACACTTTATTTATTTTTATATTTATATTTATTTATTTATTTTTATTTATTTATTTATTTGAGACAGAGTCTTGCTGTGTTTCTCAGGCTGGAGCGCAGTGGCATGATCTTGACTTACTGCAACCTCCGCCTCCTAGGTTCAAGCGATTCTCTTACCTCAGCCCACCTCCTGAGTAACTGGGATTACAGGCACCCACCACCATGCCCAGCTAATTGTTTTTGTATTTTAAGTAAAGATGGGGTTTTATCATGTTGGTCAGGTTGGTCTCAAACTCCTGACCTCAAAGCAATCCACCCACCTTGACCTCCCAATGTGCTGGGATTATAGGTGCGAGCCACTGTGCCCAGCCTGTGGACACATTTAGAAAGACGTGGAACATCTTTGTTGTTTAAAGGGCAATCACAGACTTCAAAGCAGTGCTCCTTAAGGCTGCCCTAGGCCCAAAGAGAGAGGCCTCTGGCAGCTCAAGGGCAGTCAGGGAATATTACTTTACTATTGCTGCTGTAACAAATCACAAAGCTAGTGGCTTAAAGCAATTACACAGCGGTAATATTACAGCTCTGGAGGTAAGAAGTCTGGAATGGGTTTCACTGAGCTGAAGATCAATGTGTTGGCAGGCCTGAGTTCCTTCTGGAGGCTCTAGGGGAGATGGTTTCCTTGCCTTTTCCAGCTTCTAGGAGCTGTCTGCATTCCCTGCTTTAGCCCCTTCCTTCATCTACAAACCCAGGAGCATAGCGTCTTCAAATCCCTATCTCTGGCCCCACTTCTGTCATCTTCTACCTCTTCTGTCTCTTCCTTTCCCTTGTAAGAACACTTGTAATTACATTGGGCCCACCAAGATAATCCCCCTATTTAAAAATACTTAATCACATTTGTAGAGTTGCTTTTGCCATTCATGGCAACATATTCACAGGTTTAGGAGAATAGGAGGTGGATGTTTTTTGGGGAGCCATTATTATGCTAACATATGCAGACTCTCTTCTTTGTTAAGGAGAAAAGTAACTAGATTCTAATACACCCAAGTTCATCAGGCACCTACCTTGGCCAGGCTCTGTGCAGGGGATACATAAATGCATGAGACCCCACCCTTGGCTGTAGGTGCTTCCTCTAGTGAAGGAGATGACCAGGATGCACACAGCCATGTTGCGTCCTGACCAAGGAAGTGCTGAGCGGGTTCAGGAAAGGAGGCCATCCCCACTAGAGGTTCTGGGGAGGCTTCACTGCAGCTGGTTGGGATGAGTGCTGTGATAGAGGCACACAGGGTGGAGGAGTGGGAAGGCCTAGAAGAAAGATGGTGACCTGTGACTTAGGTACTGAAGAACTGGTACGATTTGAAGGGAAAATGGTGAGCAAAAACTGGAGGGGGCAAGAAATGCTTTCTTCTTCAGGAAGAGTGCAGGTGGGGTCTAGTTGGCAGAGGAGCCTCACCAAACTGGGATTCCACCACTCATGTAGCAAGATACCTTTGTCTCCTGGTTTTGATCCTACTGTACTGTTTGTTAAAGTCTTCCCTCACTCGGCTCCAGGTTAAACTGTACTCATGGATCATTCCTGCATCCTCTCTTGGCTCCTTTTACTCTTGCATTAGTCTGTTCTCAGGCTGCTAATAAAGACATACCCGAGACTGGGTAATTTATAAAGAAAAAGAGGTTTAATAAACTCACGGTTCCCCATGGCTAGGGGAGGCCTCACAATGATGGCAGATGGCAAAGGAGGAACAAAGGCACACCTTATGTGGCAGCAGGCAAGAGAGCTTGTGCAGGGGAACTGCCCTTTATAAAACCATCAGATCTCATGAGACTTATTCACTATTACCAGAACAGCACAGGAAAAACCCACCCCCATGATTCAATCACCTCCCACCTGGTCCCTCCCATGACACATGGGGATTATGGGGGCTACAGTTCAAGATGAGGTTTGGGTGAGGACACAGCCCAACCATATCAACTCTCTTTTAATTTTCCCTATTATTTCTTCTCTCATCTCCACCCTCACTGTGCTGCAACGTGGTCTTGTAAGGCTCAAGTTGCTGGGATACTTCAGTCCCTGTCTATAGGGGAGAGGCACTTCTGCATTCAGGCATTCTGTTTTCTGGGTAACTGCCCCAGTCACTGTTAGCCCAGTATTTGGTAAGAGACACTGGGTATTAAGTGAAAGGGGCTTATTCCCAGCTGTAACCACACATAAGGAATTCAGGGAAGCCACCATTATGTATTACTTTATTAGCCCTTAAGTAAGTGTTGGTGCAGTGCTCCGAGTCCAACATTTCCAAGGAGTTGGCTTTTCAAATCAGCAGAATCAAAAAGAAATGGCCATGAAAGTAAAAAGGGGTGGAAAAGGAGCAAGAGAAAAAACTGGTTGTTGGGGATCTATATTTATAGTTTGTAGCTGTGTTGTCCAACATGGCGGCCACTAGCCACATGGATATTTAAACTTAAATAAATTGAAATTAAACTAAATTAGAAATTTAGTTCCTCAGTCTTACTAGCCACAGTTCAAGTCCTTGTGCAACCTGTGGCTAGTAGCTACCTGTTGGAGGGGTAATAATAGTACATTTTCATCCCTGCATAAAGTTCTATGGAACAGCACTGATCTATAGCAATGCTCTAAACTCCCCAACACCGTCTCATAAAACCCAAAGACTCCATCATTGTCACAACCAATTGCAATGGCTTTCAAGAAGATGATGTCTGCTGAGGGTTTATGGGAGACCTGTGGAGGTGCTCCTGGCATTTAACAGGTGGGACCAGGAATGCCAGCTGTTACACAATGCTCAGAACAGTCTCATACAATGAAAAATTGTCCTAGGTCCAATAAGACTTTTGAAAGTCCTATTAATTATGACCTGAGCCTAGATCCTCACTCCATTTTACACATAAACACAAATTTTTACAAGGTTTTACCACACACTGAATTAGCCCAGAATACAACATTTGAGTTGTTTCTATAATTTGATTATTATAAATGAAACTTCTATAAGCATCTCTATAAATAAATAAATAAAAGGGCCATTGGGAAATATTAGTTATCTAAAGGGGGCCTTCATTTCATAGAGTTGGGAACCCTAATGAGGTCCTGCAAAATAGACTCTTGGCTCCTCCCTCACCTCCCTTCCTGCCGCCTTCCACCTGCTTCCTGTGCTCCATCACACTGGTCTGTTGCTCTTTCTCAAGCTCAGCAAACAGGCATGGGCTTTGGTCCTTTGCCCTAGCTCTCTCCTGGTCTGGAACACTTTTCCTGGTGGCCCATTCCCTCCTTTCACTTAGGTCTCAGCCCAAACATCAGAGAGACCTTCCCTGATTCCCCTGACTGCAATGGCACCCCCACTTTGCTCTCTAGTCCTAAGTGTTTTATTTTTCCCCAGTCTTTCTCATTATCCACCTATTCTGTATCTGACAATTTGCTTATCTGTCCCCTTGGCTCACTCAGTGGCAGCTGGGACTTTGTCTTGTTCACCACTGCACCCAGTACAGCCTTGGGGCTCAACAAATCACCCTTGAAGGAAGGAAATAATCTTGAATTTCTCAAAGCACTCAGGGCATTGTGAATACACATAGCTTGGGTAGGTTTCGGATTTTTTTTTTTTTTTTTTTTTTTTGAGACGGAGTCTCGCTCTGTCGCCCAGGCTGGAGTGCAGTGGCGCGATCTCAGCTCACTGCAAGCTCCACCTCCCGGGTTCACGCCCTTCTCCTGCCTCAGCCTCCTGAGTAGCTGGGACTACAGGCCCCCGCCACCACGCCCGGCTAATTTTTTTGTATTTTTAGTAGAGATGGGGTTTCACCGTGTTGGCCAGGATGGTCTCCATCTCCTGACCTCGTGATTCACCCGCCTCGGCCTCCCAAAGTGCTGGGATTACAGGCGTGAGCCCCCGTGCCTGGCCAGGATTTTTGTTTTGTTTTGTTTTCTAAATTTGGGAAACCATTTTCTAGGTATTCATAATGCATTCTAAAAATATGATTCCTACCACTATCAACTTTCCTTTTACTAAACAACCCAATTTTTTGAGTTACTTGTTCTCCTTGGAATTTATCTCCAGTGATGCTGCTAAAAAAGCTTGGGTTTTGATATGTTGGGTCCCAATAATAGTTTGACAGTCTCCTTACTGCTTATAACCTGCAGTTCCCTACAGAGGCCTCCTCTTCACCACAGTCTCTGCCAAGTGGTTGTCATAGCATTAATTAAACTGGAAGAATAAAGGCATTGCATGTCATTTTCTATATTGGATGCCTTCATGTTATGGACATATCTCCATGGAGAATCCTGTACATAAACTGAAAACAAATGCTTGGTAACATCACACATCCTCAGTCAGGATATTTTTCAGAAGAGAAATTACAACACGTTAAAATGTGAACTCTTTTTGCATGTATCATATTTTTAAAATATCTAGAGAAATATGAGTTTACTACTTTCTTATTTCTAAATTATATTTCAACTTCCTCCCCCAAAACATTAAATGGTCGCATCTTTTTTATGGATACAATTCTTATTATTATTGTATCCAGGCAATAGACTCAACTGCTGTGAAATAAGAGAAATACATTGTTCACTTCATTCATACGTATTGATAAAATTTTAGATTTATTTTTAGATGTCCCCAGGTATTATACTTACAAATCGTATTAAGCTTGTTGTATTTTAAGAAATGTGTTTTTTAATAAGAGTGAACATAATAAAATATAAAGAGAAGAATAAGCAACTTTGGAAAGCTAAGGCTTTATCCTCACATTCCGAAGGTCAACTCACTGGGCTTCTGGAAAACTAGAATTTGCAAGAATTCCAAAGGAAGGCTCTGGAGGTCTCCTCCAGAAAGACACTGTGGACAGCACAATTAGCAAAGTGCATAGGACAACCCTGTTAAACTGAGGGCACGAGAGGGCGGTATTGAGAGTCTGGTAAGGGAACAATTGAAGAGTGAGCTTCAAAGTCAAGCCTAGACGTGCTCCTCAGTGTGTTTCTCCAACTGTCATTACTCGCCCACCATGCCACAAGAAAAGAAATTAAAAGTAAGTGTTCCAAATTTGTATAGCAATTTGACAGAGTAGTTACATTACTATTGAACCTAACACGCATACATTATATATTATCTTTAGTTTAATTATTTTTGTATGTGTATTTTTAAATTTTGGTATTCTAGAAATTCATCATTATTGTAACATATAAAAGTCTTGCTTCATGACAGATTGAATTTTTAAAATTTCTTCACCACAGATAATTTTAGGAGTACTGGTCGAAATTGAGTTGAACTTTGTAAATAAATCCATGTCCAAGGAGTCCATTCTCAGCATACCTGAATTTAGAGCACATGAGTACAGATTGTCCTTGGTTTGTATATTAGATGCATCCTGAAAAATCTGAGCTATCAAGTTGGAGATCAGATTATTTCTAAGGTATTTTTCTATCCTGGTTATGTGATTAATTTATTCATTTAATATGTGTTGTTAAATGTTCCAGATGATTAGAATAGACTAGCGAATAAAATAACAAAAATGGAGTTTACATTCTAGTGGAAGGAAACAAAGAACAAACAATAACCATAATTAAAAGTAAATTACACAAACGTAGAGCAGTAAGTCAATGATGGAAATATAAGAGGAGTACCGGAGTACCAGAGTCGGGGTGGTGTGTGTGTCGGGGGGGATGATTTAAAATACTGTGGTAAGGGTAAGCCTCATTGCGACAACTGAATAAAAGTTTAAGGATCAAGAGACATTAGTCATGTGGCTTTATGGAGGAAGGATGGTCCAGGCTAAGAGGAGAACTGGTACAAACGTCCTGGGGTAGTGTAGCTGAGAGGATGGGGGGTCTGAGAGCAGTAAGGAGGTCAGTGGAGTAGAACAGAGTGGTCAAGGAGAGGCGAGAGATGAGGCCAGAGAGGGAATATGAGCTCAGATCTCATATTGTAAGGACTTAGATTTTTACTCTGAGTGAGCATAGGACCTGGAATACAGGAGTAGTGCTCTTTAAAAGAATCAGTGGACTGCTGTGTCTAGAATACAGTACAGAGGGGGACCTAGTTAGGAGGCTATTCCCAGTGACAGATAATGATGGCAATGGTCTTGAGTGGTAGCAGGAGGGGTGGTGAGAAGTGGATAGAGTCCAGTCATATTTTCATGGTAGAGCTAAGGGGATTTCCTTATGTAGCATATAAGAAAAAAAAGGGAAATCAATTGTTTTGGCCTCACATCTTATTTTCTACCATAACTTCAAAGATGTTCTTCCTTGGAGAAACTTTTCCATCACGTGTGAAAACCACACTGAGGAGTCTGGATTTCAAATACTAGATTGTGGCCGCCTTCGGAACAGGCACTGTGTGTTTTCCCATCTCTAACTCCAACACAAGACATGACTCCAGGTACAAAACAGGCTCTTTATGGCATAAGAAAGATGTACTTTCATTCACACACAAGATACACACATGTAATTCTCCCATACATCCTTTAAGACACTAATCAGCAAATAACCTCAGCACCCTATCATCACTTACCCTCTATTAAGTATCTCTATCAATATCTATAGGGTATTGATTCTTTTCTTTACTTTTTTCTTTTCTTTTTTTTTTTTATTTTTTTTTGAGATAGAGTCTCACTCTGTTGCCCAGGCTGGAGGGCAGTGGTGCGATCTCGGCTCACTGCAACCTCCGCCTCCCAGGTTCAAGCGATTCTCCTGCTTTAGCCTCCTGAGTAGCTGGGATTACAGGCGCGTGCCACCACGTCTGGCTGATTTTTGTATTTTTAGTAGAGACGGGGTTTCACCATGTTGGTTAGGCTGGTCTCAAACTCCCGACCTCAGGTGATCCACCTGCCTCAGCATCCCAAAGTGCTGGGATTACAAGGGTGAGCCACAGTGACCGGCCAGGGTATTCCTATTCCATGGTTTTTACCTTAGAATGGGACTTGGATATTTGAGCTGCCATATTAGTTGTTTTTTCTGATTTTGTTGGAATTCTCAACTCAAAGAAGCACAAAGAACCTCTTTAGGAAGTTCCAGACATCATAAATCAAGCTTTCCTTTTATTTAACAATAAGCACCTTAGGTCTCTAAACGAACTTGCAGCCAGTCTATTATTCAGGACTTGGATGCTGAGGTAGGCTCATTGATCCTCACACGGAATCTACATGTTGAAGAGTTGATGGGATCAGTAGGCCTTTGATCTAGCACTCCATAAGATGTATTCATTCACATGCAAATTGGAGATTTAAAATTTTAGTTTCAACCATGCCTCTTGTGAAATCTGACCTCCAAAATGCTTTTTATCACAGGGCACTGACATTGGCAAACCCTGGCATTTTATACAAGAGGATCTTCTGGTTTTAAAACAGAATCCTATCCAAGAGCTGTAAAGACACAACTTATGGAGGGAGCTGTGCCAAGCACCTACCAGGCCCTCTTCATGCATGATCTCACTGATTCCAGCTCACTACCTTTGAGGCGTGCATTACCACCCCAAATGACAGACTGAATAGGCTTCAAGGTCCCCCAGCTAGTTGATGCAGCCAGGATTTAAACTCAGATTGTTTGATGCAAAGCTCTTGGATGTTCCCCATCTCAATACTCTGCCTCTTAATATTACATAACACTTGCCAAATGATGGTCACTTTCTGTCCCTTGAAAATCTAACATCCCCTTAGGGAAAAATCCCATGAAAAGAGGTACTAGGGCTATCTCTTCCAATTTCTATAGTTTACCAACCCTGGGCATTCATCTTGTCTGGACTAAACTTCAGCCAGTGTATTTTCAGCCAAGTCTCCAATTTAGGCAGCCAATGGGTAAGACACAAAAACCACGCTGTCAGAATCAGATGAAAAAGAAATACAGGGTGGGGATTCTTGGCATAATGATGAAGCAGGAGGTCCAGATCCCTTGCTGGTGTTTTAAGTGGTCTCCTGTTGACACTGAACAGGTAGCATCCCTCTGGCAGGGGACACAAGAGCAGCTTCTTCTCAGTGGACAGGCAATCACCACAAACCACCTTTTGGGTTCTTGGAGAGAAAGATGAATTTGCTGGAGCCAAAGCAAAACAACAGAGCAAAACTACATCCGCTCCACCTCAACATCTGAAATTGAATAGTACTTGGTGGTGGTACAAGGAGCACAAAAAATATTAAATCAGCGAAACTCAATTTGATTGACTGAAGGACTCAAAGTGGAACACCAAAAAGAATTGGTTGAAATGGTTTTGCTCGTCCTCTCTGTCCGTCCTCCACCCACATCTATCCTTCCTTTTATCTATTCTTTCCACCTGCTCAACCCTCAGCCACCGGAAGTGCCATGGGCCCACTACCCATAAGAAAACTCAGTGGGAAGGCAAGTAGGTAGAGCCTGTGGGCAGCACAGGTGTAGAGGCTTAGAGCTCCTGTCTCTTCTCATCCCAGAAGCAAGGACCGGTCAGAAAGAAAGATCCAGGGCAGTTGTGGGAGGAGGATCTGCAGACTCTGATAGAAGGGAGACCAAGGAAGAGGGGAGAGGGAGGAGAAGTGAGAGAAAGGGGAAGTAGAGGAGATCAAGGGCGTGGAAAAACTAAAAAAGGAAGAATGAAAATGACCCGGGAAAAAAGAGGATCCCAGCAACAACCCAGGAAGGCCCTCCAGAATAATTTCGTCCAACCAATTCCATATCTTCCTGTCCTTTCTTCACGTCCTTAGAGAATTTCAAGGCATATAATAGGTATCAGGGTGGGTGTCTCAGCAGTCTTTTCTATCCACCTTGCGAGCCCCTATGGGACTGAGCCTTGTCTCCTCCAGCCCCACTGTCTTCCTTCGCAGAACCGCTAACACTTACCTGTCCCCATCTGTGTATATGTCGGTCATCCTGCTGGACTGAAAGATTATCAAGGGTGGGGACTGTGTCTGTTAACTCTTTGTAGTCCCTGCCCTTAACATCATTCCTGCCTCATGGCAGATACTTAACAGATAATAAATTTTAAAAACCTAAGAACCATAAAATACAAATCACCGGCCAGACACAAAAGAATACACCCTCTGTGATTGTGTGCACAGAAAGTTCCAAAACAGGCAGAACTATTCTGGGGACAGGAGTCAGGATTACTTTTGAGCAGGAGTAGTAAATTGGAGTGGCATGAGGGGGCCTCTGAGGAATTGCGATGTTCTTTTGCTTAATATCTCGGAGGCCCTTTTTGTGTTTTCTTTGTGAAAATTATTGAGCGGTACGATTATGAATTGTGCTCTTTTCTGTATGTATATTATGTATGCTTTAACAAAAAGTTTACTAAAGAAAAAATCAAACAATTAGCTACTCCAGACAGATAACCTATCAAAAGAAATTAAGGTGGATAAGAGATTCTAATACACAGGGAGCTACTTCTTTGTTTCTTTTGCTGAGTATGAATAAAAATAGCTTGTAGGCCAGGTGCGGTGGCTCATGCCTGTAATCCCAGCACTTTGGGAGGCCAAGGCAGGCAGATCACAAGGTCAAGAGATCGAGACCATCCCGGCCAGCATGGTGAAACCCCGTCTCTACTAAAAATACAAAAATTAGCTGGACGTGGTGGCACATGCATGTAGTCACAGCTACTTGGGAGGCTGAGGCAGGAGAATCACTTGAGCCCAGGAGACAGAGGTTGCAATGAGCAGAGATTACGCCATTGCACTCCAGCCTGGTGACAGGGTGAGACTCTGTCTCAAAAAATAAAAAATAGCTTGTAAATTATGTGATAAGTCTTACTAGCTCTTTCTAAAGATCATTACTCAGTAGTTGGCTGGGTGTGGTGGTTCACGCATGTAATCCCAGCACTTTGGGAAGCTAAGGTGGGAGGATCGCTTGAGCCTGGGAAATCAAGGCTGCAGTGACCTATGACTGCATTATTGCACTCCAGCCTGAGCAACAGAATGAGACCCTGTCTCAAACAAAACAAAACAAAAACTCATTAGCATATCTTATTTCACTGCTGATCAATTGTTGATCCTTAACCAGTCAATGTATTTGTACATATGTACAAATCTAATTAAAGAAATCTGTAGAACTATGTTCTATATTACTGATTCCAAAAAATGTCCCTACACTAGAGATAAGCAATGAGACTTCTGCATCAGTAAGTGTTCGGGATGTCAGATGCTGAAAAGTGAATTGTGTCTCTGATTAATTGACTTTAATAATAATAATTTTATTTATATAGAGACCTTGCCAAGGCATTCAGGGAGCTATAAAGCAACCCATAATCCATGATTAAAGCATTATACAAGCAATATATAACAAGCCTCCCTCCTAGAATAAAACAAAGGGAAGAAGAGATGGATGGGGCTGAGATATGAGGGTGCAGGAGAGTGCATGAGTTGTAGATTCAGTGTGGAGATGGTGATAAATGCTTCATTAGGGAAAGAGGGGAGTTTCCTGGGATTGGCGAAGGAGTGTAATTTAATAGAGTTGCATTGAAATAGTGGTCTATGGGGAGGCAGTCGCAGCCCTGCAGAGACGTGTGCATTTCCTCCTCTCTGCGCCTGAAGGTGGGAACACAGATAATAATCACATCTTTCCTGCCAGCTACATCCTATCTATGAGTGAGATTTTTCATAATGATCCAAACAGCAGAAGTTAAGGAAATACTTCTAAATTATTCCTCACTTCTTGACATTGGCAAAAGACCTAGGTAGTTTTTTTGTTTTGTTTTTTGTTTTTTTTAAATCAGCCCTTATGAAGTCCTGGAAAATATAAACATATATTTGAAAGTGACTGTGAAGGTGCCCCCAAGTATGAAAGTTTTGAACAAACAACAACAGGAGCTGAAGATTAGGTATGATTAGTCAGAACTTCCTTCCTCTGTAGACCCCTCCCCACCCTACCTACACTCCTTCCTCTTTCCCCAGCACCCTACCTCCCCTACCATCCATCTGCTCTGCCAGCAAAATGACCTCTCTCCTTGCTATGGCTCCTTGGCTAGCCGTTTTACTTTTTTACTTTCATTTATTATGACTTACAACCAATGTATGGACATTACTAAAAATCTAAAAAGCAGAGAAAAATGTAAAGAAATGGGGAAAAAATTATTTCTACTCTAATCACTTAACGGCAACTACTTTTGAGATTTCCTAAAATATTGCATTAATATGTGTGAGGCATACATACATATATATATATATATAAAATGTCTCCATGACTATACCAAAGTGTTTTCAGTGGTTATGTCTAGGGGGCAAAATAATAGTTGATTTTCACTTTTATTTTTATACCACTATATAATGTTAGAAAAAATATATATGGGTATCTATTAATTAAAATCATGGAAAAAAACAATAAAGCAAAAAGACCCAAATAGGTTAATTCTCTTTTTGAGCTTTGTCCACCTGATATTAAAGTTATCTAGCCAATATTTTTAGGTAGAATAATATAATTAAGTATGGATTCCAAAACGATAATATGGCAAATGCTGAAACAACATGTTTTGAACAGGAAGTTGATGATATACTTCTACTCCACTCTGAGTTACAGATTTAATTTTTATTTAGTTTGGGTGTCTGAGTAAAATAAAAGATTCATTGTAGAAAAAGGAAAAGCAATTAACAAAATTCAGAAGTGGTAAGATGGAAGATAAAAAATAACACAACCTCACTAGCAAGGTCCGTGTATGTACAGTCAAACCGAAAGGCCATAACTACTAAAGGGACTTTTCCTCCAGCAAGAGCAGGAGCAGGGAATTCGCTATTGCTCAATTAATTTCACCTCATCCCTGGGTAAATCAAATAAAATCTTTATCTTATGCTGAGTTGATACAGTGGATAATATCTGCCCAATAGAATTCTATGTTGTCTGCAATGAAATCAACTTTTTTTTTTTTAAACCCTTCCTTTGTTTTGTGTTATTCTTGTCTATGTTGGCTATGTAATCATGTGCCTTTGTCTGATGAAAGCTGAAAAGATGTTCTGGCAGGGGAGGAAGGGGAGCCAGAGTTTACTGGGAATCCTTGGGCGATGAGTGATTGATTAGTGGGTGAGGAGTCAAGTGAGAGCTAGTGCCCGGGATTGAATAAAAGAGCTTCCATTATTCAGAGAGAGTGCTAGACAAGAATGGGGAGAGACTGCATGGAAGGCTGCCATGAGTCTAACAGAAAAGCAACTTTCTGGGAAAGAAAGCAGACATTAGGGTAAAGAAGGCAACTATATTCTACCCACTGGGCAAAAAAATTGACATTAGGGAGGACGAAGGATAAAAAGCAAGACTAGAGAGAGAGAGAGTGTAAACTGTTAATGCTATTTGTGTTTTGCTTTTGTGGGACTCTTTCTTTTTCAATATTTGCCCTTCTCTTGATTGCTGATTACATAACCACCAATTTTATAGAATGTTATGTTCCAGAGGAGGAGTTTTTTAAAAAGTCTGTGACTGATACTACTACAGGATTACTGTCTTATCTCTTTGAATGTTTGTATTTACCTATGGTAGGTGGCATCTGAGATTATTACAGAAGAAGGAAAATAGAAAAGAATGCAAGGCTTAGAGGTTACTCAAAATGGGGTAGCGTCTCATTCAAAGCTAGGGTTATCAGGGGACAAACTGAGATCCTATTCTGGTATTACTCTGGTGTGATAAGACTGTCTTTTCTCTGAACAATGTTGATCAAACTGCAGATTGGGAACCATTATTGAGTTGTGACATCAGCTGGGTATCAGCTAGGTAGATTACTCAGCATCTTTATAAAAGGAAAGAATAGAAAATATCAGCATGCATTGCATGTGGTAAGGGTAAATACTGTTTCATAAAACTTTTGTTGTTTGACATACCACACACACAAACACACACCTGTATATGTGTAGTGAGTTGTAAGGTAAAATGTATTTTTTATGTGGGTCATAATCAAAAACAGTTTCAAAGCTACTGTCATGGAGTACGTTGTTTAATAATACCAAACTACAAATTAAGAAAAACATAGAAGGCTTAAAAATACCAATTATTTGCAAAAGTGTACTCTTGTAATAAGTTTCCACAAGGGTTTTGTGGCAAGGAGAGCCCAAGGAGAGGTTTGAGTTTTTTCAATTCAGACTAAACAAAGATATTCTCAGAAACACACCTAACCAGCAGATTAAATCTTTCAGTAACACCAGTGATGGTGAATGTATCTGTGGGTAAATGGGTATTTAACTGAACGTGTTACCTTTTTTTTTTTTTTTTGAGACGGAGTCTTGTTCCGTTGCCCGGGCTGGAGTGCAGTGGCATGATATCAGTTTACTGCAACCTCCGCCTCCCAGGTTCAAACAATTCTCCTGCCTCAGCCCCCTGAGTAGCTGGGATTACGGGCGTGCATCACTATGCCCGACTAATTTTTGTATTTTTAGTAGAGACCAGGTTTCACTGTGTTGGCCAGGCTGGTCTCAAACTCCTCACCTCAAGTGATCCGCCTGGCTCAGCCTCCCAAAGTACTGGAATTACAGGTGTGAGCGACAGCACCCAGCCAAATGTGTTACCTTTTAAAGAAAGCCCAAACATGTTAAATCTACACGTGTTAAACTTTTGGTAATTTAGGATAATACATGGGAGGCTAGTGGGTCAGAGAATTCAAAATAATAGATAAGAAAAAACATCACATATTTGTTTTGGAAAATGCTACTTTATTTTTTTTAGATTTACTCCGCTATTTATATTTCATATACAGTTATATTAAAATGACTTTTCTTCCCTGAACATAGATTCTCTGATGGTGTAGGAAGGTGGCTGATTCAGAAGCGAACCAAGTACACCAAAGTTGCAACCATGGAATTAAAATTTTTCTCATATAATCCATGGAGTGGCCATTTGATAAGACATTTTACAGCTGGCAAAATTCACATTTATGACACATATATTTAAGTGTTATTTCCTTTATTGCATAGTGTTTGCCATAGAGAAAAATTTGTCACTTCAATCTTGAGTCCTATTGAAGAAAAATTTGTCTTAGAAGTACCAAAACATTTTGTTAGGAAACATTACAGCTAAGTCTATCTTGTTGGAGAGTCAGTGGACAAATAGATAGCATCATGTCTTGACATACATCAGCATGCTCATCCAAACTGATCCCCACATTCCCCAGCCAGGACCCTGGCACTTTTGCAGGATGTATAATCAGTTGGCAGTGATCTTGATGTAGAAAAAATTATGTAAGTAACAATGTATTTTCACTATACTTTAACATACTTTTTATTTAATTAATTTATTTATTTGTTTATTTTTTGAGATGTCTTACTCTGTCACTCAGGGTGGAGTACAGTGGGATCTTGGCTCACTGCAACCTCTGCCTCCTGGGTTCAAGTGATTCTCCTGCCTCAGCCTCCAGGTTAGCTGGGATTACAGGCGTGCACCACCACACCTAGCTAATTTTTGTATTTTTAGTAGAGTCGGGGTTTTGCCACATTGGCCAGGCTGGTCTTGAACTCCTGACCTCAAGTGGTCCCCCTGCCTCAACCTCCCAAAGTGCTGGGATTACAGGCATGAGACACCACGACCAGCCTAAAATGCTTTTTAAAATCTAAACATGAAATCCCAAAAAAAGAAAAAAATGAGGGCTCAAGGAAGAGGAAGTGGAGGTAAGCGATGAAGAGGCATTGAGGAGAAGAAAGAGCAGTAGGGGAAAAAAATCACTTGCAAGGGTTAGACATGCAAACTCATAAGAGGAAGCATTGTGAGATATTTTTCTTTGACAGTATTACTAACTGAAATCCCAGGCAATCAGACTTCCATAAAGGGGCATTTAAAGAGCCTACCCCAACAGATTGAAGTGTGGTTGTTGCTTTTTGAATTTTCATTCACTGAAAATTCATCTTTCAATCTGTTGCTCACTTTCTTAGTGCTTGGAGCTATGTAGTACTCTTTTTAATAATTAGCAATCAGGTTTCTTTAAAAGCAAAAAAACTCTTGCAAAATTATCTTTAAAAAAGTTGCTGATTAGAGAGCACTGGTTCTTGCTAAGAGTGCTGTAGATTACTTGGTAGCACAAATCTTTATTCATGAACACCCTTTGAAACTCAGTTTTGCATGTATTTAATGTAATTTTTCTTCAAAATGAATGAAGTTATTTAAAAATGACAATAAATACCCCATATTTAGTCGTTTGGAACAATTAAAATAGTTAAAAGTGATTGTCCTTGAAAAACTTCTTCGCTTAGAAAAGCTTATTGACTATTACCTAAAAGCCACTCTTTGTAAGTTAAAAAAAAATTAAACACAATCCCTATCAAAATCCTAGCTATCTGTTTTGCAGGAATTGATAAGCTGATCTTAAAATTCATATGGAAATACACGGAACCTAGAATAGCAAAAACAATCTTGAAAAAGAAGAGCGAAGTTGGAGAACACATACTTACCAATTTCAAAACTTACTGCAAAGCTACAGTAATCAAGACTAGCATAAATATAGCACAAGGTTAGACATATGGATCAGTGGAATAGAAATGAGATCCCAGAGATAAACCCATAGGTATATGGTCAGCTGATTCTGACAAGGGTGTCAAGACAATTCAAGGGAGAAAAAATAATCTTTTCAGTAAGTGGTACTGGGATAACTGGGTATTTATATGGGAAAAAATTAAGTTGGATCCCTACTTTACACCTTTTACAAAAATTAATTCAAAGTTGACTATAGACCTAAATGTAAGAGCTAAAACTATAAAACTCTTAGAAGAAAGCAGAGGAGTAAATTTCATGACCTTGGATTAGACAACTATTTCTTAGACAATGACACCAAAAGAACAATCACAAAAGAAAAAACAGAAGGACTGAACTTCATCAAAATGTAAAACTTTTATGTTGTTTGTGTGTGTGTGTGTGTGTGTGTGTGCCATATTTTCTTTCTTTTTTTAAATTACACTTTAAGTTTTGGATACACGTGTGGAATGTGCAGGCTTGTTACATAGGTATACACGTGCCATGGTGGTTTGCTGCACCCATCAACCTGTCATCTACATTAGGTATTTCTCCTAATACTATCCTTCCCCTAACCCCCCATGCCAACAGGCCCTGGTGTGTGATGTTCCCCTCCCTGTGTCCATGTGTTCTCATTGTTCAGCTCCCACTCATGAGTGAGAACATGCGGTGTTTGGTTTTCTGTTCCTGTGTTAGTTTGTTGAGAATGATGGTTTCCAGCTTCATCCATGTCCCTGCAAAGGACATGAACTCATACTTTTTTATGGCTGCATAGTATTCCATGATGTATATGTGCCACATTTTCTTTATCCAGTCTTTCATTGATCGACATTTGGGTTGGTTCCAAGTCTTTGCTATTGTGAATAGTGCTTCAATAAACATACGTGTGCATGTGTCTTTATAGTAGAATGATTTACAGTCTGTTGGGTATATACCCAGTAATGGGATGGCTGAGTCAAATGGTATTTCTAGTTCTAGATCCTTGAGGAATCGCCACACTGTCTTCCACAATGGTTGAACTAGTTTACAGTCCCAGCAACTGTGTAAAAGTGTTCCTATTTCTCCACATCCTCTCCAGCACCTGTTGTTTCCTGACTGTTTAATGATCGCCATTCTAACTGGCATGAGATGGTATCTCATTGTGGCTTTGATTTGCATTTCTCTAATGACCAGTGATGATGAGCTTTTTTTCATATGTTTGTTGGCTGCATATATGTCTTATTTTGAGAAATGTCTGTTCATATCCTTTGCCCACTTTTTGATGGGGTTGTTTTTTTCTTGTAAATTTGTTTAAGTTCTTTGTAGATTCTGTATATTAGCCCTTTGTCAGATGGATACATTGCAAAAATTTTTTCCCATTCTGCAGGTTGGCTCTTCACTGCGATGATAGCTTCTTTTGCTGTGTGGAAGCTCTTTAGTTTAATTAGATCCCATTTGTCAATTTTAACTTTTGTTGCCATTGCTTTTGTGTTTTAGTCATGAAGTCTTCGTCCATGTCTATGTCTAGACGTCATCAATAAAGTAAAAATACAACTCACAGAATGGAAGAAAATATTTGCAAATCATGTATCCGATAAGGGTTTGATAACCAGAATATACAAAGAACCCTTACGACTCAACAATAAAAGGCAACCTAATTTTATTTTATTTTATTTTATTATTATTTTTTAATATTGTGAACTGCTTTTCAACTTTTAAGTTCTGGGGCACATGTGCAGGATGTACAGGTTTGTTACATAGGTAAACATGTGCCATGGTGGTTTACTACACAGATCAACCCATCCCCTTGGTATTAAGCCCAGCATCCACCAGCTATTCTTCCTGATGGTCTCCCTCCTCCCATCCTTCCCCCTGACAGGCCCCCATGTGTGTTGTTCCCCCAACGTGTGCATATGGTTTCATCATTCAGCTCCCACATGGAGTGTTTGGTTTGCTGAGGATAACAGCTTCCAGCTCCATCCATGTCCCTGAAAAGGACATGATCTCATTCCTTTTTATGGCTGCATAGTATTCCATGGTGTATATGTACCACATTTTCTTTATCCAGTCTATCCTTGATGGGCATTTGGGTTGATTCCATTTCTTTGCTATTGTGAATAGTGCTGCAATGAACATACACATGCATGTATCTTTATAATAGAATGATTTATACTCCTTTGGGTATATACCCAGTAATGGGATTGCTGAGTCAAATGGTATTTCTGCCTCTAGATCTTTGAGGAATCATTACACTGTCTTCCACAATAGTTAAACTAATTTACACTCCCATCAACAGTGTAAAAGCATTCCTTTTTCTCCACAACCTCACCAGCATCTGTTGTTTCTGGACTTTTTAATAATCGTCATTCTGACTGGCATAGATGCTGTCTCATTGTGGTTTTGATTTTCATTTCTGGAGTGATCAGTGATGTTGAGCTTTTTTCCATATATTTGTGGCTGCATGAATGACTTCTTTGAAGAAGTGTCTGTTTCTGTTCTTTGCCCACTTTTTATTGGGGTTGTTTTTTTCTTGTAAATTTGTTTAAGTTCCTTGTTGAGTCTGGATATTAGGCCTTTGTCAGATGAACAGATTGCAAACATTTTCTTGCATTCTGTAGGTTGTCTGTTCACTCTGATGATAGTTTCTTTTGCTATGCAGAAGCTCTTTCATTGAATTAGATCCCCTTTGTCAATTTTTGCTTTTGTTACAAATGCTTTTGACATTTACATCATAAAATCTTTGCCCATGCCTATGTCCTGAATGTTATTGTCTAGATTTTCTCCCAGGGTTTTTACAGTTTTGGGTTTTACATTTAAGTCTTTAATTCATCTTGAATTAATTTTTGTATAAGGTATAAGAAAGAGGTCCAGTTTCAATTTTCTGCATATGGCTAGCAAGTTCTCCAAGCACCATTTATTAAATAGGAAGTCATTTCCCCTTTCTTGTTTTTGTCAGGTTTGTTGAAGAGCAGATGGTTGTAGGTGTGCAGTCTTATTTCTGAGTTCTCTATTCGGTTCCATTCATCTATGTGTCAGTTTTTGTATCAGTACCATGCTGTTTTGTTTTCTGTAGCCTTAAAGTATAGTTTGAAGCCAGGTAATGTGATGCCTCCAGCTTTGTTCTTTTTGCTTAGGATTGTCTTCACTATTCAGGCTCTTTTTTGGAATTTTAAAATTGTTTCTTCTAATTATGTAAAGAATGTCAATGATAGTTTAATGGGAATAGCATTGAACCTATAAATTACTTCGGGTAGTATGGCCATTTTCGTGATATTGTTATCTATGAGCATGGAATGTTTTTCCATTTGTGTCCTCTCTGATTTCACTTCCCTTGTTAGCTATATTCCTAGGTATTTTATTCTTTTTGTAGTAATTGTAAATAGGAGTTCATTTATGACTTGGCTCTCTGCTTGCCTGTTGTTGGTGTATAGGAATGCTAGTGATTTTTGCACATTGATTTTGTGTCTTGAGACTTTGCTAAAGTTTCTTATCAGCTTAAGAAGCTTTTGGGCTGAGATGATGGGATTTTCTAGGTATAAAATCAAGGCAACCTCATTTTAAAATGAGCAAAGGATTTGAATAGGCTTTCTCTAAAGAAAGTATATAAACGGTCAATGAGTACATGAAACAATTCTCAGCTTCATTCATCATTAGGAAAATGCATGTCGAAACCATAATGAGATACTACTTTACACCATTATCATGGCAATAATAAAAAAGATATACGGGCCAGGCGCGGTGGCTCACGCCTGTAATCCCAGCACTTTGGGAGGCCGAGGCGGGTGGATCATGAGGTCAGGAGATCGAGACCATCCTGGCTAACAAGGTGAAACCCCGTCTCTACTAAAAATACAAAAAATTAGCCGGGCGCGGTGGCGGGCGCCTGTAGTCCCAGCTACTCGGGAGGCTGAGGCAGGAGAATGGCGTGAACCCGGGAAGCGGAGCTTGCATTGAGCCGAGATTGCGCCACTGCAGTCCGCAGTCCGGCCTGGGCGACAGAGCGAGACTCCGTCTCAAAAAAAAAAAAAAAAAAAAAAAAGATATACGATAACATGTGTTCATGAAGATATGGGGAAACTGGAACCCTTTCTTTTTTATGATTTCATTTGATTTTTATTTATTTTTAAAATTATTTCCATAGGTTTTTAGGGAAGAAGTGGTATTAGATTATATAAGTAAGTTCTTTAGTTGTTATTTGTGAGATTTTGGTGTACCCATAACCCGAGCAGTGTACACTGAACCCAGAGAAATTGGAACTGTCATACATTGCTGGTGGGTATGTGAAATGATGCAGCCATTTGAAAAACCCTTGGCACTTCATTAAAATATTAAACATGGAGTTACCATATATACCAGAAATTTCACTCCTAGATATATGCATATTCAAGAGAGTTGAAAACGTGTCCACACAAAAAGTTGTACATGAATGTTCATAGCAATGGGATCAACTCAAATTTTCTGCCAACTAATGAATGGATGGATAAAGAAAATATGATATAGCCATGAAATGGAATCTCATTCAGCCATAACAAGAAATGGAGTGCTATTAGGTTGGTGCAAAAGTATTTGCATTTTTGTCATTACTTTTAGTGGCAAAATACATTCTACAATACGGATGAACCTTGAAAACATTATGTTCAGTGAAAGAAGCCAGACATAAAGGACACATATTGTATGGTTCCATTTATGTGAAATGTACAGAATAAGCAAGTCCATAGAGATAGAAAGTAAACTAGTGATTGGCAGGGGCTGAGGGCAGGAGGGAATGAAGAGTGACTGCTAATGAGTGGGTAAAGATTTCCTTGCGTGATGAAAATGTTCTGGAATTAGATAGTGGTCATGGAGTATACTAACACCAGTAAATTTTATACTTTGAAAGGGTGTCCATTACAGTATGTGAACTGTGTCTCAATTAAAACAAAAAACAAAAAAGAACATTGTAAGACAATTGAAGCAATTTAGATATGGTTTAAATATTAGATGATGTTAGGGAATAAGCGCCAATTTTCTTAGGGTAAAAATGAAATTATCATTATAAAAATCATTATTTTTAATTGATGCATTCTGAAACATTTAGGGATAACATTTATGATATTTGCAGCTTAGTTGCAAATGGTTCAGCAAAAAAGAAATATTTTAATAAATGTATAGATAAAGCAAAGTTAGCAAAATATTGGCAACATTTCAGTTTAGGTGATGGGTACCTGGGTGTCTAATGTTCTTTTCTTTCAATTTTATTGCATTTGAAATTTTTCATAAAATAAAATTGGAGAAAAATATTAGAAAACATTAGAAAAAATCTAAAGTTTCATTATTTGTCTCATGGCGAATTCCTTCCTTATTTCCCTTATGGGTTGTTTGTGAGACTTAATTTGTAAAATGCTATACAGATGTTAATGGTTACTATTTTAAAATTCTGCATTTCTAGGACTTGAAGCATCTATCACCAATAAATTGTGAGAAATACAAAACCATTATTTTAGGATGAATCAAATTTCTACCCTCATTCTTCCATTTTACAAATTTAAGACATGCGTTACTGCCCAATCTGAATTCTTTTTAGAAAAATTTCAGGGCCACTTAGGATTAGATGATGAATTGTTGAGACCTATTATTTTGATAGCTAACTTTGTTTTCCAAGCTTCTCGTGAAAAAAATGCATCAGAGCAGTCTTCGGAGAGTAAGAACAGAAACATCAGACTTAGCTAGAAATTCATACCATGGGATTCTTGAGAGGAACAGCATGTAAGTATTAGACATCTTATAAATAGGATTGATGGGCTGACTGAATCAGGAACTGGTGAGAATAGAGAGTTCATGTGAAGTATTGTATAGACAAACCTCCTTACCACTGATGAAGAGGCTCTCTCGGTGCTTTCAGCTGGTGGACTGTTTACCTGAACTCTGTCATCCTGCCAGTCCGTCTATCCCTGGTAGCCTCCTTCTGGCTCATCCAGCCACAAAGCTTTCTCCTGGAGGATGAAGCTTTGTGTCTCTGTGGAACCTTTATCAGTATGACAAAGAGAAGTTTTCAGCAAAGGCGTTTTATCCCTTTCAAGGAGTAAAAAGGGCCTTACAGACTTTTTAATGTCCTGACAGCAACTGCAGTACCTGAAAACACAAACATACATCCATTCAGTGCTTCACCCATTTACCTATGCACTGACTGGTATTGCACATTACCTGCATGAGAACAGGAGTCCCATCTATCTTGTTCACCACTCTATCCTACCTGGCATCTTGCAGGGGCTCAATAAATATCGATGATTATTATTGAGTGCTACCTATGTATCATACCCTGTGTCAGGTATTGGGGTTACTAGGATGAATAAGACGTGATCCTAGCATTTCAGGAACTTCCAAACTCTTAAGGAAAATAGCCATAAACAAATCATCATAATCTTTTAGTGCAAACTAAAGGATGTGTACTGGGTATAATGAGATCACAGATGAAGGGAGATTTAGGAAAACTTTTCACAGCTACAATCCATAGCTATATTAGTACTTTCAGTGACAGCAAGAACAGTTTGTTTCATTGAAGAATTGCCGCTTCTCTAACAGGGTAATTGAGGCCCATATAACCAATGTCTACTCTCATGTGTACATGTTGGGTAGTTTTGTTTTTTTTTTTTTTAATTCCCGGAAGCCAGGAGTGGTGGCTCATGCCTGTAATCCCAACAGTTTGGGAGGCCAAGACAGGAGAATTGCTTGAGGCCAGGAGTTGAAGACCAGCCTGGGCAACACAGCAAGACTTCTTCTCTACCAAAAAGAAAAAAAAAATCCTGGGAATGCCCTCTCCTTTGTGACTGACATTAGCTTCTGATGGGGCTCTAATCTCTTCAGAAGAGTCTTCTGTAACCAATCCTGCTCAGGTTCAATTTTCACTTATATACACTGCCTCTATGTTATACATTTGTACCATCAGACATGTTGCTTTGCATTATTGTTATTTGTTTTCTATGTTCCATGATTTTTCTTACTGTATTATCAAAGGACAAGGACAACTACTTTTATTTGTATTTCATTTCGGTCTTCTTCCTTCACCACCTTCAAACAGAACATTGCCCCAAATAGTTACTCCATTATAGTTGACCAAATATGTTGGCTTATGACCTAACTAGGTGTTACCAACCTGTCGGGGGGAGGGGGCTGTGATTTCCTCTTAACCACAAAATTCTTCCCAATGCCTCCTGTGGAGTAGTTGAGGGCTTTCTGGTTCCCTTTGGGATCGGGTGACTGAGTGGTCCAGCAAAAGACTGACAAGTCAGAGCCAGCACTGCAAAGCAGGAATTGAGACAACTTGGGTTTCTTCCAAGCTCTTGCCCTTGTCTCTCTTCCTAATTCTGTTCTAATTCTCTCCGTTTCTAAAATTTACTCACGGAATAGGATCTGAAACTCATTCACAATAACATACAAGAAACTGATAAGATTTAAGATATCTCCCTTCCTTAGATTAATTGCAATTTAATAACCTAGGAAAGTCTTAAACTAAGGAGTGAAACTCACACCATGGAATTGCAGATATTATCTAGCACAAGCAGGAGCTATTTTCTGGCTAGCTTGGTTTCCTCACCCATCCCAGCATCCAGCTTAACTTACATCTAAAGCCAGCATGCTCCCTGGAAGTCACCAGTTCATATCTGAAGTTGGTACTGGTTCTTGCCTTCTTAGTGACTGCTTGATATTTATGTGAAATGAAGTGGTAATTTCATTTCTGTTTCTCCCACAAAGATGCCCAATGCACAGACTTCATCTAACAAGTTTCTACTGATAATTAACACTCTGTAGGAAATCAGACACAGGGGATTGAACAGCCCAGAAGAAGAAACCTCTCTCCCCTAAGTGCTGCTGCTTTTTTTTTTTTTTTTTTTACAGAAAGTTGATACTTTCTGTTCCTTCAGCAAGGAGGGCTGAGAGGAAAGACAGGAAAGACTTAATGTACAACTTTCCAACCTCTGCTGGGGATAAATTGGGTAAGCATTGGATTCCCCAGAATCTGATTTTCTGATCATCTCAAGAAAGCAGTTTATGAGTTTAACTTTAATTTAGAGATATCTTGCAAGGAGAACCAGGCAGCACAAGTGTTGTCTTTCTGATTTACAGCTGCAATAGCAGAACCTACACGCATCTCAGATGATGGGATCATACACTGTCAACGTCTCTAGTGTGAACTCTGTGTAGATCATTTACTGACTCTCCTGATAATAACAACATCAGAATATGAATATATCTTTCTTTGGAAGCATAACAGAGAGAGACTTTTTTTGCAGCTCTGTGGCTATGTAAGCCAAAATACTGTTTATCAGTCATCCATGATAACTGAGGCCACTATATGGGTTAATTTGGATTCAGGTAATAAATGGAAATATTTAAAGGCAGAAAATGTAAAATATACGTCAAAAGTACCCAATGCCATGGATAGTTCTTGAAAGTTTCTTTATGAGATATTGCTGTGTAAAGGAAATCCACATCTCAGAAGTTATTTAGTCATAACATGGCAACTTCCTATGTCAATTTCTTCCAAATAATAGTAATAATTTACATATATATATTGTTTTACCCAATGTAAGGCAATATAGTACAATGATTAAGAATACTGACATTGCTAACTTATTCAAGGCACACACTAGCTCCGTGACCATGGATAAGTTTCTATCCTTTCTGTGCCTCAGTTTCTTCATCTATAAAACAGGAAAAGAATAGCCCCTACCTCATAAGATTGTTGTGAGGATTAATTAAGACACATTAAACCACTTAAAATGGTGTCTGACAGAGTAAGGACTCCATAAATGTTAGCTCTTGGTTCCATTTTCTTTTTTATAACCGGAGATTATGGTTATTGACAATAAACTTTGCAGTGTTCAAGTGTCCTTAGTGTGGTTGCCAGTGATAGAATTAATTTATGCAGAGAGGCAACTTACTGCTTGACGGAACCCAAGGAAAGGTTGGACAACCAAACCTGTGGGAAGGTCCCAGATGCATCTGGCATCCAGAAAGTCTGGAATCAGGACTTGGATGTCCCCAGGACATGTTCTTTGTTTTGCACTCCTGCTTCCTGAGATCAGCTTAGTTTGCCTCTCAAAGCACACTGGCTGTCCTCCCATAGTATGTAACAGCTTCTGATTTTAATTTAGGTTTAATTCTTATGGCTTCTAACATGAATGAGGGATTGACTACTTCTTAAATCTGTTCCAAAGTTTAAAATCTTGGAGAAGGATCCCAATTTGTAGTGATTAATAGGAAACAATAGATGGAGGCCAGGAGGTAGAATTTTATAAAAATGTGTCTGTTCTATTAGATATTCCATGATCATGGCTGTGGGAGATGGAAGGTTGAGCATAAAGCATTCCTTTTTATAGCTGAATAACATTCCATTGATTGGATATGCCACATTTTGTTTATCCATTCATGAGCTGCTGAACGTTTGTATTGATTTTACTTTTGGCTACTACAAATAATGTTACTGTGAACATTCATACATAAATTTTTGTGTGAACATTATGTTTTCAACTCTTGAATATATAACCATATGTGAATTGCTGGGACATAACTATGTGTAATCTTTTGAGGAACATTAAACTATTTTCCAAAGCAGCTTAACCATTTTACATTTCCACCAGCAAGATATGAGGGTTCCAATTTCTCCATATTCTCACCAATACTTGTAATTGCCATCTTTTCTCTTAGAGCCATCTTAATGTGTCTGAAGCAGTGTCTCATTGTAGTTTTGACATGCATTTCCCTAATGACTAATGATGCTGAGGATCTTTTCATGTATTTATTGGCCATTTATATATCTTCTTTGGACAAAGATCTATCTAAATCTTTTGCTTGTTTTAAAATTAGGTTATTTGTCTTTTTACTGTTGAGCTATAAGAGTTTTTAAAATATATTCTGAATATCAAACCCATTAGACATGATTTGCAAATATTTTATTATCTGAGCTGCATTTTTATTTTATTGATGCTATCCTTTGAAAGACAAGTGTTTAATAATGTTCAATCTATCTATTTTTTCTTTTGTGGTTTGTTGTTTTGGTGACATATGTAAGAAATTATTGCCTGATCCAGGGTCACCAAGATTTATCATTATGTTTTCTTCTAAGAGTTTTATAGTTTTAGCGTTTACATTTAGGGTCTATAATTAATTTTGTGTTAATTTTTGTATATGGTATGAGATAGGGGTCTAACTTGATTCTTTCGTATGTTAATATCCAGTTGTCTCAACACAATTTGTTGAAAAACTGTTGTTTCCCCACATTGAATTTTCTTGACATCCTTGCCCAAAATCAGTTGACCATAAATGCATGGCTTATTTCTGAACTCCCTATCCTATTCATTGATCTGTGTCTATAAATATACATATACCAATGATGACAGTAATTTTATAAAAGATTTGAAATGGAAAGTGTGTGTTCTACAACTTTGCTCTTTTTTTCAAAATTGCTTGGGGAGCCAGCTAAGATTTTCATAACAATTGTTTTGAATCTGGAGATAAATTGAATCTGTAGAATTGCCATCTTAACAATATTAAGTGTTCCAATCCATGAACATGGACTGTCTTTTCTTTTATCTAGGTTTTCTTTTAATTTATGTCAACAATATTTTGTAGCTTATGATATATAATTCCTGCCCCTCCTTGGTTACATTTATTCCTAGGTATTTGAATCTCTCTGATGTTAATGTAAATGAAATTATTTTCTTAATTTCTTTTTCCAATTATTCATTTATGTATATAAATACTACTGATTTTTGTACATTGATTTTGTATGCTGCAACCTTGCTAAGCTTGTTTATTAGCTGTAATGGTTTTGCTTTTATTTTCCATGTGTGGATTTCTTAGTATTTTCTGTACACAAGATCATGCCACCTATATGATGTAAAACAGAGATAGTTTTATTTCTTCGTTTCCAATCTGGACACATTTTATTTTGTTTTTTTTCTGGCCTGATTCCCTTGGCAGGATAATTACTGACCACATTTTAAAGATAGGTAAACTGAGATTCAGAGAAGTTGTGCAGTTTCTTAAAGTTTTCATGTACTTAGACAATTTGAGTTTTCATTCAGATTTTGATGAGTTGCTGAATGTCCACTTACTTCTTTGGACCTCAGTTTCCCGTCTGAAAACTTTTGGCATTGAACAAAGCAAGTCAATAAACATACAGTAACAAATAGTGATAAGTGCTATGAACGATATGAACAGGGTGCCGTGATAGAGAGCAATGCCAGTGCACAGGAGCACCTACTTTGGACAAAGTTGTTGGGACAAGCCTCTCTGGGGAGGTTAACATTCAGACCACAACCTAAAGTTGTTTTTGTTTGTTTCTTTCTTTGAGGCAGAGTCTCACTCTGTTGCCCAGGCTAGAGTGCAGTGGCACGATCTCGGCCCACAGCAGCCACCACCTCCTGGGTTCAAGTGACTCTCATGCCTCAGCCTCCCAAGTAGCTGGCCACCACACCCAGTTAATTTTTGTACTTTTAGTAGAGACGGAGTTCCACAATGTTGGCGAGGCTGGTCTCAAACTGCTGGCCTCAAGTGATCTGCCAACCTCAGCCTCCCAAAGTGTTGGTATTACAGGCATGAGCCACGAGACCTGGCCCAAACCACAACCTAAAGTTTGGGAAGGAAGTTTTCACTTAAAGATTCTTCCAGGCATTTGTGAAGAAATAGCATTTGTGAAAGCTCAAGAGGCAAGGAGGAGCTTTGTTTATCTCCACCACTAGACATGCTTGGCAAGGGCAGAAACCAATCTGTTTTGACTCATCAGTGAATCCCCAGAGTGCCACACCATGCCAGAAACATTGTAGGTGCTCAGGAAATAGTTGTTGAATAAATGGATGACAAAATGGTTTATAAAGCAGGTAATATGTAAGGTTCCTTTGAACTCTGACAATCTACCTTTTTCAGGTTAGAGCAAAGTTTCTGACTTCAAACTTACTGTGCCTAATAAGTTCATTCTGGTTCATTTCGCTTTGGAAGCCAGTTCATAATGAGGTTAAGGATTTTTGATTTTGCCTCCATGAGTCACCTCTGAGTTCTGGTAATTGTTAGGCCTTATACTCACTTAGGAACCTCCTTTTGTAGGTTTTTAAGAACAATTTTGGTCTTAGGTACTTGGGATAGAGTTGAGGAAGGCTAGGGGAATATGTGGTGTATATGAGAGGGTAGGGAACAAAAGGAAAGAGTGGAAGATGTTTGTGAGCTTAGTATCAAGGCAGAGTTGCTTTGATCCAGCTCTGCCGTTGCTTGGAACCCCAGTCTCTTGTGAACTGGAATCCTCACCTTACTATACAATCTCCATATAACCGGTTCCCTGCACATCTATTACCTGTCTCAGTGGCTGGTCCTTAGCTTATTGGCATTCACCAGTGTCCTACCATGTGAATAAATCTGTACTCCTAGACTCTTGCTGGGGAAAACCTCATCTCTGACATAAGAGCATCTTTTTTGTTAGGATCCCACCCTAGCAGCCTCACTTTAACTCACTCACCTCTTTAGAGACCTTGTTATAAAATACAGCTATTTTTTCTTGATAATTTTAGTTCTTTGTATCTTCTAGACATTAATCCCTTGTTGGTTTAAGGTCTTGCAAAAAACCTTTTCCAGGCTGTCACCTCCTCTGTGGGAAACTTGATTTATATTGTCCTTCATTAAACAGAAATCTTTACTTCCGTTGTAATATAATCTACCCATTTTCCTCTTACGGTTTTGGTTTCTTATGTTTCATTTCTGAAATTCAACCCCGGGTATTACAAAGATGTTTTTATACATTTTACAAGTGTCTTCTACATTTTATTTTCTTAGCTTTATATTATTAATTTAATTGGCTCTATGATTGTACCTCTCATATTTAGGTCTTTAACCAATTTGGAGCTTTTTTTTTTGTAGTTAATACTGTCTAGTTCCCTCTACATATTTATTATTATTATTTTTTTTTGGCGTAGAACCTCAGTTTTTAGATGAACATATTGTTGCCCATAATAAAGACTCATTTCCTGGACTCTCTTACAGCTAGGTGAGGCCATTTTACTTAAATGTCATCTATTTGATATAAACAAAAGTATGCATAAAACCCTTGGGAAGATTTTTTTTTTTTTTTGAAAGAAGCATAATCACAGTTTTATTCATGTGAATCTGGGGGATAAGGGAACAGAAAATGCAATACAATACAAGTATAATTGTGTCACTCACAAGCTGAAGTTCTTTTCTGCTGGTTTTCTATTCCCATTGCTCAAGGATATGGCAGAGAAGGCCCCAGGGCGCCTCCTGAACTTGGACACATGCCCATGAACCTAGCCACATTGAACTTCTCAACATCCCCTGAATACTCCACACTTTTCTAATGATCACACCAGTAAATGTGCTGTTTCTTCTAACTAGCGGTTAATTTTTCTCTTTGTAGGTGAACTCTTACTCATACTTCAAGACACAGCCTAACTATTGTGTCTGGAATTGGTGGGTTCTTGGTCTCACTGACTTCAAGAATGAAGCCGCGGACCCTCGCGGTGAGTGTTACAGTTCTTAAAGGCGGCGTGTCCGGAGTTTGTTCCTTCTGATGTTCAGTTGTGTTAGGAGTTTCTTCCTTCTGGTGGGTTCGTGGTCTCGCTGGCTCGGGAGCGAAGCTGAGGACCTTCGCGGTGAGTGTTACAGCTCTTAAGGCGGCGCGTCTGCAGTTGTTCGTTCCTTCTGGTGGGTTCGTGGTCTCGCTGGTTTCAGGAGTGAAGCTGCAGACCTTCGCAGTGAGTGTTACAGCTCATAAAGGCAGTGTGGACCCAAAGAGTGAGCAGCAGTAAGATTTATTGCAAGGAGCGTAAAAACAAAGCTTCCACACTGTGGAAGGGGACCCGAGCAGGTTGCCACTGCTGGCTTGGGCAGCCTGCTTTTATTCTTTTATCTGGCCCCACCCACATCCTGCTGATTGGTAGAGCCGAGTGGTCTGTTTTGACAGGGCACTGATTTGGTGCGTTTACAATCCCTGAGCTAGACACAAAGGTTCTCCACATCCCCACCAGATTAGCTAGATACAGAGTGTCCACGCAAAGGTTCTCCAAGTCCCCACCAGAGTAGCTAGATACAGAGTGTTGATTGGTGCATTCACAAACCCTGAGCTAGACACAGGGTGCTGATTGGTGTGTTTACAAACCTTGAGCTAGATACAGAGTGCCGATTGGTGTATTTACAATCCCTTAGCTAGACATAAAGGTTCTCCATGTCCACACCAGACTCAGGAGCCCAGCTGGCTTCACCCAGTGGATTCCGCACTGGGGCTGCAGGTGGAGCTGCCTGCCAGTCCCGCGCTGTGCACCTGCGCTCCTCAGCCCTTGGGTGGTCGATGGGACTGGGCGCTGTGGAGCACTGGGCAGTGCTCACCAGGGAGGCTGGGGCCGCACAGGAGCCCACGGTGGGTGGGGCGGGGAGGCTTAGGCATGGCGGGCTGCAGGTCCCAAGCCCTGCTCCACTGGAAGGCAGCTAAGGCCTGGCGAGAAATTGAGCACAGCAGCTGCTGGCCCAGGTGCTAAGCCCCTCACTGCCCGGGGCCGGTGGGGCCGGCTGGCTGCTCCGAGTGCCGGGTCCGCCCGGGTCCGCGGAGCCCATGTCCACCCGGAACTTGCGCTGGCCTGCAAGCACCAGGCACAGCCCCGGTTCCTGCCCACGCCTCTCCCTGTACACCTCCCCGCAAGCTGAGGGAGCGGGCTCCGGCCTTGACCAGCCCAGAAAGGGGCTCCCACAGTGCAGCCGCGGGCTGAAGGGCTCCTCAAGTGCCGCCAAAGTGGGAGCCCAACAGAGGAGGCACCGAGAGCGAGCGAGGGCTGTGAGGATTGCCAGCACACTGTCACCTCTCACTATGACCTCCTGTATAGAGCCTTCCCTAACACACAGGGTCCTTTTCTGTGCCTGTATCACCTACCAGACATTTACTACACTGAATTGTAATTACTGTTTGTGCCTGAATTCTCAACAACAACAATAATAGCTAACATTTCTATGGCCAGGAAATGGACCAAGAACTTGTGTTCATACCTCACAGCAACTCTCTGAAATATGTACTATAGTTATTCCTGGGAAGATTCTTTAAAATGGAGAATATAAGTTCCTCCTTCTCTCTCCTTGATTCTTTTTACTACCAACCTAGACTGCTGAAATAATGTCTGGAGTATCAGCAATCATCTTGGGCCATGGAAGGACCTTGAGGGTGGGTGCTATATGCTGAGTGTGGCTGAACAGAAAGATGGGAAGGATTTGATGACACTATAGAGTTACAATTCCAGCCTTTAATCCTACCTCTGGACTTCTCTTACAGGAGAGAGAAATAAGCTTCTCCCTTGTTTAAACCATTGCCACTTTTTTTGTTAAATGTATATAAACCCAATTCTAATTAATATAGTTCAACATAGAGAGCATCCTTGTTGTTCTCTATGTAGTGAAATAACCTCTACTAAATTATTCTTAAGCCATCACCTATTTTTCTATATATATTCTAACTCCATCTACTAAATGATTCTTGCTTTTTTACTACTTATAATGTTATCACTATTGTGTATAGAGTTCTTATATATTTGTGGATTGATTGCTACAATCTCTATTCTGTTTTATTTGCGTTGCTCCTGCATCAGAAAATATAGGTAAAGTTTATCAAATGATTTTCCCCATTTATTAAAATTATCTCATTTTTTTCTCATTTAACCATATCTGAAGTCAATTTATTTTTCTTCTTTTTATGTGTGTGTCAGTGGAAACTGAATCTGAGGTCAATTTAAACTGATTTGTTGGCAGAGCATGGTGGCTCACATCTATAATCCCAGCACTTTGGGAGGCTGAGACGAGGGGATCACCTGTGGCCAGGAGTTCGAGACCAGCCTGGCCAACATGGTGAAACCCTGTCTCTACTAAAAATACAAAAATTAGCCAGGCATGGTGGCACATGCCTGTAGTTCCAGCTACTCAGGAGGCTGAGGCAGGAGAATCACTTGAACCTGGGAGGTGGAGGTTGCAGTAAGCCAAGATCAATCCACTGTACTCCAGCCTGGGTGACAGAGTGAGACTATATCTCATAAATAAATAAATAAATGGTTCTGTTGTAAACAATTTATTACTGGATTTTACCCCTAAATCCAGTCTAAAAATCTGCAATTAGTTTGCTCCATTTACATAGATTTCTGATTTACAAAAATTCTTTTTTTGTTGTTGTTTGTTTCCTGTCTTCCATTGGATAGATTACAATTGTCTTCTTGTGTTTGAACATTAAAAATCTATTACTGTTCTTGAATGATGGCTACTAGAGACCTGAAAAGGTAATAGGGAGGTTAAAGAGGGGATGGTAAGTGGGTACAAAAATACAGTTACATAGAAGGAGCAAGATCTAGCGTGAAGAAGCACAATAGGTAATCATAGTTAACAATAACTTATTGTATATTTCAAATTAGCTTTAAAAAGTGGAATTGGAATATTCTTAACACAAAGAAATAAATTATTGAGGTGATGGATATCCAGATTGCTCTGATTTTATTATTGATATGGTTTGGCTGTGTCCCCATTCAAATCTCAACTTGAATTGTATCTCCCAGAATTCCCCTGTGTTGTGGGAGGGACCCTAGGAGAGGTAATTGAATCATGGGGGCCGGTCTTTCCTGTGCTATTCTTGTGATAGTGAATAAGTCTCACAAGATCTGATGGGTTTATCAGGGGCTCCTGCTTTTGCTTACTCCTCATTTTCTCTTGCTGCTGCTGTGTAAGAAGTGCCTTTCACCTCCTGCCATGATTCTGAGGCCTCCCCAGCCATGTGGAATGGTAAATCCAATTAAATTAAACCTCTTTTTCTTCTCAGTATCAGGTATGTCCTTATCAGCAGCATAAAAATGGAGTAATACGATTATTATACATTGTATGTGTGTAGCAAAGTATCACATATACTCTATAAATATGTACAACTAAAATGTAGCCATAATTCAAAAATAAAAATTAAAAGATGATTACTCTTCTCAAGATAGTTAATGCTAATTTATTAAATTCTCTTTTATGCTTATCTTTTATCTATCAATATCATAGATAGTCAGAAACTATGTTTCCTCCCAAGGAAGTCAGGAAATTTAGCATATTGTCATTCCCTTCTCTTTGATACCTTCCCATGCACACCCCCACCATATGAGTATCAGCTAACATTTTACTTCTGGATGATTATGGATATAGTTTTTTTGTTTGTCTTGGCCAAGACAATCTAAACAAAAATAAATCTTACTATATATTTATCCTTTCTTTCCATATTTTGTTGCCTCCTTCTGTACTAATTTCTCTTCTTGCTAGAATACATACTCAAAGTGTTTTGTGAAAGAGAGTGTTGGTGTAGTAAACTTTCTGAGACATGTATACCTGATAATATTTTTATCTCATTGTTACATTTAAGTAATAGATTAGCTGATTATAAAATTCAAGGTTGAAAGTTGTTTTCCTTTGGTACTTTAAAAAGATTATATACTTGTCTTCTATTCGGTTTTGCAGTTGAGAAATCTGATTTTCTTTTTCTTTAATGTTTTACAATTTCACTTTAATGTATTTAGGGTGGGTTTTTTTTCTCTGCCCTTTTCAGCACTATAAATCCTGCCTTTCTGAAGTTTGTGATGTTTATTCAATTCTGAGAGACTCTTGATTATTATATCTTAAAGTGTATTTTGTTTCTTTGGTTTTAATCTGCATCTGGGGCGCCACCAGATAGATACTAACTTTTCTCCAATATTTCATTCTCTTCATCTTGTCATACTTTCCCAGCACCTTCTGGAAGAGTTCCTTGGCCTAATCTTCTAGTTCATTAATTTGTTCTTTGACTGTATCTATCCTGCTGTTAAATCCATTTGTTGTGTTAATTTCCATGGCAAATGTCCTATTGGCTATTTTTCATCATTGCTTTTTTTCCACCTTGTGTTTCTGATATACCCCCTTATCCCTGAATTTTCTGATTTATTTAAGTTTTTGTCTGTTTCTTTCATTTTGCTTATTTTTGGTGCAAGTTTTTCATTATTTGCTTTTATTTTATAGTGTTTGTGCTCACAAGATATCTCATTATTTGTCCCTTGGGATTATCTGCTAACTTGGTGTTCTGGAGATCTTCTGTTTACCCCTCCAGATCCCCTCTCCATTCTTCCTACCCTGCTCAGTGCTCCTGGAGGCTGACCTGTACAAACAACATCAATAAACCCCCTTGCTCTCTGCCTTCCCATTGGATTCAGCCACTGGGGAGCTCCAGGAGGAGAATATTGGGAGAGAAGAATGTGAAGTCAAGGGTATTTATTCTCTCACTTCTCTCCTTATGCTGTCAGCTGTGTCAATGATTAAAGATCAGAATTCCATCAAGACAGGCCTCTCCAAATGGCTTCCTTTTTTTTTGATTCTGATAGTACCTACTTCTCTGTCCCCTTTCAGGCCTGTAACTAGCACTTAGATACTGTGATATGCTGACTGCCTAACTGTAAATAGTCTTATTATTAAAATGGTCCCATCGTCTCCCTGGGACCATGACTAGTATATTCAGTTAGTAATGTCTACCTGGAGAGAGGAGCAAAAACTTCTTTGACCCTGGCTACTTCTTCACCAGGTTAGTTAGGAGACAGGGAGTGTTATACCAAGTGATTCAGGGGGACTGCCTTATGGTGGAGAGGCCCTTGTGTTAAAACACAAGATTAAGCTACCCCTGTATGCATTTTCTCCACCTTCAGAGTTTAGTTTCTCTTCCCAGGAATAGCTTTTATCCAACGATACTATCATTGCTCAAACTATAGGATAGTTTGAGGAGGAGCAAGATTCTCAGGTACCTGCTAGCCCATCTACACTTTTGTTATTTGTTACTTAGCTCTGCAGCTTTGGACACTCTTAGGATATTATCCTTCTGATCCTGTGATTATAGCAGAGAAGGCAGTGATCTTCCCAGGGCAATGCTGGGGAGACAAAACAACACAACTAAAAAATTATCTGCCAGCCTATCCTCATTCAGGGCTTTAGAGAGCTTCTCATTATCTACCCTACCCTAGACCCAACTACCTTCTATTTCTCAAAGAGTTTCTCACAGTTTCTTAATTTTTAACATTTTCAGTGCCAGCTCTGAGCTTTTCATCAGCGTCTCTTAAGTTTGGTTTGGGGAAGAGAACCATAAATGGGATTCCTTGAACCTGTAATTGAACATGTTACTCAAATAGATACCTATCTTTTGGTTCACATTGACGTTAGTATTTACTAGAAACATAATGGCTTGCCCAGGAAAGCCTCCCACCTGCCATTGATTTATGGGCTGATAATAAACAATGTCAACCTACAGAGGTCATCCAATCTATTCCCCTAGAAAAGTCTGCACAGACACTATCACAAAGGGACATACAGAAGATCTCTGCCTAAGGTGAGAAAGTATCTTATGCTTATTATATCTACGACTAATTTAATATTATAATGGAAGTTTCAATGCACCAACCAGGTCCCCCTTTAGGAGTGAAGGATTTATCTGTTGGGAGTGCTGCCAGCAGAGAGCCTTCAGCTGTCAGCCCTTATGGGGAATTGCCTTAGCTAAAGATATGAGAGAGTATTATTAATATTATTACTATTGCTATCACAAGGGAGGAAGAAAGGAGGAAATTACACATAGTTTCTACTTTGGGGTAGCTCAAAGTCTTGTTAGGAAGACAATTCATAAATAAAAAGAAGTATAATTGAGAATACAAGACAATATGTGTTAAATCACAAGGATGGGCCAGCCACAGTTATGGTATTTTTGAGAATTTGGAGAAATATACATGATTTTTTTTGGTCAAGGTTAGTCATGGAAGAGTCTACATGAAGGAGGTATTTGTAAAGGATCTTGAGGTTGAATGGAATTAGCCAGGGTATATTGCAAATATGATTAATCTGGAGATTTCTTAACTCTACCAGATGTCATCTATCCTATTGCAAATAAAATGGATATGTATTTGGGAGAATTCATCCATGCAACAACCATGGGAGCAGCCAAATAATAGCTGAATACTATGTTTTTTGTTTGTTTGTTTGTTTGTTTGTTTTTGAGACGGAGTTTCACTCTTGTTGCCTAGGCTGGAGTGCAATGGCACGATCTTGGCTCACTGCAACCTCTGCCTCCCAGGCAATTCTCCTGCCTTAGCCTCTCAAGTAGCTGGAATTACAGGCATGTACCACCACACCCAGCTAATTTTTGTATTTTTTTTAGTAGAGATGGGGTTTCACCATGTTGATCAGGCTGGTCTCGAACTCCTGACCTCAGGTGATCTGCCCATCTTGGCCTCCCAAAGTGCTGGGATTACAGATGTGAGCCACTGCACCCAGCCCTGAATACTATTTTTTAAATGCCTACTCATCTTTACCTATACTATGAGATAGGTATTATTATTATTATTATTATTATTATTCCCAGCTTCCATATAAGGAAGGGAGGTACAGAATGGTTAAGTGACTTGCCCAAGATTATACAGCCAGTAGGTCCTTGTGTTGGGTTCTAAAGCCAGGAAGTTGATCTAAAGCCAGGGGCCAGAGCCTGTTCTCCTGTTTCCAAGCAGGTACTGCTTTCCTCTGGGACACCAAGGGATGACAATTGGGTTGAATTTGTTTATGAAGCAATAGCTTTGGATAAGCTACTATACTATGCCTCTGGGAAGAGGAGCTTGTTTATCATTTCTCATATTTTTTACAAATGCAGTTTTTACAGCAGCTTGAGTTATATCCTGAGTACAAGAAACAGGTGCTCATTAGACCTCCAGGCTGGTGTCTAACTTTCACTTTGCAGTTGCTGTAAGGGGTAGAGAAGATGAACAGCACTAAGTGTTTGCTATGGAAACCTGGACATTATTTATATTCATGTAGAGTCCATTAATGCAAGTTTCTTTAACTTTGTGTTTATGAAATAGGCAAATGCTTCTGGGTGTAGAAGGGCAAAAGAGAAGAAAGTAGTATATCTTTAAAACAAAAGACAAAACCCAGAAGCAATAGAAAAACATCTCCTGCTCTTTCTTTTTATGGTAGTCTTTGAAGCACATGTGCACAGATTGCCTTACCGTTTTTAGTGAAAGTTAATAAAAGACATTTATTTTGGAGATGGGACAATATGTTACCTGATGGCTGAACTATCTTGAGTTCCACCTTTGTGACTTTAATGCACAGAGAATGTGTGGTATTGTGAGATGTCTGAACAGAACTCATCCAGTTTGCACAGAGATAAATGAACTTTTACAAACATGGGGAGATCTATGTATTGATCCAAGGGATTCCTGAAGTCACTGATTCATTTTAATGACTTTTCTTTGGTTATGTGTCCACTACCATTCACTTGAGGGTAAACATGGGATCAAAGTTCTGACTCTCCCAGGATTAATAATTTTCTTCTTTATCTGCATCAAAGTTCTTTGATATACCAAAACTTTCTTTTTCAGTTGAACTTACTGTATGTTTAGATTTCAATCAATCGTAGTAAATATTGACTTGAAAGGTCATTGCTTACCTGAGAGAAAAAGGTTATCATTAGAAAAATTCCCATTTGCCAAGTTTTCACTCTACTTTCCATAAAAAAGGCTTATTTAAAAATATTATTAATTTGAGGAAAAAATGGCCAAAATTCTTTCATTGTTTTACTTTCTTATTTCAAAATATTTAGAAATAAGTATTTCCTGATTCTACATGTGTTTTATTTTTAGCACAGTTATTGTGAACATAGATTTTGGAGTCATAAAGACCTGAGCTGATCTGTGGTTCTGACATCTTTTCATTTCCCAATAATTATTGTATATATTATTGTATATGCCTAATGATTCGTTGCCTTAACCATTCTGTGCCTCTCTCCCTTATCTGGAAGTTGGCAATAATAATAATACCTATCTCATAGAGTTGTTGTAAGGATGAGGAGGCATGAGTAGAAGCTGGCAAGATACCAATCTCTATAAAAGGAGATAATGACCTACCTTTTGTGGTGGTTTCAGTTTCAAAAGATATAATCAACATAAAGAATTTAGTTAACTGGCTAGCCATATGTAGAAAGCTGAAACTGGATCCCTTCCTTACACCTTATACAAAAACTAATTCAAGATGGATTAAAGACTTAAATGTTAGACCTAAAACCATAAAATCTCTAGAAGAAAACCTAGGCAATACCATTCAGGACATAGGCATGGGCAAGTATTTCATGTCTAAAATACCAAAAGCAATGGCAACAAAAGCCAAAATTGACAAATGGGATCTAATTAAACTAAAGAGCTTCTGCACAGCAAAAGAAACTACCATCAGAGTGAACAGGCAACCTACAGAATGGGAGAAAATTTTTGCAATCTACTCATCTGACAAAGGGCTAATATTCAGAATCTACAAAGAACTCAAACAAACTTACAAGAAAAAAACAAACCACCCCATCAACAAGTGGGTGAAGGATATGAACAGACACTTCTCAAAAGAAGACATTTATGCAGCCAATAGACAATGAAAAAATGCTCATCATCCCTGGCCATCAGAGAAATGCAAATCAAAACCACAATGAGATACCATCTCACACCAGTTAGAATGGCAGTCATTAAAAAGTCAGGAAACAACAGGTGCTGGAGAGGATGTGGAGAAATAGGAACACTTTTACACTGTTGGTGGGACTGTAAGCTAGTTCAACGATTGTGGAAGACAGTGTGGCGATTCCTCAAGGATCTAGAACTAGAAATACCATTTGACCCAGCCATCCCATTACTGGGTATATACCCAAAGGATTATAAACCATGCTGCTATAAAGACACATGCACACGTATGTTTACTGCGGCACTATTCACAATAACAAAGACTTGGAACCAACCCAAATGTCCATCAGTGATAGACTGGATTAAGAAAATGTGGCACATATACACCATGGAATACTATGCAGCCATAAGAAATGATGAGTTCATGTCCTTTGTAGGGACATGGATGAAGCTGGAAACCATCATTCTCAGCAAACTATCACAAGGACAAAAAATCAAACACCGCATGTTCTCACTCATAGGTGGGAATTGAACAATGAGAACACCTGGACACAGGAAGGGGAACATTACACACCAGTGCCTGTCATTTGGTGGGGGCAGGGGGGAGGGATAGCATTAGGAGATATACCTAATGTAAATGACGAGTTAATGGGTGCAGTACACCAACATGGCACATGTATACATATGTAACAAACCTGCACGTTGTGCATATGTACCCTATAACTTAAAGTATAATAAAATAAAAATAAAATTTTAAAAATAGAGGCATAGACCAGCCGAAAAATATAAAGCTGGCCATGCTCACAAATTAAAAAAAAAAAAAAGAATTTAGTTCAGTGCCTGGCACATAAGTACTCAATAAACATTAGCTATGCTGTTGTAATATTCAAAAACCTATACATGTATGCAAATTATGGTATGTGTGTTTGCATAATCTAAAAACTTTGCTACAGATTACAGAATCCAGATGTGAGTAGGCTCAGCAGTTTTCTTAAAAGATCAGTATATCTTTAAAATCCTTGGAGATGTCATTTATATAGAGATATCAAACATTTTTTAAAAATTAAGCATGCTCACCAAGTCAGCTTGACTTTGTACTTTAAAATGTTGAATATATATATGTTCACTTTAAAATGTATATTCATAGTTTGCAATGCCCAATGTGGTTAAAAATAACATGTAAAAATAAGTAATAATTGAAATGATAATATATGCTAAATGAAAATGCACATGTGTGTGCATGTGTGCGTATAAATGTGACCATCAGTATTGCAAATAGGGAATCAGAGGCTGTCAATTAGTAGTGATGGCCTCTTTTTAGTTACTGGCAACTGGGAAAGTGCATTGCAGAATCACCTTTATATGTTTTTTCAAAATTCTGATGGCTGGGCTCCATCTAGGACTTGGTGAATCCAGATTTTCAGGAATGCAAATGGGATTCAAATAAAATATTTGTACTTTTTTTTGGAGACAGGATCTCACTCTGCTGCCCACACTGGAGTGCAGTGGCCTGATCTGGGCTCACTGCAACCTCCGCCTCCCAGGCTCAAGTGATCCTCCCACTTCTGCCTCCTGAGTAGCTGGGACTATAGGCACATGCCACCACACCTGGCTGATTTTTGTATTTTTGGTGGAGACAGTTTCACCATGCTGACTAGGCTGGTCATAAACTCCTGAGCTCAAACGATCCTCCTGCCTTGGCCTCCCAAAGTGCTTCAAGCATGAGCCACTGCATCCAGCCAATATTTGCACTTTTAATGCTGCCATCTGGCCATAAAGAACTAGAAAACTGGGGGAAATACAAGAAACTATGGTTTTCAGACATTGGCTAACAGGCCAAGCAAGAATGAGATACATGAACGAAGGCAAAAAAAAAACGAGATGAGCCTTTCAGTTGCTCCAGCTTACTGCCTGGTGGCTGTTTATAGGTCTTAGCTCAGGAAGGGGGAATCCAAACAGAGCTTAAGGGTCTCTGTCTTGGTCCATTCTTGCTGCTATACCAAAATACCTTAGAATGGATAATTTATAATCAATAAAAATTTATTTCTCATAGTTCTAGAGACTGGGAAGTCCAAGATCTAGGCACCAACAAATTCAGTATCTGGTGAAGGTCCATTGCTCACAGATGATATCTTCTTGCTACATCCTCATGTGGGGAATGGACAACAGGACTCCCTCAAGCCTGTTTATAAGGACATTAATCCCCTTCACTGTTCACAACAGCAAAGACTTGCAACCAACCCACATGTCCATCAATGATAGACCAGATCTAGAACTAGAAATACCATTTGACCCAGCCATCCCATTACTGGGTATATACCCAAAGGATGATAAATCATGCTACTATAAAGACACATGCACATGTATGTTTATTGCGGCACTATTCACAATAGTTGTGATTTTTGTTCTTTTACATTTGCTGAGGAGTGCTTTACTTCCAATTCTGTGGTCAATTTTAGAATCAGTGCGATATGGTGCTGAGAAGAATGTATATTCTGTTGATTTGGGGTGGAGAGTTCTGTAGATGTCTATTAGGTCTGCTTGGTCCAGAGCTGAGTTCAAGTCCTGGATATCCTTGTTAACCTTCTGTCTCATTGATCTGTCTAATATTGACAGTGGGGAGTTAAAGTCTCCCATTATTTTTGTGTGGGAGTATAAGTCTCTTTTTAGGTCTCTAAGGACTTGCTTTATGAATCTGGGTGCTCCTGTATTGGGTGCATATATATTTAGGATAGTTAGCTCCTCTTATTGAATTGATTCCTTTACCATTATGTAGTAGCCTTCTTTGTCTCTTTTGATCTTTGTTGGTTTAAAGTCTGTTTTATCAGAGACTAGGATTGCAACCTCTGCTTTTTTTTTTTTTTTGCTTTCCATTTGCTTGGTAGATCTTCCTCCACGCCTTTATTTTGAGCCTATGTGCATCTTTGCACGTGAGGTGGGTCTCCTGAATACAGCACACTGATGGGTCTTGACTCTTCATCCAATTTGCCAGTTTGTGTCTTTTAATTGGGGCATTTAGTCCATTTACATTTAAGGTTAATATGGTCATGTGTGAATTTGATGCTGTCATTATGATGTTCACTGGTTATTTTGCCCATTAATTGATGCAGCTTCTTCATAGCATTGATGGTCTTTATCATTTGGCATGTTTTTGTAGTGCCTGGTACCGGTTATTCTTTTCTTTGTTTAGTGCTTCCTTCAGGAGCTCTTTTAGGGCAGGCCTGATGGTGACAAAATTTCTCAGCATTTGCTTGTCTGTAAAGGATTTTATTTCTCCTTCACTTATGAAGCTTAGTTTGGCTGGATGTGAGATTCTGGGTTGAAAATTCTTTTATTTAAGAATGTTGCATATTGGCCCCCACTCTCTTCTGGCTTGTAGGATTTCTGCCGGGAGATACGCTGTTAGTCTGATGGATTTCCCTTTGTGGGTAATTCGACCTTTCTCTCTGGCTGCCCTTAACCTTTTTTCCTTCATTTCAACATTGGTGAATCTGACATTTATGTGTCTTGAGGTTGCTCTTCTCAAGGAGTATCTTTCTGGTGTTCTCTGTATTTCCTGAATTTGAATGTTGGCCTGCCTTGCTAGGTTAGGGAAGTTCTCCTAGATAATATCCTGAAGAGTGTTTTCTAACTTCGTTCCATTCTCCCTGTCACTTTCCAGTACAGCAATCAAATGTATATTTGGTCTTTTCACATAGTCCCATATTTCTTGGAAGCTTTGTTCGTTTCTTTTCACTCTTTTTTCTCTAATCTTGTCTTCTCACTTTATTTCATTAATTTGATCTTCAGTCACTGATATCTTTTCTTCCACTTGATCGAATTAACCACTGAAGCTTCTGCATGCGTCACGAAGTTCTCATGCTGTGGTTTTCAGCTCCATCAGGTCATTTAAGGTCTTCTCTACACTGTTTATTCTAGTTAGCCATTCATCTAACCTTTTTTCAACGTTTTTAGCTTCCTTGCGATGAGTTAGAACATTCTTCTTTAGCTCAGTGAAGTTTGTTATTACCGACCTTCTGAAGCCTACTTCTGTCAACTCATCAAACTCATTCTCCGTCCAGTCCAGTTTTGTTCCCTTGCTGGCGAGTAGCTGTGATCCTTTGGAGGAGAAGAGAGGCTCTGTTTTTTGGAATTTTCAGCTTTTCTGCTCTGGCTTCTCCCCATCTTTGTGATTTTATCTACCTTTGGTCTTTGATGTTGGTGAACTACAGATGGGATTTTGGTGTGGATGTCCTTTTAGTTGATGTTGATGGTATTCCTTTCTGTTTGTTAGTTGTCCTTCTAACAGTCAGGACCCTCAGCTGCAGGTCTGTTGGACTTTGCTAGAGGTCCACTCCAGACCCTGTTTGCCTGGGTATCACCAGCACAGGCTGCAGAATAGCAAATATTGCTGCCTGATCCTTCATCTGGAAACTTCGTCCCAGAGAGGCACCTGCCTGTCTGAGGTGTCTCCTAGTCAGCCTACACGGGGGTCAGAGACCCACTTCGGGAGATAGTTCATTCTCAGAGCTCGAATGCCATGCTGAGGGAACCACTGCTATCTTCAGAGCTGTCAGACAGGGACATTTAAGTCTGCAGAAGCTGTCTACTGCCTTTTATTCTGCTATGTCCTGCCCCTAGAGGTGGAATCTAGAGAGGCAGTAGTCTTTGCTGAGCTGCGGTGGGCTCTGCCCAGTTTGTACTTCCAGACTGCTTTGTTTACACTGTGAACTACTCAAGCCTCAGCAATGGCAGATGCCCCTCCCCACATCAAGCTGCAGCAATGCATCTCAGACTGCTGTGCCAGCAGTGAGCAAGGCTCCGTGTGTGTGGGACCTGCCAAGCCAGGTATGGGAGGGTATCTCCCGGTCTGCCAGTTGGTAAGACTGTGGGAAAAGCTCAGAATTTGGTCAGAAGTGTACCATTTCTCCAGGTACAGTCTGTCATGGCTTCCCTTGGCTAGGAAAGGGAAATCCCCCGACCCCTTGCACTTCCCGGGTGAGGCGATGCCCCGCGCTGCTTCATCTCACCCTCCGTGGGCTGCACCCACTGTCCAAGCAGTCCCAATGAGATGAACCAGGTACCTCGGTTGGAACTGTAGAAATCACCCATCTTCTGCCTCAGTCTCGCTGGGAGCTACAGACTGGAGCTGTTCCTATTTAGCCATCTTGGAAGCAACTCCTCAGTTTTCCTTTTCATTTGGATATCCAATTGACTGAGCACCATTTATTCCAAGACCATCTTCTCCTTTCTTCTCTGCTATGCCACCCTTCACATGAATCAAATGTCTACATGTGTGTAGGTCTTTTGCTGGATCCTATTCTTTTCCATTTTTCTAGTAGTCTTTCCCTGTGCCAATACCATCATCTTGATTATAATAGCTTTATAACATGTATTGATATTCAGTAGTGTGGCTCCTCTAAGTCTACTACTCTTTTTCTTCAAGATTACCTCAGGTCTTATTAGTCCTTTCTATTTCCATATAAACTTTAGAATCAGTTGGTCAATTGCTACCTTTTGGTGTCAGTTGCAATCAGTGTGTTCTGGGAATTTTTTCATATTTCTTAAAAATTTTAATCTCTTATCATAATTCTAATATCCTCATAATATCCTTTTACTTATCAGAAGAACCTGTGGTAATATCCCTTTTTCATTTCTATTATTGGTTATTTGGGCCTTTTCTCTTTTTTTCAGTCACCATTTATCCCAGAGTTTTATCAGGTTTACCAGTTTTGTTTTGTTTTGCTTCTGACACAGAGTCTTCTTTTGTCACCCAGGATGGAGTGCAGTGGTGCCATCACAGTTCACTGCAGCCTTGACCTTGCGGGCTCAAGCAATCCTCCCATCTCAGCCTCCTGAGTAGCTGGGACTACAGGCATGTGCCACCTTGCTGGCTGATTTACTTTTTGTAGAGATGAGGTCTCACCATTTTGCACAGGCTGGTCTCAAACTCCTGGGCTCAAGTGATCCTCCTGCTTCAGCCTCCGAAAGTGCTGGGATTACTGGTATAAGCCACTGTGCCTGGCCAAATTTAGTAGTCTTTTCAAAGAATCAACTTTGCCTTTGTAAATTCTCTTTTATGTTTCTTTTGAAAAACATAATTCCCACTCTTACAGTTATTATTTCTCTGTTTCTAATTACTTTGGGTTTCATTTGATTTTATTTTTGCAATTTTTTGAGGTAGATACTTAGATCATTGATTTCAAGCCCCTTTACTTTTCTAATATATATGTTAAAGTCTATTTCTCTCTAAGCACTGCTTTAGTTTCATCACACAAGATGTATTATGTACTATTTTCATTATTATTCAGTTCAAGCATAGTCTAATTTCCATCATCATTTCTTCAGGGTCACATGGGTTATTTAGAAGTGTGTTGCTTAATTTCCAAATGTGAATTTTCTATTTTTTAATGATTGTTGTTATTGATATTTAGCTCAGTTCTACTGTAGTCAGAGAATATACTCTCTAATTTTAATCTTATGAAATTTGTTAGAGTAGCTTATGGATAGCATATGTTCACTTTTTAATAAATGGTGCAGTTGTTAAGTGCACTGTTCTGCGTATGACAATTAGGTCAAATGTGTTAATGACTACTTAATGTCAGTTATTATTAATATTAGGATTTAGCAGCTAACATATCTGTGTCATTCTTTCAAAATTTCTATTTCTCTGCTGAAATTCTCTATTCTGTTCTTTGAACATATTATTTTAAAGTTCATATCTGCTACCTATCAAATAAAGTAATAAACATCTATCATATATTTTGTCACTTTGGCTTGTAGTTAAGTTATATTTTCTCAAATACCCAAATGTTTTTGATGGGATACCATGCACTGGATATGAAAAATGAAGAGAAAATTGAAGCTCTGGATAATCTTATCTTCCTTCAGAAAGAATTTTCTTTTACTTCTGGAAGTCAGCCTTGAGTTAAGGCCTCCAGATTACCTTGCAATTAAGAATTAAAATGATTTGAAATTGGATTTCAGTGTCTGGGGAGGCTCGTATATTTCCAGTATACTCCCAGTGTATATCCCTCTGGAGTTCCAACTTTCCTTTAGACCTAGATTCCTCCTCTTTGCTAAGCCTTGAACTTTAGTTGTTGCGCCCTAGATCTGTGTCTGCTAAAAATTCTGCTCTGCTTCTCATCTACTGCTTGTAAGAATGCCATCTCTCTTCAAAGGATAGGGCCAAGAAATGCTAGACTCACCTTCGGGCTTTCATCTTCTCCCTAAGATATTTTCCCCACACATCCTAACTGCCTTGGTGTGAGTATGTGTGTGTCTTCCAGCTTTTCTAGTTCTCAGTGGGGAGTTTGGTCCAAACAACTAATTTTCCATGGCTAAAAAGCAGAACTCCTAGTCTTGAGATTTTTAACCTTACAGGGCAATTTCACCTCTTATCAGAGTAATTGGTTCAATAGACACAGACCTATGCCTGAATTTTGACAGTTTTGTGAACTAAAAAAATGATTGTTGTTGTTTTACACCACTAAGTTTTAGAGTGGCTTGTTACACAGCTGTGTATAATTGATGCAGATTTTAGTGCTTGTGCCTGCTTTTGGTACTGCTGCCATAAGAAAAACCTAAGGCTGGACATGGTGGCTCATGCCTGTAATCCCAGCACTTTGGGAGGCTGAGGCTGGCAGATCTCTTGAGCTCAGGTGTTTGAGACCAGCCTGCACAACATGATAAAACCACAGCTCTACAAAAAATACAAAATTATCCAAGTGTGGTGCTATACACCTGTGGTCCCAGCTACTTGGGAGGCTGAGGTGGGAGGATCACTTGAGCCCAGGAGGTCAAGGCTGCAGTGAGCTCAGGCCACGCCACTGTGCTCTAGCCTCTGGGTGGCAGAGTGAGAACTTGTCTCAAACACACACACACATACACACACCACCACCACCAACAACAACAACAACAACAACAAAACTGAAATGTATTATTGGCTTTGGGACCAAATGATTGGTGGAAACTGGAAGAATGTAGTGGAAACCTAAAGAGCCTTGCCAATAATGTTAGTGGAAGCCTAAGAGGTCCCAGGGAAGGTATAACAGCCTTAAGGAAAATGTTATTGGAAGCTGCAGAAAAGGGAACCTTATAGAATAGCAGAATGTAAAAAATAGAAAGATATAATAAACTAAGGATCTAGCTAAGGAAGTTTTCATGTAGAACATTGATGGTGCTACCTGGAATTTTTTAGCTGCCTGTAGTAAAATGGAAGAACAGATGAACCAAAATCTTGTTGTAGGCAGAATTCTAAGATGGCGTCCACCATCTCAACCCCCTGGTATTTCACTCATAATTAGGTTATATGGAAAAAAAGAATTTTGCATGTAATTAAAATATAAAACATAATTAAAGCCCCTTATCATTAACTTTGATTTAATCAAAAGGAGATTATCCTAGGGGGGCTCTTTACCCAATCAGGTGAGCCCTTAAAAGGGCCTGGTCCCATTTTGTGAAAAGATTTGAAGGGCTAGAGGGTCTATGAAGGGGATTGCATGACAATAACCTGACAGTGTCCTGTAAAAGCTGAAAGCAGCAAGAAATAGGAATCTTAGTTATACAGTCCAAAGAAATCATTTCTGTCATCAACCTGAATGAGGGAGCTTGGAAGCAGATCTTTCCCCAGTTGAGCCTCCAGATGAGGCTGCAGCTGGCTGACACCTTGCTTTCAGCCTTGTAAGACCATGAACAGAAGATCCAGCTAAAGCATACTGGACTCCTGATCCATAGAAACTATGAGATAATACATTTGTATTGCTTTAGGCTGTTAAATGTATGGTAATTGGTTACACAGAAATAGAAAGCTAACAAAGTAACTATTTAATTTTCAAGCAAAAGTTAGAGGAATTATAAAGAAGTGAGATATGAAAATTAAACTATGTCTTATTTCAATGTCTTAAAATTGGCAAAATGTTCTTAAATTAAGAAATGGCTTTCAGACAAAGGTTAAATCCAGGATGGGCCTGTAAAATATTTTGTTAAGACCTCAGAATGATTTAAGATGAGACCCCATAGATTATTTTCAATAGACGAAAGTCCTTCTAAGGATCTTAAAGGTGTGCCTCACAACCTTTCTGTTAAGCAATGGGGCTTCTTAGAATTTTAAGGGATTATCACACAGCAGCTTCATAAGGACTCCAATGTTGAAGACAGCTTATCTTAAAAGATTTGAAGTTGTAGCTTTCTTAAAAGTTCTTTTCTTGCCAGGCCCAGTGGCTCATGCCTGTAATCCCAGCACTTTAGGTGGCCAATGCAGTAGGATTGCTTGATGTCAAGAGTTCAAGATCAGCCTGAGCAACATAGTGAGACTCTGTCTCTACAAAACAATTTTTTAAAATTAGCTAGTCATAGTGGAGCAAGCCTGCAGTCCTAGCTACTTGGGAGGCTGAGGTGGGAGGATTGTTTGAGTCTAGGAGTTCAAATTACAGTGAACCAGGATTGCACAACTGCACTCAAGCCTTGGTGACAGAATGAGACTGTGTCTCAAAAAAAATCCTTTTTTAGAAGGATTGAACCTTTATATGATTCATTGAGAATCCACAGAATATTTGAGAGACTTATTCTGGTAGAAGCACTGCTAACTTGAACAAAGAACCATGAAAAGCAGAGCGTCATTCCCAAGGAACAGCATTGGGCATTTATTAAGAAATTAATGACAGGTTCCTGGCTGTTTATCAGAATTGCTATGGACCAATGAATGCTGTGTGGCACCCTGCAAGTTTTCCTTCTTTTTTCAGCTTTAGCATTTGAGTCAAATTCCTGACTTCTGTTTCTTTCTCTCCCCTAGGATGACCAGTGGCAAAACTAAGTCAAAACAGTTTAAGTCTTATATCAAAGCCCATGGTCTCTGAAGGATTCATGTTGCTGTGGGGGTAAGAAATTTTTGACACAAGCATTGGTACTTTTGATCAGTTTCCTGGCTTACATGTCCTTGGGCTTCCATAGACATCTCCAAATGCAAGGAGAGTGAGGAGGATAAGGAGGAGGAGAAGAGACTGACCAGCTGACATTTTTTTAACTTTAGTATTCCCCATTCTCATCTCTGAGCACATGTATGTGAGAATGAGTATTTGCATGCATGCGTATGCATGCATGTGTGTGTGTTTATTTGGATGTTTTTCCCAGAGGGCATTAAAACAACTCTCCCCTACCCTCTCTTCTCCAAACTTACATGTCCTTCTCTCCATTACAGCATGGGCCCTTTGTGATCAAATCTACTTCTCTTGTTTAAAAGGACACAAAACAATATCAGAGAACTCTTTTGTAAAGCACAGAGGCATAGAACGAGGGGAGGTATTCATATATCAATCATTACATAGACGTATTTTACTAGCTCCACCCTCAGCATGGCATCTTCATGGGCCAGTCACTTAGTATTAACCCTCAGACATTCTATATGTAGGCACTAAACTCCCAGGACGTCCTCATTAGTGTAGGCCCAACCTCTGCACAGATGCAGAGAAAAGGCAAGAAAAAGAAATCTGTTAGTCAGGTACATTTCTCTCAGAGATAATTCATAGAGGAAAATGTGGGCTGGCTGACCAAAATGCATAATTCCCTCTTCCAATTACCCCATCAATAAGTGTGCACTTTCATGAAAGAATCAAAGAAGAGAGTTGTCTAAGATGTGCTGCATGTGTTTTTTTTCCTTTCCTGAGGGAAAAACTGACTTTAGGTTTCACCACTCATAAATTATCAACTCATTTCTCACTTATGGCATAAATATCAGTCTGGTTGGTATATGCACCCACACATCAGCTGAGACTGAAGAAAGCTAAATTTACAAAACGTTAAATCAATAAGCATGTGTGAATGGGTAAACAGCGTGATGTCCCTTAACTTAACAAGGCCACAGCATTACTGTTTTGCAACTTCTGAAGTTTTTTCCCTCTAATTTTATAGTGTTGCTAGAATCAAAATGAGTGAAAGTCCTTCGATCAGAAGAATAGAACAATGTACCTCAAAATAGAAAATGAGAAATTATTCCAGGGAGATAAAGCCATGATAATATCCAAAGTGCTGCAATCATTGCAAGATGCTATATTTACAAGAAAGAAAGAATAACTGCAGCTCATTTTCCTTGTAGGTTCTATTAATGAGAAACCATGGAATGGAACAGACAGGGCTGCCAGATGTCTCTCATGAAAATACCAATCCTCCAGATGGGGAGTGGGGGAATACGTAGGAACAAATTAATAAAAATAGCATTTTCTCTCCCTTCTCATCTTGGGGCTCCCCAAAATTATGTCTCCAAACCTACGATGACAGATTGACAATTTCCTTTCATTAAAATATTTCCTTCTGTAGAGAAGTACCTGCCCCAATGTAGGATATCCTTTTGAATTACTAAACAAATGCCATAAAAGGGTAGTCTGGAGTACTTGAACTAGATTACTCTCCAATGCCCAGCACTTTTATAAGGACAATGTACTAGAGGGAACCATGAACAGATGAGAGATGTTAAGAAGTACTATGAATAGGAGGAAGCTATAGTCCTAAATAGTCCTGTGTAAATGCAAAGAAGGATGATAGTGTGGAGTGAGCCAAGCTGCTAGACAAAACACAGAGGGACTCTGGACTTGGAGTAGGCAGGGGTAGAATGTGGGAGAAAGAAGATGGAAAACATGGCATTAATTGGAAGTGGAAGACATAAAACAAACTGCCGGAAGAGGATTAGGGCTGCTAGGTGGGTTCCGGCCTCTCTATTCATTCACCTGCCCAGCATGTAGACCAACTCTTTATCCTTATTTTTTATTTTATTTATTTATTTATTTACTTTTTTGAGACGGAGTCTTGCTCTGTCACCCAGGCTGGAGTGCAGTGGTGTCATCTCAGCTCACTGCAACCTCTGCCTCCCTGGTTCAAGCAATTCTCCTGCCTTAGCCTCCCGAGTAGCTGGGATTACAGGCATATGCCATCACACCCAGCTAATTTTTTGTATTTTAATAGAGACAGAGTTTCACCGTGTTGCCCAGGCTGGTCTCGAACTCCTGAGCTCTGGCAATCTGCCTGCCTCAGCCTCCCAAAGTGCTGGGATTACAGGTGTGAGCTACTGCGCCCGGCCCCACTTATTCTTAAATAAATACTATGTGCCAACTCCCTCCATTTTCTCTGCCATCATTGCTACACATAAACATGCACCTTCCAGGTGGCTTTTCTACTCAAGGGTGAGAAGAAGTAAGAAAACATACTAACATATGCAACAGGAGAAAAATCAACATCTAATGCCTTAAAAAGGTAATCTACTCCACTTTAATTTTTATTTATTTATTTATTTATTTATTTATTTTTGAGACAGGTCTCCCTCTGTCACCCTGTGTGTGATTGCAATGGCACAATCACAGCTCACTGCAGCCTCAATCTCCTGGGCTCAGGCGATCCTCACACCTCAGCCTCCGGAGTAGCTGGGACTACAGGCACATGCTACCATGCCCAGCTAATTTTTTTTTTTTTTTTTTTTTTGGTAGAGATAGGGCTTTGTCATGTTGCCCAGCTGGTTTCAAACTTCGAGACTCAAGAATCCACCCACTTCATCCTCCCAAAGTGCTGAGATTACAGACATGAGCCACCGCACTTGGGTTACTCCATTTTTACATGGGAATGGACAACAAATCATATGGATAAAACCAGACTTACAAAATGGAAAGTCTAAAATAAAGAAAATAGCTGGTCTTCAATAAATATGAGATAATTTAGGAAAGACAAGAGAATGAGAATAAGAAAAGGAAAGCTGGAATGTATGTATGTATGTATGTTTTTAAATGCATGAAATATCTTTGGAAGGATATGTAAGAAATTAATAATGTTGTCTCTAGGGCTACAGCTTCGAGAGAGCTTACTTGTCACAATATACTTTTTAACCTGTTAGTTTTGTCCCAGGGGTATATGTAAATATTTAAATTAATAAATATAATATATGTATAACGTAAGAACAGGATACTATGAAAAAGGAACAATCAGAAAACAAAGGGCTCTTGGAAATTAAAAACATTATTGATGAAATAATAGAAGGGTTGGCATAACAGAAAATATACAGAGACAGAAAATCTCACTAGTTGAACTTCATTAAAAAAAACAGAAAAAGGGATATTTTCAAAGAAATAGTAGAAGGAAATGTCCCAGTACTAAAGAGAGACCTGAGTCTTTAGATTAAAATTACTTTTTCATAACTCTTTTCTTCTCCTGTGTTAAAAGCTAACTGCACAAAACAATGTTGATGGGCTTATAACATGAAAAGATGTAATTTTTATGACAATAATAACAGCACAATGGAGGAAGGGATATGTACTGGGGAAAAGTTTCTATGTAATATTGAAATCAAATTAATATTAATTCGAACTAGATTATTTTAAATTAAGATTAAACTTGTTCACCAAATTTGGAGCAAAATCGATTTTAAAAATCCACAAATAGATGTATCATTGCTAATTTCAGAATTCTAAGGATAGAGAAAAGATCCTAAATATTTTCATGGAAGAAAAAAGACGTCACCTTATAAAGGAATTAGAATTAAACTGGCATGAAGCAATGCCTTCAAAATTCCAAGGAAAATAATTTTCAAGTTAGAATCTATACTCAGCCAAGTTATGAACCAACATTGATGGTAACATAAAGTCTCAGAAAAGTTACATGTAAAATATTCCTTCTGAGGAATTTTCTTCTAACAAAATAAGATAAAAAATAATACAGGAGAGTAGTAGGCTGCAATAAATGATCGTACTAACTCAGGTGCACACTATAAAGAAATTCCAAGAGGAGAATTCTCTAGCAAGCCTGGAAAAAGCAATTGGCTCAAATTAGGAAAGCAAGCCAGGGGGCTCCTATAAGAATGTGTTTAAGGATTGGTTCCATGCAATAGACAAATAAGCAGATAAGAACAAATTGTAAGCAATATAGTGAAACAAAATCATAGTTCTTTTCTTGGCCAATAAAAAGTCAAAGAAAAACAAAAAACTCTAAAGCAACTAATGAACTAAACCAACTACAACGTAGGAGTGATCATTTATAAATCTTTGACCCCCTTCACACCATTGATTTCACCACATTTTAACTCTCCATCACCCACCTCATATACCTCACTTTCTTCCAGTGTGTACTTCATCACTCTCATAACTCCCTGTTCTATAACACCAACAGTTTCCTCTGATTTACTAACCTGACCAAAAAAAGCAGGTTAAACTCAACTGTCTGCTTAGGCTGTGTCTGACATCAGCAGCTATTCATGACTGAGGAAACATTTGCAGCTCCAACGATTGGGCTCGCTCTGAATATGGGACTACAAACCTCACAGGTACCCTCAGCACAGATTACCTATCCTATTTTACTTAATTTCTAGTTTCTCTTTCTCCATTTATTTTAAACTATCTTCTTAGTCCCCAAACCTCATGCAGTAATTTCTTATTCCTTACTGTTAGCAGATAACCGACGTTATTGATCTATTGATACAGTAGATGCATTGCTCTGCATATGAATCTCCCCATCATGACCACACTTGATTGAATCAGTATGAATCCCACTCCCCATCTCTGACAAAACTCCCTGTGGTCTGGAGAAGCAGAGAAAGCTGGTCTGCAGAGAAAGAGCAGAATGAAAAAAGTGCACAGAGATGTCAAGACAAGAGGTGGAAAGAATCCAGCCAGTCTCATATTTCCTAGTTCCAGTTCTCTTCTAGGGTCCAATAGCTTTTTTGCTCCGAGTTTAATGAGACATTACTGCATCTTCATATGAAATTCTCTTTGCCTCTCCTCATTTAGTTGCAGTCAACCAATACAGAGAATTTGAATACTTCCAATTTGGGACTTTTTAAACTCTCTGCTAGAAAATTTCTTATAGTTAGAATGATGGATTTCTGGGTTGGGTTGGTCCACTCTTCAACCCGTATCACATTCTGCACTGGGAGATAAAGGAGTCAAGCAAATGAAAATAAAAGTACCAGCATTATTGCTGATTGATGTTAAATTTGAGGGAGTAACTTAGCTGTGTGATAAGAGATACCTGATGCTGAATACCAGAATTCGACCAGCTTAACCACCCACCACAACAGGTAGCAGGGGAAAACTGTGGCCTCCCCCTGCAGGGGCAGAACTTTTACCACTAAACTTACCTTGAGGCTGAGAGCAGACCAAAGCACATGCAACCAGACAAATCTCAAAGAGAAAAGAAGGGGAGGAAGGACTAGGCTACGTGGTCAAAGTCCCTGCTCCTAACGTCACTCACCAGATCAAAGAATCTTTTCCTGGGGATGCAGATGAAGTGAGAGAGTCCAGGAGTGTTGTGCTGATGGCCTCTACGTGGACCAATAACTATGGAGGGAGAAATACTTAGTACTCTGCACTTGCCCTGGAGCCTGCTGATTCCCTATTCATTGTTGTGTCCGCCATGCCCATAGAGGCAGGAATCTCCTTTGGTCTTCCCCAATGCAGCAGTAAGCCTGCCATTAGGGGGAAAAGGAAGACACACAGAAATTCAGTTAATAATGGAAAAATATTTTGAGACATATTTTAAAATAGAGATTTCTTGCCTAGAGTTGGTATAGAAAGTTGACATATATTTCTGACTAAAACTTGTTAGTCATGTCTCACTGAAGATGATTTCTTTTAATGAATGACAGGCAGTGTTCTTATATACACCACAGTCTTTTACAATCTTTACAATACTATAATCAATTCTGGGTCACCAAATGTAGCTTATGGCCAAGGACCTCTTACAAACAATTGCTTCATTGTACTTCACCTATTGTGGCTAAGATAATGTGACAGATGCCTTCTGGAATAACAATGAGATTTCCCCATAAAAGTCATTCTTCATGGACAGATAGCTCGTGATAGAAGCTTGTTAAAAGCTTGGGTTCCTCTGCCCTTCTCTCACGGTCCTTCCACACTGCATTTGAGTCCAGGCAATTAATATAATGCACTCCACCTGAAAAATGGATCAAGAAAGTAGGTATTTGACATTGAATCTCTTGCAGGAGGGGTGGCTTGCCATAGTCTGGGGATTCATTAGAACAAGTAGCCTGGGGTATTGAAATTAGATGTTGTTCTTCTAACCTACTATTAAGACCAAAATAACAGTAACTGAGCAGAAATCTATTTTATACATCCATCAACATGATTAAGGTGTAGTCTGATCTTTAGAAAAAATCACCCAAGGAAACTTGTGACCAACATCACTTTTAAAGGCAATGTCATAGCGTGAGTTAAAGAATTCTTTTCTCCTTTGATAAGAGAAAAACTTCTTTCCTGACTTAAGTCTAATTTGATAGTGAAAATGAGATTTGTCCTTAGTGGTGAGAAATCTCAACACCGTCTGATATTTGTGGCAGCATTATTCAGAGTAATTAATTGCAACAGACAACCCTGAAATCTCAGGGGCTTAACACAATAAAAGTTTATTTCTCACTCTCATCACAGCCCAATAGTGGCCAGGCAGACCTCCATCTTCTATGACATCTGGAACGCATGCTCTCCAAGGTTGCCCACACTGGGGAAGAGAGTGATGGAGAAAATGTACCAGCTCCTACTTGCCTCATCCTGGAAGGGATGCATAAGAGACCATTGCCAAATCTAGTTACATGGCTCTAACCTAACTGAGAGGGGAATGGGAAATACATAATGAAGGTGTAGGCTGATCGTTAGAAAAAGTACCCAAAGAATGCTGTACTCAGCATAAGTTTTAAAGACACTACCAGAGGGAGAGCACATGGGTATTTGGTAAGCACAGTCTGTCATTGTAGCTAAGCACAGCTCCCAGGCCACACTTTGAATAGTATTTATTTTAGTCAGGCAGCCCTAATGTATTCAGAATCCACATTTTATATTCTTTTCTTTTCTTTTCTTTTTTTTTTTTTTTTGAGACGGAGTCTTGCTCTGTCGCCCAGGCTGGAGTGCAGTGGCTGGATCTTGGCTCACTGCAAGCTCCGCCTCCTGGGTTCATGCCATTCTCCTGCCTCAGCCTCCCGAGTAGCTGGAACTACAGGCACCTGCCACCATGCCCGGCTAATTTTTTGTATTTTTTAGTAGAGATGGGGTTTCACCGTGTTAGCAAGGATGGTCTCGATCTCCTGACCTCGTGATCCACCAGCCTCAGCCTCCCAAAGTGTTGGGATTACAGGCGTGAGCCACCGTGCCTGGCCCACATTTTATATTCTTAAGTCTATAAACAGAGTAGGTGTTGGCATGTCTAATTTAATATTCAGATATTGTGGAGTATACAATTTTTGCCCTTTGCCATAACTGTTAGTAAAAGCTTATTTTCATGGATTGGGTATTAATTTGTAATGAGTCCTTTAATTTCTGATAGTGACTGGCTAGCACTATCAATTTTGCTTTAGTCAAAAGAGGTTGGAAGGCCATTGATAATGCTTCTTAAAAGATGATCCTGCAACGTTATGTAAGAAATCTTAATATTTCTGAGTTGAGACAAATGGTGTAGCTCAGCAGTAAAATAATCAGTGTACTCCAGACTGTTGATCTTATATGAGAATCATAAATCTCCAGACAATGAATGATGGTGCTTGTGAACATTTTCCCACAAGCTCATCAGATGTGTTTGTCATGGTGCAGCTGGAGAACCAAGTGGCCCTATGATGGCAATTGTGTCTTACACAGGCACTGGAACCACAATACACAGTATTAAATTGCTTTAGTTTAGAAGTAAGCTTCTCAGCATAGGAACATCAAGAAGTGGACTGTCATCAGACTGTTCCATTTGTTTTAGTCCTAAGGTTTCATGCTTGAGGTTGTATTCATTTTCTTACCAGTAGTACCTGAAGGTACGATTTGTACTGAATGTTGGTTCCTGATATTTTTAGGAAAGTCTCACTTCTCTGTTGTTATAAAAGACTTTGAGTTTGTTAAAAGAAAAAAGCAATGATAGATGAGCAGACCTTCAGCAAGACCATTATTTAGTCTTTGGATTCTTTTAGAAATACTCTAGCTGCTTCTGTTTTATTTTCTAAGAAACCCAAAGAGAACAAAACAACTAAAAGTGTTTTTCTGCAGTTAACCTCCATATCCATGCATTCTGCATTCCTGGATTCAACCAACTTTAGATTGAAAATATTCGAGAAAATATTCCACAAAATTTTAAAAAGCAAAACTAGGATTTGTTGCATGCTGAGTACTGCATTGAATCTATGCAAATGAAGTGATGTGTAGTTACTGTATTAGGTGTTATAAGTAATCTAGAGAAATTTAAAGTATATAAGAGGATATGTGTATGTTATATGCAAGTACCATGCCGTTTTATAGAAGGGACTTGAGCATCTACAGATTTGGGTATTCATTGGGTGGGGGGCAACAGGTTCCTGGAACCAATTCTCCATAGATACCATGGGATGGCTGCATATATATATTCAGAAAATAGAAACACATAGCTTAAACTTTTGCTCCATTTTACACATATCTATAAAGAGAATAAAATAATATCATGTTTGTGAGCATCAGTATTAGGCAAAACAATTAAAACTATATTATGTACCTCACAGAGTCATTGTGATGGATAATGAGATTGTGTCTATAAAGAATTTAGCACATTTTCAAAATGAAAGTCATTTGCATGTGCTAACATGAGCTTAACCAGGTTCTGTCCGAGGTCCTGAGGTGAGCTCTGAGTCCTAGACCATATGACACAATCCAAGAAACCCAAACAGCTTGTACTGAGCGCTGTACAGGACACGCAGTCTATCAAGCAGATAGTTTTCCATTCATTCAGCATGTATAGCCACTATTTTAACTAAATTAAATTTAGACCACTGACAAACTGCCTTACAAAGGTTTTATGTTGGGGTTAAGTGCCATCAAAACAGTTAACCACTTACATGGACAATTACTTTGACTTAGTTTGTACCCCCTCCCTCCATGAATTTTCTTAATTGACTAAACAATATCTTTTTGGATACATCTTAATTTTAAAAATAAAATACATATGAGAATTTCATCATTAATGAGTTTGTCTTCTAATGATATAACTTTATCGAAGAACCAAATGGCCAACTGATCCATTACCTTTATTCCTATTTACCATTGGTATAGACCACTAGCATAGCTGTTAGTAAGGTACAAGAGACACACAAACAGAAACTTTATTGTTACAAAATACACAAAAGCACTTTAGAATTTCAAGGTATAGCTGCAATAAGTTTCTTTTGGTGGTGTGGGAATTAGGGCAAAAATATAAAATCTAATGACACTGTGTAAAATTATTTACACCATCATCTTATGCTAATAATTTTTATCTGCTACGTTAAAAGTTAGGAAGATACAAAGTCAAGAGTTGCGCAGATCATGCTGAGGTCAGTAAGCCAGAAAAAGGGATCCAAATAAGTCCTCAAATTAGGTAGTAGTGACTGAGGAATATGTAGCCAAAGTGTTGAGTTTAAGAATAAAATCTCGGCAATAGAGACACAGAAGAAATAATAAAAATGAAAAACATAAAAGCCAGTGAATGGGCAAAAGAAGGGCACTCAGGGAAAATAGAAGAGAGGGAACCTTACTCCTGGGTTTTTAAGCTCCCTTTGATGGAACACACAGATAAGATGACTCCATTTAAAGAGCAAAGGGTGAAATAGACGCTGTGTAACTTGCCAATCATTTAATCTCTCTGAACATGAGTTGTTCTCACATGCCTATAAAAATAATAAAGTGCAACTCATGCTAACACTAGAACAATAAAATAACATATAAAGCACCTCATATTGTTTAGGACACAGTAGGTGCTTGATACTCAACCCTGGCTTCACATTTGAATCACAAAGGAATTCTTAGAACAAGTGTTTTCTTTTAGGTTCGGGTACATGTGCAGGTGTGTTATATAAGTAAATTGTGTGTCACGGGGGTTCGGTGTACAAATGATTTTACCATCCAGGTAATGAGCATAGTACCCAATAGGCAGTTTTTCGATCCTCACCCTCTTCCTTCCCTCCACCCTCAGGTAGGCCATGGTGTCTGTTGTTCCCTTCTTTTGTGTCCATGTGTACTCAGTGTTTATCTCATAAATGACAATATGTGATATTTGGTTTTCTCTTCCTGTGTTAGTTCACTTGGGATAATGGCCTTCAGCTCCATCCACATTGCTGCAAAGGGCATGATCTCATTCTCTTTTATGGCTGTGTAGTATTCCATGTGTATGTGTACCATATGTGTGTATGTACCATATTTTGTTTAACCGGTCTGCTGTTGATGTGCATTTGGGTTGATTTCATGTCCTTGCCACTGTGAATAATGCTGTGATGAACATATGTGTGCATGTGTCTTTATGGTAGAATGACTTATATTCCTTTGGCTATATACCTAATAAAGGCACTGCTGGGTCAAATGGTAATTCTGCTTTGAGTTATGTGAGAAATCACCAAATTGCTTTCCACAATGGCTGAACTAATTTACACTCCCACCAGCAGTGTATAAGCATTCCCTATAAGCATTCCCTTTTCTCCACAACCTCACCAGCATTTTTATTTTTTGACTTTTTAATAATAGCATTCTGACTTGTGTAAGATGGTATCTCACTGTGGTTTTTATTTGCGCTTCTATAATGATTAGTGACATTAAGCATTTTTTTCATATGCTTGTTGGCCATGTGTATGCCTTCTTTTGAAAACTGTCTGCTCATATCCTTTGCCCCTTTTAATGGGGTGTTTTTTGCCCGTTGATTTAAGTTCCTTATGGATTCTGGATGTTAGACCTTTGTTGGATGCATAGTTGGCAAGTATTTTCTCCCATTCTGTAGGTTGTCAAAACAAATGTTTTCCTGGGCTTCACCTAGACCCAATTAAATAAAAACTTCTAGGAGGAATTCAGGAGTTGGATATAGTAAAATCTCTCCTGATGCACATAATGTGCAGCCAGTGTTAAAACCCACTAAATTACATCAATATCTAATGCTTTGTTTCCCTTTCCACTTCCCAAAATTAGAATCTATTTAATCTCATAGGCATCCCAGGTATGTTATATTCATGTATTAACTTACTATGATTGGAATATAATTTCCAACAGATTGATATGCTGTCATCTGTTAAACTGTGCTTAATAATCAAACTCTTCCTGATATATTATGTAGTATATAACACGTTTTACTCCTTGTCTACCTTTCTTATGTGAATATAAGCTCCACAGGGTGAGGTATTGTCTCTTGCTCACCCCTTATTCCCAGAACCTGGAGCTATGCATGGCATATACAAGACATTCAATATGTTTGTTGAATGAACAAACAAATGAACAACTTTGTAATCAAGAAGATGGCCACTTTCATATTGTAATTTTAAATGCTCTCTGCTTAAAATAATGTTGCCCCAATAAATCAGTGTCTGCATGAAGTAAAATATGAATGATACAGAAACAGCTGGATTGGTTAAAGAAAACAAATTTTAAAGAGAGAAAAGTATGAATGAAATTAATAATTGTATGCTAGCAAATTAGATAATTTAAATGAAACAGACAAATTCCTAGAAAGACACAAATTATCAAAACTGACTCAAGAAGAATAAGAAAATCTGGAGAAACATGTAAGAAGACATTGAATTAATAATTTTAAAACTTCCCACAAAGAAAATCCAAGGCCTAGATGGCTTCACGGATCAATTCTACCAAACATTTAAAAAAGAATTAACATCAGCCTTTCACAAACTCTTCCAAGAAATAGGACAGGGCAATGTCCTAACTTATTCTATGAAGCCAGTATTATCCTAATAGCAAAACCAGACAATTATGACAAGAAAACTAAAGATCAGTAACTCTTAGAAATATAGATCTAAGAATCCTCAACAATTACCAGGAAATCAAATCCATATAAAGATATTATACAATATGACCAAGTGGGATTCATCCCGGAAATACAAGCTAATTGTATTAGTCCATTCTCACACTGCTATAAAGATATTACCTCAGTCTAGGTAATGTATAAAGGAAAGAGGTTTGACTCGCAGTTCCACATGGCTGAGGAGGTCTTAGGAAACTTATCATGGTGGAAGGCAAAAGGGAAGCAAAGACATTTTTCACATGGCAGCAGGAGAGAGAAGTTCAAGCAGGGGAAATGCCAGACGCTTATAGAACCATCAGATCTATGCAAACTAACTCACTATCATGAGAACAGCTTGGGGGAACCGTCCCCATGATCCAGTCACCCCCCAACCTGGTCCCTCCCTCAACATGTGTGGATTATGGGGATTACAATTCAAGATGAGATTTGGGTGGGAACATATAGCCAAACCATATTACTGGTTAAATCTATAAAAATCAATTAATATAGTATATTATAGACTAAAGAAGAAAAAGCACATGATCATCCTAATGGATACAGAAACAGCATTTGACAAATTTCAACACCTTTTCATGAAACATACACATGCATGCACACACACACACAACACATACACACATAAAATTTCCACATACTAGGGGCTCAGTTGTACAGGTTGCTTTCGGAGGCATTCCTTGCTTATACCAGTAAATAAATACATTCAGGATGAAGATGAGCATGATACCAAATTAGAGGAATGGAAAGGAATGGATTCAGAGTTAATATCTTTACTGATAGAAAAACAAAAATATTCAATAATTTTACAAATATGCCTAAATGCCAACACTCTTTGATAAACATCCCAGGGAAACCTAAAACGCTAAGGGTTCATGAATCTGGAATGATTTGCTGCTCCAAATAGAATAAATCTCCAGAAATTTGCTACAGCCATCTAGTGGGAATTGTGCAGCAATAAGACCCACAATTACTAAAACCTAAATTCCTCCCTGAAGGAAAGAAAGAAGGAAGGAAGAAAGGAAGGGAAAAAAGGAAGAAGTGCCCTCAGACTTCAGAATTTACACAATCGCTCATTCCCAAACTATTCAGACATTCCAAAGATTCAATTATGTTGAAGAACCAAACTCAAATCTAGTTTTATGTGGAAAAAGGAACCCTTTATGGGGTAAAATGACTCCAGTGCTAAAACAATTTAGCATTAGAAAAGAGTAGGGTTTTTCACTGCTATTATTTTAATGCCCAGAAATATGCTTTGTTTGGAGTATATTGCAGGACAAATACATCTTTCGAGTGTTAGATTTCCAGTGCCTGCATCTTTTCCCAGTCCCTTACCTGTCATTATATGAAACTTTTATGACTACTCGCAGACAAAAACCAGAAACACAAAGTTGAGTGGGGCGGCGGGAAGCTCAGTAAATAACAGATCAGCAATTTAAGCTCAGCTGAGGAATTCGGCTCTCAGACCCCAGACTGCTGAAGAGGCTGGATTCAAGTGTCATTGACACTGGTGAGTCAGAAAGATGAGCCTTAAACTCCCTCATGTCTTACTACTAGTGGCGCTAATCCTTCTTCAACGACTATCCAAATTATAGACTCTCACATCAGTCGTTCAGTGTACTTGACTTTTTTGTTACCTGCAAATTAATATAACATTGTACTCCCTTTAAATACAATATTGCTAATAAAAATAATTAGAAAGGCAAATGACAGGCATAAATTGTGAGTTAAATTGTCTGTAATAAAGATGGCATACTCCAGGCATACGGAGGATTGCTTTGATTTCTGTGTAACAATAATAACCTGCATTTGTGGAGGGTTTTACTGTGTGCCAGGAGTTGTTTTAAATACCTTTCTTTCTTAACCACTTATTTAATCCTTTTAGAAACCCCATGAGTTCAGTATTTCATCTATAAAATGCAGAGAATAATAATTCTACATCACAGAATTGTTGGAACAATCCCAGGCATAGAGGAAGTATTCAATAATTGTTAGCTGTTATTCAGTTTGCAATCTCCTCTTTTTTTGTTCCTTTAAAATGGAAGCAGTTGCTTTCCTTTGGTTTCCTGGCTCCTTGTTCCTTCTCCATAATGTCACAAATGTCACATATAGTCATATATACAGATTCTTCCCATGCTTTAGAGTATGATTTTTAAAACCTAAAAGTTTGAATGCATGTAGAACAGCAAAGTGTATCCTTACTTGTTGTCTTCTCTCCTCTCCTATCTTTACATTCCTATTTTGCTGAGGTTTATGTTATGTTTACCTAAATAATAATCCTGATATTTGAATTGTACATTTAAATTTACAAAGTATTTTACATGTGCTCTCTCTTAATAGCAGAGTGGTTGTTAGAGCCGAGCTTTAGAGTGAGTCGAGCTTTGGAGTGGTCTTTAGGCTTGAGTCTTGGCTCAGCGTTTTCTGGTTGTGAATTTGAAGAGATTCGCTGACCTCAGGCTAAGTTTTCTTATATGTAACATGAAATTAATAAAAGCATATATCTTCTGGATTGATTTTTAGATGATATAATACACAGAAAGGGTTTAGCATAGTCTCTAGCACAATAGAAAGTAAACATAGTAAGTGTTGGTGGAGATCGTTATTTGCAGTGATATTAGTGGTTGACTTTCCAATACCTATTCCAGCCTGTAGAGTAAGTCCGAGCTAGTCACAGTTACACACTTCCCCTTATGAGGGCTAATTTAGGATTAGCAATGTCACTCAGTTCTAGACAGTAAGGCAGGAAGAGAAGTCTTCTGGGGAGTTTCTCAGAAACGTTTTCTTGCTCCTAAAACAGAGGTTTAAGAAAGAGCTGGTCCCTCTTCTTCCTTTGGACATTGCCATACCTGGATGTGATAGTGGGAACAGCTGGGTCCACCTTGCTGCCAGGCCGTGGATAAAGCCCATACACAAAGGAGCAAGGGGAGCTGGAACACTGAGCTGCTGAGTTTGGAGCTGCTCTACTTCTGGGCTCCCAGTTACATTTTCTTACTGTTTAAGCCACTCTAAATTGGAGTTTTATCTCACTTGCAGCCAAAACACACTCTGATACAAAAGGTTGATAATTATAACAATCAGTAGCAGAATATAAGAAAGACTGAAAAGGTTCTATATTTCTCTACAAATGAATTATTTAATACAAGTATTCACAAGGGAGATAATCAAGTCCACATAACCCATTTAAAAGTGCCACATTCTAAGTTTTATGTGTCGCAAGTTGATTTTCAGAATTTCTTGGGCTTCATATTTCAGCTAAATATGCTACAGAAAGAGGTGGGAAAAAATATTATGATCCATGAGGTCTGGCTTGTATTTCCTCTTGCCATATTCTGATAAAGCTGGGGTTGTCTTATAGGACTGTAGAAAGTGATGATCAACTAATGATTTTCAGCACCCCTTTGACCTTTCTTTCTAGCATTCTCATAAACATTTGCTTTGATTGCAGATGTTCAAATACCCAACATATTTTCAGGCAAGCAATCTGTCTCTGGTCCAAGAATATTTTATCAGCATGATTTGTGTTTGATCTTACGTGTAAGTTGATGTTTTAAAATAAAATGACCACTATTCACTCGACCAGATGATCTTTCTTTCGCTTTTCACGACCAGTACCGTAGATCTGTGCAAACATCTTACGACCTCCCTTTTCTTAAGACAGTTGTCCTCAAACTCAGGGTGTGACACAATTTCCCGCAGAACTTGTTAAAACACAGATTGTTGGAAAACTTGTGGTTTGGGGTGAGACCCTTAGAAATCTTGCATTTCTCAGATTTTCAGGTGATATTCATGTTCTTTGTCCAAAGACCCCTGTCGTAACACAACTTCCCAATCACCCTAATTTAATTGTAATACTTTGAGTGTTTAGAAGGGAATAAAGCCCACAATAAGAAATATTCTCAGATTTTTCTTTTCTCACGAGTCAGCATGAAATTTATAATGACTTAAGTAGTAATTCATTTATTAAAAATACATATTATATATATTTGAGACTTATAAACTGATTTAGTGTATGCTTATGGATAGTAAAATGGATACAATAGTGAAGCAAATTAACATATCTATCATCTCACATAGTTACTTTTATTTTGTGACAAGAGCAGACAAACTACTTATTTAACACAAATCCCTGATACAATTTTATTAACTGTAATCCTCACATTGTACATTAGCTCTCTTGGTGTGTTCAGCCTACATAGCTTCTGTATACTTTGTATACTTTTATATACTTTGACCTGCATCTCCCATTTCCTCTCTCTCACCCTGCCCCTGGTAACTACTGTTTTATTCTTTACCTCTTTATATTTGATCGCTTTCTTTTTAGATTGCACATATCCATGAGATACAATTTTTTATTCTGCGTCTGGCTTATTTCATTTAGTATAACATCCTTCAGGCCCATCCATGTTGTGGCAAATGGCAAGATCTCATGCTTTTATAAGACTTAATATTCCATTGTGTGTGTGTGTGTGTGTGTGTGTGTGTGTGTGTGTGTGTGTCTTTTGTAAATCCTTTTTAAAAATTTTGAGACAGGCTCTCAACTCTGTCACCAAAGCTGGAGTGCAGTGGTGTGATCACGGCTCACTGCAGCCCCAACCTCTTGGGTTCAAGGGATCCTCCCACCTCAGCCTTCTCAAGCAGTGGGAACTACAGATGCATGCCACCACACCTAGCTAATTTTTTTATTTTTTGTAGAGACAGGTTCTTGCTATGTTGCCCAGGTTGGTCTCAAACTCCTGGGCTCAAGTGATCTTTCTGCCTTGACCTCCCGAACTGCTGGGATTACAGGCCTGAGCCACCACACCAGGCCATATTTTAAATTTCTTTAGGAACGTCTATACTGTTTTCTATAATGGCTGCACCAGTCTACATTGTCACCAACAGTATACTAAGGTTCCCTTTTCTCCACACACTTGCCAACATTTATCTCTTGCCTTTTGATCACTGATTGTTGATTTGATGCATTTTTTTTTCTTTTTTGAAATGCAGTCTCCCTCTATTGCCCAGAATGGAGTGCAGTGGCGCAATCTCAGCTCACTGCAACCTCTGTCTCCTGGGTTCAAGTGATTCTCCTGCCTCAGCCTCCTGATTAGCTGGGACTACAGGCATGTGCCACCATGCTAGGCTAGTTTTTTTGTATTTTTAGTAGATATGGGGGTTTCACCATATTGACCAGGCTGGCCTTGACCTCCTGACCTCGTGATCTGCCCACCTCAGCCTCCTAAAGTGCTGGGATTATAGGCATGAGTCACCGTGCCCAGGCTTTGATGCTGTTTTTTATCTACAGCTAAGAAAAACCTGGGACTTTAATGTGGTTGTTCAAGGTTCTTCTTTTGCTCTTTTTGTTTTTTTCTCTTATTGGTAATCTTACTAATGTTCAGCATTTCCACTATGGCCTTTGCAAGGCTCTCTCTGATATTCATGTTTCTATCCCTGACCTCCCTCCTAACCTTCATTCAGGCCACCTTTCTCCATAAGCAAGCCCTGCAGGGATCCTCAAACTTAGGATTCAGTTTGAATCCAATTCAGACTTCACTCCCAATATATCTATTTTTCTTGCCTGCTTCTCTATTTTTCAAGTTTCCCTGCACCTTCACACTTTTTGGGCCTTCACTTAATATACTCTCTCTGCCCTGAGAGCCCCATGTTAGACTTTCCTCACCTTCAAGGTCCAGAACAGGTCTTTCCTCCTCAAGAAACGTTCCAGTCAGGTGCAGTGGCTCACACCTGTAATCCCAACACCTTGGGAGGCCAAAGTGGGAGTACTACTTGAGCCCAGGGGTTTGAGCCCAGGGGTTGCCCAAAGTGGGAAGCATAGTAAGATCCCACCTCTACAAATTTTTTTTTTTAAATTAGCCAGGCATGGCAGCAAATGCCTGGGGTCCTAGTTATTCAGGAGGCTGAGTTAGGAGGGTCCAGGAGATTGAGGCTTCAGTGAGCCATCATTACACCACTCCACCCCAGCCTGGAGAAGAGAGCAGGATCCCATCTCAAAAAAAACACAGCATTCCCAGTAGAAGGTATTTTCCTTCCTTCCATTCCTTTCTTATAGACCTTTTCATGGTCTGTCTTGATTGACATTATTTTTGTTTATATGTGTCTCTTCCTTCTGAACCTGAGAATGCACAAGTGCACTGCAGGAGTTTCTGAATCTTTTGAAATTGTATGCAAAATGTTGCCGGTATTTAAGTGCATGTTTCTAGACCACTGACTTCAAAATCACCTGAGGAATTATATATGTATATTTAGAGCTAAAAGTGCATATCCCTTGTGAGGCTGAGGCAGGAGAATCGCTTGAACCCAGGAGGTGGAGGTTGCAGTGAGCTGAGATCGCGCCACTGCACTCCAGCCTGGTGAAAGACCAAGCCTCCGTTTCAAAAAGCAAAACAAAAAAACCACAACCAACAACAAAAAACAAAATGCATATCCCAGGGCCCTATCACAGGCAACTGAATTCAAGTCTCTGGAGGTGTGAAAGTTGTAGATAATGAGATGAAATCACCTTTGCCAGACCTAGACAAAATAAGGCCAGAAACACATGAAGGGGAGAGGAGGCACATGCTTTCATGTCCAAAATAAGAACTGTTTCCAAGGGCTTTCAAAAAACTCCCCAAGAAACTCGTTTGCATCCTTCACACATCACCTGCCTATGACAAGGTTTATCACTAGACATTCTTTAGGACTGCCGTAATTCAGATAAGATGCTTGCGAAAGAACACTTACCCAGTGACATTTTCACCAATGAACTGACATTCACTGTGGCTTTGAGCCTCTGGAATGAATGAACTCTGTTTTTTGCTGTCTCGTTTTTCTAATGCCACATCTTAACACATGTTATCAGGGACACAAGCATCAAATATATATTTGAGACCAATAACTGATATTGACTGAAACTGAATCCCAGAATCAAAGTCTTTTTTCAGAGCCAGAAAGAATGACAGACAGGTGAAAGATAATGTTTATTGAGTAATTCTTCTGTGCCAGGCACACTTCTAAGCACTTTACAAATATTAACTCATTTAATCCTCACAACAACCCAATGACCAAGTTGCTATTATTGGCAACATTTTAGGATAAGGAACCTGAGGCACACAGAAGTTGAGCAACTTCCCCAATGTCACACAGCTGTCAGGTGGCAGGCTGGTATTGAAGTCAAAGTCATGCGCTTCCAGACCTTACATTTCACCTCTGCATTTTATATTTATCTAGGTTATTCTAATGCAGGCTAACCTCTGAGAACCACTGCTTTAGACTGTTAAATAAAATAGGAGTGCAAATACCTGAGATCTAATCATCCTACTGTTATAAAACCAACAGGTTTGTGTGTCCATTGTGCAGTAACAGACCAATGCACTGAGACAACAGGGATGCAACTGAGAAAGAGTTTAGTGATTGCCAGGCACTGAGCCAGGGGATGGGAGGAGACCCTCAAATCTATTTCCCTGAGGAGTTCTGGGATAGGGTTTTTAAGGGGATCATGGAAGGTGAGGGGCTGGAAAATTGGGATTGTTGATTGGTCGGGGCAAGGGGGATGATATAATCAAGATGTGGAAACTGCTTTCTTTGGTGAATTGGCTCCTCATGGGGTTCTTCAGACTAGCTGAGTCAGTAGTTTCATCAGCATACAGGACCTGAAGGTCCTAAAGCAATATCTCAAAGGGAAAACAACATTTAATAATGTTCAAGTTGTTATCTATAGAGCAGTTAAGGGGAACTCTAATCTTGTAATAGGATCTACATGATTCTGAGGTAACAGGCACCAAAAGACTATGAGGAAGTAGTCAGAGAGCAAGCTCACCTCATGATTAATGCTGAATGTGCTGCAAACTTGGTTTATTTTCATTTCTCCCTCTCTCTTCTTCCCTGATTAATTTTATAAAGTTTATAGGGGTCGTTTCAATACTGTGTGACCATCGGAAATCAATGAACCTCTATGGGCCTCAGTATACTTATCTGTAAATTGGAGTTGGGATTCATCCTTTTAATGGCTTGACTATAACCATAGCTATTTACTTATTGGTTGTCGTGATGTCAGGCCTTTCTCCAAGCTTCCAACAACACTGAAAGTCAGGCCAGCTGTGGTGGCTCATGCCTGTAATCCCAGAAATTTGAAAGGCTGGGGTGGGAGGATGGCTTGGGCCCAGGAGTTTGAGAACAGCCTGGGCAACAAAGTGAGTCTCTATCTCTCAAATAAATAAATAAATAAATAAATAAATAAATAAATAAATAACACTGAAAGTCAGGGAGCTTCCATGCTTGTCCTTAAGCCTGCTCTTACTTCCTTGGAAGAGCTGAATGTTAAATATCCAGGACTTTTACAAACTGGCTATAAACCTTGGTAGCTTGATTCACAGAAAGGATGAAAAGGACCCTGACAAGCACTCTTGAATACAGGTTTCTGATAACTTTAGGATCACATCATTTGGACTGAGTAAAAATTCCCAAAATTCTAATAAAGAGACTTACTGGCTTATAAAACTGCTAACCCAAGCACGACAAGAATTAATTGAATACCAAGAAAATACTTTGCCAGATTTTCATGCTAAATTAGCTAGTACTAAAATCGTTTAGATATCCGTTTTGAATAAACTCCATGGTTCAAGTCAAATTACCTGTGATAACCCATCTAATGAACAATGCTACATACCTTAATTGGAGAACAAAATTGGTATTTAACAGGATATAAGTCCATTGCTAAACATGGACCCATAAAGAGCGTGGACAGCTACCTGGTCCTTCCTAAGTCCTTAAGGCTTCCACTATTAAAAATTCTGCATTCCATGACTCATCATGGAAGAGATAAAATAATCCTAAATAAATAAATATGTAGTGACTTTTCTAAATTTCTAAAATGTTTTATGAACAATGTTTGAATGGTTTGTCAAACCTATAATCCTGGGAAGATTATCAAAACTTCAGGTACATTTCTGTTACCTAATGGGCCATTTAAACATTTATAGAGAGATTTCATTCAATTTTCCTTTTCAATGCATGTTTTCTGGTTGTATAAAAGCTTTCCCATGAAAGAGAGCTGTCATTATAAAGATATCTAAAAGGTTGTTAGAAAATGTGTTTTTCTCATGGGACACTTTTGGAGAAATATCTAATAATAGAGGTACTTGTTTCACTGGACAAGTTGTAAAATAGTCAAATAAGGTATTACAGATACAGTACCATTAGGTAAAGCTAACTTAATTGACTGGATTGTCTTGTAACAATCAGATCCACTTCCAGTAGAAAACTGTGGAAGCAGTTCACCTCAACATGTTGGCTTCTATTAACCCAAGTTCTGGAGAGGTCTCTGAGATTTCCAGTTTACCTATTATTCTTTGTGTAAGAACAGGTACTTACTGTAAATCTTGCCCTTACTGTAAGTCTGTAAAGATTTCCAGTTTACCTATTGTTCCTTGTGTAAGAGCAGGTACTTACTGTAAATCTTACTGTAAATGTTGCCCTGTAACAACCTTGACGTTATCATACTTCAATTATTCTACACATTTCTTCTGAATCACCCTTTCTCTGTGGTATATAAGCCCTAGGTCTGGGGAGTAATGGCGCAGAGGTCACCACCCTATCTCACCACCACCCGAGACACAGATGTGGCTTCTGTTTGTAAGTCCCTATTAAATGTTTCTTTCTGAGAAACTGGATATGTCATCCTCTTTCTTCAGCCTCTCAGCTTCCTCAGACTTTGGGGAAGATTTGCGTAAAACTGCCCACCATGAAACAAAAACGTAACCTGACCCCTTCTGAAATAGTTCCTGGAAGGCCTACACACCTAAAAATAGAGGCTCCTGTATTTTCTGCTACTAAATTCTGATATGACTAAAGGCTTTAATGCACTATGCCAAATATATTATTATGAATTATGCCAAACTATATTTCCACCAGGCAAATAAAGCTTTTCATGGTCCACTGACTGAGAACAATCAAACCCTTCACAATCTAGAACCTGGAGATTCTGAGAACATCAGAGAAAGACCGCCCTTGCCACTCATACTTCAGCAAAACTTTGGCACCTTGGACCTTGGGTTCATAATCTCACAACTCAGAAGGACCCCTCCAGACTCTTAGAACTGTATACCCCTTGGAGATGGTAAGGTAAAGCTAATCAGGGACGTTTATCTCCAGAAGCAGACAGCATCCCAGACATAGACAGCTTTTTTTCCAAGATCAGGGATCAAGACCTCTGCTATCACGAGATTCTTATCTCTCCATTTTTCCCCTGCTTATGCCTCTATGAAAAGTAGAAGTAAAAAAGAGTCTGTTATGTGCAATCATGAGGTATATTTTTATTTGTGAAGGATTCTGCAGCCAGCTTTACACATGGACAATCTCATGCCTTGACAGATGGAAGATGAAGGGCAAATGTGAGGTATATTGTTGCTTCATAATCAGTCACAAACAGAACATTGGTCTACTTCTCCTAACCTAGATCATAGGTTAAAGAGAATACTTCCAGGAGGCATTCACTATTCTGGAAGGGCATCATTTGTTAGGTCTCTTTCTTTCATGATTTGGAGTAAATGAGGCAATGATTAGAAATTTATCTCTCATTCTAGGCTCTGTAGCAGATTCTACTGTAAAGGCTGTGGTTGCACAACAGACTAAATTATCTTGCTAATGTGCTAAATAATAGAATTGCTCTAGATTACTAACTGGCCAAACAGAGAAATATCTGTAGTTGTTGACACTTCTTGTACATGGAGGAATACAATGGGTATTGTAGAGATTCCATTGTAGGGGATTAATAAACAGGCTGCTTGGTTGAAATGAAGACTCTTCCTGTAGCTCATTCTTTGATCTGTTTGATTTTAATTCATTTCGTTCATGGAGACTCTAAGGAGGACACTCTTAAACTCTTGGTATTATCCTCCTGATAGTCGTAATAGTAGTCTCCCTGGTGCGCTGAATTCTCTCAAAAGTTTTAAATGTTTACATGCAGCCATATCTAGAATGTTAAATGGTCTCTCTTCAACTGGACTGACAAAAACTCAAAGGAATGTATGAACGTGAAGATACTGTAACCTATGAATGACATGCTGAGACTGGAAATCCAAAATGATGTTAACTGAGAGTTGTGCTAAGGCCCTAAGTTTTATTCACATTCTCACTGTATCAGTCCATTCTCATGCTGCTAAGAAAGACATGCCTGAGACTGGGTAATTTATGAAGGAAAGAGGTTTAATTGACTCACAGTTCAGCATGGCTGGGGAGGCCTCAGGAAACTTATAATCATGGCAGAAGGCAAAGGGGAAGCAAACACGTCCTTCCTCACATGGTGGCAGGAAGGAGAAGTGCCAAGCAAAGGGGGAAAAGCCCCTTATAAAACCATCAGATATTGGCCGGGCGCAGTGGCTCACGCCTGTAATCCCAGCACTTTGGGAGGCCGAGGCGGGCGGATCACAAGGTCAGGAGATCAAGACTATCCTGGCTAATACGGTGAAAACCCATCTCTACTAAAAATACAAAAAAATAGCCGGGCGCAGTGGTGGGCGACTGTAGTCCCAGCTACTCAGGAGGCTGAGGCGGGAGAATGGCGTGAACCCGGGAGGCGGAGCTTACAGTGAGCCGAGATAGCGCCACTGCAGTCCGGCCTGGGTGAAAGATCAAGACTCCGTCTCAAAAAAAAAAAAAAAAAACCATCAGATCTCAAGATAACTCATTCACTTTCACAAAAACAGCATGGGGGTAACCACCTCCATGATTCAATTACCTCAGGTCAGGTCCTTCCCACAACACATAAGAATTTTGGGAACTACAATTCAAGATGAGATTTGGTTGGTGACACAGCCAAACCATATCATTCACCTAAGTGAGACTCTGATCAAAGTGTAATTTTAAACAAAATTGTGAGAAGCCATTGTTTTGGACTGAGCTCAAGCCCTAGGCCCCAACAGACCAGACCAAACCAAAATGGAGTCACTTAGGCTAAATGCAACATAATCAAACTGAAACTTTAAGGAAACAGATCCTAAAACAGACCAGGTTTTGTCTTTCTCCTGAGATTCCAGCACAAAAAGTCCCCCCTACTCTAACATTTAAAAAATAATAATAACCTGAAATCTTTGTTCCTGCCTTACAAAACCCACTGTTCTGATATTTCTCAGTGGGATTTGAAACCAAATAAGTACCTTTACAAAGGTGACAGAGTGACACCAATGCCTAAAGTTTTGGTCAGTCTCTCAATTGAGAGGTTGACTAATAGTGGAGAATTGTTAAGTTTAGCCTAAACCTGCCTGTTTACATATTTTACAGGTTTCTCCCTACACAGTGGACTGTAACCTAACTGGATGTGTAAACAGACTGTAACTCACTCTTGTGCCAACCACTGAGTTTCAGCCAATCAAAGGCAGTTGACTGTTCAAATAAATTCAAACCGAGTTTAAATAAGGCAAATTGTAGACGTGTAACCAGTTCCACTGTTTCTGCACCTCAGTTCCATTTTCTGTACATCACTTTCCTTTTTTGGCCCCTAAATCTTCTTCCCTCATGTGGCAAGTGGGCAGGCCAGTGGGAGTGCAGATGCTTACCTCCACAAGGAAGCTTCAGGTTTTTTGTAGTCATTATGTATTGCTTAAATATTTCACCATTTTTATTAGGTATCTATCTTTTAAAAAAAGTACCATTTAAATTTTTTAGTATCATACCCCAGCTCCATTTCCTTATAAGACCTGTGTTTTATTGCATGATTTTGCATAGAGCAGTGATTTCGGGGAACCAATATATCATGTTATAGCAAAACTTACTAATATCAATAAATGTCTCCCTCATAAGGCTCATGATTGAGTTCACATATACAAAAGACTTAGGATAAAACTTGGATGTAGTAAGTGGTAAATTAGTAGTGGCTATTTTCGTTCTAAAAGAGATAATTGAATTAGATAACAATTCTCCAAATATCTTCCAACTGCAAGATATTGTGTGTTCTCAAATCTAGGCCCCCTCATTATACATATGAGATGAGAGAATGGAGTCCTTTGCTAAAGGTCATACAACTAGTTAATGAGGAGATGAGAAAACACTGGCACCCAGGGCTCTTACTGTCTCTCCAAACCAGTGCCCAACAGACTGAAGGCAATAACTGAAAACTAATTGCAAAGTCATTCAATGTCTCTAAATTTCTAAAGTATACATTAAAGTTTCCTAGTTATGGCAAATTGTGTCAGATGGAAGGGACTTTAAGGCTCTTAGCTGCTTTGGCTGTATAGAAAGTTATAGCCAGAAGGCAGATGTCTAGCCTATTCAAATTTTACTCGGAGTTCCAAGCATCATTCCATCTTTGTGCCTGAAGGGAGAAAGGCATACAAAGGTAACATCCAATCATTGACAGATGAATGCCTAAGGGGCAAAGAGAAATTCATTTTTACTTCCCCCATGCCATTGTTATCTTTTCAATAGCAATTCCCTCAGCCCCCAACATTCATAACACTATGTCTATGGTTGGGTGGAGGGTTTTTTTTTTCTGTGTTGCTAATGGTATACAAAGTATGCCTAGCTAAGGAATATGTTTTCCTTTGTGATGAAAGAGTCCCAAGAGCCACCATCACCTAAACTTCTCCTAAATGCTTTTAAAATCCTGATTTGGTATTGGGCCAAGATTAAAATAAGTTATGGATTCTCCAAACATTGTAATTATTTTACACTGGGGTTATCATCCACTCTATAAATGGTGATGAGTTCTTATCTCATACTGCATACTTCCCAGCTTGCTAAGCTCTATAAAGACAACTGATTTTTTAAGATGGTTTGAAAAGAATGATGAGTTAATTAATTCTACTCATTTGTGTCCCTTCTCTAGGGGAGGATAAGCCAATAACAATGAGGACATCCTGCTAAATTATGTGTTTTGTTTTCCAGTCTGAATTACATTAAAATCATAGCAAGCTGGTTTTTTAGAGCAGTGTTTTTTTCAAAATGTGGTCCACAAACTCTGGGAGTCCTGGGGACCTTTCCAGAAGACCTGCAAGATCAAAACTGGTTTATAAAAATCGTAGGACATTATTTGCCTTTGTCTCAGTGTTGACGTTTGCCTTGTAAGGGCAAAAGCAAACTGCTGGCCCCTTAGCACAGATTAAGGCAGTGGCACCAAATTGCACTAGTAGTCATTGTGTTCCTCACCATCCTGCATTTGCAGTTAAGCAAACAAACAAACAAAACCTAGTTTCATTTAAGAGTGTCCCTGGTAAAGCAATACAAGTGATTAACTCTATGAAATCTCCACCTTTGAGAACATGTCATTGTAATCTGTATGAGAAATGGGAAGTGCTGAGAAAGCACCAGAGGCCAACAGTTGCCTCAAGGTCAAGCAATAGTGCAAGTGTTTGGGTTGCAGACTAAACCAGCTGCTTTTTTTTTTTAATGGAACACTTTTAATTTGAAAGAACAATGGACATATGAAATATGCCTTTTCAACCTTTCCAAACTTAACCAAGTAAGCCTGTCATAAGAAGAAAAAAAAAACTATTAGATATTTGTTGCCAATGATAAAGTTCGAGCTTTCGAGTGAAAATTCGAATTTTGGAAAGTTTATATTTGCCACTATTAGCTTGATAACTTCTCAATATTTGGTGCCTTTTTCAGGTAATAGTAATGAGTATGAGTTTTAAAATATTGTGTAGTGAAATATGCCAAAATGTGGAAGATCTGCTTACCTCAATGAAACATTATTTTCCAAATGACTAACATATGATATTACAAAATCAAGAACAGGTAAAAGATTATTCAAAATGGAAGCAAACCATGAATTTTAATGTGACAGAATATGAAAAGTTAATCCACATGGTTTCAAATTCTACATTGTAATGAATCTTTAAGAAACTTGAGTTTTGATGTAATAGCAAAAAAGAATACCCACAATTATGTAAAAAGGTTATTAAAATAGTCCCTTCTTTTCCAACTAACTATCTGTGTGAGGCTAGATTTCTTCATATACATTAGCCCAAACCAACAGATTGCAACGGATTGAATGCAGAAGAAGATATGAGAATCCAGCTGCCTTCTAGTAAGCCAGACATTAAAGAGATTTGGAAAAATCTAAAATTATACCACTACATATTTTTTATCTTAGAAAATATAGTTATTTTATAACCAATGTGTTATTATATTAACATACAATAGGTTTCTTATTTTTATGAGTGTATAAGTAAATTTATTTATTTATTTAATTTTTTGAGATGGAGTCACTCTTGTTGCCCAGGCTGGAGTGCAGTAGCATGATCTCGGCTCACTGAAACCTCTGCCTCCCGGGTTCAAGCGATTCTCCTGCCTCAGCCCCCCGAGTAGCTGGGATCACAGGCACCTGCCACCATGCCTGGCTAATGTTTTTATTTTTAGTAGAAACGGGGTTTCACCATGTTGGTCAGGCTGGTCTCAAACTCCTGACCTCATGATCCACCTGCCTCAGCCTCCCAAAGTGCTGGGATTATAGGCGTGAGCCACCACGTCCAGCCATAAATATTTTTAAAACATCCCATTTAAAAATTTTAGTACAATACATATTGATAGACATGACCTATCAAAACAAAAACTTTTTGAGATCCTAGATAAATTTTTAAAGTTTAACTGTTTCCTATAACCAAAAAGTTTGGGGCTCACTGTTTTAGGGCTCTGAATTGGATTTGAAGATGTGGTTTTCAAAGTGTGATTCAGGGACTACCAGACTTAAGGATTATTAAATGCAGTATGTATAAAAAGGAATATTCCTGGATATCTTCCCACATTCCTGAAATGGACTCTAGCAGGTAAGGATGGGAAAGCCTTCAATTCTGAAAAGCTTCTAAGTCATTCTGATGAACATATAGGATCCTGCACTGGTCAAGGGTCCTGAACTCTATGTCTGGATTGGCTACAATTTATTAAAGACCTTAAGTGATTCTGTTAAGCCTCTTGGAACCTCAGTTTTCTACATAATACATTGGACAGGTGGGTTCACCACAAAAAAAACTAATTCAGAGAGCCTCAGATAAAAGGCTTGAAAAGCATCCCCCATGTTGCCGTTTCTTAAATTACATGTGTTAAATGACTATATATTGTAAAGTGGTATCCTTAACTTTAAAAAATAGTTTTAAAAATCATCTTGTAAAAGAGTTTTAAAAGTAATCTACCGATCTGTTATCCATCCGTTTCAAAACCTCACAGTGGTCATTTTTGCATATTAGCTGGGTTCTAAACCCAAAGTGCATTCTCTAAAAAACAATACTTGAAAAGAGAGACCAAAAAAAAAAAAAAACCATAAAGAAGATAAATGTAGACCACCAAAAAATTATAAATAACAGCTATAAACTCAGATATAAAATGAATCTGAGGTGCCAAGGGCCCCTGAAAAACGAAAGCTTTTTAAAATGAGCAATGATCTTCCCTGCTTGGGAGCTACGTAAGGAAAGAGATGTACAATCCTTTTAATGTTCTACTAAGCCCCAAAGTCCAAAGCTCCATTTCCTCAAAGCCCCTGAAGGCAAGCGCTGGCTCAGAGTTCCTAAAGCTCACTTGGAAGCGGGTCTTCAAGAGCTTTAAAAGTTAAAAGCAAAAACGTTAAACCTTAATCTGTTGCTCACACAAATATCCATTCAAACAAGGACGGCTATGGGCAGACTGCATCCTTTCTGCCCTTCCTTGGTAATGGTGGGGCTGTCACTTTCTATATTCACTTCCAATAAGCCATCCAGTATTCACTCTTACTAGGAGTCCACAGTACATCTTTCCTTTGTGCCCAAGATGCTGGTGTACCATTTCAAGACATTTTTTTCCCTAAGCTAGCAGCCCCTTAATTTCCTACTCTGTTAACAAGGAATGTGTTGAATGTGAATGGGTCACATTTACTGAATCTTTGTCAAGCACTGAGCTCAGCAACACTCTCAATAATTCTATGAGGCAGGTAATATTGTGTCTTTTTTAGGATGAGGAAACTGAGACACAGAGGTTGAATAATGTCCTGAGGACCACCCAGCTAGTAGGCAGTTGCACTTGGATTCAATCCTATGATTGTATGATTCCAGGACTTGAGCTCTTAACAGCTACTCTATTCTATTTCCTTTCCGAAAGAATTGACAGGTAGAATAACCATCCTGGGAGTGGAGGACGAAAAGAGAGGGAGCCCTTCAGTGAAGCCTTTAAAGCCCAATAATACTTCAGCGAGCCGTTCTAATATTCAATAAAATCTCTAGATTCCATTTGCATTTTAAACTTGATTTTTTTTTGAAAAAAAAATTTTTTTTTTCTTAAAAGAGTCTCACTAAGTTTCCCACGCTGGCTTTGAACTCCTGGGCTCAAGGGATCCTCCCACTTCAGCCTCCTGAGTAGCTGGGCCTAATTTGTTGCCCACTTTATTTGTGAATGGCTAGCAATTTCAGGACGATGGCAACCAAAGGTTCTGATTCATCCTCCTATCTTTTTTTTCTTTTCTGCTGTGTCCATTGGTCAGGATTCAGGGCAAGGTCATGGGTAGAGATTTTGTAGTATGGCCTAGAGCTATATGAAAACAACATTGACCTTGGAGCTAATTCTGTATTTACTTTTTGTTCTCCAGCACCATAGTAGCTTTTATAGACAATACCTAAAAATACTTTTTTTGCATTGCACCTGAGAGGAGTGTAGGTTTGAAAAAGCATCTGTGTCTAAGGGAATCACATTTTTAGAACCATTGTAGAAACTATTGATGGATGTTCCAAACTTATGGCCTTTCTGATTCTTTTTATTCCCTCCTACCATCAAAATTCCAAGCTGAGACTGGAATTTTTTATTCCCTCCTACCATCAAAATTCCAAGCTAACTGTAGCCGTTAGCTACCCTCATCATTCTTTTCTGTGTGTGCTCTCCAGCTTTTTCCCCAATGGATTCCTCTCCGACATCTTACACACTTAACGTCAATATTTGTTTTTAGTCCAAAACTTACTTAAGACATTTGGGAGTTGTCATACGATCACTGATTTGAGTTGTACAGAGTGGATGTGCTGCAGAAAACTAAAGGTCATTCACTTGCATCAAATACTCATATTAAGGGATGATGGTTTGCCTTACTGCTGTGGCAAAGGTGCTCAACAGCATTCTAGCTAAAATAATTCACAGTTGTAACTTAATTTTGTTTGTTTGCTTATTTCTTTTTTTCTGTTTCTTTCTTTCTTTCTTTCTTTCTTTCTTTCTTTCTTTCTTTCTTTCTTTCTTTCTTTCTTTCTTTCTTTCTTTCTTCTTTTTTTTTTTTTCCTGAGACAGGGTCTTGCTCTGTCACCCAGGCTGGAGTGCAGTGGTGCAAACAGCTCACTTCAGCCTTGACCTCCCAGACTCAAGTGATCCTCCCACTTCAGCCCCCCAGTAGCTGGGTCTACAGGCACACGCCACCATGCCTGGCTAATTTTTTAAATTTTTTTGTTGAAATTAGGTTTCCCCATGTTGACCAGGCTGGTCTCAAACTCCTGAGCTCAAGTGAGCCATCTGCCTCAGCTTCACAAAGTGCTGGGATTACAGGTGTGAGCCACCATGTTTAGCCTACTTAATTTTCTCAATAAAAATATTTATATGGTGATTTTGCATTTACTGCTATGTTTGATCTTCACAGCAATGCTGTTCGGTAAGCATCACTGACAACCCTCAGGATGTTAAAGAACTTTCTTGAAGTTATGCAGCCAATAAGCATAACTTGCTGAAGTTATGCAGTAAATAAGCAGCAAAAAAGCAGAGAAGCCAGGAGCTCTTTCCTTTCCAAAAGACTAATATAAAATGTCAAATTTGCATTTAAGAAACAAGCTACTGTTATGGGATCTTTGGGGTGTCAATTTTTCTGGCCAGAAACCTCTGTGGCTGGAGATGCCTTTGCCCAAGTTTTGCTTGGGCCTGTGGGGCTTGTGTTTTGCCCACTTGGCCTGGCAGGCTGCGCTGGGCTCATGCTACCGGCCTGGGTCCCACACCTGCCAAGGGTGAGTCAGGCCTGGAACTGTGAGGAGTGTGTGAGGGAGCATGGAGTCTGGCCACTGTGCAGTCAGACATGCCACCTGCTGGAGCAGGGCAGGCTGCTCCAGGAGCCAGCACAGGTGCGGGCTCTCTGCAAGGCTGTGACTGAACCACTTGCACTGCAAGCAGCTTCCACAGCTGGCACCAGGGAACACAGTGGCTCCTGGAAGATTGGAGATGCCAGGAACTGCAGGGCCCCAAAGAGGGAGGAGTCATAGCCTGGCTTGGGGAACTCCCAGGTCTGGGATCCCCAAAGGGTCACAACTCTTCTTTCCTTCTCTTCGTCCGCAACATGGAGAGCAAGGGGGATGTCTCAGCCATGTTTGCGTTACAGCTCTTTTAGCCTCACCATTCGGTGGGTCCCGAGTTCTTGTCCTACAACCAGGAAGAATGAGGTATGCAGACAAGTGGAGGGTGAGCAAGATGAAGAGGAGCTTTATTGAGCAATAGAACAGTTCAGAGGAAACCCACAGGGGGGTAGCTCCTTTCTGCAGCCAGGATGTCCTGATGAGGGTAGCTCCTCTCTGCAAGATACGTTGTCCTAACAAGTGTTCAGCTATCAGCAGAGAGGAGGCCCTTGAGTGGGTGGCTCCTCTCTGCAGGCAGGTCACCCCGTCATCTCTGCATTCCCAGCAGAGAGGAGGCCTTAGAGTTGATTGATCCTCCCTGCAGCTGGTCATCCTGATACCAGCTCAGCTCTGGCTGAGCCCAGGGCTTTTATGGGCCCTAGAGGGGAGAAAGTGCACACTGATTGGTCCATGGGTGGCCATGGATAGGACCAGAAAAGGCACCACAAGTTCCCATTCAGGTCCGCAGGTCTGGTAGCCTGGCCCCCAGCCTTCAGGCCTTCCCTGGCCTGAAGGTGGTGCCTCACCAGGGACTGGCCCCCTTCTGCCTAGGAACGTGTCTGCCTCCTGCTGCCATTCATGGTGCCCAAACTGTAGGTGCCAAGGTTCACCTGCAGGCCAGCACCAAGCTGCCCTCAGCCCCACCTCAGCTTCCCTCCTACGCTTGTCAGCACCCAAAGTCTGGAGGGGCCTGAGGCTGCAAGGGGCTGGCGGGTCAGCACTGCTCCAAGCATGTGCACACCTGGCCAGGCTGCAACAGTACCCAGGCTCTGCCCTGACTTTGCTCCAAGATCAGAGCAGGCATTGACAGCAGGGAGAAGCCAGGCAGTGGGAGCAGGCATTTGCAAGCCTAGAAGGGCAGGGGGGCCCTCCTGGGTCCCCCAGAGTGCAGAGATGCCTGGGTCCACAGTTGTGGTTTGGGTGGCTGCAGCTGTGCTCAGGGGAGGGTGCCTGCTCCATACAGTGGGAGGCCTGGCTCTGCAGTCACAGTTTGGGCAGCTGCAGTTGTGCCCAGGAGGGCAGGGCTCTCACCTGCTTCTGGGCCCTGAGGCTCAGGGATGCCTGGATTTGCAGCCATGGGTTGGGCAGCTGCAGTGGCACCCAGGAAGCTACTGCCCCATCTTGGAAGGGGTGGGGTCCCCTCTTGTCCCCAGCTCCTGCTGGCTCCATGCAGCATACAGCCCCTGGTGTGCCTCCCTGCTGCAGCTGGCATGATGGCAGTGGCTGCTCCAGATGGCCCACCACTGCCATCACTGCCATTCAACAAACATTTACCATGCACCTCTTAAATCCCAAATGAAGTTCTCTGCTCTGAAATCCCCTATTGAGACCTATAAACAAACCTCAATTATAACATATGCAATCAAAAGAAGATGAGACTTTAGAATACATACTGAATATGTATTTAAAGTTGACCAGAAAAACTGGCTATTTCGTGAAGTGCTATTATAAATTATATTTGTATATGGATAGTCATTGTCTAGTTTTTTTTTTTTTTATCTATTGACCTTAAGCAATACTGGCTTTGTTTAGATGCTAAACTTTAGAGTATGATATGGATTTTAAAATATATTCCTTATGTCATTAATACATAAAAGAAAAAGGAAAATTTAACTCAACCCTTTTCAAAATTAGAACAAATTCCAAGTGAGTTGAATCCTAAGTACACCTTATGAAAATTTGAAATATGTCTGTTCTGAAATGAGAGGCCTGTAGAATATTACCCACACATCTACATATAAAAATACCTTTCCAATGTTTCTTGGCTGAATTACTATCCTTGGTCCAAGGACCATCAAGTTCTGATGTTTTATCTTCTGTATTTTGGTTGGAAGCAGAGCCATTTCACCAAGTAACCTAGCACAGATGCTGGGTTTACTGTAGAATTCTTTGTCTCCCATAGTTAATTGATTGTAACTATACATTATCCCACCTACATCTCCATAATCAAGTGTTTCATATACACTTTGTCTGCCACCACCCCCCACCCACCTTGCTTTTAGATGACTGCAGTACCCTTTCTCAGGTCCTCCTTCTACAGATTGTGGTCAATTCTGAATGCTAAGATTCTTATTAGAGCATTCTCTCCTCCAACAAGAGATAATACCAGGCCATGGGAAAAGATCAAGATCTGGAGTAAACAGACTTGGATTAAAATTCTTCTGCCCATCACTAGTTGTGTGATCATGGACAATTTACTTAACTTCTTTGATCCTTACCCATAGAAAGAAAATGATAATGATCATACTTACTTTGCTAGATTCTTGTGAAGATTAAATAAGATAAATATATAGGGCAGGCACAGTGGCTCATGCCTGTAATCTCAGCACTTTGGGAGGCTGAAGCAGGCAGATCACTTAAGGTCAGGAGTTCAAGCCCAGTCTGGCCAACATGGTGGAACCCCGTCTCTACTAAAAATACAAAAAAATTATCCAGCCGTGGTGATGGGCACCTGTAGTCTCAGCTACTAGGGAGGCTGAGGCAAAAGAATTGCTTGAAGTTGGGAGGTGGAGGTTGCAGTGAGCTGAGATCATGCCACTGCCCTCCAGCCTGGGCGAGAGTTCGTCTAAATGAGTGAATGAATGAATGTGTGAAACACCCAACATAGCATCTAGTGCAGATATCCAACAAATGTTCATTTTATTCCTCTATCTTTCATTAGGCTTCTCCTTCTCCACTAATTCAGATTCCAACCTAAGTTATTGGTGAATTAATCCCATGGTCTTCTCTTCAATCCTCCTATCCACTGCTCTCTTCCCAGAGAGTCACCACCCTGCCTTCTTCCTTTGTCCACAGGAGCCTGCTTGTCTGGAATACCTTCCCTCTCTCTCTTGCTCTTTCATTCAAATCCAGCTCAGGGACTAACTCATCCAAGAATCTTACTGATTAACATGTTGGCATGTTTATTAGCTTATCTTTCTACTGGGTTTAACGTTAACCATGCTGCTTTGTATGGAATGAATTCATAGAATGTGAAACAAATACATAGAAATAACTGTTGCCTGTGTACCCATTCTATAGCACATAGCTGGCAATTGGTTGGTAAGGAAGATATGGTCCTCAAATAAACTGTTCTTGCTAGCTCAAATCATCCTGTCACTGAAGTAATGGAACAGAAAGACCCTATAATGAGATACTAATTAAAGGAACAAGTTATTATTTCTATGTAGTTGACACCAAGCAGCAGTGGTTTTAATTGATAAAAATACTTATTAGAATATATGAACAATAAATGATGTTTGACCCTTAAAGAAATAAACACCACAGAGAAGTGGCCCTCACTACAACATGCAAGAATTTCACTGAGTTCTGAGCCACTACTGCCCCCATATAGCCCATACAAGAGATATAAGGGCACAATTCAAAATGTTTTCCTGTAACATTCTTAGGAAAAGCTTTTATTGCTAGATTTGTTGATAGCTTACTCAGCATCCTATCCCCACTTTCCCCTCCAGACTGGAACTCTAATTTTATGCAGGCATCCACAAAGTGCAGCCCAATTGACTTAGGGGAAGGTGATGCCAGCTCCAGTTTCTCGGTTGGGCTCTGACTAGTCTATGGCAATCATGGTAATCTCATGTCTCTTGCTTGGATTGGTTAGGTAACATGGTTTAAGCAATTAGCTCAGGAATTCTGTTGGCAATGGGGCCTATGATTAGCCAATCAGACTAAAGGAGTTTTATTGTATAATTGGTGGAGAAACTCATTTGTTGTCTGCTGGATATGAATGAGGAATAATGTACTTTCTCACTACTAGCAATGATACTCCTGACTTTTGGGGGAAACTTGTGGGGAAAATGTCCACACTATGGAAGGAAAGCAATGAGATAGAAAGATATGGGGCCTGGACTTCCTTGAGCTGCTAAATCAGTCACTGTGGAAGCCACACCAACATTGGACTTTTTATTATATGAGATAATACATTTTATGATGCTTAAGTTTTAAAACATTCTAATGGGTAACAGTACTGAAAATGGAAACAAATGGAAATCATAATGAATCTTTAAGATCTTGTTGATTTCCAAGCTTAAAGACATCATACAAGTAAACATTCTTAGAGGTACACTTCCAAAGAATATTCTTCTCTCAACCTGTGAGTGAAAGGGAACATGTCTATTCAGGTTCAAGTTCCTATTTGGCTCTTTAGCTTTCTATAGAAGACCTTCTTGCTATTGAAGACTATGTGGAAGCCAAGATGTAATAGCTGAAATGAGGTATTTGACATCTTTGAGTTTATTGCCACAAACTTCTTTCCCTAACGCTTTGTTTCCCCTGCTTCAAAATACCCCCAAATAAAACCAGATCATCAGGGTTACTCTTACTGAGTTGATTGTTGGGGTGATGTCATCATTATATTTTCAAATACTTGTCTTTTTTCATAAGATGGTTGCCAAAGCCATCATTAATGTAGTTAATTTGACACTGTCCTCCTTATATTCCTTTGTCCCATGAGAAATAACTGTCTTCTAGTATGAAGATTAGTAATACTTGAGTAATTTATTTTTTAAAATGAAGAACATTATAAATTGTTTCTCCATAAAGTATTTCCCAAAAAAGGAAAGTAGAGTTATTCACAAGAAGACATAAATTTTGTGTTTTTAAGTGATATTCTAGAAAACAAATTAATATAAGCATATTTTGATCATTTGCATCTTATAATTAAAACTGGTCCACAGTTTCACTGTCTGAGTTCATGTTTGTGCTTCCAGTAGAGTTGATATCAAGTGATACTTCTTGATTTGTTGCCAGGTAAAAGGAAAAGAACACTGGTGGGCTTGATAGATTGAGGATGTCTTCTCACCAAAGGAAAGCCAAACAGTATCTCAACAGGCCATATGAACTAGGTGTCTCAGTAGTTTAATTAGAGAAAAATGGAGGGAGAATTGAGTCATCAAATTGTAGCACGCTAAACTTGAATGAACTTTCATCTCAGCACTCAATTCTATACTAAGTGCAAGCAGGACTTAGTTTCAAACAACACCATTTATCATGTAAAATTAAGGTTATTAGCTTGCCTTGTTTTTGTAGTTTTGCTTATATGCCATCAAATTTGTTTCATATAGGTGAATACATAAAAGCTATAACCACATAGAGTTTATACCTTGCTTAGCTAAGTACACATTGAATAACATCTTATATGTTGATGCATGATCTTGGGCAAGTTATATAACTCTTTGTTTCTCGGCTTTCTAATCTACAAAAAGGAGGTAATAGGATTATCTACTTAATTAGATTTTGTGAAGATTAAATGATTTGGTGTATGTAATGTACTAAGAAAAGTATCTGGAATTCTAGTAAGCACTCTATTAGATCTCCACTAACTACTATTATACTTTTGCTTCTATTAAAAACAGAATAATTTAAACCAACACTCAAGGTTCATCAGGGTTTTTTCCTTTTCCAAAAATATGCTAGAGTTTGATGTCTTCCTTTTCTCTGTCACTGCTAGAAAGCTTAGCACCAAATTCTGTGGCTCACCAACAGCTAGAGCATGACTACTATAGTGTATCTTTTTTGGCCTCCATTTACGTTTCTATCCATATTTTTTCATCTATGCTCAAAGTTTTAATTTATGAGGTTCTACTGCACTTTATATATCTCTTTAAGCTATCTTAACTCCATTGTGGAACAGAAGGTGTGGTACATAAAAATCAATAAAAACACATATCCACTGTGTGAAAACAGGGAATCTGATAGACAATAAGGCTCCCTGGGACATATTACCACATACAGGAAGGATCTCAGAGCTCATTTCCTGGACTGTGCGATATTTTCGCAGGAGTAGGAGTATAATATAATTGACCACAATTATCTTCTGTCTGTTCTATGAATGTTGCAAGTGTTTATTCTATTTCTGTAAAAACCCTGATGTAGTATATTTTTTTCATTTTTGTTATAAAAACTCTCTCACAATGAGTTCATTTAGAAGACTCAATGTTTGTCTATTTTTTATTTATGTTTCTAAGGTTTTGATGATTTCTTTTTTTTTCTTGAGAAGGAAGTATAGGCATTTCTAGTGCAAATGCTATGTTTCAGGTCCAGAAGAACAGAATATTACTCACGATGACAGTTACATGATTTCCATTTCCTAATCTTTCTGCTCCATTTTCTGGGCCAGATTTCAACCTCAAACATTTTGTACTGAGATAAATGAATAGCTCGCAGGAGATTTTTTTGCTAACTATTATAGTTTGTTAATTGAGATGAGAAATAACATGATTCATCAAGTGTTAAAATTTGCTACTTATAGTCTTTGGGGAAAAAATACCTATCAATGTATCCAGAACCATTTTGCTTTTAAAGTAATTATCACTTCATTTTAGGAGTTGAGATGGGAGAGAAAAAGAAAGTGATAACTTCACCTATAAGTGTCTTCTGTGTCTGTAAGGACGATTATTCTCCAATTAAAATTTTCTACTCAACCTGGCATTCAACTCTCATTTCATTGAATTTTTTTCTTTCAACTGTATTATTTGATGTGTGATTTATTAAGACAATGCAAAGAGAAAAATTGAATTTCAGGACCTCTAAATAATAACTTTTAAGTGTTGCTTTGTGCTCCCCCATATCCAGCCAGTTGTGATATTATAACATTGACTTATGCAAGTGATTTCTTCTTTTATTAATTATTATAATTTTCACCTGCTGAAGTTGCCTATAAGCATTAACAGCAGAATATTTATTTTCTTAATGTTACCATCTGTTGCTTTATGTGATCAAGGTCTACCTTCTACTGGTAACTTAAAATCAGATAGTTACAAATAGCTCTTAATAATATCTATCTTCGTGAAATACAATCTCCAACTTTAAGTTTCCTTGAGACTGATACACAACAAATAGGTTTGACAACAAAACCACACATAGAGATTTGTGTTTCTTTCTGATCTGTGAATCAGCCTGATACAAAAAATGATCTGTAGCGAGGCAATATGAATAGTGTTAACAGACATACATGATACATTTACCAATCTCCACATTTCATGGATTATTATCCCAATATTAAATATAACCTTCCTAGCTTCCATGAAATCCTGAGAGCAAAAGCTTTTACGAACTGAAGTTCTGTATGTTTGACAAGAAATATTTGAAAACAATGTGAGTAGGCAGACCAACTTAGTAGGTCCATATGGTGTGTCTTGAGGAGTTCCTCTCTAAATGGCCCTGATGATCTATTAGAAATAGACTGATTCTTCAGAGTTCAGAGTTGTTCATTAAAATTTAAATATTCCTTGAAAGGTGACATTAAGCTACTTTCAACCATTAGAATTAGTTTGCCAGATTTTAAACGATGAATAAATAAGTGTTCCTTGTTCAAAAACCAAATTCAACCAAGACAAAACAAAGGGGTATTAAGAGAAGTTTCATTCCCTTACTCATTCTCTAATTCCACTCCATTCTTGTGTATCTTCCAGAAATTTTCTTTGCATATCAAAGCACATTCTTGTGAATTTTCCAGGAATTTTCTTTGCATATCAAAGCATTTACTTTCAGATTTTGTTTTTCAAGTAGGACAATCTCTCTCTCTCTCTCTCTCTCTCTCTCTCTGTCTCTCTCTCCACTGCTTCCTCTCCACCTCTTGTCCATCTATCTGGGAAAGGGCAATAGTCTCTACACTCTCCTCCTTTATTTCACTCCCAAGGGAAACCAATATGAATGAAATTAATAGCCTTTCTCAGTGCTCCAATAAAAGCAAATAATATCTTTGTCTGATTTCTCTAAATGGGAGGATATTTTATACATTATTTGATAATTGTCTTCTTGCTAAACAATACATGGACTCCCCCAAAAATAATAGATATGTCTTAATTTATTTTTTAAGAGACAGGGTTTCACTTTCTCATTCAGGCTGCAATGCAGTGGTGCAATTATGGCTCACTCCAGCCTCCATCTCCTGGGCTCAAGCAATCCTCCTACCTTAGCTTCCTGAGCAGCTAGTACTATAGGCATGCACAACCATGGCCAGCTAATTTTTAAGTTTTTTGTAGAGACAGTGTCTCACTATGTCTCACTGTCTTGCCCAGGCTGGTCTGGAACTCTTGGGTTCAGGTGATCCTTCCACCTCAACTTCCCAAAGTGTTGTGATTACAGATGTGATCCACTGTGCCCAGCCCTTCCTTTTTTCTTTTTAACAGCTATATAATATTCCTTAAAATTGACACTGTGACAATGTAATACTTATTACAATGTTGTAATAAATATTCTTACATTGTAGTCTTACATTCTTGTGTTTTTACTTGGATAAGATACATACTCAAAAGTGAGATTGCTGAGTGAAAGAGTATATATACATACTGCATTTTCAGCCATATGGCCAGATTTTAAAAGTGTGACAATTCATCCTCATATTTCCACCAGCAATATCTGAATGTGATTGTTTCCCCACATCCTTGATAGCACTGGATTTTGTCATTCTTCATAATTTGCCTACTGCTTTTATTTGTATTTGCCCAGTAGGGTAAATTTTTTATGATTATTGGCCACTTGAATTTCCTGTTTTGTGAATTAATCATTCATCTCCTTCATCAGTGTTTCTATTGGTTGCTTGTCTTTCATTACTATTATTAATTTATAGAATTTATTGTGTATTTGTGGTATAATTGGTGGTCTTATATATTGCAAATATATTTTCCAAGTCAATGAATGATGTGAGTGGCATCTTAGTGTAGTGCCCAGTTTCTAGAGCCAGACTGTCTAGGTTCAGATTTTAGGTTTATTATTTATTGGTGTGTGATCTGAGGCTGTAGATTTATCTTCTGAAATGTGGAAATGAAAATCATGCTTAGTTCATAGAATGGAATGAGGATTAAATGAATTAATAAATGTGAAACATGTAGTATAGCATTTGGTACAGAGTAGATCAATATTTTTTGTTTACTGGTATTATTTGTATACTGTATTTTGCTCTAAAAGCCTTTTAAATTGTCATATAGAATCTACATTTATTAGTTTACTTAATGGCTCCTGAGTTTTCTGTCTTGCGCATGAAAATTTCCTCTGCTCAACAGTTATGCAAACTAAGAACTTTTTTCTCCATGACTAGCCTACTGTATTTGCACGATGTATTTTCTATTTTCTATTTTATTCCTTTATTTTTCTTTTTGAGATGGATTCTCACTATATTCCCCAGGCTGGTCTTGAACTCCTGGGTTTAAGCAATCCTTCCACCTCAGCCTCAGTAGCTGGGATTACAGGTATGCATGCACCACCATGCCCATCTTGTATCACATATTAAACAAAACCTGCTTTCCACTGACATTTATCAGGATCCCATATATACATAGTTTTTATTTTACTCTCTATTTAATTCCACATTTTATTGTCTATTCCTTTTATTACAGTACATTGAAGTAGGTTTAATATCTAATAAGGCTAGCCCCATATAAAAATATTTTTTGAGTCTTCTTGGCTATTCTCAGATGCTTTCAGTTGACCTTTGAAATGTTACTCAACTCCAAAATATGTATATTTGAATTGAATAAAATTTACATGTTAATTTTGAAAGGGTAACATTTTATGATGTTAAAGCTCCTCATTCAGGATCACGGTATACATTCAATTCATTCAAGTCTTGATTTATGTCTTTAGTATAATTTTATATTTTTGTCATGTATATTTTGTCATAATTATTGCTATTGTGAATGATATTTCTAATATGCTATGTTATTCTATTCTATTGGTTATTGCTAGTATAAACAGAAATTAAATATTTTTGTACCTTACCTTAAATCCATTCTTTTTTTAGTACTGTTAATTTATTAAATTAGTCTCTTTGGATTTCTAAGTCTATACTCACGTTCTGCAAAAAGGAATAACTTTTTCATTTTCCAATATTTTCCAATATTTGTATGCATTATTTCATTTTTTTCTTTAGTGCATTAGCTCTAAAATGATGTTGAATGAGAATGTTGATGTTGGCTTTCTGCCTTGTTTCTGGTTTTAATAGAAATGACATTAGCATTTTACTGTTTAGCTTGATGCTGGCTCTTAATTTGGTGTGTGGCAAATAGTCTATTATATTTTCTTTCTACTTCTGTTTTATTTACTTTCTACTTCTATTTTATTTAGAGGTTTTAAAAATTATATATGGTGAATTTTTATACATCCCATTTTGTATACTATTGTTATAGTCATAACAATATGCATTTTCACACTCAATTTGTTGGTGTAATGAACTATCTGAAAAGAATGTTTAACATTGTACTATCCTTGAGTATCTAGAATAAACTCCAATTGTTGCTCTTTTCATTTATTGTTGGATTAGATTGGTAATATTTTATTTAAAATTTTCATCTATGTTGTACTATTGGGTTTTGTTAAACAGGTATTTCTAATTGTATAAAATGGAGATTAATGTATTTTCTATAAGCTAGTGTACATTAAATAACATGAATTATCAGTTTTTAAAGACTAGATATATCTGTAACACCACCTGGGCCTGTATCTTTTCTTCAAAGCATGGCTTTAGTTATCTTCTATGTTTATTGGTTTGTTTAGGTTTTTATTCTTTCTTAGGCTAATTTTAGTAACTTATATTTTGTTGGAAATTTACCACTTTCCTCTAAATTTTCAATTTTATTTCCATAGAGTTGCATATACTTTTCAACAGAAATGTAGTCTCTCCTACATCTGTGGTTAAATCTCTCATTTTAAACACGTATATTTTTCTTTCTTCCTTTTCTTAATCAAGTTTTTTGAAAGAATCTGCTTTTGTTTCAGATTGCTTTTCAAATAGGAGTGAGTTGAAGTGGAAAAGGTGAGACAGTCATAGAGGAGAGCAAGTACAGAGAAAGACCCTGTGGTGAGATGGGGATAGCTGCCTCTCAGCACTATCTCACAGTTTGCCTATAATTAGTATTTCAGGGGTTGATAAAGTCATTGCTTTCTATCCATTAGACTGTCAAAAGTAGCTTGGCACAGTGCTGGGAGGCAAAGAGATGTCAACTAATGTGACAAACTTAATAGATTGGAAGCTGCTGCCTGCTTCTTAGTGTTCTTTGAAACAATGTTTTCGACAATAGGTTTAGTTATCCAAACCAAGTTCAGGTTCTGGCTAGTTACTACATGTCCCTGGCACATTGTAGGCACTCGACTAATAACTATTTGAATGAATGAATATCTATTGCATGCTCTTAAACTCACTGAGTGTCACTATATTAGCCTGTTCTCACATTGCTATAAAGGAACATCTGAGACTGGGTAATTTATAAGGAAAAGAGGTTTAGTTGGCTCACGGTTCTGCAGGTGCTACAGGAATCTTAGTGGCTTCTGCTTTTGGGGAGGCCTCAGGAAGCTTTTACTCTTGGCAGAGGCAAAGTGGGAGCAGGTGTCTTACATGGCAGGAGCAAGGGGTAGGGGTAGATGCTACACACTTTTAAACAACTCATGAGAACTCACTCACTATCAAAACAGCACCAAGGGGATAGTGGTAAACCATTCATGAGAAACCACATTCATGATCCAATCACCTCCCCACCATGCCCTACCTCCAACATTGGGGATTATAATTTGACATGAAATTTGAGTAAGGACATGGATTCAAACTATATCTTCACCATCTGCATCTGTAGAATGAAATGGTAACACCAGCCACAGGAGTTTATCATGAGGTTTAAATAAAATGAGTCCTTGTATATGCAAATACTTTCTTAGTTATAAAACATTATGAAAATGTAAAACTTTTGGCCCGAAACTGTACTAGAATTAAATTCTTGGTCTGATAACTCATCTACTTATATGTCACTTACTGTGTTTTTGTTTCCTTAACCCCTGCTTAATAGTTTATCATTCAATAATAACCGATTTATCAAATAGATTTCAGCAGCAATGGATTGCTCATTGGGATATGGGGCAGCATATATGGTTTGCCTGGTTCATGGTAAAATGTGACCTCGGGGCTTTCTCAGGCCCTGAACTCCAACTTTGTGTATTTTTTTAAAAATTAGTAATTAAACAAGATATCTGACTACAAAAACCATACATTTGACCTACTTTAACATATTCCACTCTGATTTGAGCTCTGAAAATTTCATCTGCTGGGATAATAAGGAAAACTATTTTGATTATCAAGTATTTGAATGTGATATATTCCCTAAGTTCAGATTTCCCTGTTTGTATCTAACTTGGCCGAGAAAAAAACTTACTATGGTTTCAAGCTATCCAAAAATTACTAGCAATCGGATGTTTGAAATGACTGTAACAAAATAAATATCTCCAAGTCAACAAATCATGGCCTGTCATATCAATAGTAAGCACTGGATGATGTAATCACTAAGCCAGGACCTTCAAAATCTTGGAAGATTTCTATGTGATTTTCTATCTTAGGTGTCCCAATCAAAATTAGCCATTCGTATCAAATATTAGCAAATGTCAAAATATGGCAGTTAAAAGAAAAGATCTAAGATGTTAGACCTTAACCTAGGTTCAGTTTATCCTTGAGCAGAAGCACTATTGTACTGAAGGTCATTTGGAGGTCAGCATTATTTTTCAGCAGAAACGCTCTTCACAGGCCTCTCTTAAGTTGGCAGTTGTCATTTTCCTCTCTTTTTTTCTTTTCCTTTGACCTGGAAATCACAGGGCAGGCCATTGATGCTGAACCTTTATCGGGCTGCCCTAGAGTTAAAGCAATGACTCATTCTTAAATTTGGAAAAAGAGAGCTCAATGATTAACAGAATCAGGGAGGACTATGGCAGAAGCCCATAGCTGAGTTCCCAGAAAGTGCTGCTTATTGACTTCCAAAGTTTGGGGTTTTGGAGTCAGCAAGCAAAGCTCCTGACCTCACATCACTCACCATCCTCTGTCACCCCTGAGTAAGGATCAGCTTGGCCACCCAGGTCAGAGAGCATGGATCCCTTAGGCAAAAGAGTGTGTTGTGCCTACTGTGGGATGCCCTGGCCCTGGGCTCTCTGACTGGGAAGCATTTCTCACCTCACCTCAACTCATGGGGAGCCTTCAAATTGCCCTATTCTTGGAGAAAATCCTCACTCAGGCACTTTAAATGGCTCTTGGAAGAATCACGGCTCACCCACTGCAGGGGTTGGATTGTGTTTTCATGAAAGGAGAGTTAGGAAATCAACCCTTGTATTATATATATCACATTTGATGGGCAATCTCAATTGCATGGATATTTAACTCTGAGAGTATTTCAGTGCAACGTGTAAGAGTCATACACTATAGTATAAAATATAGGTACTTTGCCAGCTTTCTCAGCCTATGACCCCCAAAGGTATGAACTTAATCATGCCAAATAGAGAACACAATTATGAATACCTTTGACTTGAATTCTATTTTTACAGAAAAGGCAAACAGTTAGTGGTTTACATTATTTTGTGTACCTTAAAATAAGTTATGAATTGTTATAAAATGAAAGGAGGAGATTTTTGTGATCTTCAATGTTTCAAAAAGGCTATTCAGAATAAATATTTACAAGTAAAACTTAAAAGTTGTAAACGAAACTGACCTTGCAGTTAGTAGTTCTGTGAACTAAACTAGCAATTTTGCCTGAAAGGAAAAACAATGTCATCAATAATTTTGTGAATCTTATTTAAAATAATTTATTTTTTTTAAAAAGCCATTAACAAAATCTGCTTTATGCATGAGAAATCTAACACTTTAAAACTTATAAAACTTGTGAGTGTTAAGATTTGTTTGCTCACATTTACTGCTTATGCTGCAAGTATTAGGGTAAAATAATAGTAATGGCGATAATTGTGAGGGCTTCAATTTAGTCAAGCTATCATTTATATCATTTATGTAATTCATAAAATTATATTTTTAAAATAATTATAATTTTTTAAAAGTGAGCATATAACCTATAGTTATTAGACTTATAAATTGGGTCAGAACTATATTATTTGATTCTAGGCTTGTGGGTTATCATGAAACAAAACTCATAAGCCCTTTAGAATAATCAGAACCACTGAGGGTTAGCAGTGCATGCAAAGGACTGGGAATTTTGTTAGAGACACTTGGTTACAATCCAAAAATCTAATGCTACAGTCATACTGTTTGTAGCACTTGATTATTTACAAAACTGGATGGATTTGAACACTTTTTAGTCATGAGCTCAAATTCATTTACATATCTTAATACTAAAGCTATAGTATTCACCTTGTTATAAACACCTTCTCTAGCTTTTAAATGTCAAACTTGTGATATTTAGCACTTATTGTATGAATTATATAAATGATAGAAAGTTTGACTAAGTTGAGGCTTTAAAAATTATTACTTTTTGCATTAGTACCTGTAGCATTAGCACAAATGTGTGCAACCATGTCTTAAGTGACCAGTTTTATAACTTTCAATGTGTTAGGTTTTTCCGTTATATAAGTCAAATTTTGTCAATGGCCTTTTTCTTATGAAATCCTTTACTATTCATGAAAATTTACAAGAAAATTTTCATTAAATGATTAGGAAGAAAAGGCATATTTATTGAACTGTGTAATGCTGAAAAGTTTACGTCTTCAGCAGAATTGTTAGACCTGTTCCAGACTTTGAGCAATATCCACATTATCGTCATTAACTGAAAAATAAAGACAAAACTATGCCATTGTGTCCACTATGTGAAAAATAAAATCTCGTAATATCATAGGCATGGAAGTTGCTTATCATTTCACATTTAGTGCTTTGTTTGAAACTGACCCATGACCCATTTGAGACCAAAGTTCATGCAATTGGCAAGTAATGGTTGCTTTATTGTGTGGTTCTGACATGGGAAGTGCACAAAAAAGGGATTCATAAAGTGTGTGGAATGAACAAATTCCCTCTGAGCTTTATAGACTTTCTAAAATTCAAATATGGAAAAGGAATGAGAGAAATAAATTATTAGGTAGCCAGTTTTATTCTCCCCCGCACTCCACCCCAAAATAATAGTCCTGGGATCCCCAGTTCTTGAATATTTTCATGCCTCTCAGAGTGAGTTTCATGGTCCAAGACCTGTGCATTTACTAAACATGACAGAACTTTTAGCAGTGGGATAGTGCTATATTCCAGCTATGTAATGTGTTAAATAGGCCTTTATGTCTAGGCTTCAACCCTAACTATGATTTACCATATTTGGAGGCTGGTGTAAAGGGAGGAAAATAAATTCAGATTTGGAGTGTTTCCTGGAACTTGCACACAGCCAAAACTACTTTCCTGTACACCTGTGTGCCACGCACAGGCCAGGCAGATGAGGAGGAAAGTCCAATGCTTGACAATGTAAAGTTGAAAGGGAGGCTTACCCCAGGAACAAAAAGAACCAATTAGCAGTTTAGAATTTCTACCTCCTGCCTCGATGAATCAAGCAGGGCTTCCCTTCTTTCTTCAGCATCATTTTTCAAACGGAAGAAAAGCTTCTTATATGGCTTCTGGGGGAAAAACTGAGGGAGAAGGGCTGCCCAGACAGATATTCAAAGTTAGGAGTTTGTCACTGGGGTCAGCATGGCTAGGAAGGGGCACTATTTTAGGAAGCCAAAGCCTTTGGTTTAATTCACAGCTCTCCTACTTAGTAGAGACCTTGGGGAAGTCTCCTGTTTTCTTAATTCTTGTTAAATTGGACCACAGTCACACCCATTTGTTTACATGTTGCTTCTGGCTGCTTTCATGATACAAGTGTTGAGTTGAGTAGTTGCAACGAAAACTGTGTGGCTTGTGCTACGGTTTGAATGTGTTTGACTCCTCTAAGTTTGTATGTTGAAAGCCAAATCTCCAATGGAACAGCTTTGGGAGATGGGGTCTAATGGGAAATATTTAGGTTGGAATAATGCCATTATGAAAAGGGCTTGCAGGAGAAGATTTGCTCTTTTTTGCTCTTCTGCCATGTGAGGAACAGCGTTCCTCCCCTCCAGAGGATGCAGCATTCAATGTGCCATCTTGGAAGGAGCAACCAGACCCTCACCAGACACCAGATACTGGTGACTTGTTCTTGAGATTCCCAGCCTCCAGAACTGTGAGAAATAAATTTCTGTTCTTTATAAGTTACTCAGTCTCAAGTATTATGTTATAGCAGTGCAGAATGAACTAAGTCAGCTTGCAAGAGAAAAAATACCTATAATCTGGTATTTTAGATAAAAAAGTTTGCCGACCCCATCTAGACCAAATTTTAGGGTAGCAAACTGATTAAACTATTTGACATTATGGTGTGGATGACTAATCTCTCCCATCTCCAAGGATTAACCTAGTAAAATGCTTTCAAGGCAAAATAAATTACAATTACATAAATAAAATCTCGGTGGGTGACCGATACTTTTTAGTAGCTATCTTTCTCTAGGCCTACCAGGAAGTACCTACCTTTTCAGCTACATACATACTTCATTTAAGCCTATTTTTAGTTAGCTCAACACACTGTGCTTGCGTATGTCTCTGTTTACTCTGCTTGGGTTGTCCTTTCCATTCCTGCACCACTCCCATGTACCTGGATAATTCCTACCTGTTCTTACAACTTAGCACAAATCTCATGTAAGATATTCCCCAGTGAAGGCTTTTCAACACCTCTTCCAACCCATCCCAATATTTCTTCTTGCTTAATCTCAATCTCAACCATAATGCATATTATTTATTTTACCAAAGTATGTATCACAGTATATTATAATTATCCATCTGTGTGTTGCCTCCATTAAATTATAAACTCTTTGAGAGCATAGACCATCTCTCTTTACTCTTACATTCCCTAGCACGATGCTTGGCATATGGTAGGTTAATAGTACGTAGCGAACCAATATTCATTCATCTCCCTGAGTCTAATCCTGAATAAGTAAAATTCTCGCTACCTATTTCAATGGCAGGAATGCCCATAAGCAGAGCATTTTCTCAGAAAATTTCCTTGAATATTGTGAAAAGAAAATGGGTAGATATCTATCTATCCTTATTTGTTACAGCAAACTGACTTTCAGAGCACTGCTAATAGGTATTGAATTTCCAGATAATTTTTTTGTGTGGAGAAGTCTTGAACAAGGTCATGTGCTCAGAAAGTATGAATTGTAGCTTTTGTAAGCTCAGGTGTGCCAAAGCATTGGTAATATGGGAAGTATTTTCTCAAGACTGAAATGTTTGTGAATAATTTTCCCATTATGTCAGTACTCAGCATTGAATCCAACAATATTAAACAAATCCTTCTTCTTTATTTAACTTTACTGGAAAGCCTTACAGAATTATATATTATTCATGTAGGACTTTATCATGGAAGTAGCAAGCTGAAGACCCAAACAGGAAACACCATTAATACTATCAAGTTTTATAAAATGTGGGAGTCCTGGCCTCTATTTTACGATGTCCCAGACTTGGCTTGAAGTTAAAGTCGACTGACTTCTGAAAACAGCCTCGATCAGCACTCATTATTAAACATGAGAATGCATTCAGACGTATTGTCAGACGTCCTGCCGCTACTGGAGAACAATATGGCACAGGAGGGAACCTCCACTGCTAGGCAATGGAAGGACTTTTGAGTCTTCAGCTGATGCAGTGGAAATTTGTTGTTTGTTCTGCTCAACATTCACTTTCTTTTCTTCTGGTATATTTTCTTTTGGTGACCCACCGCTTCCTCCCTCACAGTCCATGTGGTTTCCGTGGGCCTGACTCTACACTTACTCACTCTAGGCTTTAGGAGACATGCTCCAGACTGGGCCCATCTGCATTTCCGTCCTAGTGTCTGGTTCAAGGATAGCAGATGACTCTCGGCCAGTTCTTCAATAATAAACTATACCTGGAATTGCCAAGGGCTCTCATGTTGACAGAGCCTGCCTGAGAGTGATGTCTCTACAGGAAAGAGTGGAGCTAAGAGATGGAGGGAGTCCTAGCAGCATCATCTGAGTTATGCCAAATGGCTGAAAATTCCTTTGGACTTTTCAATTATCTTAATAAATAAATAAATTTTTAAAATTAATTTAATTTGAGTTACAGTCTTTATTGGTTACAACCAAACAGTTCTTTCAGCTCTAACCTATAAATAATACTGTAATGAAATTAAAAAATTAACTGGAAAAGATATCTAAGAAAAGTCCAGAGTTCAAATAACAGAAAAGTAAAATATAAAGAGAATTAGCATTAAATATCTCTAAAAATCTATTGAAGGTAGCTTCAAAAATTACACAAATTTTCTTGGGAATAATTCAACTCAACTTGGAACAATACATAACATAAAGTTATTGTATTTTCACTTTTTAGTTTTAAATTTCATAATTTTGAGTATAACACAATATTTAGTCATTTGGGGCATTAATAATTCGAATATTATAATTGATATTAAATAAAGGCAATACTTTTTCTTTAATTACATATTTTTAAAAGGATTAATTCATTCTTTAAAAATATATTATGAAATATTTAATATAAATGAAACTATAATGGAAACATAAAATATACAAATATAAAATAATATAACACTTGCAAACTTATTGGTCTGTATTATAAATATATTTTTGTAAGTAAAGTTCAAGTTCCTAAATCCCTCCCTGGACAAATCCCTCTCTTTTCCTCCTAGAAGTAATTACCACCCTGAATTTGCGTTTATTATTCCCATGCATTTCTTCATACTTCACTATATATGTGTAAAAGCCTGAACAACAGGTAGTGTTAGTTTGTATCTAAGCTTTATGTATGTGATATAATGAGTGTATATTTTCTTTTTCAACTTGCTTTTTAAGTTAAACATTATGTTTGCAAAATTCATTCATGTTAAAATTCATTTCACCCATTAACTCGTCATTTAGCATTAGGTATATCTCCTAATGCTATCCCTCCCCGCTCCCCCCACCCCACAACAGTCCCCGGTGTGTGATGTTCCCCTTCCTGTATACATATGTAACAAACCTGCACGTTGTGCACATGTACCCTAAAACTTAAAATATAATAATAATAAAATTTAAAAAAAGAAAAAAAATTCATTTCATTCATTCATTTTTACAGCATTTCAAGTTTTAACAGTTTGAGAACCTGGTTGGCAGAAAGGAAAATCTATGAAATAGGATTTTCACTAAAATTTCACAAAGAATTAGCATTTTCTTCAATTATAAAATAAGCAACCAACTATAGTAATATGTGACTTTGTCACCAATCGAAATTACAGATATTTCCATGTTACATTATGGTTGATATAGAGATCTCAAAATACGGACTAAACTCATTATTACTTTGAGATTGTTAGTTGCTAATCTTGCTACCATATCTTATTATTTAATGAGTTAATACAACACCATAGTACCACAACTATTTTAGTATGCTGATAATAATCATGCTTCAATGTAATTTCTTTGTAATCCTATATATTTTATATAAAGGCATCAATTTTTTTTTTGATATGGAGTCTCGCTCTGTTGCCCAGGCTGGAGTGCAGTGGCGCATGCTCAGCTCACTGCAAGCTCTGCCTCCCAGATTCACGCCATTCTCCTGCCTCAGCCTCCAAAGTAGCTGGGACTACAAGTGCCTGCCACCACGCCCAGCTAATTTTTTGTATTTTTAGTAGATACGGGGTTTCACCGTGTTAACCAGGATAGTCTTGATCTCCTGACCTCGTAAGCCGCCCGCCTTGGCCTCCCAAAGTGCTGGGATTACAGGCGTGAGCCACCACGCCCAGCCTAGGCATCAAAATTTTTAAACATTATCCTGAGAAGGGTTTCACAGACTTCATCAGACTGCCAGAGAGGTTCTTCACACAAACAAGGTTAAGCACATTTGCTCCTATGCAATTCCACTAAAAATCTTAAGTATCTACCCAAGACAAATAAAAATGTATGCTAGTACAAAGACTTGTATATGAATGTTCGTGGCAGTATTATTTGTAATAGCCAAAAAGTTAATGGTCTAGCTATACATGGAAATATCACTTTAGCAATAAAAAGGAATTACCTATTGATATATGCCTCAACACAGATGAACTTCAAAACTATTATGCTAATGAAAGAAGCCAGATACAAAAGACCACAAATTTTATTCCATTTATAGGAAATGTCTGGAAAAGGCAAATCCATAGATACAGAAAGTAAATTAGTGGTTTCTTGGCAATGGGGGTGGGGAAGATGGGATTAACTGAAAATGGACATGAGGGATCTCATGTTTATTATCTCATGTAATATTGCACAACTTTGTAAATTTATTAAATAATAAATTTGATAAACATAACACTTTTTTCGGTAATTAAAATGCTCTAAAATTGGATTGTGGTAATATTGCACGATGTTATAAATTTATTAAAAATCACTGAATTCTACACTTGAAATAGCTGAAATTTATAATATTTACATTAAACCATAATTCAGCTACTAAAAAACCAAGAATTTTTCCTCCATTGTATAACCAGAGCATTTATTTTCTGATTAATGGATATTTATTATTTCTCTTTTTTTTTTTTGCTATTAATAGCAATGTCGCTGAGTATTCTTGTGCATCACCTTTTGCTGTCAACAGGCATGTCTTCATGTTGTATAGCTAGAAGCAGAATTACTATCTTCTACTTTACTATTGAAAAATTGTTTTCTACATGGTTGCAACAACTTATATTCCACCAGCCATGTGTAAGAATTTTTGTTAATTCATAGCCTCACCAATACTTGGTATGGTCAGACTTTTAACTTTTGACAATCTAGTAGGCATGAAATGATACCTTGTTTTAATTTGCTTTGCAATATTTTTTCAACTGATATGAGACACTGGTGTTTCCCCTTCTGTCATTCAAGGCAAGATAGTGTAGTGGTTAGGTGCTGGGGGACTTCTGACTAGGTTTGAATTATGGCTTTACCACTTTCTAGAGTTTATGTAACTTGGGAAAAGTATTAATTTTTTTCATATATAACTTCGTGTATTTGCTTAAATTTATTACTAAAGGCCATATTTTAGTTCTTGTGTTGCTTCTTTTAATTACATTTTATATTTTTTCCTGTCCATGTAGGTTATCATATCATTTGTGACATATACAGACAAGCTATGAGAGTGAATGTAATGTGTGAGTTACAAAAGCTAGTTGTATTTTTATGCACCAGAAAAAAGTATCAGTTACACTGAAAAACTTCAAAGTCAAAGAGAAATTCTTTAAAGATCCAGAAAAAAAGAATGATCCAGATTACCTTCAAATGAGCAACAGTTTAAATGAGGACTGACTTCTCAACAGCAACTATGAAAACCAATGTAACTATATCTTCAATAAACTGAAAGAAACTAACTGCCAACTAAGAATTTAGTTTGTTCTTTTTCAACCTTTACATATTTTATTTTTCTGTTCTTATTTTACTGTTTAGAACCAGGATATTAAATATAACACAATATTAAATAAAACTGGTGATAGAGGACATCCTTATCTCATTCATGATCTTAAAGGGAGTGCTTTTAATGTTTTGCCAGCAAGAATAATGTTTCTGTGGAACTTTTATAAATATCCTTTGTCAGATTAAAGTATCTTCTTTCAATTTTCATTTTTCTATGAGTTTATCATAAAAGGGTGCTGAATTCCAATATCTGTTGAAATGATTAAAATTGTTTTTTCCTTTGTTAACATAGCAAATCATAGTAATAACTTTTCTAATGTTAAATTACTTTTTTTAGTCATGAAATGAACCTAAAACTGCTATCCTGTATTACCTTTTTTACGTTTTGCTGGATTTAGTTTACCAATAGGCTTGTTTAGGATTTGCAAATCTTTGTACATGAGTAATTGAGTTTGGCCCATAATTTTCCATTCTTATATTATTCTGTCTGGGATTGGCAAGTGGAACACAGGATGATTTCATCTGCCACTTCTGCCCCTCAGTGAGTACTCTTCTGCAGTGCAAAACCCTAGCTTCAATCTTTAGTAATAAGAGTTAAGTTAAACATCAGGTTCACTATGTATGTCCATTTATGTGTGGACATGATGTTTAACTTAACTCTTAATACTAAAGATTGAAGCTAGTCAGAGCGTTCCTCCTGAACCCTCTAACTCTGACTACACCATCCTCAATTTAAGTTCTTTGTTCTGGACTATGTTTTGTTCTGCGTTTTCATATATCAGATATGTTTGTAGAATATATCTGAAACATATATGAAAACACATATAAAATATATTCCACAACTTAACTTTTTATTCTGATATATATAACATTTATTCATTACTATTATTACTCATTATTATTACCATTATATTGCTTACAGTTTCTTGTGTCTCAGACCTTTTTTCAATGTATATAAATTACTACATAATAAAAATTAAAAATAAGGCCAGGTACAGTGGCTTATGCCTGTTATTCCAGCACTTTGGGAGGCCGAGGCAGGGAGACCACTTAAGCTCAGGAGTTTGAAACCAGCCTGGGCAACACGGTGAAACCCTGTCTCTAAAAAAAATACAAAAATTAGCTGGGCTTGGTGTCCTGTGTCTGTATTCCCAGCTACTGGGGAGGCTGAGGTAGGATTGCTTGAGCCTGGGAGACGAAGGTTGCAGTAAGCTGAGATTGTGCCACTGCACTCCAGCCCAGGAGAAAGAGCAAGATCCTATCTCAAAATAAATAAATAAATAAATAAATAAATAAATAAATACCCAATGGACAGGTTAAAATGGCAGCTTAGACACACTGGAAGGAAAGAATTAATGAACTGAAAGGCAAATCTGAAGAAATTCTCTCAAATGTGGCACAGAGAAATGAATAGATGGAAAATACAACAGAGCAGTTAAAATATACAGAAAAGTGAGTGAGAAAGTGTAGTTTACATCTAAGGAGAGTTCCAGAAGATGAGACTAGATAGAATGTAGAGAGGCAAATTTAAGAGTAATGCTTCACTCAACCACTCTAATCCTAGCAATCACTTCCTCCCTTTGATCTAATGTCAGGTCCTTCTATTCACCAAACTCGCCCAGAAAAGAGGCCACAGGCACCCTGGTAAAGCCATCTGCATAGATCAGCATCTTGGGCATAGTTCAGGGAGGAGAAGGATGGAGAGTGGATCTGGGGAGGAGAGGGAAATGAAAGGTATTTGGTACACTATTTTCTTCTAAAAGTTTTGAAGCTTTGCTTTTCCCATTTGAAACTTTATTCTAGCAATTGACTTTTTGTCTGTAGTATAAGTAAAGTTTAACATTCAGAATACATAAACACTGATACGGTGTGGTCACAATCAATTAGGAACATTAGTCATGCCCCACTAGTCATAACTGATGCTGCCTGTCAGTATCAGGTAAGATCAAACCTGGGCACACTGGCTGAACATTACATCTCAGAAGAGGTGGATCCAGGCTTTGTGGGACATGAGACTTACATATAATCAAGAGGTCCTCTTTAAGAAAAAGAATACATTATGTATAAAAGGGATTTTTTAAGAGATAGAAAAATCACAACAAAGTAAAACATTTTAAAATCAAAGCAAAATATCACAAAATCCAGATAAATAGCATAATACTTTTATTAACTGCCTAATCCACTTATATTTCTTTAGCTACATTTTTAGGTGTATATTCTTCAATAAACTGCTTCAGATGTCATAAACTTCTTGTGCTTTAAGGAGTCATCATAAATTTTGGGGGCTCTTAATAAACTCCTCCACTCTGATTTGATATGAGCAAACTTGTCTGATGTCTTGTTAAAAGACATTACAAACAAAACAATAAAAGCATCCTCTACTTTTGCAACAGTCCAGATAGGATTTGATAGTGGTTTGACCATTTAAAAAGTTGTTTTTCAAAATATCTTTCTGAGAAGCTCTTTTGTCCATTGCATGATTTCTTTGATTCTCTATAAATCTTAGTGGGCTCAATCACAGTTTTGGAACTTTCAAAATAAACTCTCTCTCCTTAAAGGATGTTGAATGAAATTATTATCTATCTGAACAGGAAAAAATGAAGGAGCATGGTGTTTCTCCAAGTCAACAAATTCATCAAATTGAAGCTGTTTAGACATTCACCCATGTTCTATTGATCAAATATATTGTGTTTTTTTCATCTTCCTTTTCATCTTTATTTCCTGTTTAGAAGGGAACTAATTCACATAATTTTATTTTTTCTACTGTCATTTTTATCATCTATATTTTCTTGCCTATTTTAATTATTTCCTTGTCTTCATGATATTGACCATAGGAGTTTTTGATTCCCATTATTCTAGATGAGGTTGTTTTTGACATTTCAAAACTTTCCCCCATATCATTTATTTAGATTTACATATTTGTCATTCCTTAGACTAATTATTCCTCATGACATTTGAATATTGGTATAATCAACAATTATGAAAAACCATAAAATTTTCTGAATTTAAGTCATCCCTAAAGCAATGAAATGCATGTCATCAAATTACCCATACTAATATTATATACATAGTTCTACTGAAGAATATACTGAGAGATTTGTCACTGAAACACTTGTTTATTTAGGCCATTTCACTGCATTGGTGACAATTTTGTGTGCTGCTTTGTCTGGAACCATCAGATTATCAAAGCAAGCAAAATGCATTAGATACACTAAATACGTGATTCATTATATTTTATTATACAATCATTTAAAAATATAATTGTAAACACTGCATTATTTCATCATTTATGACAGCAGAGATCTTATGTTTTGAAACATTCAAATTAGAAGAATTAGGATTAGAAGAATGTGTTCACAGATTAGCTTTTGGCTTCATACATTTCACACCTTGTTACCTCTCTACTGTCTGCATATTTTTGGAGCCAGGGTCCATAGGACGCGTTGTAAGATGCAACTCCTATTCTGCACCTACATGTCATGGCTCGAGGTAGGTCAGCATAGTACCAGTAGAAATATTCCTAGAAGTCATTCTTTCAATAACTTTGCAATCACAGAGTGACGGTAAACCATATAAAAATATCCAACTAAACTCAAATGCAGTGAATCTCCAAATCAACTTTTCTTTAGCCATATCTAAAAAAATGCTCACAGTGACTCCAGTAACAGTCTACACAAAGAAAAATGTGATGGAGGAGTAATCAGAATAGAAAAAGAGGGTGATTTTTAAAAATGTGTTGAAAATATCTTACTTTTCAAATTTAAAAAAATACGGGCCAGGTGTGGTGGCTCACACCTGTAATCCCAGCACTTTGGGAGGATGAAGCGGGTGGATCACGAGGTCAGGAGTTCGAGACCATCCTGACCAACACGGCAAAACCCCGTCTGTATTAAAAATACAAAATTAGCCAGATGTGGTCGCACACGCCTGTAATCCCAGCTACTCAGGAGGCTGAGGCAGGAGAATCGCGTGAACCCAGGAGGCAGAGGTTGCAGTGAGCCGAGATCACACCACTGCACTCCAGCCTGGATGACAGAGTGAGACTCCGTCTCAAAAACAAACAACAAACAAACAAACAAAAAACATGTGAACCCAAGGCTTCTCTCAAGGCCTTAGAAGAGACTCATGAAACTGAAAGGCCCTGTATTTCAGCCTATGGCCCTCATGGGAAGTGGAGGTCCAATTTGATTATTTTTCCTATGAAAAACCAATTGTCTCATCACATTTATTGGAAAGTCAACTTTTTCTTGTTTTGATTTGCAGTGACAGCTGCCATATATTGCATTTCCATGTAATTGGGAACCCACATTCATATGTATGCACTGCACATACTCACTACTCTGGCTTATGCACTGCACATACTCACTACTCTGGATTATGCACTGCACATACTACTCTGGCTTTCCCTTATAGTTGGTCCCTTTAAAAAATTTTCTGGTCTTTTCTTTTTTAATTGATGTCCTTGAGCCATAAAACTTCCTGGTCTTTTAGTGATTTCCGTTTCTTTCTATAAGCCTGATAACACAAGAAGATTATGTTTTATGCTGGATCTACTTGTTTCACAGGAAGAAGGCCTTCCAGAATATCTAATACACTATACTGTCAGAAGCACATACTTCTCTCCTTGGAGTTTTAAATTATAGGTATTATATTTCTTACTTTGAGAATGGCTGGTCATTTTTGATGGTCTCTTATTTTTAGTTCTATTTTTGGAATATTATTTTACTTTTCTAAATGTATTAAATATACATATCTTAAATAACAGAGTTATTCCAACATCTGAAGTCTTTGTGAGTCTGATTGTGGTTACTTCCTGTTTCTACTGACCCACTGTGTTCTGCTTTCTCACAGTATTAGTGATTTTTGATTGTAAACACAACGTTCTGTGAATCTTCATCTGTTGTAGTTCTTTGAAGCCTGACTTAAAGAAATTGTTTTTGTTTTGTTTTTAGGGTCCATGCTAGAGGTGATTTGAATTTGGTTTTGCCAGGTGCCTGGGAACACTTTCAACCCAGAACCGCTTTAAAATTAATTATTAGCTTGAGGTTTTTAAAATCAAACAGAAATGTGAATTTGTGTCACAACCTCCTGAGAGCCAGATTGTGGTTTCAAATTTTAGTGAGAGAATTTCTGATTTTTTTCTAGTTCACCTTTCATTGAGGGCCGAGCTATTTGGGGATGGGTAATAGCTTTATGTATGGATTTTCCGGGACAGTACTTTGCATACTAACTCATAATCCATCACAGACAGATACTTTTGTAAAACTAAGGTCAATATGAATTACTAGGGACATGGAATGCTGCTTGGATACTACTGCTTATACAATAACTATGAAAGTTTTTAAACACTCTCCATTTCTGTACCTATCTCAACGTGTACTGGCAACAGATAGTTTGAAGACTGATCTGCAAACCACACTTTGAGTAGCACTATCCTATCATTCTTCCCACCTTGAGCAGGCCCTAAGCTTTATCTCCGTTCCCAACCCCACATGTCCGTCACAGTGGAAATTCAAGTGTTACTGAAGTGGGCAGATGTCTCAGAGTCCTGGGTGGATTACATACTCCATTCTTTATCTCTGGATTCCTGCTGTCACTTCATTTTTGACCTCTAAGGATTTATCTTTATTTCTCACTAATTCATCAATGTGTTAAAAGGAGTTTCCACCATGATCCAACACTCCCTCTCTTAACTGAAATGTACACACATGTTCACCAAAAGACACGTGCAAGAATATATTAACTGCATATTCATAGTTCCCCTAAACTGAAAATAGCCAAAATTTCCACTAACAAATAAGAAAATTGTGATTTTCCCCCCCATATACTCTACAAGATACAAATGAACAAATTTTTGCAACCTATAGCAACTGGAATAATTCTTATAACCATGATATTGAGCCAAAGAAACCAGATATAAAATCACATATATTGTATGATTCCACTTACATAAAGTTTGGAAACAGGCAAAAATAACCATCCTGAAGACATGTTATGTTTCTCCTTGAAACTTTCTCCATGCCTTGAGGAATATGATTGCTCAATCAAAGTGGTCATGGAGACTTCTGTTTATATTCTTTGGACACTGCTTACATGAGGTGTTCCATTTTTGACACTGCATTGCACACTACACTTATTATTTGTTCATGGTTTTGTGCCTATTACTATACTTCATTAAAAAGTTTACTTAATAAAAAATACTTTTTATCTAATAGTTTATCTAACAGTTTATCTAACAGCAACAATTACCAAGCTGCGAAAGCCTGAAAGTTGTGCATCCTCTTCAACACATCTCTCTCCCTTTATCCCTATGCCCAGTCAGTCACTCTATCTGTTACTCAATCCTGTAGTTCTGGCTCCTCAATACGTCTCAGTTCTACTCTCTTCTCTCCATCTCCTTTGAAGACCATCACCTCTCACCTGAGATACTTGCTCTACATCCTAATTCTCTCCCTGAATCTACTTTTCATGGCTCTCCAATCCACTCTCCCCTTGATCTTCCAAACGTACAAATAGGACCATGGTATGTCTCTGCTTAAAATCCCTTCCATGCTTCACCATTGTTTTCAGGAATAAGAAAAAAGAAAAGAAAATCTTCACTGTAGCACTGTCCATGCTAGTGCCTAGTGAATGTACTTGCTTTACTGTAATACTGTGCTGTAGACAATAACATTAAAATATTGTGTTGGATATTATTTAAACCCTGGAGAAAAAGTATTAGAAAATGTTTCTTCAACTTATTTTGGCATTCTTCAACTCTTTCCTTTAATTATTCATTCAGATCATGTTACTTCCTGACCCAAGTCTCCCCAGCACATTAATGTGATCTAGTCTCTGCCTGCTTCTCTGACCTCATCTCGTACCCATACCACTCTTTCCTTTTCTTTCATTTTACTTACTTTATGACGATGGTGATTTTTTAGAGACAGGGTCTCACTCTGTTGCCCAGGCTGGAATACAGTGATGCAATCATAGTTCACTGCAACCTTGAACTCCTGGGCTCAGGCAATCCTCCTACTTCAGCCTCCCAAGTAGCTGGGACTACAAGCATGCACCCCCATGCCTGGCTAATTTTAAAATCTTTTGTAGAAATAGGGTCTCGCTATGTTTCTCAGGCCAGCCTCAGACTCCTGGCCTCAAGTGATCCTCCTGCCTCAGCCTCCCAAAGTGCTGGGATTACAGGCATGAGCCACTGTGCCCAGCCTCACTCTTCCCTTTTCTTGCTATCTTTCCTAAGCCTTGGACATCTCAAGCATAGCCCTGCTTCAGGGCCTTTATATTATCTGATCTCTCCAGCTGAACTGCTCTTTCCCCCACATGTTAACATGATGGACTCTTCCGTATTAATGAAGTGTTAGCTCCAATTACACTCTTTCAGAGAAGCTTTCCCTGACTCTCCAATCTACAGTAGCCTCCCTGCCCTAGACACTCTCTACCACATCATCTGGTTTTATTTCTTCATAGCATTTACCAGTGTCAGAAATAATCTTGTTTATTGTATGAGTTTACTGTCTGTCCCCAGCACTAGATTGTAGATGCCAAACGGGTGGGCACTGTATTAGCTTTATTCACTGAGTCCACTGCATCCAGCAGTTTGGCACATAGGAGGTGTCTGATAAATACTGATTGAATGAATGTGTTGGTGACTGGGCATTCATTCACATTTTCAATGTAGAACAGTGCTGTCTAATAGGACTTTCTGCAGTAATGGGATAATCTGTAAGTCTGCACTTACTGTCCAGTACAGACAGTGCAGCCTTACAGATTATCCCATTACTAGCCACCCTTAGCTATTGGATACTGGAAATGTGGTTAATGTGACTGAAGAACTTATTTTTAAATTTAATTTGATTTGAATTTAAATAGCTACCTGGGGACTAGGACACTATATCGGATAGTGCTGGTCTAGAGGACATAATTTAGGATGAGGGATCAGGAAAGATCTCTCAGATGCAAAAATGTGTGAGAGAAGACTTGGAGCATGAGTTGCTATAGCCAAGTAAGAAGTGAGGTGAGGGAGAGGAGGGTGGAAGATGTGTGGTTAGGCCACAGGAAACAGGAAGGGCATTCCAGAGAGAAGCAGGGGCAGGGAAAATCCCAGGAAGTGGAGAAACTTTAAAAAAAGGGATTTTTAGTGTTGAGGAATCAGATTCTGTTTCAGAAATCTTACAATATAATGACTTTGTGTTGTCCCATAGTTTATCTCATCATGGTATTTCAATCTGGGGTGGCAATAAGTAACATGTTCCGGCAGGACGTACGTAACAGAGCCAACTCCCTAATATCCCACCTTTCTCAGTGCAATTTCATTTGCAAAAGGCTTACTGATCTTTAGGGTCTATTTTTGTGTGTTTTTTTTTTTGATTTTTGTTTTTTGCTTAGGAGCCTCAATTTTATCATACAGTACCATGTCTTATGAGTAATAGATTTTATAAGTTTATTAGCTGCTATTGGGTTTGCTCTCATGTGGCCTTTTATTACCATTTTAGAGTCTAATAAGTCAACTGATTTCAGTTTGTTCACCCTCTTCATATTTATATTTACATATTTTTTGATTTTATAAACTTTGTTTGATTTTTACATGGTAAATAAGAATAGTGACTCACTTTCCCACATATACCAAAATGTTTAATGCTTCATCTCAAAAAATATCAATGGAAGGCAGATGAGTGAATTCTTGCAACCTTAAAATATAATTTAATGTCTTCTTTGTATTTCATATGGATGAATCACCTCCCAATAATTTAAAAGCTATGTATCTGATATATGTATATATATACATGTATATATAGAGAGATATAGCAGATATATATATATATATATATACACACACATAGCAAATATATATATATATATGAATTTAATTCCCATCGTGTTATGATTATTCAAATACTGGGCAATAATTTCCACTTATCAAGAAGAAGTGGATTTATCTTCTAAGAATACTTAGTTTAATTCTTTTGGTAGACTAATTACTATTTCAAAACTCTTTTAATTAAAAATAAATCTCATTCCATTTTAAACTCCCTTTCCCACAAGCCTATTCATTTTCACCTGACATCACCTTTTATTTTTTGCAGATGTTTTTGATGTAAACCATTTTTTCTGGAAAAGCACTTCTCTATTTTTCTATTAGTTCGGAAGGTTTTTGGATTTTGCAGACCCAATATTCTTGGAGATACTTATTATGGCTCACTAAATAGAAACGAGGTGTAAGGGTTAGCACACGAATTGGGAAACAGGAAGTTTTGCTATCTAACCTGGGTTTCCACCTTATTGCGTGATTTCAAGTAAGTTGCTCACTAAGAAGATGCTACTCTCGGTTCAATGGATTTTATATATGATTTATGTATTTTTCTGATTTTCTAAAGGTTATTTAAAAGTTTTTAATGACTAGTTGAACTGGCCTAATCAAAAAAAGTGTCAGAGATGAAACAAATATGAACTTGAGCCTCTACAAGGTATTCATGTTAGTTCTAAGGACTGCAGACTGGAGTGTACCAACTTTTACTCCCCTCTTGACCAGCTCAACACCACTCAGGACATTATTTAAAAACAGTCTTTGTGTCTGTTACTGAACAACTGCAGGGCTGTAGCCAGAAATATGAGCTTGCTTCATGGCTAACAGTATAAAAGTTATTCAAATGTAATAGCAAAGCAAAGTGGTAAAAATTAAGGAAGCACAATAAAGGGGAAGATTGAAAAATAAACTTGGTCACATAAATTGAATGTTAAGAAAGCCATGTCGAGAGATACGAGAAAGAATATTTCTCTGAGAGTGCACTACACAATGGAAAGAAGGGGACTTCCTGGGAATTGAGGACCTTATATGAATTAAATTCCAATCATGTCCTGGACCAAGTGTCAGCGCTTACTAAAGACAGTTTATTTAAGCAGCGACCTTGGCATCAAGCATGGCCAGACTTGATCCCAAGCTCCTTTAACTTCTATGAATCTCAACTTTCTTCTCTTTAAAAATGAAGATAATTATACCTACTTTGCAGGCTAATATAAGGATTAAATGAGGTATTCTGACACTGGATGAAGAATAATTATTCCCCCATCCCTCTAACAACACCAACATGCATTCTTTAGAGGCGATTTGCAGTGGTTAGTGTGTCAAAATCAGACTGCCTGGGTTCAAGTCACAGCACTCACTAGCTGTGTGACCTTGGACAAGTTACTTAACCTCCCTGTGCTGTTTCATCATAGTAAAATGAAGCTATCAATGGTACTTTTCCCACAGTATTGTTATGAGGAATAAGGGAGTTAGTATGTATAGTACTTAGGACGGTGCTCAGTGCATAGTAACTAAACATTTTAAAAGTGTAAGCCAAAAACATTAAATAGTTTTGGATTCTTTCTACAAGTGATTAATTTTGTCTTTGGCTATATTCACATGACTGGACAGGAAGGCAGTAACAGCCTTGTTAGCTGTGGGCGAGTATCTCCTAATTCTGTTTGGGGCAACACCACCTGCTCCAGCTAGGGCTGTCGACTGTGGCAGGGCAGTGCAGGACAAGAGCCTCTGAGGCCAGCCAGTCTGCCCTGCATCCAGCCTTTGTCACTGACTTTGGGCAAGTTATCAACATTTCTGAGTGCCTCCTCCCTTGTGAAATAGGGATATTTTTTGCCTCTCCAGTTGGTGTTAGGATTAAAAAGCTAAAGTACGTCTAGCCCCACAGCCTGCACCCCGCAGAGCTACAGTGTAGCAATTGTTACCACATCATATATATATATATGCACATACATATATGTATACACTGTATATTATTTATATGGCAGTTAAGCCTCTGGGGATTTTGAAGTAAGGGAAACAAGAAGCCAGCTAGAAATGGGCCCTTTCTACCTGTCATTCGGTCTCAGTAAGAGGAAGAAAAACAATTTCTTCCTTTTGCAACGAAGTGATTACAGAGGTCTCCCCTTGGACCCTGATTTTCACCGCCCCTCGCCCCACAAATGCAGGCAAAGGCACTATCCCTTCCAATTTTATAATCTACTCATTTCTGTACGTGCGGGTTTATCTGGCTTGGTGGCAAGCCAAGGGTGGGTGGGGAGAGGCATTAAAACCTGGCAACCCCGCTCCCCCATCTCCGGATGCCGCAGGGCTCCTGCCAGCCGTCCTCGGTTAAAAACGTGCTTATGGATTATTTCACTTCCCTGCAGTTCATGTGCAGCCGCTCATTACCACCCGCTTCAATCACCGCTGCCAGCATCTCCCCTGAACGTTTTTCCCTCCCCCGATTTCAGGGCCATTGGTCATAACCGACATTTAAAGGAAATAAACACTGATTTAAAAAATTACAACACCCATCTCTGCCTGAAGAGCCCAGAAGCAATGAATAACAGAACAGTCCGGCGAAGAGAGCCTGTCGGATCTTAGCTCCGCCAGCCCTTCCTGCCTTACAATTCCCCACAACCGAGCAGCACAAATCACCATTTCCAGGCACCACTCGAGTCTGCCAATTCCACTTTCGCTTAATCTCATTTTAAAATCCTCTACAGATGAGGCTCTGTCGCTGCCGCGAGGGGCCGGGCGGCCGCGGCGGGAGGGACAGGGGGCCTGGGTGGGAAGGGAGCGCGAGGGCCCCTAGCGGTTCGCGGCCTCGGGCGGATTCCCAGAACGAGTGCGGGCCGCCCGGACTGGCAGACTGCGAGCCCCGAGGGGCGCGGGACGCAGCCGGCTCAGACAAAGAAACCGGCGCCAGCGGCCGTCCCTGCCGCCCCTCTCCTTCCCTCACGCATCCTCCCAGGAAAAACAGGGCACACTGACGGCCAAAGGGGCTGGCCTTCCCCTTCAGACAGCTGGACGGGAGGTGCCCTCTGCGGGGCTTTGACGTCCCTCGCAGAAGAGTCGCGGGCTCAGCGGTCCTCGACAGCGTCCCCGTCCCGCTCCCCGGCGGGCGCCCCTCCCTGTCCTCCCGGGTGCGAACCGGGCGCTGGCCGGGGACTCCGGGGACGCGTGCGCCCCTCGCCGCGCGAGGTGCCGCCGAGCCAGCCCGAGAGGGCGGGGGGCGGGCGGGGCGGCGCGCGGGGGCGGGGGAGCGGCCGGGACACGTGTGGCGGCGGCGGGGGGGACGCGGCGCCCGGGGCTTTAAGAAGGTGTGGAGCGGGGCGGGCGCTTTCCCAGGCCTGGCCGAGGGGCGTCGCGCAGAGGCGGCGGCGGCGCACGGAGGCGGCAGACGACGCGCTCTCGGCGCCCGCAGCCCCGGTCCCGCGCTCCCGCGGCCCAAAGTAACTTTGGGAGCCGCCGTCTCCCGCGGAACTTCTCGGCGGGGGCCCGCTCCCAGGCCCGCTCCCGAGCCCGTTCCGCTCCCGTCCGCCTTCTTCTCGCCTTCTCTCCGCGTGGCTCCTCCGTCCCGGCGTCTCCAAAACTGAATGAGCGAGCGGCGCGTAGGGCGCGCGGCGGCGGCGGCGGCGGCGGCGGCATGGAGCGCAGTGGCTGGGCCCGGCAGACTTTCCTCCTAGCGCTGTTGCTGGGGGCGACGCTGAGGGCGCGCGCGGCGGCTGGCTATTACCCCCGCTTTTCGCCCTTCTTTTTCCTGTGCACCCACCACGGGGAGCTGGAAGGGGATGGGGAGCAGGGCGAGGTGCTCATTTCCCTGCATATTGCGGGCAACCCCACCTACTACGTTCCGGGACAAGAATACCATGGTAGGTACCGCAGCACCTCCGCGCTCGCCGCCGCCGGGTGCGCCCGCCAGCGCACCTTTCTCATCCCTTTCCTTCTTCCAAGGGGCCTTGGAAACAAGAACCATGACAACCCTGGCCCCAGCGATGCGCTTGGTCCAGGGAGCGAGAATAAAGTTAGTGGAGAATGGAGTCACAAGTTGGGATTCATTCTCCATGTCCCCACTCCCCGAACGCATCTCCTGGTAATGAGCTGGTGCTTGTGCTAAACGCCTGAGAATTCTTGGAGGCCGGTGTCTTTCCCCCTCACTCCCCGTACTTACCGCAGGCACTTTAAATTGAACCTGCGCATTTTGTTTCTTTACTCCTAGGACTTGGATTTCAGACCTTTGTCCTGCTCCCGGTCCCCCCAGATGGGTCCCCGGGGGGGCGTTGGGGGCTGTCGCTGGGCTTTGCGGGCAGGCTGGTGACAGATTGAAGCGCCCAGGTCTGTGGCTGCCCCGCGCCGCTCGACCGCAAAGTTCCCGCTGCTCACCAGCCAGGAGTCCCTGGCATTTCATTCAGTGTCATACAGCCCTCCTGAAAGGGAGCGGCTGCTTCCAGCTCCCTATTCTTTTGAAAGTGTGATTTAATATGTCAGTAATTGATGATTTTTCTGATTCCTGCCTTACTTTTACATGGTGCTTCTTGTTAGAATTATCTTTGTGATGTTTATTAATGACTTTGTATTTTATCTGCACAGCTTTAATTTCCAGGTAGAGGCTGGAATCCCTTATAATTTAGAGGTATCTTAAAAATGGAATCATTATGCAGCCCTGCATCAAAAATAAACATTACAGAAGAAATAAAATTTAGCTCCAAGAAATATAATATTATGTAGTACATGTATTTTAAGCTAGTACATCGAGTATGTGGAAAAATAAAAAATGTCTCTTTTCTGTATTTCTTCTGGGACTTCTGAACATTTCATGCCTATAGAGCTTTTAAGCAGCGACAGGCACTATTTAATTAGAATTTCAACCCCAAAATATTTATACCCAACCAAATAGAAACCATTGTCCAGTAGGCTCCTGTTAATAGTTTCTATCTCTAATAGGCTAACAATCATTGGCATGGCGGGAGATAATCTACGGGGTGCTAGCACTTAAGATAGACAAGCATTTAAAAATTGTAAGAATCCTTAAGATTTTTCTGTTTTTAAAAAAACCTTGATATCTATTATAAAATATTTAGCCTAAATAAACGTCTCCTAGAGGTTTTAAACAGTGCTTTTACAACTTCCTTGTGGCATGGTGGCAGCCTTGTCTGTAAAGCAGAAGTTTAATTTGGTGGAATTTTAGAAATAATTTTGGAAAATTAATGTTCTGTAACTAGTCCCTTTTTAGATAAAAGTGCTTACTACGCCCTCTTCCCAAGAACAATCTAGTGCTTTTCTGAGATAATGAGAATCTTTAAGTGGAAGGAGCAGCTACTGTGATGGCAACCAGACCTAACCCAAAGCCTGATTGACAGCCTGCTGCTCCGTGCGACTCTTAGCAAAAGTTCTTGCCCGGTATGATCTCTCAGTGAGAACGGTGGGTAAGTGAGTGAGGCTGGTCTCAAAGGCGTGACTGTCAGGTTATGATGGAAGACCATGTGATGATACAAAGCTTTATTATTATTTTTTCTGTTTTCCACATCCTTTGGAAGGTCTCGATATTGAAAACTTAACTAAAAACACCAAAATATCATACACCCTTTGGTTTTGCTCCCTTGCACCCTTGAATAGCAAATGCAAGTCACCTTAAGACTCACCATAATCACATATCTAAGTCTGAAAAGGAATGGATAACATAGAGTAGAAATAAAGTGTAAATACTTCAAGTTGGACATTGCGGAGGAGAATCTCAATTTCCACCTCTTTTCCACCACCAGAAAAGGTAGAGAAATTGTATTATGTAAGTTATGAAAGGTCAAATTATTATAAGCTTTGAGAATTGTGTCAGATTTTAAATTTCTGTTATCTATTTTATTAAACATTTAGATTTTGGAACTAGCTGTAGCTATAGGCCTTAAAGTAAGAGTTTTTTTTTTTTTTTTTGTAAAATGTTCTACAGGTAGAATACATGTTTAAAAATGAAGTGATGCTTATGTATGTCTCTTTTCCTTTTAGGCTTTTGAAAATTAATTTAAAAAATTCAGACACACACACACACACACACACACACACACACACACACACACAGCTTCTGTTAGAATTGAACTGCCAATAGGAAAACTTAATCTCATGTACTTTTGTGGTTGGCCCATTTTGATATGTGACCAAAATGAAAGGTCTTTTGCCCAAGAAGTCTTCTTAAACTTACAAGAAATGTGTAAAATGTTAGCTTGAGACTTTATTTCTAACCTTCTGGATCTTTAAAGTGTAACAGTTATATCAGAAAAAATCAGTCACATTTATGATTTACATTGAAGTCACCATTTGAATGAACCATGTTTAGGTGTAGAGCTGATAGTTGTGACTTTTTTTTTTTTTTTTTTTTTTTACCTAAAAGAATGCATTGAGATAGAGGTGGTGTGCACAATAGCACCTAACATAGAACATTTCTGTAGATCAGTCAGCTGCCCTCTGACACTGGGGTGTGTGGCAGAGCTCAGAATGTAAAATGGGGCAGCAATTGCCAGTCTAGAATAAAAGTGGTTCACAATTATAGGTCCCTGTATGTGTCGTATTTAAATATATCTATGGAATATCTTTAACAAAAATAAAAAATATATAGTACTAAAAAATCTGGAGCTTTCGAGTCTAACAGAATTGTCACAGATTTTTACATTAAGTAGTATATCCATCTATTTTCAGTACTGGCAACTCTATAAATAGTGCATGGTTACATCTGGTGTGTTCTCATCTCTCAATTAAATGTCATTTGGTATCTCTTTCTCATCTTCATATATCTTTTAAATTATGTTATCTCTGACTCTTTTGAAAGGGCATTATTAGTCACAATGAACCATGAGTATACCACAATGTAGAAGCTCAGCGAAAGGAGGTCTCTATACATCATGTTGAATTAGAAAGGTCTCAGGGTCAGAACATTTTTTTTTTCCTAGAATTTCCTTTTTTTTTGCACAAATCCTAAGACATGGTCAGTTTCCGCAATGTGCGTTTCGGGCACCAAACCTGGAATTTTTTGTTTTGTTTTGTTTTGTGTGGTAGAAAGTTGCAAATGATGGGGAAATAGGAAACAAGAACCTACATGGTTTAGTCAGGTAGCCATTTCTGTTTTCCAGCCATGCCCCGTAATCAGCACACCTTCTCCTAGGGACAAAGGCAGTATTGTGAAAAGTGTGATGGTTGGATTGAAGTCTGCACCTTTCCTCACCCATGGTCGTTCCTTTTCCTCACCCCCAGCCATCAGGTATCTACCATCCATTTTGTTTGCCACTCCTCGCCTTGCCCCCAATCAATTTATGGTGAATGTGACTTGTCAGTGTTAAACTTTCCCACATTTTTTATTGTAATTGTAGAAAGATGTCTTTCCCCTCTTTGCTTAAAGTAAGTTTAGCATCACTGAACAGCCAGATAATAGATATGGGGATAGAAAGACTTGGATGCCCCTGAAATCATGTCAGTAAGGAACTGCCCCTCACAAGGTTGGCTTTATTCAGTCCCCATCAAAAAGGAGAGGTCAGCCATTAGAAGAAGACATTGTGCATGAAAGACAAGCGTTAAGTAAATGAGTCTACCCAAAATACTTGAGCTTTGGTGAGACAATGTACCTAAATTTCTGAATGGACTAGAATTTCTGTTACTATGGTAGCATAAGATGGGGGAAGTGTTCCATTAACAATGAGAAGTATGCTCTAAAATATCAACTGAGAGAAAAAAATTTGGCCTTGAGTAGAATTGAATTGGTGATGTGGCATGATGTTTTAAAAGGGGGATTTTACTGTATTTTGTAAGTCCGGCATCACTATTGGTAATTTTTTCATGCTGTATATCTACTCCCACTTTAAAAAAAAATTATACTGTGAGACAGACAGGAAAATCAATGTTCTATTCCTAAAACTAAACATTTACTTAAAAGAAAGGTATAATCAGGATAGAGTATTGAGGGCACTTTATTTTGACAATTTCCAGTATTACTGTTAAAGGCACACGTGTTCTGAAATTAACTGGTTGCTATTTAAAAATTCTTGTTCAAAGGAAGTGCAATTTAATGACCTTTCAAATACCAGATGATATTTATGTCAGACGTAATTTTTGGAAATATATTCCAGATTTAATTCCTTTCAAAGGAATGATTTTATTATTTGAAATAAAGTAATTTGCCATTACTAAAGTAACTGCATTGCTGATCAGGTGATCGGTTATTTATCCTTCATATGTCTGATTCTGGAATCAGTGTATTTAAACTTTCAAAATCATTTGTCAAATGCAATTTATAAGTGAACTGAAGCTGCGTCCTGCTTATATAGGACTATGAAAATTGGGCATTTTAGAGCATTTTGCTCTATTTGTTACATATTTATCTTACTCTCTACAATTTATTTCATACATATTTTACTGATGTGGTTGAGATTGTTTCTTAAATCATAAATCTTGCTTCCTGTAATTTATATTCACTGTGAGTTTCAATTCCAATTTTAAACTAAAATCAAGTCTTTACAATTATAGTTCAAAATATTTCATTTTGGCAGAAATTCCTACTTCATTCATTCCTACATTACTAGGAGTTATTTAATTATATTTCCTTCCAATTTGTGTGAATCTTTGTTTTAAACTATTAGTTTTATTTGCATTGAAAATGTTAATAAAATGGTAATGTTGTATCGTTGTAATAATATGAATATAGTTTTTACAGAACTGTTTTATTCCAGTAAATTTGACTTTCCATCTTTAAAAAGAGTGATATTTTACCAAGATTTTAAAGTCAGCATTTTTGACTTTCAAATTTTTATGGATTAGTTTTATTCAAAAGAAAATATCTAAAAATCTGTCTTTGATTTTTTTTTTTTTTTACCTCCTGGGAATTGGTCAACTTTATAGAATAAACTAGAAGCCTTACTCCATCAATTATTTAAGATTGGTTGCATATTAAGCCATAATTGTTTTTCTGATCACTTCAAGTGCTAGTTTGAAACTTATGTTATATCTTTAATCTTCATAAATAGTTGCTGATGCAATGACCCCTTTATTTCAAATAACCTTTACATTTGAAAAGCATAAATAAATTGAGTGACCAGTACTTTTTGAACATTTACATTTTAAAAGACATACACACACACACACACACACACACACACACACAGAAATATGAAGTTCTTTGTGTCACATAGAAATAGAAAAACTGGATAGCACTACACTCCGGAAAAAAAGGAAGGTGGAGTGCATTAGGTTGGAATGGGCAGGTTCACTGTGGACAGAGAGAGGTGGTTTAGGCTATGCCTGAGTAATGACTTAATACACGTTAAAAGGCAAATTGACTTATCTAAGTATTTTCATTTCAAAAACATTGGGGTGATTAATCCACCCTCTTTACCTGATTTTAGAGTCATTTTAAAAATAACTGAACTCTATAGCATTTCAGTCTCATCAACTTTAAGCAAAAGCGTTTTAAAAGCCCTATTTCAGATACTCGAATTGAATTTTCAAATATGAATATCTCATAATGACTGTTCAAACGCAGGAATTGTGTAGCTTTAAAAAATTATTGGCTCTTAGGACATTCCGCATGAAATGACATGATCTCACTTTGGTGTCAGTTATGTGGCTCAGAAAGTAATTTTCACCACAGTCACCTGCCATGCCCATCTCATTGAAGGCAGAGCTTCTGAAGGGTTGAATGCTGTGCCTATAGGTTAGCCAATTATTTTTAAAATGTGTGCTTCTCTAAAACTATACCTATTTTTTTCTTTTTTATTCTATCCTCTCTAAGAACCAATTATAGCAAATGTATTTGAGGATGTGTGTGTGGCAGGGGGATCAGTACAAATGTAGAAATGTTGATTTGTGGTATAAGGCAGCCCTAAATCACTCAAAATAAAAAACAAAGCTAAGATAATTAGATAGCATTGAATCCCACTAAGAAATAGTTACAAGCGTTCTGAGTTTTCAAAGTAAATGTTTAAAATGCAGGTTATCCTTTAATGCTGAATTAGCTTTCCTTAACAAAATAAAACTTTATGTTGAAAACAAAATAAAATTTTATTATAGCTAGGCACAGTGGCATATGCTTGTGATCCTAGCTACTTTGGAGACTGAGACAGGAGGATCACTTGAGCCCAGGATTTCAAGACCAGCCTGAGCAACGAAGTGAGACCCAGTTTAAAAAGAAAATTATTGATTAAAATACTCTTACATGATAGGAAAGGTGACATGTTATAGATAGCACCGATTATTGATGTCCACTGGTGCCCACAAACCAAGTGACCTGAAAAGGAGTGACAGTAGACCATAAGGACTAAGGTCACCTTAGTCCTCTCTCTCTGCCTTTCCCATCTCCTTCCCACTGTATCTCATCTTCTCTTCCTCTCTCTAAATTTTATCTTTGTCTTTCCTCCTTTGCTTCCTTTGACTCCATGCCATGGTCCTTGCTTTCCCTCTCCTCTTCCTTTCTCCTTTCTGCTTCACCACTTTGTTCTTTTTCTTTTTAAATTCTTTCACTTTCTTCCCTTCAGGTTTCCCCCATTGCCATCTCTACACCTTTTTTCTCTTCTTACTGATAGTAATATGAAAACAAATCAGTACATTTATTATCAACTATTTAGGTCGGTCATAATTCTTGTATCAAGCTCTGAATTGCTGTGGTCCTCCCATAGAATTTCTTCATATCGCTGAATTACATGGAGCTGCAAGGGAGCCATGGAGGTGAGTATTTTTTAACTGGATGCTGAAGATAGACCCGTGTTCATATCTTGCTCTGCCATTTATTGGCGGTATAATTCAGCGATATGAAGTGAAAATCTGTTGATTAGGGTCTTTGGGAAGGTTCTTTTTATTATTATTATTGAGGCAGAGTCTCAGTGTCGCCCAGGCTGGAGTGCAGTGACACCTTTTCGGCTCACTGTAACCTCCACCTCCTGGGTTCAGGCGATTCTCGTGCCGCAGCCTTCTGAATAGCTGGGACTACAGGTGCACACCACTAGACCAGGTAATTTTTGTGTTTTTACTAGAGACAGGGTTTTGCCGTGTTGGCCAGGCTGGTCTTGAACTGTTGACCTCAGATGGTCCACCTGCCTTGGCCTCCCAAAATGCTAGGATAACAGGCATGAGCCACTGCACCCAGTCAGAGTCTTTGGGAAGACTCTTGATAAAACTGATAAAGAATATTTTATAAAAGACTCAGCAGGCACGCACTTTTTGCCCTAACCTTGCCTATTCTAGCTCGGAGATGATACAACCATCTTGTGACCTTGAGGATAATGGCCACATGCCAATGATGGTGGAACAAAACTTTAGAGGGAGCTGGGTCCTCCTTTATATCTTCAGGCAGCTATGCCAGCCCTGAAATAATGACGGGACTTCTTGTATTGTGAGAAAAATTAAGTTGTTTCTGTTACTTGTAGCTGAATGCAATCCTAATTAATATGTATTTCATCTAAACACACAGATGTCCCAGTTAACATTTGCTTTTAGGTCAGTCATAATTCCTGTATCAAGCTCTGAATTGCTCTGATCCTCTCATAGAGTTGGTTTTGGTAACCTTGATAAAACTGAGGTGTTTCCTAGGAAATTTTTGACAATATATTTTCAAAATATCCCTTAAGGTATGCTACTTTTACAGGTGGCAAAGATAGTGCATTTTATGTTAGCTTTTCTAATTATGCTTTGAGAAGGTAACCTGTGCCTGACCTCTTATATACTGATAATTTTTGCTTGTTCGTTTCCTTCACCTAACTTTATTTCCTGACACTATCTCTCTAAAATGCAGTGTCACCATATGTAAATCCTGTTGACATTTAAAACATCTAGACGTGTGACATGGTTGTGAATGTGAGCTCTGCCCCATCCTTAACCTTGTTTGTCACATCTGGCTCAGCCTCTAGGACTATATCCAAGTTTGTCATTCCTTTTGCTTATTACATATTGACATAGGAAACAGACATCTGAGTCTTACCTTCAGGAACATGTAATCTCTTTGTTTGGGTCACCTTTGTTGTGAATGTTGAGATATGTTATGATCATAGTTCCAGTTCTTTTCACATTTCCTTTTCTTTAATAAACACTTCCTGTATTCTCATCCTGCAAATAATGTTATATGTCCAGTGTGTGTGATGGAGGAATATGAGGAAATTGGTTGGTTCTAAGCTCTTAGAAAAAGTGGATTTACACTCCAATTTCAAGCACTAATATTACCTGAAAAAAAAGGCAACTCAAAGACTCCTGAATGAATGAATTATGACAGTGACAATAGCAAACCCTAAAGTAGCACTTAATATGTGCCAGGCACTGAGCTAAATGCTTTACACATATTAATTCATGTAATTTTCACAAAATCCTCATGAGGAAGGTACTGTTATTCTCATTTTATGCGTGCATAAACTGAGTCACAGAGAGGTTAGTGTTTTGCCCAAGATGGCAAAGCTGCTGTGTAGTTCTCCAGAATCCATCCTTTTAGATAGTACGCATTTATTTTTCAAAATGGTGGTTATTTCAGAAAAGGAAAATAATAATAAATAATAAAACTAATCTCAAAAATGAGAAAACAAAGAAAAGTAAAAGCTAATTTTATTATTTAAAATAGAGATTGCAAAATCAAACCAGAAAGCTGATATCTATGCTAAACAAAGCTGGAATTTCGTACCCATAAGTCCATAATTCTTTGACCAGACATTGTCTCCCAGGTAAAGCACAAAGCAATCACCTAGTATACTGTTGGCCTGAAAGAGTTAACATGCCTTCAAAATATAATGACACATAAAAATACAAAAAAAGTGATTTACAACCTTTTTAAAATTTATTTTTAATATTTTGATAATATAATTTTTATTAAGAATTTTTTTTTTTTTTTGGAGACAGAGTTTCGCTCTTGTTGTCCAGGCTGGAGTGCAATGGCATGATCTTCCGTCAACGAAACCTCCGCCTCCTGATTCAAGCAAGTCTCCTGCCTCAGCCTCCTGAGTAGCTGGGATTATAGGCATGCGCCACCACACCCAGCTAATTTTGTATTTTTAGTAGAGACAGGGTTTCTCCATGTTGGTCAGGTTGGTCTCGCACTCCCGACCTCAGGTGATCAGCCCACCTCGGCCTCCCAAAGTGCTGGGATTACAGGTGTGAGCCATCGCGCCTGGCCAAAAAATTTTAAGTAATGAAGAAACGTGTTCTCTCACACACTAATAGAACTTATATAGGATTTGAATATAAGAGAATTGAAAAATGTAGGTGGGGAGGGACATTTTAAAGATATTTATTGAAGTTCATCTATTGTATATTCCTCTCTTTAGGAAATTCCAGTAAATGTTGTTAGTCTGCAGGCACAGCCTGTGAAACTGAATGATGTGGCACACGGTAGAAGTCCTTGGTGACCACTGAGTTTCTGCATTCTGACCTGTTCACTGCTCAAAGTTCTGCTCTTACAGTGATATAAACCCAATGGGATAACATTTGTTTTTACTTGCCTTTGTGGAGTTATTTTTCATACATGGATCAGATCTTCAAAAATCACTTTCTGTTGAGCTAATTTGAATGAGAAAAAAAGCAGAGCAACTGCTAAGCATCCTTTCCAGCCCTTGCCTCCAAGTAGTCCACCTGCTGCCACAGAGGGCAGAGCTCAGCTCTAGACTTTATGGCAACCAGGCTAGGAGTGAAGCATGAGGGATGGCAAGGCATGTGTCATGTCTAGTGATAAGAAGTGGGGTCTGCCCTTGTCTCATTCTCCGGTAGTATAGGAATGTTTCTTGATTTGTCACCATTATAGTTTATTCCAAAGTTTGCGGTCAGAGCTGAACCAAGATCCGCTGACCCCTGGTAAAAGTTAAATAAAAGGGCCGAGGAGAGATTCAGGCTGAGAGCTTCCTATTCAGAACCTACAGAGGTTCTCAGAGGGTTTGAAGGTGGGCTCATGTTCTTACTAGGAGAGAAAAACTTGCCTCATTGGACTTTAACGACTCAAAGGAGCCTTTATACAAACATCACCAAAAAGTGTAGAGATGTTCCACATATAGATGTTTTCTTTTCTCAAGCCTGAAACACCAGATCATTTCTCCCTGTACCATTCTCTGATGAGCTGTGCTAAGTTGTAGCTCTGATGTGCAAATCTGTGAGCCTCCAGGGTGGGGAGGGTAGGAAGCCATGAGACTAACGTGATTTCACCTGATGCAGGTATTACAACTTTTAGAATTTTTATTTCAAATGTAAGTGGTTTATGCCAGACTGTTAACAGAAACTGAGGCAGACATGTCAATTCCGAAATATTTTAAACATAGAGAACTCCAATAAATGAAGAGTTCAGAATTGGTATCACTAATGAGTACCCAGGGGATAGCTATCTGTATTCATTGAAATGAAATGCAAATGCTCTAGAGATCAGATTCACCTCAATTATTAAAATAATGATTGATTTGACACGTATTGCTTAGTGATTTTTGCTCATCCGAACAAGTTTGTCCTGTACCATCTAGACCAGTCATTCCTAACTCTTTCTACAACACAATGAACAATATAGAAGCTCTGCAAATATTTAAGAATAGGAAATACTGAACGAGGTGTGTGCTTCCTTGCCATCCTGTAGAAGCAGTCACTAATGGAATACTATTCAGCCTAAAAAAGAAGGAAACTTTTCATTTGTGACAACGTGGATGAACCTGGAAGGCATTATATTAAGCGAAATGAGCCAGGGAACAGAAAGACAAATATCACATGATTTCACTTATATGTGGAATCTGAAAAAAGTTGAACTCATAGAAGTAGAGAATAGAATGGTAGTTGCCAGGTGCTAGGGATTGGGGTGGGTGGGGAGATGTCAGGCAAAAGATAGAAAATTTCGGTTAGGAAGAATACATTCAAGAGATCTATTGTACAACATGGTGACTAGTTAATAACAACATATACTTCTTATCAAGATGTTTAATCTCAAATAAAAAGATGTTCATTTCTTTGATTAATTTAAGATAAATAGATGTTTTCATTGGGTAAAAAGAATGTTTCTCCTTAGAAATATTTCTTAGTGAAAGAAACATTTGTAATCAGAATTTAAGGATGGTTATTAGAGTATTAAGCTTTTGTTTTGCTGGTATGGTATTCGTCTCTAAACCTTTATTTTTATTTACCTTGGAAAATTGACCCAACTTGGAAAAGCGTAAATTTTATTAGCTGCCATTTTGGAGAGTGGCAGGTGTGTCAGGGTACTCTGCTTGCCAGCAACAGAAACCAACTCTGGCTAACTTGGGCTAAAGGGATTTATTAGTAGGAGGTGGGTTAGCTTGCAGAATGGAAGGAAAATCCAAACAGATGTAGAAATGATTCGTGTCTCAAGGAGAAGGGAGTGGTCAACTGCTAAAGGAGTCGTGGTAGTAGGAACCAGTAGGGAGGCTTTTCTGGTCTCACAATTGGGATGAATCCTCTCCAACTTCTTTTCATTTTGTTTCATTGAATACTGGATTCAAGTTCCTGGGACCACAAGTATTATTGGCCTAGCAGGGGTAGGGTGGAATTGCGTTCTTATTGTACATATAGATCTAGCCTAAAAGGGACTTAACACTTTTTTAGTTTTGTGGAAATGCCTTCTTCTCTTCTGAAAGTTGCACACTGCAGTATAGGTGACCTCTCCTCGTACAGGAAGCCCAGATACTCCGGGATTGTATCTGCTCTGCCTCACTTCAAACTGCCAGGGAATTTTTTTTTTTTTTTTTTTTTTTTTTTTTGAGACAGAGTCTCACTCTGTCACCCAGGCTGGAGTGCAGTGGCGTGATCTCGGCTCACTGCAACCTCCACCTCCTGGGCTCAAGCGATTTTTCTGCCTCAGCCTCCCAAGTAGCTAGGATTACAGGCGCACACCACCATACCCAGCTAATTTTTGTATTTTTAGTAGAGACGGGGTTTCACCATGTTGGCCAGGCTGGTCTTGAACTCCTGACCTCAAATGATCCACCCACCTCAGCCTCCCAAAGTGCTGGGATTACAGGCGTGAGTTCCCACGCCCGGCACTGCCAGAGATCTTACACTTAACAACCTGCGAGGGAATATCAAAGCCTCTTGGGCTCAAGTGATCCTCCCAACCTCAGCCTCCTGAGTAGCTGGGATTACAGGCACGTGCCACCATACCCCACTCATTTTTGTATTTTTTATAGAGATAGGGGTCTTACTGTGTTGCCCAGGCTGGTCTTGAACTCCTGGACTCAATCAATTTGCCCGACCTCTTGATTGCTGGGACTACAATTGTGAGCCACCATGCTCAGGCCAGGAGGTTGACCATTCTAATGCTTTCAGTGCCACCTTCATGCTGGTGACTGCCTAATGACTCCCTGACTGTCTTAGGCCTTCTGTGTCTTACTGCCCACCCAGTATCTCCACTTGGATGGCTACTGGAGCTTCTTGTTTCCCCTCCCCTGACTCTCCTAAAGCAGCTTCTTCTGTAGTCTCTCCAGCTATATTAAGGCCAACTCCGTTCCTACAATTGTTTCATCTCAAAATCTTTTTTCTCTAATGCTCCACATCAGTTCCATTCCGAAGTCCTGCTGGCCTTGCATTTCAAAACACCCAGAATTTGCCATTGCCTCAGCCACTTCTCACCTGGATATTACAGTAGGCTCCTACAACTGTCTTTGTGTTAACGCTTGCTCACTTTCATTCTAGTCTGAAAATAGCAGCCTGGGTGCTCTGCTAAAAGCCAAGACGATGCCACTCCTCTGGTCTACACCTAAGACATCGTATATTTCCCCCATTTGCCTGTAACAGCCCTGGTCTTTCTCTGTTTTCCCAGTGTCCGTCCAGTTTAGCATTTTACCAACAAAAGTAACAAAATCTAAATAGTAAATTATATAGTCATTCTAGCTATACCTCTGGTTGCTCCCAGTCTGTCTTTGAGAAAAAGATAACATATTCAGCATGGCCTCTCAAACCCTGTAGCACCTGCCTCTTTGGTTACTTTTCTGACGTAGTATTTTACCTCTTATTCCTCCACTGAAACCATAGGGCCTCTTTTTTGTTCTTCAAACACAGTAGGAGCTCAGATCCACCTCAGGACTTTTGCAGTGCTATTCTCTTGTCTGGCATCCCTTTCCCTAGATGGCCTTGTATGCCTGTCCTTTCCTGATTCAGGTCCATACTCAAATGTCACCTTCTCCATGAGGCCTTCCCTGACCACACCATTTAAAACTGCTCCATTCCGGCCGGGTGCGGTGGCTCACGCCTGTAATCCTAGCACTTTGGGATGCCAAGGTGGGCGGATCATGAGGTCAGGAGATCGAGACCATCCTGGCTAACACGTCTCTACTAAAAATACAAAAAAAAAAAAAAAAAATCAGCCAGGCGTGGTGGCGGGTGCCTGTAGTCCCAGCTACTCGGGAGGCTGAGGCAGGAGAATGGCGTGAACCCGGGAGGCGGAGCTTGCAGTGAGCGGAGATTGCACCACTACTCCAGCCTGGGCGACAGAGCGAGACTCCGTCTCAAAATAAATAAATAAATAAATAAATAAATAAATAAATAAATAAATAAATACTGCTCCATTCTTCCCAGGACCCATATCCCCTTGACTGCTATATTTTTCTTCATTGCTATTATCGTCCTGTCTGTATTTTGCTGTTTTACCTTGTTCCCTTTGTGTGCTCTATCAGTATAAATACCTTAAAACCTCATCAAAGCAGGTTTTGCTTGCTCCTCTACTGCCTGTTTTGCTTCTATTCCTAGTGCCTAGAACAGTGCCTGGCACACAACAGGTGCATAAACATTTTTATTTAATCAGTGAGCAAGAATAGCACTTGGGATCCCTGTCTAATATGAGATATAGTTAAAATTGTTGTCTGAAAGTGGCAGTGCCAAGATAATTAATCAAGAGGATCATCTATAAAGATGGGTTTGTGAGTACAATTTCTAAATTTTGGCTTTGAACCTGTGATAACAATGTTTGAAAAGAAAGTCTGAAAACCGTGTTTCTACTTTCCCACTCTTCAAACTTACAAAATTCTCATGTCTTCTGTGAGAATATGCAAAGCTATTTATAGCAGTCTGTTGGAATGAGTTTACTTTAACTATATGTTAGCATATCCAAAATAGTTCTCATAGCAATTAGTGACTACAATTATTAATAGAAACTATAATAGATTTAAAGTTGTTATTCCCAGAAGCTTCTCTATGCTGCGCCATAAATAAATTTGAAACAATCTTGATGAATGGGTAGCTAGTTTGTATTTAAATTTTCATTTGAATAGGAATAAATAGTGGGAAGGATAGAAACCAAAATCGTTTGGCTCCATACTCAACAGATATGTAATAACCTTATAGAAAACACACAAAAATGGAAACTCGACAAATTTCCCCAAAGATTTTGTCTTCTAAGAGAAATTTACTTGGACAGTGATGAACATACAAAGGGAACAGCAGCTGAGAATTCTGCATCTTCATTAAATTACATGTATTGATATCCTATAAGTTAAGAGGATCGGAGGCTCCAAACTTATGGAAATTAACATGAATGTTTCCAAGGACTTGTTAGTGAGAATAGCTCAAATCTTATAGATAATGTAGAAATAAAATTCCACTCTATCCATAACATATTTAGATATTTTAATTTATGAGCCTTTGAAATCAGAGATGGCTTAACTCTCAGGGATTTGTGGTAGTGGATAGCCCACAGGCTCAGGAAATGGACTGGCTGAGTTCATTTCCAAGCTTTGCACTTTTAAGTCATGTGGCCTTGGACAAGGGATCTCACTTCTCTATGTCTCCGTTTCCTTGTCTGAAAAATAGTGATGATAGTACTCGTCACACAGGGTTGTTTTGGATCTTCAGTGAGTTATTGCATATGAAAAACAACATTATGCCTGTCACAGAAAATGTTAAGTACTATTTATTTATTTATTCATTTACTTTTTGAGATGGAGTCTTGCTCTCTTGCCCAGGCTGGAGTGCAGTGGCACCGTCTCGGCTCACCTCAACCTCCACCTTTTGGGTTCAAGCAATTCTTGTGCCTCAGCCTCCCGAGTAGCTGGGATTACAGGCATGCACCACCATGCCTGGCTAATTTTTGTATTTTTAGTAGAGATGGGGTTTCACCATGTTGGCCAGGCTGGTCTCGAACTCCTAATCTCAGGTGATCCACCCGCCTTGGCGTCCCAAAGTGCTGGGATTATAGGCGTGAGCCACCACACCTGGCTGAGTATTATTATTATTATGACATACTTTTTGTTATTTTTTCCTGTGATTAAAAAGGAATATATTTATTTAATCTATTTATAGTCTTAGGAATTATGATCTTTTTAATCTTAACATTATGTGCTCTTGATATCAACATTTTTCAAAAACATCATTTTCATGGCTCCACAACATTTTACTGTATGCTGTAGCATAACTTAAAAATCTATAAATATTTCACATTTCAGGTGTTTTTCTTTTGTTTTCAGTGTTATAAACGTTATGATCAATATTTTTGTACATATTTTAAATTTTGGCAAAATTCTTTTCCCTAAGTTGTGGTTTTATTTTTATTTTTTTCATGAATTTTTATATGCCCATTGTGTTAATATATTTATGAAAACAGATACATTTTTGTTTCTTTTGTTTTCTCATATTGCTTTTGTGCTGAGAGCGTCTTTTCCTAATCATAGACAAGGTAAATATTTACATAAATATTTTTCTTATCTTACTATATTTTAAATTGTGGATTATAATAACTTGCATGCATTGTTAGTGGGCTTATCTCACTTGTTTATGTTTCTTTTCCTGTAGAGCAAAGGGTTCCCCTAGAACCACACAGACACTCTCTCTTATTACAGTAACTTCTGCCATTAACTGCCTTGTTCCAGCCACTGTTAGAAACGCTCTTGAAAAAGCTGTCACATGCACCAAATGGGTTGGATTATCACTACTGGCTGTGACAGTTGAGTGCAAATGCCAGATGCCTTTACTTAAACCTTCAGGGCACCTTTGCTCTTTCAACAAAATTCTGGAATTCTACACAGAATTCTTTTTGGGATTCTAATACTCTCTGTTGTGAAACAACTGGATCACAGTAACTGCTGACATCATGAATACATTCTTGCTGATGGTACCTCTTTTTTGGTGTCAATCATAAAGTTTTTCTATCTAATCTTGTAGCACACACACACACACACACACACACATAATCATATGCCCACATACATTAGCAGTGTGTGAAGCATCTATCTCTTTATGAAAGAAAATATTAATAAGCCAGAAAAGGAACACATATGAAATGCAAACTGTGTAGGTTTCTTGTTCTTTCTAATTTAGCTTTAAAGCGATTCCTGCTGCTCTCAGTTCTCTTCTCACCCTTTCTTGTAAGCCTCTGCCTGACAGTGATGCCGCATCTCATCATGGCATTGTATTTTCCTAAATCTAGTAATGTCAAACTTTAGGAGTCTTTGATGGATGATGGCCCCTCTATTCCAAACAGAAGTCAGATGGCCAACGCCAGTCATTGTGATGGGGATCTGCCCATACTTCATCTGCATTCCATCCCTGCCAGTGCTTCTCAGTGGGACAGTGCCATCCACACCTATTTACTCTGTAATTCTAAGAAATATTGTAGAATTTCTTGGGAAGACTTAGAATATTTAGTTATGAGATCCAGTGAAATCCTCTTTCACGTAGTTCTCAGGACCAAGCTCTTCCAGCGCAAGGGAGGAAACTAGTTTCTAAATCCAGTCTCTTACTTGTAAGCAATCTGTGTTTTAATTTGCATACGTGCATGCAGACGTGAATGGAATCAAACTATACCTACCACAGTCAGCTTTTCTCACTCAGCTATATGTGTTCAGCATCTTTCCATGCCCATAAGTACAGAGCTACACCTTTGTTTAGTATTACAGTATATGGATGCACACAAACATACTCAGTTCCCTCTAATATTCAAGTTTTAGATAATACATACAACATTGCAGAGATTTTTTTATTTTTTTATTTTTATCTATTTACTTATTTTTGAGAGAGGGTCTCGCTCTGTCGCCCAGGCTGGAGTACAGTGGCGTGATCTTGGCTCACTGCAACCTCCACCTCATGAGTTCAAGTGATTCTCCTGCCTCAGCCTCCCAAGTAGCTGAGATTACAGGGGCAGGCCACCACGCCCAGCTAATTTTTGTATTTTACTAGAGACGGGGGTTTCACCATGTTTGTCAGGCTGGTCTTGAACTCTTGACCTCAAATGATCCTCCCGCTTCAGCTTCCCAAAGTGCTGGGATTACAGGCATCAGCCAGCATGCCTGGCCAAGATTTTTTTAAAGTTTATTTTTATTATTTATTCAGTGATGCTCAAATACTTTCACAGTATCCATTCCTAGAACTGAAAGTTCCAGTTCAAAATTTATTAATAACACTACAGCTGTTGATACCTACTGTCAGATTGTCCTCCAAAAAGATAATACCACTTTTCATTTTGTCAGGCAGCCTGTCTGCATACACACACTAAATGCTGGGTGATATAATTCTTTTTAGTCTTTGGTATATCTATAGGTTTAAAAAGAGTATTTTATAATTGTTTTATTTTTCCTTCTTTGATTACTAGAAAGGTTGAATAATTTTCTGTCTCATTACTAATTTTGTGCATATCTGTGTATGAATTATCTGTTAAATCCTTTACTTATTTTTAAAGTTTTCTCTTTTTCATATTGATTTGAAAAACTGCTAATGTTAGTAATTCCTTGTAATATATATGACAGGTATTCCCCCCAACCCCCAGTTTGTCCTTTGTCTTTTAATTTTTGGGTAGTCAAATCTATCAGTTGTTTCGTTTATATGGAATGAGCATGACAGTGTGTAATAGTATGATCTCTGGAATCAGACATGCCTGGATTCTAATCCTGACTTGACTACCTTTTTTTCCCTTTTTCTTTTTTTTTTTTTTTTTGAGATAGAGTCTCACTCTTGTCGCCCAGGCTCGAGTGCAGTGGCACGGTCTCTGCTCACTGCATCCTCCGCCTCCCAGGTTCGAGCGATTCTCTTGCCTCAGCCTCCTGAATAGCTGGGATTATGGGTGCCCGCGACCACACCCGGCTTTTGTACTTCTAGCAGAGACGGGGTTTTGCCACGCTGGCCAGGCTGGTCTCAAACTCCTGACCTCAGGTGATCCACCCGCCTCAACTTCCCAAAGTGCTGGGATTACAGGCGTGAGCCACCACGCCTAGCCTTGACTACTTTTTAAAAAAAGAGTTGATTCACATTATCTGTAGTAGTAATACTCAATGAAGACTGTGAACACTGAATTAGTGACTACAGAACCACTGTTCCTGGAGGAAATGTAGAGTTAGGTTCCTGTCACATTTTCATCAAAGCATCAATACATAACTTTGTTTTATGTGTGAGTCTGTTTAAAGACACCTTATTAACTATATGTTGTTGGTTCATTAACGTTGAACTCATGACCAAAGGCAATGTAACTTATGCTTGAATGGATTGTCTTTGTAAGGCACATCACAACCTTCTTTTACTTAGGAACACTAGACAACCTTTCAGCACTATCCTTGGGAGCCATTTTAAACAGTGAAATCACCAAGGTGAAGTGCAAAAAGAAAAAAAAAGAAAAAGAAAAAGAAATAGCACTAAATAAATAATGAGAGGCCGGGAGTGGTGGCTCATGCCTGTAATCCCAGCACTTTGGGAGGCCCAGGTGGGCGAATTCACTTGAGGTCAGGAGTTCGAGACCAGCCTGGCCAAAGTGGTGAAACCCCATCACTTCTAAAAACACAAAAAATTAGCCCGGCATGGTGGTATGTGCCTGTAATCCCAGCTACTCAGGAGGCTGAGGCAGGAGAAGCTCTTGAACCCTGGAGGCGGAGGTTGCCATGAGCCGAGATCACACCACTGCACTCCAGGCTGGGTGACTGAGCCAGACTCCATCTCTAAAAAAAAAAAAAGGAAAAAAAGAAAAGAAAAAAAATGGACAATACAGTATGAGATCTGAAAGAAGAAGGCAGCCTTGTTTGACCTCAGGTGTGGGGTTGAGTATCCGGTGACTCAGATTTTTTGCCACTCTGCATGTACATGTCTTCAAATGACTGTGAGTATTGATATTGGAGTTACAGATAAATTCGTAAATAAGGAATCTGTGAATAATGAGGATAGACTATATACACTGACATGGAAGTTACTTATCTGAGTCTCCTTTCTTTAAAGGTACTCAACTTCGTTAAGTCCCTTTTCTTATATGTAAAATGAAGAATTGCATGTCACATAGTGACACGATAATAAATGAGATATAATATATGTTTGGTCCATAGTAAGCTGGTGAATATTGGCTGCTATTGTTGTATGGTTTCTGCCTTCAGTATTATGCATGGAGAAACTTCCTGAATCCTCAGATTACAAAAACATTTTCATAATCCTTTCTCCTAGTACTTTAATAATGTTTGGTTTTTGCATTTAACTCTCAAATTCATTTGAAATTTATGGCTAAGAAGAGTGATACCTATTTAATTTATTTCCTAGATTTTCGGCCAGTTTTCCCAGTATCATTTATTAATAGAAAATTTTTCTCCTACTAATTCCTAAGGATTTTACACAGTGATCTTTTAAATTACATCTTCTAATTGGCCATTTCTGGCATCTACGAATGTAATTGATTGCCATATATTTTGTACCTAGACATCTTACTGAACTCTCTAAATGTTTTTAAAAACAATGATTGGGGTTGATTTTCTTCCATTTTTAGGAAATATTTTTATGGCATTTAAAATGAATACAGCAATATGGAGAAAAAGGCAGATTGTATACAAACCAGAATGGGCCACAGAATTTAATTTTGCATCTTGCTGAATAAAATTTGTTTTCAACAGTTCATAGGGCATGAACTTTGCCATAATTACTGGAGGAGTTAAAAACCCCAGTTTATTAATCTTAAATGCATTTTTTTTTTGCAAATGCAAACCTCTGTTTTATGAGTGGGAAAACAAGGATAGTTGGAATATTCACACCAGATGTGGGCCTTTCTCTAAACCTTTGGGGAATTAACTCATTATTAGGAGAGCCTTATGAGGTAGGTACTAGTATTATTCCTATTTTACATTTGAGATAATGAAGGCACAGAGAGGTATTGAAACCTATAAAATGTCAAGTTAAATAGGTCATTTCTTTTTCATGATTCTGAAATTTTAATTAAATCTGGTACTTACTGGCTTGTTATATTTCCATAAAACCATGACAATTCATATACAAATTCTTTTAAATATTATGAAGTTTTGTCTGTAATTGTTTTTGTTGTTGTTAGGCAGAATGTCAATGGTAAATTTGACATCCTTTAGCATTTTTGGATGATCATTTAAAAATACATCTTCTCATGGGTTCTATTTTCACCTTTTCTAACTGGTTCTTAATAATCTAATGCCTCTTTTCTTTAGTTGCAAATAAGTTGCAGAAATAGCTTAGTGAAAAGAATTACTAGATGGTTAGATTAGATTTGAATAAGGAAGCAGTAATATCCTTTGTCTTCTTGGATCTCTCATTGAGGAGATCTAATTTCTTCTTTTTTACATTTGCTTACCTTTTACAATTTCTTTCATACTTTTATTTTTTTTTCTGTCCCCTAATTTCTCATAGGCCACCAGTTAGTCCTCAGTAGCAACGCATGGTGCCTGCAGACCTGATGTCAAACCAACTGATGAAAGGGCACTTGGTGTTCCAGGCAGCATCTCTGAGATAATCTAATATACTCTTCTTTAGTTCTCTTACTTCTGAGTTCACATTAAGCAGAATTTAAAGACATTCCTCTTACCTTCAGCCATGTTTGACAAGTCATTTGTGTGAAGATTGTATATAATATATCATAAAGTAATGTTTAGCCTCCCAATATATTTTTCTTGTTTGGGGGAAAATTATTTATTTTCCTTTAAAATCAATATACATTTGTTGAGGGCCTACTTTGTAGAAAGTATTCTGTTTGATCAATGAAATACAAGTTGAGTTTTTCCTGCCATCAAGTTTGAGAAATATATACTTTGAGAAATATATATATTCATATATATAAATATATATACAAAATATATTTTATATTTATATATAAACTATACAGTTTGAGAAATATGTACTTGAAAATCAAACCCAAAGGAAATTGTAAATATGAAATAATAAATGGTGCGACAGGAAAGTGGCCTGGGCCACATGAGTTGTTAGAGTGTAGTTACAAGAGAAACCTTAGATCTAGAGGAATCAAAGATGGTTCCGGTATGGACCTTGAAGCTTGAAATTTTGACAGGAAAGGAGAGGGAAATGGTAGTTTAGGCCTGAGTGTGGCATAAGCAAAGGTGTACCTATAGAGACTTGTGGGAAAAGTTTTGTGAACAGTGAGCAGAACAGCTCTGCTGGAGCTGAAGAACTGGTCTGGAGAATGGCAGGGGAGAGGGCTGATTTCAGGCAGGTTCTGTCTGAGGATGGAGCCTTGCTCACATGATAGAGGCATTCTCCTTTTGTCTGTGGGCAGCAGGGAGCCACTGAACATTTATCAGGTGGAGAATTGTGTCTTGAAAGCCTGTTTGCAGTTTCAAGCTGGGAAGCTGCCTGGAACCTAATTGAAGAAAAGGCCTGCTCCATCTGGGGATGACTGGTAGGTTCACTGCTCTAGGGTTGTCCTGGAAAGTGCAGACAACCACCTAAATCACTATACTTCATCATGGAAAGCCCCACAAGAAACTAAAACACTTTCAACATCAGGAGCCCCTTGATATTGAAAGTGTTTTGGTTTCTTGTAGGGCTTTGTAAAATGGACTGGAGTTGTAGAGGCCTGAGGGAGGAAGGAAGATCCAATATTGGATACTAGTGATAGGAGCAGAAGCAGGCTGGCAGAGTGACTAAGAGCGTAGGCTTTGGAATTGGTCTCCATGGGTTAGAATCCTGCCTCTACTACCACTAGCCCTTAGTTTTCTTGTATGTAGCATAACCACACCCATATCTTAGTCAGTGCCTGTAAAGGGCCTATCCTGTTAGTGGGAATATAGTAAATGCTCAATAAATGTCAGCTATTAATAGAACATTGGCAATGACGACAGCTGCAAAAGGTCACAGGGAAGTTACACAGGAAGGAAAGGTAGAGCTTTGATTAGGTGTAGGGGTGGAACAGAAAAAGGTAGACTCATCAGTGACCCCAACATCTGAATTGTTGAAGAAATGGTGGAAGCATTGGCAGTTTGGAGAAGTTTTGGGAAGATGTGCAAGTTCCCATGTGAAGTTGAGGATTTATTCAGTGTATAATTTTCCTTCAAGGGAAAGATGTGTGAGTCACTCCAAGATAACTAGTGTTCCAAAATGGGCAACTTGCTTGGTTTATTCATTCAGTATCTGTTTTTGGAAAATAAAGGAAGTTTGATAGCCTAGCTTCTGGTACATTTGTAGCTTCCGATATTTGCTTCTGGTACATTTATGTCTAATCTGAACTATTTAGCTCTGCGTTGTTAAACTGAATCACAATAGATTATTTTTCATATTTTATATCCTTATTATATGCAAAACATTCCATTACAGCTAGTCCTTGAATGTCATTTCTTCTAAAGTCCTTTCATTATAATGTTGATGAGAAAAAAAATCAATTCTGTACCTGGACCACCTCTGTGTGGAGTTTACATGTTCTCGGCATGTCTTCCGGGGTTTCCTCTGGGTATTGTGGTTTCTTTCCACATCTCAAAGATGTGCACATTAGGTTCATCCATGTATCTAATTGTTTCGGTCTGGGTGAGTGTGGTGTGTGTGAATGAGCCCTGTGATGGGCTGACACCCTGTGCAGGGCTGGGTCCCACCTTGTACCCTGAGCTGCTGGGAGACACTCTGGCCACCTGCGAGCCAGAACTGGAAAAAGCGGGTAATTTTCTCACTTGTTTTTATTAATCTTTCTTAAATGTATCTATAATTCACATTTTGGTGTTTAATATTATAAGCATTTTGTCTTTATTTAGAAGTTTGGTGACTTTTTGTGACCAGAAATATGCCATAGGAACTTGTCTTGTTTTTATCAATTAGCCTGTAATAAAATTGGCTTTGTTATAGTCATTTTGTTTAAAGACTCAGTTTCTAAGAATCTGTCAATAATGTGAGGACTTAATTTTTCTTAATAAATTCTAAATCTGAGATTTTGACGTGGTAAACATATATATAGCTATGAATAATTCAAATGTTAAGAATAAGAAAAGAGCATATTGGTTTCAATAAATTTTTACTTAATGAAATAAATGTTTACATAATTTTAAATTTTAATTTTGGGGTATAAAATAAAATCTTTTCCAAATGTTGAATACTGTTCACACAACTACTCTAGACTTTTGTATGAAACAAAGGACTTTGCAGGGCTGGCAGAAAGAGAAAAGATCTGGGAATTGGATTGATCCAACCAGATAAACAGGGAAATATGCAAATAAATGTGTTATTATTGCCACTAGTGTCAAGGTTAATTTTCGATGCCCAAATGGATTATTTAGAATAACGTCCAAGCCTTGAAGATACCAGGAGATGAAGAATCAAAATACGTGACAGAGTCCTTAAAAATATATAAAAATGATGGTTTCATTATATTGTTTCCATTCAAAGACATGATTTTATGAGTATAGGGCTATAATATTCCATTTTATTTATTTAAACTGTCATTTTAAAAGGCCACTCTATAATGTGTTTTCTACGAAGTATGTTGATAAAATTGCTTGGGGCAACCATTTTCTTCTCGTGGACAAAGGCACTTCATTGGTTGTGACTTCTGAGTTATTTTCAGCATTTATTGTGATATATTAATTTATAACATTTATTTGATGCACTTTGTGCTAGGCAGCCTATGAATATATTTACAAGAGCTGTTTTAAAAATTTCTCTCATTTTGATTTAAAAATAGATGTTATAAGGCAGCAAGTTTGAAAAATCTTGGCCTTAAGGTCTATGCAAGTAATAAAGGTTCTCTGACCACTAGTTTAAAAAGCACAGTTGGGTTTATGTGAAAATATGCCTTTAATAACATTGCTATACATATTAAATTTTACCTTTTTATAGTGCTTTGCAGTTTTCAACATTGCTTCATATAAATTATTTCTTCCTCACAATGATTCTGTGAGGTAGCATTATTATCCTTATTTTAGAGAGCACAAAACAGAAGTTCAGAAACAGTAGGTAACTTGTCCTAAGTTATTCTCACCTAACTGGGGGAGCTGACATGCATGCACAGAACTCTGGCTTCAAGTCCCTGACTGTATTTGTGTGGGCACAGACATATCAAAGTGGTCTCACTCAACAGTACTCTTCCAGTGGTCCCATTTTAGAGGACTTAATGAACTAAAGTATTTGACAATGTCTTGGGGACTGTAAAGTGATAACTATGCATAAACATGAATGAACGACAGAAGTTAAGTGCTTCATGTCAGTAACTTTATTTTTTACTTTAAATTTTGGATCATAAAAAGGGGGAAGCAAATAAAAGTTTGTCATGCCTTTACACAGGCAAAAATTTAGGTGCAATTCTTTAAATAATTTATTTAGTGGACTCCCAGGAGTGATAGTTGTGGTAATTGTAAGTTGTGCCCTAACTGAGCCATCTGGATAGGTGAGATATTATTGCTCTAGGTGACATCATCCATTGGTGGTGGTTGGTGCTAGCTGGAAGACATCACTAAAATTCTCTTCCTGCAACATCTGGTCTAGAAGAGAGACACAGCTTGATCCTCAAATTGTGTGTGATTCATCTTGTCTGGTCATTTTCAGATCACTATTAGGAAATTAATCATTTATATATTTAGATTGATATTGATCACAAAAGGAATGACTTACTCCAATTTCTTTTGCTTCTCTTTTGAGTAACATAATAAGGAAATCTACCACAATACCCAGAACTAAGGAATTTATATCTAGATCTTAGTTATTATTACTATTATTATTATTATTTCGAGACAGGGTCTCGCTCTATCACCCAGGCTGGAGTGCAATGTCGCAGTTATAGCTCACTGCAGCCTCCACCTCCCCTGCTCAAGTGATCCTCCTGCCTTAGCCTCTCATGTAGCTGGGACTACAGGTGTGTGCCACCATGCCTGGCTGATTTTTTTATTTTTATAGAAATGGGGTTTCTCTGTGTTGCCCTGGATGCCAAAGTCCTGGCCTCAAGCTGTCCTCTCGCTTCAACTTTCCAAAGTGTTGGGATTACAGACATGAGCCACAATGTCCAGCCCTTTGTTAGTTATTAATAGTCAGAGTCCTCTATCTGCAACTTGTGATATTAGTGTAACTCTGCATGGCAAATCACTTAACTATCTGCACTCTACTTTTCCTCATCTGAAAAGGGAGATACTGATATCCCCATAACAAGGCTATTTTTTTCTTTCCTTTCTGTTTGTTATGAAATATTTCAAACATAGAGAAAACAAAATGAATGATTTAACACCTGTGCATTGCTATGCAGATATAACAAATATTAATATTTACCATAGTTTTTCAGATTTTTAAAAGAAATTTTTAAAAAAGATATAGTTAAAAGCTTCTTTGTCACCCAACCCAGTGCTATCCTGACCACAGCCCCCCTAAATCTGCCCAGGGATGGTTGAAATCCACAAGCAAGCTCATATCCACAAGAATTATTTTGATAAATAACATAGATAATGTCTATGAAGACTCCTACCTAGAACATCTGAAGTGAACTTCATTAAGCCTTTGTTTATCTGCTTATACATTGAGAATTAAAATATTTTGTTTACTTACCTCAGAGGGTGACGTAAGATCATGTATGTGAAAATGCTTTGTAGTCAAGTGATACAGAAATATACAGTAATGTAGGATAATATCATGTGGGTTTAAGGTTTGTCTTATGATTGCAAGTGGTTGTCCAGAAAAGGCTTGTATAGGAAGAAAGGACAAAGCGAAGACAGAGGAATGAGGAGGAAGAGAAATGAGTAGAAAGCGCCAATGAGAAAAAAAAAAGAAGGCGAAAAGAGGAGAGAGAGAGAATCCTGTCTAAGGCAGCCTGGTTTCGAGGCTTTCCAGATTGTCTTATTGTTCCCATCACTGGCTTACGTCTGTCTCCTGTTCTTGGTGTTTCCTTCTCTGGCACACCTAGCAAAGCTGGACGTTTTCTCAACCTTTCCCCAGTGTCTTCCCTGGCTTAGGGTACCATGTCCTTAGACAGTGTAAGTAAAATTTTATATTACCTTATGTTTACCCTATTTTCTCAGGCATATTCAAAATATTTCCTATCAGCTAAACTCATAATAGTTTTCTTAATTATGAAGCTGTAAGTTTTTACTTTAACTTAACCTTTCTGGTTAGATTGTCAGTTCAAAATGTGTTCTATGACATTCAGAAGAATTCTTTCTTGTCATGCTATGTTTTGGTAATGGCAGACTCCTGAATTCATTAGTCCATAATACATATATTAGCTACACACACACACACACACACACACACACACAACAACTTTGGAATGGAAAATCCAACAGGTCCTCTCTAAAATGCATTTCAAGTTTCATCTTTGGGAGGTGTTCTCTTCTCCGCTTGGTGTTTCTGTGAGCTGAAATCTACTGGTGAGGTGCCTCAGTGCAACGACCTCCTGGCAGACCACCTGTGTGTGGCACCTATTTCTGTCGGTGGAGGCGCCTCACTCATTCCTCTTGGTGGTAATTAGAAAGGCAATCAAAGAGCAGGAAGAGCAAAGAGAGGGAAGGCCACAGAGAAAGATGGGAGTGATGCTGTGACAAGAGAAAGAAGCAAAGAGTGCCGCAGTTCTGAAGTGCTGCGTGTATGGGGTTGAGAGGAATGTGTTCCATGAGAGAGTTCAAGGAATGCTGCCAGTGGTGAGGAGTGGAGGGAGTGGCTGTGCTGCTTAGTAATTTAGGTAAAGGATGGCAGTGAGCAGGGAACAGGATGAGTTCAGCACGGGGAACAGGGAAGCGTGTTTTGTTACAGGTGTTGAATATCGCTTTCTATAACCAGCTGTAGTTCATTGACAGTACTAGAGATTTAATAAAATGATCCAGAACTGAAAAGGTGTGACCAAATATAAAAAGGAAAAGAAAAAGAAATACAGTCTTTCAGAAAGAAGAAAGAGAACTTTGAGAAGGCTTCTCCACCCCTCACCCCTAAAACTTTTAAAACAAGAGCTTATTTTTATTTTGTGTTGGTGATGAGACAGAAAGACCTTCCAATGGAGTTTGGAAAACTCTGAATTTAAAAGCTACTCCTACTGAAAGGTAGCTAATACTTCATGCTTCCTACTCTCAGACACCCTACTAAATATTTTATAGACATTATAATCATTTAATTCTCACACCTGTTTGGAATGATACTCTTATGCACTATGACAGGTGGAGAGAATGAAACATGAAAAGAACTAAGTGACTTTCCCAAGGCCTTAGAGGTAATAAGAGGCAGAGCAGAATTCAGACCCACGAGGATGGTTTCTAAAGCCTAGACTCACAATCCCAAGTTACCTGTAATGTCCTTGTCTTCTAAAGCAAAGCAAAATAACAACAACAACAGTAGCAGGACGTTATGTTTGTATACGCTTTGCTCTTGAGCTTGTAAGAATACACCATTTCTCCATTATGCACGAGTAAATTACCTGGTGAGTGAATTACTCATTTCACTTCTTTTTTAGTATTGTCTTGCCCGTTTTCTTGTTTATTAGTTGCTGAAAAATATAAATGATTCCAAAAGGGGGAAAAAAACTAAATTCATCAGTCTTTTGATTTCTGAGCTTCAGTTTATTTGCTCTGTAGGTGAGGCAAAAATAGATCAAAATGTTTCTCAGATGGCTGACCATAACTTATAATGTTCAGTCATGAATTCTTTAAAGTATATAAAAAGATACAGTTTGGGGGAAAAAAAGATGGGTTTTTCATTAGGACCTAGAAATCAGGTGGAGAGTATCTTCTGAAAAATGTTTTCTCTCACAGTTGTTATGGTTTACCTTAGTGAAGAATACAGGTACCTATAACAGGCATGTCTACTGTTCTATTTCTTGCACAAGCAACGTTTTATATTTCTCTGTTCATTAGCACTTTGCTGACCAAACACGTAGTCTGTAGTCATGTTTAAAGAAATTCATCTGCCCTAACAATTTAAATGTCCCTCTTGTGTGCACACATACCTTCAAAAAACACCAGCTATCCATAAAAGTTTGCCCGAGCTTGTTAGTGATTTCCAAAGAGTAAAATTAGCTTGTATGTGAGGAAAACACCTTAAAGCAGTGTTCTTTATTGATTACATTGGCTTTGCCATTTCTAGTTGATGCAGTATTTTTTTCTGTATATAAGGAAGGATTGTGGGGGACAGAGCGGAGAGTTTGGTTATTCACAGGCATCCTCACAGCAAATAAATACATGTACATACACAGGCAGGCACATGTGCACAAATAAATCAATGAAATATGTAAGTATCTTTAATATAAACAATTTTTTTTCTTAGCATTTGCTCTAATCCTGCTTTGGGAACCATTCTGATTTAAAGAGAATTCTATCCATTCATTGATTTACTCATTTACCTGTCAAATATGCCAGATATTTTCTGTTCTTCTGTTATAACCAAGATGAGGGCAGTCAGAAAAAATACGATAAAATATATAGTATGTTAGATGAGATAAATAAAACTAAGGAGGAAAAAAAGCAGGGAAGGAGGATAGGGAATGTCAGAGATAGGGAGTTGGGGAGGAGTCCCCCACGCCAAAGGTGATATGTGAATAAAGAGTTGAAAGAGAGGAGAGAGTGAGCTTGCAGCTCACTAGAGCAAGAGTTTTTCCAGCCAGAAGCAACCATAAACATATAGGAAACTGCCTCTGTATTTCGGTCCCAGCAAGGATGGACAGTATGTCTGGAGGGGGACAGTATAGGAAGGTGAGCAAAGAAGGGGAAGGACAGAGCCAATAATGTAGAGTCTCATGAGCTTTTGAAAGGATTTGCGTGAAAGGGAACATTTTGAAGGGTTTTGAGCCAAGGAACGACATAATCTAATTTCTTCTTTTCAAAAAGATCATTCTGGCTGCTGAATTGAGAATGAACTGCCAGAGAAGTGGAGGGGAGTGGGGGCAGAGGGCAAGAATGGAGGCAGAAAGACCCGTTAGGAGGCTTTTGTAATACTATGGTTGGCAACTGTTGATGAGTTAGACCATGGTGATGTCAGATTTGAATTTGTTGAAGGTGAGATGTGGTAAGATTTGGGGCGTCAGTGGGTGCAGTGGCTCATGCCTGTATTCTCAACACTTTGGGAGGCTGAGGCAAGAGGATCGCTTGAGCCTTGGAGTTGGGAAACATAGTGAGACCCCATCTCCACAAAAACTGTTAAAAAATTAGCCAAGTGTGGTGGTGCATGCTGTAGTCCCAGCTACTGGGGAAACTGAGGCAAGAGGATCACGTGAGCTAGGGAGGTTTAAGCTGCAGTGAGCCGTGATCACACTACTGCACTCCAGCCTGGATGATGGAACGAGACCCTGTCTCAGAAAAAGAAAAAAAGAGAGAGAGAGAGGAGTCAGGTTGGCTTCAAGAGTTCTGACTTGAGCAACTTGGGGAATGGAGTTGTCATTTACTTCAGTGGGAGAATCTGCAGGGAGAAAAGTTTGGGAGGAATGTCAGAGATAGGAGCTCAGTTTTGAACATGTTAAGTTTGAGAGAACTGTTGGACACATATGTGATGCTTTCTGGTAGGCAGGTGTTGAAAAGTCTGGAATTCTTGGGAGGGGTTTGGGCTGGGATATAAATATGGACATCACCTGCATGTAAATGGTTCAAAAGGGAATGAATGCTGCTAGAAGAAAGAGGAAATCCATGCGAATTCATTAACTGATGCAGGAGGGAAAGGAGCAGTGTATGATTATGAAGAAATCAGCCAGGCATGATGGCTCGAGCCTGTAATCTCAGCACTTTGGGAGGCTGAGGCAGGAAGATCCCTTGAGGTCAGGAATTCGAGACCAGCCTGGCCAACATGGCAAAGCCCCGTCTCTACTAAAAATACGAAAATTAGCCAGGTGTGATGGCAGGTGCCTGTAATCCCAACTACTCAGGAGGCTGAGGCAGGAGAATCGCCTTGAACCTGGAAGGCAGAGGTTCCAGTGAAACGAGATCATGCAACTGAACTCGAGTGAGACTGTCTCAAAAAACAAAGGAAAAAATTATTGGACTGGGTGTTTGGAGGTTTGTGTTACTGAACAAATCTCCATCTTCAAATCTATTTTTCTGTCTGTAAAGTGGAAAAGGAAATAGCCTCAGACCTCACTTTGTTGGCCTAGATGATCCCTAGGGCTCTGGCTGTTTCTAAGATATAAAGTCTAATGTTTCTGATTTTTTTTTTCTTGCAGATTTTAGTTTTGCAATGAAGAAGCTAAAATACTTTAATCTCAATTCAGTAAGATTATTTCTGAGAGCCATTGCAGAGTGAGTCACTTGTGTGTGGCTGATGACAGGTACTGTTTCTACCCTCTCCTTCCCTTGTTCAAATGTAAGATCTGACAAAAAGTACACCCATACACTCCTACACACACACACATAGATATTCACTGAAATGAGAAACACACTGAGAGCCTCATGACAGAGATTTTCCCCTACATGTTCTTTGGTGGGAGTGGGAGATGATTGAGTGGCTAAGAGGACAGTGAGTCGTAGAAAACTACCTATGAAGCTGCTTCATATTGGGTCAGAAGCACACCACAGTACACATGGACTCTCTTCAGACTTGAAGGAAATCTGTCACAAATCAGACCTTAACTCCTGTTTCAGGAATATTAGCCCATGGATCTTACTAGTTTTCCTTACATAGGAACCCATGTGCCAAACTTACATGAGATTGAGTTTCAGAACGATGGCTGTCACTGGGTCTTTTTTGTGACAGAAGAATGAATGCACTCCATATGTTGCCAGGAAAGGGCAATTTATTCTCAGGGGAGGGGATTATTCATTAAGTACTTAATCCATGTAGGCACTTCTGGGTACTTCATGTGCACCATCCTGCTTTAGTTAATCCTTGTATGAACACAGTGAGGTAGATACTATTCTGCCCATTGTATAGCTCAGGGCTGAGGTGCAGGTAGTGTAAAGAGAGCTACATTTGAGAGAGGTGGGGTCTGCCAAAGGGAGCCTGAAGGGGTCTGAGTCTGAAGCTGCACATTACCTCTGGTGTGTGCTGTTCTAGTGTTTCCAGTGCTTGTGAGACAACTGGGTAATATGTTATTATCCTTCAGACTATTACTAATGCTTTTGTAAATCTGCTATTAAGGTACATGCTTTGCCTTCATGAGGATTTTTTTGCAGATTTAGTGTGTTTCCTCTCTGCTCCACAGATGGGCGAGCATCACTTAGCCAACAATCCAGGAATGACTCTGAAATCTAAAAAGCCTTATGTGAAAGTATTCCAACACATGTAAAATGAATACAGGTACATTGAAAGATAGGGGAGTGCAGAGGGCTTGGGCCACAAGGGGGGATGAGCAGGCATCACCAGGTCCTGCTGTTGACTGTGAGTGAGCACGTGTGAGCATGTGTGTGCATTTATGAGCATGTGCGTGTGACCAGGAGAAGTAACTTCACCTCCCTGTGCCTCGATTCACAAAAGGGCAAACCAGTCACCTCTGGTTTCTCTATAATACGAGATTGCCACGAAGGTGAAATTAGACATGTGGCAGTGTTTTATGAAGTGTTATGCACATGTTAAAGGACTGTTGTTATGACTGAGTCAACTCCCTTAGAATTAGATAACTTTTTATTACAGTTCAGGGCTCTTATTTTTCTGTTTTGCATCCCCGAGCTAATTATTGCAACACCACTCATTTTCATTCAGCAAACTGTATATAAAAAGAATAATTCGTTTTCCTTCATTTATTTTCTTCTGGAGTGCTGAGACAAGTTGAAAAAGTCGTCTTTTTTCACTTGAGACAGATGTTAGTGTAGCACTCTCTGCTTTTTTCAACTCAAGGGAAATGAGTTCCATTAATATTTCCAATGAGAATGGCTTGATGAAGCCAAGGCAAACACCCCGGTGTCCCTCCAATTTCATCTGTGCAGCATGAGCCATTTCTCCTTCCCTGCACACTGCCAGTTTTCTTTTCTGTGTTAGGGTAAAATTCTTAGTCTCCTGTTACCTGTGTCTGTGCTTCCAGTTCCATATATGAAGTGTTAATCTTCTCTTTGGCTTAAGGAATCCCAAGACACCAAAAATATCCATTCATCCCCTGCTTGCTTTTTTCTTTTTCATGGACCTCTTTGACAGTCATTTCTAAGCACAACTTGTAAAGTTGCCAGGACAGTTCTCTTTTAACATTCCAGTGATTCCATTCTTTATTTTTGGTCCAGGACTACACTGCTTGCCATCTACAGCTTCATCCTTAGCATATCCACCTCCTTTTCAAGTCTACATTGAAATTTCAGCACTTCCAAGCCTTCTTAAATCCTTGCTAATAACCCCTTTTGGGAGAAGATGTAAACACGATTTTTCAGTCTTATACACTTTTACATCTTCTCCTTTTAAACTAGGCTTCTAGCCAAAGATTATAGTGTGTCAGTATGATTCCTAATTAAAAAGTTTTGAAAACTAGCCCAAAGGAGAGATTTTCTCATAAGATTTTTTTGTATTATATCCAGAAGTCATGCTGTAAGGATATACTTTTCTGTTGTGCTGATTAGAACTCTCATTTCGTGTCTGTTTCTAAAATTTTGTTTGGGTTTATCCTGGTCTTTTCTTTACAGGAGATTACTTCAGCAGTGTTGTTACTTTGTTTCTTTATTGAACACTTAACACTAAAATCAGTTTTACTGTGTTTGCACATCTTTCAGGAAAGCTATTCATTTCAGGTAACAGCTTTTCTAGAAAGAAGAGAGACTCTCTTGACTACCATCAGCATAGTGAGTAGAGCTCACCTTGCAACTGAACCTTTGAATGTGCCCTAGTGACCATCTGGGATGTAGCACTTTATGGTCTATGAGCAATGTAGATAAAGCAGTAGCTAGGAGGGGAACTAACGTGGGAAAACCCTGATACCATGGAACACACATGAGATGCTGGGTAAAATACGACAGAAATTTTCTAAAAAGTGCATAGTTGAGCTACAAAAAAATTACAGGAAATCTTTAGATGCCAGGAAAGAGGATGAACCCAAAGACATAGTGGTTAGAAAGAATGGAAGCTGCAGTGGCCCACAAGGCTATCCCGATCTGATACATACCTTAGGAGCTGAGAGTTTTAATGTCTGAATCAAGGCTTCAGGACCCCTAACCTCAAAAGAAAGATGGATCTGAGCTCTCAGGACAAGGTCTGAAGCTGGGATGGGCTTTTCCTGTCCCTGCATAATTACCAGAAAATCTCTGCCCATCAGACTTGCTGTTTCACATGGAGTTTCTTGTCTGGGTTCGTGGAGAGAAACAGAAGCCAAAGTGTTTTACATGTAGATCGGGGCCTTACAGTGCCCAACTCACTGTCAGAAACCTGAGCCAGGAAAGTAAAACAACAACACTATCCTACATCTAATAGGAGTTTCAGGGTGCAGCAAAGAAGCCAAATACAATAATCAGAGGGATACTAGCAGATGATTTTCTAGAACTGGAGAAGGTTGTAAGTCCTGGTATTGAAAATACACACTGAATGTCATTGATAGGATTAATATGGATGGTGTAGAATCACAAGGAATTACCAAGTCATAACCATTTCTGTGCTGCTGGAGAAAATTACCTGAAGGTCTACTAGGACAAGATTTTATTTTTACTCATTTTAATTTCTAGAGGAAGGAATTTAGTTACTGTTCATGGAAATATATTAAAACATCTCATAGGAATGCCATAGGGTCATAAGAGATTTTGAGCTGAGAAACATTTTGTATGTCATTGAGTGGGTTTCAGTTTATTAAATTGGGGTCCAGAAAAGCAGATTATCACTCAAGGTCTCATAGATAGGCATAGATAAGACTGGATCCCTGGCTTCTTAACTTATGATTTTCGTTTAAGGTTGAGGTAAATAATATGCTATTTGAAAAATATAAGTAGTTCATTTCTGTTGGATCTGCCTTTGAGATCTGAACACCAGACCTAAGCCATTGGCTGGTATCCTTTTCTGCTTTTAATGAACAAATGATCTGGCATTAGCTAAAACCAGTTTTAAAGCCAAGGATGGCCGTTGGCTTTCTCTTTAGCTAAAAAGGCTTTTATTTTATCTTTTAAAGTCTTGCTAATTGTATTTTCTGAGGCTTTAAAAATTACTGTTTTTTAAAAATTAGCACAAAGGATAAATGGAAACTTTTACTTCTGTCATTGTGCTTTGAAATACAGAAGTTTAGTCTGTATCTAGATTAATAACTCATGATTTTTGTGTTGGCTTATCAGAATACAAAAATCAGTTCTTGCCTATCCAAATTTAAGCACTTTGATAACCTAATTATAATATCTCTTTCTGACATATTAATTTTATGCTAAATATACTTCTTATAGATTCCATGCCAGAACTTGGTCTCAAGGGTATTTGGTAATTCTAATATCTTGTGTGTATTTTGTTCTGTACCAGCATTGCTAAGACTTTAATTCAGATGGCCTGCAATTGGGAAATGATTGTCAGTGAATGTCCAGAAAGGATGAATTGAAGTCTTTTTCCCAATAAAGGAAAATGGGAGTAAATAACTTATGCATGTGTGTGCACACACACACACATGCTTACACATACATCCTCATTTACACACACACACACCCTCACAAACTCATGCCATTCTCTTCCTAAGTGTTTGGTTAGGTGCCTATCACGATAGCATACTTGGCAACTGTACTTAGCAACTAGAAAAGACAGAAGCAGGATATGAATTACACGAGGCTGGTAAGTTTGTTTGTTTGTTTGTTTTGAGACAGAGTCTCACTCTGTTGCCCAGGATGAAGTGCAATGGTGCGATCTCGGCTCACTGCAACCTCCGCCTCCCAGGCTCAAGTGATTCTCCTGCCTCAGCCTCTTGAGTAGCTGGGATTACAGACGCCTGCCACCATGGCTGGCCAATTTTTTTTTTTAATTTTATTTTTAGTAGAGACAGGGTTTTGCTCTGTTGGCCAGGCTGGTCTCAAACTCTTGACCTCAAGTGATCCACCCACCTCTGCCTCCCAAAGTGTTAGGATTACAGGCGTGAGCCACTATGCCCCGCCTGTTTTTGTTGTTATTGTTGTTTGTTTTGTTTTTTTGAGATGGAGTCTTGCTCTGCCGCACAGCCTGGCATGTAGTGGCACGGTCTTGACTCATTGCAGCCTCTGCCTCCTGGGTTGAGGGGATTCTCCTGCCTCAGTCTCCCGAGTAGTTGGGATTATAGGCGTGTGCCACCACACCTGGATAATTTTCTATTTTTAGAAGAGATGGGGTTTCACCATGTTGGCAAGGCTGGTCTCAAACTCCTGACCTCAGGTGATCCACCCGCCTCAGCCTCCCAAAGTGCTGGGATTACAGATGTGAGCCACCGCACCCAGTGGAGGCTGGTAAGTTTTGATCATTTATTTTTACTGAAACAATTTTACTACGACTGCTAGTTGAGATTACACTCTCATTTGGTATTTAGATTGGCATATTTAATATTCTTTATATAAAATTCTGTGTGTGTGTATGTCCCCCTACCAGTGCCTTAAAAATATCAGCACTGCCAAAATGTGATTTGTCAAGAGCACATTAGAACTGCTTTCAATGAAGCTACAAAGAAAACTGAATGTTACAAGTGATTGAATCACGTTATCTGAGTTGTCTTGAGTCTTCTTGATGGTCTGTGGCAGAGAGTGCAATACGCTATGAATGTGGATCCGAAACCAAATGATAAAACAATAACCCTTCCACTTGTTATTGTGAGTTTCAAGTAGGGCAGTATTTTAACTTTTTCAATCAACTGTTTGCAATAAATATGAGTTGAGGATACTTTCAAGGGCTTGTCTTCCATGGGAAGACTTTTCTTGCCCTGATTTTTCCCCTGTGGTGCTGATCTTGGAGCAAATATCTCTTTGAAGTGAGCAGGAATCTTGGAGCTTGAATCAGCGCGTGGGATGAGGAAGAGAACGGTAGAAACCAGACGTTGGTGGCTAGTCACCATCATAAGGCACATTGGGAGGTGAATGCAGTAGTGGCTATGAGATTATAGAGGAGTATAGCATCTAATGAGTGCATAGCGAGGAGAGAGGGGAACACCTTTTAATGAGGCCAGAGACTATTTCCATGTTAAAATACCGTTTTCCCGGTTAGTAAAGATGGAATTAAAAACGAAAAGCAAAAGACATTTTTTCAAAATATTTTTTCATCCTCTGTGAGTGTTTTGAGAGATGTATTGTTCAGCATCCTTATGCTTAAACAATATAATGATTTTAAATGCAATTTCCCGACCTTTTGAATATAAACAGCTACTTTGTAAGGTTTTTTGAGTGTGCACCTCCATAATGCTTTACATGGGAAAGATATTACTTCTTCATGTCTCCATTTACTTCATACAGATTTATACATTTAAGATCATTTGCAGTGACACATTTCAATACCCCAGAGATTTTCTTTTAGTGTCAAGTTTATATCCAGAGAGAGAGAGAGAGAGAAAGAGTGAGAGTATGTATGTATGTGTGTGTGTGTGTTTAAGGTTTAAAGCAAGGTTTATAAAAATGCATCAGGAGACATAAACATTTTAGTTTGAAACTGGAAATGAAAGTTGTTAGCTCATAAGTAAATACCTAAAATATAGCATATTAGAATAAATTTAAGTAAAGTTATTTAAAAAGTAATATTGCACAGTATATCTGCAATGTCAGGAATCACAGGGAGTTGTATGTAGCTAACATTCTATCATTTTCCCATTTCCTGACTTGGTAGACTGAAGGGTGACCCAAAGAATCAGACTGAAGGTTCTCACTGATCCTTGGACTCACCCATTTCCTGCCTTACAGTTCACCAAATAATTAAGAAAATCAAAACAAAATGGAATGACAGCAAAACTACTGGTTAAATAAGCTCTAAAAAGCAATAAATACCAATGGCACCCAACCTAAATTATTTTATTGAGAACTGACTTGACAATGAAAAGATGTTTGAGTACCCAAAATAAGAACTGATAACTGAATATCTGAATATCAGTTCATCAGACTTTTTGATTTAAGGGCTCAAAAGCCAAAGATGGCCCAGAGGGCCGGGCACAGTGGCTCACACCTGTAATCCCAGCACTTTGGGAGGCCAAGACGGGTGGATCACCTGAGGTCAGGAGTTTGAGACCAGCCTGACCAACATGGCAAAACCCTGTGTCTACTAAAAATACAAAAATTAGCCAGGCATTGTTGCATGTGCCTGTAATCCCAACTACTTGGGAGGCTGAGGCACAAGAATTGCTTGAACCTGGGAGGTGGAGATTGCAGTGAGCTGAGATCGTGCCACTGCACTTCAGCCTGGGCAACAGAACAAGACTCTGTATTTTAAAAAAAAAAAAGGCTAGCAATGTCGGAGCTAAATCACATGAGCACAAAAGACATAGTGAAAATGTTTTCATGGCAATGGGTGTTGAAAGATTTGATTTAAAAAGTTCAGGCTAACTCAGCTGCACTGAGGGGTGGCAAACTAGGGTGAAAGGAAGGTCTTCTTAAAGCAGGATTCTGTAGAAAAAAGTAGAGATGAACATTCCTCCCACCCAGTCAAGTGTGCCTGGTTAGGACTGTGATTTGGTGGTATGTGCAATATCCAAAGTAGTCATTCCATAATGATAAGACAATCATAGGATTTAAATTAAAGTAACATTTATTTCCCTTCCAAAATATCGTATCTCTAGAATATTGTTCCTTCCTATCTATTTTGTTTTGATATAATTCAAAGACAGTATCTTGATATATATGTGATTTGTTTATAGATTGTAAATGTACTCGACTATTAGCAGTTGGAAAACTGATAAAGCAGTTGGTGCAAGTGGTGTCAGATTTCTAGTGGATCTGATTGCTGGTAGATTGGAGAGGACTGGGGGACCCACTCATTTAAAAAACATGGTGAAACCCCATCTCTACTAAAAATACAAAAAATTAGCTGGGCGTGGTGGCAGGTGCCTGTAATCCCAGCTACTCAGGAGGCTGAGGTAGGGGAATCGCTTGAACCAGGGAGGCGGAGGTTGCAGTGAGCCGATAATCATGCCACTGCACTCCAGCCTGGGCGACAGAGCGAGACTCTGTCTCAAACAACAACAACAACAATGTCAAAAAACAGCTGCAATCATGGAGACAGAGCACTGGACTTTCTTTTTTGCTGAACAACATTTCAATCTTATTTATACAAATTTTATTTTCAGTAATGTTTCAGTAGTATCTTTAACAAGGAAAGGGGAATAGATCATGGTGTTATCCAACATTGGAAAGGAAATGTCTTCATCACAACTGTTCCTTAAAAGTCAAAATTGTTTATAAAATGTCTTTCAGTAAAAAATGAAATTAAATCTAAAAGATTTAGAATTTTCTTCTGGTAGAAGGCACTAGGAAATACATGTAGATAACTAGATAAAATGATGTTAAAAATCACTTAGTAATATTTGATGCTTGAAGTGTTTGGTATTTATCTTAAGTTTATATATTTGCATAAATATGGGCACATGCTGAGGAACCACTTTAAATAAACATATCTGGGTTTAGTGTTTTATATGCCTTTTTGGATAACTAAATGCATATTGCTGATTTTTTTTCATAATCTTAGTGTATCATGAATCAATTTAGTAGTTTTATGTTTATACATTTCTTGAAATTTTATTTTAGAATATAGTAAAATCTCATTAAATTATAATGTGTTAATTATTATAAATGTGACTATGTCTGTAGAAACTATGCTGTGGTGTGAATGTTTATGTCCTCCCCAAATTCATATGTTAAATTCCTGATCCCCAAAGTGATGGTATTAGGAAGTAGGGCCTTTGAGCCATGATTAGGTCATGAGGGCGGAACCTTCGTGAAAGGATTAGTGCCCTTATAAAAGATAGCCCAGAAAGCTACTAGCCCTTCCATCATGTTAGGACACAGTGAGAAGGCCCCATCTATAAACCAGGAAACAGGCTTTCACCAGGCACCAAAACTCTAGAACTTCCCAGCCTCCAGAACTGTGAAAAAGAAATTTATATTGTTTGTAAGTTGTCCTGTTTGTGGCATTTTATTATGGCAACCTGACAAAACTAAACAGACAACATGGTTTCTTATGTGCTATAAGCTTGATGTAAATTGCTTTCTTTGGCATTTTGACACAGAAATATAAATTCAGTTCACTGAACTTCTAGGCACTAACTATGGATCTTGTAATTCAGTGCTGAGTATAGAGTATGTGAGAGGTGTAGAGTAGGAAGGAAACTGTTCTTTTTGAGTTTACATTCTTGAGAAACCATACCGGTTAATTTTCTACCAATTATGAAAGGAAGGGTTGTAATATAGGATATCATTATCTCTTTTCCTCACATTTGAACAGGCGTCTTAGTTCCTGCTGCTGTAATAAATTACTGTAGATTAGCTGGCTTAGACAAAAATTTATTTCTCACAGTTCTGGAGACTGGGAAGTCCAAGATCAAGGTGCTGGCAGCTCTGGTGTCTGTTGACAGGGGTTGGGGGGCGGGGAAGAGAGAGAGAAAAAGGAAGCTGTCTTGTGTCTCTTCCTCTAAGAGCACTAATCGCGTTCGTGAGGGCTCCTCGTTTATGACCTAATTACCTCCCAAAGTCCCCACCTCTAAATACCATCATGTTGGGGATTAAGATTGTTTTTTTTTTTAAGTTCAAAGTTTTAATCCAAATTTGGATGGGGACTAGGATTTTAACATATAAATTTGGTGGTGGAGGCACAAACATTTAGTCCATAGCAACAGGCTTTTCCAGATTTGGCTTTTGAATTTGATATGATCTTGGGGAAATTACTTTTCTTTCAGTAGAGATTTGTTATTGTAAATAATACTCTCCATTCTAGATTTTTGACACATAAGTTTTTGAGAATTAAAACTTTTTAAACTAACTAAAAATGCAATGTGTGTGTGTATACACATATATATATGTGTGCGTGTGTGTGTGCATGTATGTGTGTATATATATACCCATATATATGTATACGGGTTTTTTTTTTTTTTTTTTTTTTTTTGGAGACAATGTCTCATTCCATCACCCAGGCTGGAGTACAGTGGTGCAATCAAGGGCCGAGGCTCATTGCAGTATTGTCTGCCCAGGCTCAATTGATCCTCCTACCTTAGCCTCCTGAGTAGCTGGGACTACAGGCATGCACCACCACGCCTGGCTAATTTTTTGTATTTTTAGTAGAGATGAGATTTCACCACATTGCCCAGGCTGGTCTCAAATTCCTGGGCTTAAGTGATCTGCCCACCCAGGCCTCCCAAAATGCCAGGATTACAGACATCAACCGTGTTGCGTGGCTTGAATTGTATGTTTTAATTTATGCAAACCTGATGTGAAATGCCCAAATTTATTATTATTTGAGATGGAGTCCCACTCTGTTGCCAGGCTAGAGTCCAGGGGCGTGATCTCAGCTCACTGCAACCTCCGCCTCCCGGGTTCAAGCAATTCTCCTGCCTCAGCCTCCCGAGTAGCTGGGACTGCAGGCGTGTGCCACCATGCCCAGCTAATTTTTGTATTTTTAGTAGAGACGGGGTTTCACCATGTTGGCCAGGATGGTCTCCATCTATTGACCTCAGGTGATCCACCTGCCTTGGCCTCCCAAAGTGCTGAGATTACAGGCGTGAGTCACCACACTCGGCCCCAAATTATTTTTAAAAGATGAATTGAGATAGGATGAAGGAAATTAAAAAAATAGACATACTTAAGTATACTGATTATATAATGAAGTAAGTATATGTGTGTGTGTGCATGTGTGTGTTCACCAGCACCTAGAATGTGATTCTAGTTATGAAAATGTAGTACAAGGCATCTAAACAAAATACAAGTAGGTATTAAATGTTTAAAAATGTTTCACATGTTGTATTGAATATTCTTATTGCATTAATGATTATAATGGTTATAGACACTAACAGTGTTAAACATCAATATACTTGTAAATATGCTTGTTTATGCCTTTGTGTATCTGTTCTGAATTTTCATTACTGAAACAAAAGTAATGTTATTCATCTGATGAAAATGATTATTTTTTATACCTTTTTCTTTGTTGTAGTTTTGCTATCTGTGTAGACAGAAATTAGCTTATTTTAAAAAAGGAAAAAGATCATTTCATGCTAAAAATCCATATCAATGTGAAAAAGTTAGAAATTTCAGAGGAACAAATGCCATTGCAACTATAATTCTCCTAAGCATGATTGACATTGTAAGGGGTAATATTTAATATATGATAATTTCTCATTTACATATGCACTAGAGTCAGATTGCAGCTGCACTGGGAAATATAATTTTTATATTTTATGAATGGAATATTTCTGTTGTAACACACAACATTTTACTATGTTACTGTATTTACTTGCTGGGACTGCTGTAACAAAGTACTACAAACTGGGTGGCTTAAATAACAGAAATTTATTGTCTCACAGCTCTAGAGGATAGAAGTCTGAAATCCCCAGGCAGATTTCTTCTAGAGCTGTGAGACAATAAATGAGAGAATGATCTATTCCAGGCCTTTTTCCTTGGCTTGTAGATGGCTATCTTTTCCATATGTTTCTTCATATTGCATTCCTTTTATGCATGTCTGTCATTAGATCTAACATTTGTCTTTTTGTAGGGATATCAGTCTTATTGAATTAGGATCCACCCTAATGATCTCACTTTAACGTGTTTACCTCTGTAAAGACCCTATCTCCAAATAACATCACATTCTGAGTATTGAGGATTAGGACTTAAGCAAATGATTACTTTGAAGGGAACCATGATTCAACCTGTTACAGTCACCACTGTTTTGTATCTGGTGCACAAAAGTACTTCCCTGCTAGGGTTAAAAGAACTGAATATGTTGTAAGGTATAATGAGTCACAGTTGATTTCCTTGAGACTTTTGAATGATGAGATATATGTAAGAATAAAGCATTATGACTGTTGTTTAGTTTTTAAATGCCAACATTAGTTTTAAGATGGCTGAGAGGACTCGGAATGGGTGAATTCATTTGGGGGGATATTATCCTATTATTTCCACAGCTAGTGTTTAGAAGATTTACTAGACTAACATTCTGACACTAATACTTTATACTGCCTAAAATGCCTTTAGCATACCACTTACATTTGTCTAGGGGAGTTCATGAAAACCAGATTTTTAGTAAGCTTCTACAAATAATTCATCATGGATGAAAGGCAATCACATTGCAAAAGCGCTTACTTCTGCTTATCATGAGTGTTTTTTATTATCTTTTTGCATCTGAGACAAATGTGTCAAGAATTTCATCAAAAGCTTAATGCATTACAATCACGTTCTCCTCCAACATACAGATCACTGTGGATTCCATAACCAGAATTCTAAGAAAGTATATAGCAACTCTATTGTTATTCAGTTGTAAGAGACATAGTAAAGTGTAATAATTCCAAGAGACTGTAGAAGCACTAGCATTAAATATTAAACATTTAAATGAGGAAGTGCTGATTAATTCATAATATTCTGAGCAGCTCATGAATGTTTAATACTCATATCTTGCCTTGATTGGATATTATTTAACTGAAGCCATGGTCACTATAGAACTACTTAGTTACCATTTTAAATTACAGACCCAGTTTACAAAATGATTCGTTTTATTTTAGGTAAATACTAATTTGAACTTCTCACCTTTTTTTTGTTCAATGTTTCATAAACTAGAGCAGAATGAAAAATTAAAGGTTTATCTGTTAAACATTTTAAGCCATAGTTATCTTAAAAAGTTGTAGTTGAGGTTAAGTTTGCATAGTTTTAATAAGTGAGTAATAATAATAGTTTTAATTAGTTTTAGTAAGTAAAAGTACCTTAGGATAACTTTACATTGATTTCAATTTTTAGGTGTTCTACTATCATTAAGTAGATATTATTCAGCACCTATTATGCGCTCAGCACTGGGAAAACAGTAGCACTGAACAAGGCAAACACAGTCAGTGCTTTATGAAGCTTCTGGTCTTTTGAGAGATTTAGAGATTGAACAAGTAATCACAGCCATGCATTGCTTAACAATGGGGATGTATTCTGAGAAATGTGTCATTAGCAATTTTGTCATTTTGTGAACATCAGAGTGTACGGCACTTACAAACTTAGATGGTGCAGCCTAGGAGACACCTAGGCTGTGCAGTCCAGCCTTGTTGCTCCTAAGCTAAAACCTGCACAGAATATTACTGCACTGAATACCAGAGGCAATGGTAACATAATGGTAAATGTTTGTGTATCTAAAGATACCTGAATGTAGAAAAGGTACCGTAAAAATATGGTATTATCATCTTAGGGGACCATTGCCGTATATGAGGTCCATCACTGGCCAAAATGTCTTTACGTGGCTCTTGATTGTACTCAAATAATTATTTAATTACAGTATGGTAAGTGCTAAGCAGGAGGAGTGTGAGGTTTTGAGGGAATATTTAATGGAGTTTGTAACCTGGTTACGGGGATTAGGGAAATCTTCCCTGAGGAAAAGGAAGTATCATGTGGCTTGTTGGCCAGAGGAACAGCTAGAAGGAAGAGCATTCTTTGCAGGGAGGGGGACCATACATGAAGGCCTGAAGGCTCGTCTGTCTTCGGTAGGGGGTAAACTGAATCAGGTATGAAGGCCAAAATAATACTACAGTTGAGAACTGGTTTTCTTAACAGATTAGGATCAGCTGTTGGAAAGTGTCTGAGAGGCCTAGAGAATCAGGAGTGTAATCTCTGTAATAATGGATTATGAGTGTTCATGGTCAAGACTGATCCTAGGTAAGGGAATAAAATGACAGGATTTCTTTGGCAGGGGTTGGGTTAGGTGAATTTTGTCAATTTTGTCAAATTGGTCAATTTTGTTCTGCTGTTCTTTCCCCTTGTAGGTCTTTTGAGAGCTCCCTCTGGGAGCTCCCAGTATTTGCCATGTAATTCAGAGACTCTTGCTATTTGTAGCTTCTCTTTGTGTGAGTTGTTTAACTCTTGTCACAATTCATCTTGTAATTGTATTTTGCAAGTGAACTGGAGGCACTGCCAGGTAGAACTACAAGGACATCCGTAGGTGTTTTTTTTGTTTGTTTTTTAATAACATACCTGGGGACTGGGATTTTTTACTTCTCAGGGAGCAAGCATGACAGACTCTTCCTTCAAAGTCTTTGGTAAAGGGATTATGGGGTCACAAAGGTACTGGTTGGCTCTGTTAACCCAAACCGAAACAGCCTGGGGCCATATCAAACACCCAAAGCGTAGCCAGTGTCAGGATTTTCAGTGGTTTCTTTACTTACATCCCAGTCTGCAAAACACCAGGGGTGAGTGGCTGAAGATCCCCATTTTTGGCTCACTTTGCCACATTGGAAGCCAACCCAGCCCATGACCTGGCAACCTACTGCTCTGCACCTGCTAGAATTTTATCAGTCAGGGATTCAATTTCAAGAGACAAGAGGCATAACTGTAGTACAGCTGGCTTCCTAAGTCCTCACTTACAAGATGGGCATCCTCTCCTTTTTCTTCTCAGCCCAGAATAACACCATCAAAAGGAAGAAGTCAGAGGGCTCCTTAATGGTCCTGACGTAATCCAATGTAATGTATCCATTCCTGACTTACATCACCCTTCCTTGAACTGGACTTGGCTGTCTCTGGGCCTGCAAGTCTTGTTCTGCCATCCTTTGGCAAAGGACCGAAGGCAGTATGTCTTCCAAGGAGAACACGGTGTCAGAGTGTTCTTCCTCCTCTGGGCTTAGTAAACTTAGAAATTTGATCTAGGAGTCCCAGTCACTGTTCACCTACTGTCCTCCACACGCCTAGTATTTCTATGTAGAAAAAAAATCAGTTTTTTCTTATGATTTATTCTTATTCTTATGGTTTATTAATTAATTTCTTTATTAATAAGAATTACTGCTACCACTACTATAGGGCCACTGGTCTAGTTTGCCACAGTTTTTTCTCCATTCGCCTGCAGTAAGTAAGGGTTTCTCAAGTTTCTGGAGGCAATAGGTTCATCTAGGAGTTCCAGCCCCTGTTTGATCTCCAGTCCTACTATAGCCATCAAATCTCTAGAGGTCTGGCTTGGCTAGTGTGTGGTGCTGAAGCATTAAACCAGTCTGACCAGGTTCAACATTATCTTGGCATCCATAAAGGACTCTAAATTTTAAGGGAACAGTTATCTATGGATGTTGTGGGGAAACTAGTAATTTCCAATTCTTTTTTTTTTTTTTTTTTTTTGGAGACAGAATCTTGCTCCATTCCCCAAGCTGGAGTGCAGTGGCATAATCTCAGCTCACAGCAACCTCTGTGTCCTGGGTTCAAGTGATTCTCCTGCCTCAGCCTCCCAAGTAGCTGGTATTACAGGCACCCGCCACACCCAGCTAATTTTTGTATCTTTAGTAGAGACAGGGTTTCACCATGTTGGCCAAGCTGGTCTCAAAGTCCTGACCTCAAGTGATCCAACCACCTCTGCCTCCCAAAGCACTGGGATTACAGGCGGGACCCACCGTGCCTGGCCTCATTACTTCTAAGTGGAGCTTTTTAGATTCAAGTTTTGTGAACTCACCTAACACTTCTCTGGAGGGTATAGTTAGTCCTCAGGAGTCTATTCTCCCCAAATTTGCACATTTAATTTGAGTGCAGCCTCAAGAAGGTCTCATTAAATTTCCATGTTATGCCACTGAACATCATGGCTTCCCCTTCATTAAATCTCCTGCACAAAGCTTTACATGATTATTCTAACAGGCCGGTGGTCAGGATGTAAATGTGTTTCCGGCTCAGGGCAGCTGTCACAATTTTAATACAAGTGGTGTCCCATCTTATCTCCAACTTGGTACCCACTCCTGTTACATCCACTATGACCAAGGCTAAACTTGCCTTCTTTCTAGCAAGGGAGCAGCTTTTCTATTTTGAGAGAGAAAACTAGGTTTTCAATGATACGGTTATTCTTATCCCATCACATTATTTATTGTATTCAATTTAGAAGAAAGTCATTGACTTCACTAAATCCTTTAAGTGTACACTTATTTCTGGCTATGTCTGTACAGTGACACCAAAAAGTATAAATGATTCTTTGAGTTTTGATTCTTGAGACAATCCTAGTTGGTGTTTGTTTACTAAGAAACAAAGCAGTGGTTCTCCAACTTTACCACTTTTAAGAATTTTTTTTTTTTCTGAGATGGAGTCTTGCTCTGTCGCCCAGGCTGCAGTGCAGTGGCGCAATCTTGGCTCACTGCAACCTCCACCTCCTGGGTTCAAGCAATTCTCCTGCCTCAGCCTCCTGAGTAGCGGGGACTACAGGCACGTGCCACCACTCCCAGCTAATTTTTGTATTTTTAGTAGAGATGGGGTTTCACCATATTGGCCAGGATGGTCTCAACCTCTTGACCTTGTGATCCTCCTGCCTTGGCCTCCCAAAGTCCTGGGATTACAGGCATGAGCCACCACACCCAGCCAAGAATTCTTTGAATACCTATTAAACATCCATCTTCCCTGGGTCTTCCTCTCTTCCATTCCCACATTCTGCCGGGAATTCTGCTTCTTAGATTTTTGGTAAGCATTGAAAATGTGCATTACTAACAAGTCCCCTAAGTGATTTATTTAAAAGTGTTCTGTAGACCACACTTTGAGAATCATTGAGCTAGGAAATGTCTCTCTCATTATGCTAAGTAAATAAGCCAGACACCGAAAGACAAATACTCTGTGATCTCATTTATATATGTACCCTAAAATATTCAAGCTCACAGAAGCAGAGAATAGAATGGGGGTTGCCAAGGGATTGTCGGGGAGGGTGGAAGATGTTGGTTAATGGGTACAAAGTTCCAGTTAGACGGGATAAATAAATTCTGGAGATCTACTATACAGCATGGTGACTGTAACTATTAATTATTGTATCCTTGAAAATTGCTAAGTTAGCAGATTTTAAATGTTCTCACCACAAAATTATAAGTATGCGAGGTGATTGATGTTAATTTTAAAAAGTATCTCTTAATAAGTGTTATAGGCACAAATTTAGTTTTTGCTTTATGAAAATGTATAGTGTGTAAAATACAGTAAATCAAATTGTATTTTAATTCTTAAAACTATGCTAATACTTAATATATTAGTAATTACATATAATTTATTATATAGTAAATATAATGATAATATAGTATTTTGACATTATGATGTACATGTCAGCTTTATTTAAAGAGATACTGATGCCTTGCAAGTTCTCTCTCTCTGTCACAGTGGTCTAGTGTTCTGCGGATCCCTGAAACAGTCTGATAATGTTACCAGTTTACTCATAGCCTCTTTTGTAACTTTTTAGTTTCCAAAAGTCACCAGCTCTTTGATTACCAGGGAAGTAGTAAACAAATGTTCATTGTTAAATGTTATGAGTTTATATATGTGTTTGGACTAGAATCTTGACAGCAGTGATTTCTGGATGATGATGTTTCAAATAATTTTATCTTTTTTCTAGAACATTTAAAATTTTTTTCAAAATTTTAGAATGAGTAGACATTAAATTTATGATTAGAAAACATTTAACTTTATTTTAATACATGAAAAATAATTTTCATTTGACTAGGTATGGTTGAAGATAGAAACTAATAAAATAAAATAGATATTCCAAATAAGAAATCAATTAGCTCTAGATGGGGGTTTTACTTGTGAGTTTGACTGAATGGGGAGAAAGCCAGTCTGCTTTAAGAGGAAAGAAATGGTTTGTATTCTTCCATGCCCTTCGAACAATCTTGACAACTGATATTTGTCTTAATAAGTTCACTTACCTAAAAATGTTTTACCTACCACTTAAAGGAAACACAGGAGGATTTGGGATTTATGGTCAGAGTAAGTCTAGTAGAAACTTGAATACATCTTTCTCTTTTTCTAGATGTGTTAAAACTCTCCCAAGGTGACAGTTATGGAAGTCTAAGCTCTTCTGAGGGGTAGTATGTCTTAGAGAAATTGTACCAGTCTCGTGTCAGTCTCGTGTCAACCTGATGGTGAGGGGGCAGGAAGGGAAGGGGAGGTGACCCAGGGGTAATAACATCCAGGGAGGAAGATTTGGGCCTTGAACGCTTATTGCGTAGAAGCTAACCTCAATTCATTCTTGACCTTTAGAATTAGAGGTTACTATTAATTTAGCAATGAAGTTTCCAGGCTTGGATGGAATCCAAAATGTCCTTCAAAATGTTAGAAAGCAGGCAAAAGCATAACAAAGGAAGGAAATAGTACTCACAGCTGATATCTCATAAGATTATTTCACTAACAAAATAACTGTGGAAACTTTTGGTTTCAGGTATCTCTTCTCTGAATCCATTATCCAATCAATCACCCAGCCAATCCACCACCAAAGGAAGCAATTTTATTGAATCTGGAAGCAAATTAAAGCAATTTGGTTCCTTTCAGGTTTCAGATTTGGTTATTTTATCAGGGATATGAGAGGTTTATGCCTCAAGGTGCTCCCAGGCCAGCCCTGGAACTCTACTGGGTGCTGCAGGGAATGAGAGCTTGGGGGTCCACATAAGGGGATATGGAAAGGATAGCAGCTGCTGGACAGCAGAGATAGTCGCAAGACAGGAGGTTGATGCCATAGTACAGTATACTTTGTGTTTTTAGTGATTACTTTCAGTAACCACGTTCTTGACAAGAACTTAATGCCCATTGTATGGTAGTTTTAAGGTTGTAATAACAAATCTAATAGTTTGAACACATAACTGTTGTATGTATTCAATTATTCATAATAACGGACCATACAGCCTTCTAGAAAAATTCATATAAATCGTTTTATTTAATTCCTGAATCACAGTAACCCTCTTTTACAGATAAGGAGAGTGAAACTCAAAGAGGTCATGTAGCCCTAGGCAACCCAGCCAACAAGTAGTGAAACTTGGTCTTGGAGCGCTTTTGCTTTCCAGATGAGCCTTCCTCCAACCCCAGTAAATTACCGAGGCAAATACTGGGAAGATTAAAATGGTTTTTTGTTCATATTTCTTTCCATTTTTTTGGACTGGGTATATGTATAAAACATCAACCATTAACGAATGGCTTCTTAATGTATATCATGGATATAGAAAAATAATAAATAATATACATGTACAGATTGTTGAGTTTTCACGAACTAAACAGGCCCATGTAACCTTCATCCAGTTCAACAAGCAGAACATGTATAAATATGCTTTTAAACAGAATTGGATCCTACCATTACATAGAATTTGGTCTCCTACTTTTTCCACTTAACATTTTATTGTCAAATATTTACCACATTAGTATGTATCTCTCACAAACAAGCTTTTTAATGGCTACATGATAGATCCTCAGGTGATTGTACAATAATTAATATAACCATCCTTTGAACATTGAACATTTAGGCTGTTCCAGTTTTTCATTACTGTAAATAGCATTGTGGTATATAGTATTAAACATAAATCTCTGGCTGTGTGTTTATTTCCTTAGGATACATTTGTAAAAGTGTAATTGCTAGATCAAGGAGCATGATTATTTTAAAGGTCTTGATGCATATTGGCAAAGTACACAAAGAATGGTTATACCAACCCACCACTGTTCATGAGTGCTCATATTCTAATACTGGTTCATTTCATCATATGTGCGTGGTATGCATGTGTGTGTGTTTGTGTCTGTCTGTATTTATCTTGGGCTTTTTGATAGACAAAAATTTTTATCTGACTACTGTTGGGATTTTCTTTCATTGTTAATGAGGTTAGTATATTTTTATATGTTTATTGAACATGTTGCTTCATTTTTCTATTTATTTTCTATCTAATCACTACAAAATTATACCTTACTTATTTTCTTTAATTTATTTGGAAGATAAAAGCTTATAAAACTGTATGGCTGGGCACAGTGGCTCACACCTGTAATCCCAGCACTTTGGGAAGCCAAGGTGGGCCGATCACCTGAGGTCAGGAGTTCAAGACCAGCCTGGCCAACATGGTGAAACCCTGTCTCTACTAAAAATACAAAAAAATTAGCCAGGCGTGGTGGCGGGTGCCTGTAATGCAAGCTACTTGGGAGGCTGAGGCATGAGAATCACTTGAACCCGAGAGGCAGAGGTTGCATTGAGCCGAGACTACGCCATTGGACTACATACAGCCTGGGCAACAAGAATTAAATTCTGTTTCAGAGAAAAAAAAAAAAGCTTATAAAACTTTAGGAGAATGACTTTTTTAGCTCATAAAAATTTGGGAAAGTAATGAAATAAGTTTTCCCTTCATGATCACCTTTTTCAAAGCATCTATATAACTGTTTTCGAGAAAAATCATCTACTCCCGAAAGCTGCTCTAGATAGATCCAGGTGACATTTGAGTCTTAATTGACATATCTAATTGACACATTGTTTCCTCACAGATGACTGAGGTCCTAATGTGGTGACTCATTTATTCAAGAGGGTCAGACTACGATTCCTGTATCTGAAAAATAAATAATGTTGGAAGATAGTATGTATTTGAATCAGTGAAACACAACATAATTAGATAATTCAGTTATTATTAGAAATTTGCACATCCCTATTTATAATATTTCCCATTTGGAGAATAGGATTAGACAAGGTTTTAGATCATTTTTTCACCTTTTGAGAAATATGATGTGAAATTTAAGGATTATAAGTAAAATTAAAATAAAAATTATATCAAAGGTTTTACAGTTGGCTATTCAGTATATGAAAAAATTTTGATATTAAGGTTGTTTCTCAGTCTTTAGAGGTATATTTCTAAAAACATGTCTGGGAGACACAATATAGGAAGCCTTAATTTCAGAAACTAGGGTTTTTCTTTTTTTTTCTTTTTTTGAGATGGAGTGCAATGGCGCAATCTCGGCTCACTGCAACCTCCACCTCCTGGGTTCAAGCGATTCTCCTCCTCAGCCTCTTGAGTAGCTGGGATAACAGGCATGCGCCACCACACCTGGCTAATTTTTGTATTTTTAGTAGAGACAGGGTTTTACCATGTTGGCCAGGCTGGTCTCTAACTCCTGACCTCAAGTGATGTGACCACCTTGGCCTCCCAAAGAGCTGGGATTACAGGCATGAGCCACCACGCCCGGCCAGGAACTAGGGTTTTTCTAAAGTAGCTTTTGCATGAAGGCAGTTGAATTTTAATAAAATAAAAAATTCATTCACAAAAATGAAGGTTAGTGGGGATGGGGTGAAAGATCTGTGTCTCATTGTCAGATATATCTCTATTTGCCTCTGGTGTTTATACTGAGCCTGGTTAGTGAGCAGAGGCTGCCAGGACTGGCAGATTGTGCTGTGTCTTGTGTTACACGAACAGCTAACCTGCAATTCTGAGCTTATTAAGATGAGACCATTTTAACATATTTGTTTTAATCTCTATGTCAGAATTCTGATCTCCAGATGTTATAAGCATTAAGCCATTCTTTCATCTTTTGTAAATAAATTTTCCAGAATATTCTGTGTTGTTGAGAGTACCTGGACATTAGCTGAGTTTTACCTGTTATTCTTTACATTTTGATGTTAGCTAAATCCAGTTTTTCCCCATCATTTCATAAATGTTTCTCATAAAATAAAGACATACATGGTTTTTACAGTTAGAAGAGACCTTCAAGATCACATCATCCTTTAGATCCTCAAATCCAAATGCCTTCCAGGGCCAATAATATCCATATGACCTTATCAGGGATAATATAGTAGGAAGTGATAATGACTACACAAACTAGAAAGTATAAACCCAGCCTAAAGGCATCAAGTTTTAAAGTTTATTCAAACACTGTGCTATCCCAACAAAACATGTCTGTGAGACACATTGGCCTGTAGGCCTCCAAATTGCAGTCTCTAATCTTTTTATTTTAAAGATAAATTGATCTTTCTAGTAAAGTTAGTGTGACAGGTGATTTGAGACCAGGTTTTCTTTCTTCTAATGAATTGATTAATTAAATATCTATTGCGTGCCCACTTCTGTCAGATATTTTCATTTATTTATTTTATTTACTATATACATGCCATCACTTACAAAAGCAAATTTAAGGCTAAGGACAATAAATACACACATTCACATCCATAAGGAGGGTAAAATAAAGATGAAAAAGATATTTAAAAACCACAGGTGAAAAAGAGCTAAAATTTTAGAAGAAGCTCAAGGTGAACATGGTAACCAATTTTTTTAAAAGAACAAATGAAATAAAAGATTATCTAGAAGTATCTTATGCTAACTTTTGATAACATTAATTGGTTAATGGATATCCTTGGAAATAGTTCAAAGCAAATATAGTTGTAAACTGAGTGAACACATGGAAAGTTAGGGAACTCTTATCTGCTATGATTGCATAAGAAATAGAATTTTACCAGGAAAGTGTGTGTGTGTGTGTGTGTGTGTGTGTGTGTCTGTCTGTCTGTCTGTCTGTGTGTGTGTGTGCGTAGGAATTTCCCAGTAAAAGAAACAGCAGATTTCTTGGGGGAGGGAAAAGTTGGGGGAGGGAAAAGTTAAGTGTGGATAGAACAATGAGGGCATTTATTGTTCAAGATGAGGCTGAATAGTAAGCAAGGATTTGTCGGCCATTGCTGAGGATTTTGTCTTATATCCAAGGAATAAATAGAAGGGAATTAGAGGTTTAACCTGGGGGTATGAATGAGGAAGAAGAGTCCCATGATCAAATTTACCTTTTGAAAAGACCACTGTGGCTGCTATGTGAAGAGGCACACTAGAATGAACACTGAAACACCAGTTAGAAGCCAGGCGAGGTGCAGTGGCTCACACCTGTAATCCCATCACTTTGGGAGGCTGAGACAGGCAGATCACTTGAGGTCAGGAGTTCAAGACCAGCCTGGCCAACATGTTGAAACGCCATCTCTACTAAAAATACATTAATTAGCTGGGCATGGTGGCGCACACCTATTATCCCAGCTACTTGGGTGGCTGAGGCACGAGAATTTCTTGCACCTGGGAGGTGGAGGTCTCAGTGAGCTGAGATTGTGCTACTGCACTCCAGCCTGGGTGACAGAGTGAGACTCTGTCTCAAAAAAAAAAAGCCATTGAAGCAATTCATGCAAGATGAATAGGGAGGTAATAGAGCAGATAAACAGACTTGAGATTTGAATCAACATCAGATGTATTTAAGAGATAAAATTGGCAGTATTAGGAATGGGTGTGGTTGAGGGTGGGAAGAGAGAGAGAGACATGTTAAAGGTGATTACAGTCCTTGGGTTTTGCACTTGGTTGAACAGCTGTGCCCCACAGGGAGGTGGGGAATACTGAGAAAGGATCAAATTGGGAGTGGTGGAATAGAGGGTGTTTTTATGCCCCATAAGGTCAGGGGCACAGACTTATTCACTGATGTCTCTGAACTCCAGAACAGTTCCTGACACACAGTAGGTACTCAATAAGTATGTTACATAATTATGTATTCAGGTTTAGGCAGGTTGAATTTAAATGTCATTGAGACATTCAAATGGTGATGTCAAATACGGGTCTAGTCTTACTGGTCTTACAGGGAGTTAAGCTGGAGCTTAAAGGAGGGAGATTTGGGATCCTTTGGCATGTAGATGGCATGTAAGATGCTGCAACTGCCTGGAAGTAGGAATAGAATAGGAGTGGAAGAGGGCCTAGGACAGAGTCTTAAATAATACTGGCCTTTAGGGTTGGGGAGGTATCAGCCAATAAAAGACAAGAAGGAATTTCCAGTTATGCAGGAAAAAAAAAATGAGGATGAGGCTCATAAAAGCTAAGGGAAGAGAGTAGACCGGGACAGAGGAGTCAAGTAAGATGAGAACTAAAATGCCGTTGAATTTAGCACCATGAAGGTCATTAGTGACGTTAGTGAGAGCTGTTCTAGTGGAGCATTTGAGATGGAAGCTTACTTTGGAATTGACTGAAAAGTAAATGGGGATTGAGGGAAGAAATGCAGCAGTATGGAGGCAAAAGATATGCACATTTGATCACTTACAAAATATGATTACAGACCAACTAAAAACCTAGGAGATTCCAGAAACTGGAATGTACTTCAACACAAATTCTTGGGATACAGATAAATGTCATTCACTTATTCACCAAACATTTATGAAGCACTCGGTTCCAGGTCTTGTGCTAAAGAAACATGTCAGTCTGATGGCTTTTCTTGTGTAGCCACAGTGATTGGAGATGTCTTTGGCTTTGCACTTTAGCTGCTAGTTGTTCTATTTAAACGTCTAGGTAAGTAAATAGGTTAAAGTGCTCTCCTGTGTAGGACCCTTCCTAGTGTGGTTCTGTCTTCAAAGACTATGATTCTCACCTAGAGCAGATGAGGTGAACATTCTTCTTATTCCCATTCCCATTCTGGAATCCTTTTTGCCTCTAGATTAATGGGAATCCAACATCAGTGAAGTGCCCTTTGCTGCTGCTGCCAGCCATTCTGACTCCAGAGCCGGTGAATAGGTGCTGCTTCCATCACTAGGTGGAATAACAGGAGCATGTGCTGCCAATCAGCATGGTTGCCTAGCAACAGGAGGAGATGCTATTCATTGTCTATCAGTGTGGGGGCACAATATATTTTAGTTTAAGGTGCTTGATGAACACAATGATTACATGGACCCTCCATGTCAGCCTTGGAAGTTGTGATTCTGAGGCTGGGAAGCTGGACTATCTTTGGAAGCTAAATTTGGAAGTGAAAGGGGGATGTAGGATATGATCATCTGGCTACATAGATAAGTATTGAAAAATAGGATTTGGGTTTCTGGCTATGGCTTAAGCTGTAAGAATAATGGGCTCCTGGCAAAGGATAAAGTGTATCATGAAACAAGAAATAATGTGTCTGGCAGGCATGCAATTCTCATTGAATATGAGGAAGTGGGAGACAAATGCCTAGATAATCTGAAAAACAAAAAAGAGATTTTACAGAGGACACCAGGTATAAAGTAGAAACAACCACAGTGGGAAAGATACACAGAGTGAATATCAAATTTTAATACAAGACAGTACTCTGTCTCCTAGATCTTATTGAGATTTGGAAGTGTCATGCAACATGGGTCACTTTGTGGTCACCAACTGTCCTAAAAAGATTTGGGACAAATTCCACAGTGTCATGGTATGGATGAAAAAATAGGCACTATTGAGAACACTTAAAGAACAAGAACCGAAGATTTTTGGCTGTTTCTCATCATCTCATGGAAAGGTGGGCAGGGATCAGGGTGCCACAGAACCCTTCGTGTGTATCTGTGTTTTAGCGAAGGAACCCTCTGCTCCCCTGTGGTTCTCTCTATTTATTGAGAAAGTGGAAAACAACAACAACAAAAACAAAACAGTTTTGTCAGTGGAGGAATAATCAATCTGCATGAGGCCACGTGGTTAGAAAGCTGAGTTGTCTGGAAAGTTAGCCTTTCCAGCCTCTGGAAACTTTGGGGCCCAGGGAGTGTTGCAAGCCCCACTGGGGGAGGAAGACCCCCATTCTGTGGGAAGCTGAACTTGAGTACATCCTCTTCTGTTGCAAAATGATGGACCCGTCTCTAACTAGCTCTTAGGCAACCTGGGCTTGTGCACAGTTCTGCTTGTGCCTCAGAGGTAGGATACAGCATAGAAAGGCCTTCCTTCTTGACTGCCTGCCTGCCTGCCTTCCTTCCCTCCCTCCCTTCTCTTCCCCTCCCTCCCTCCCTCCCTCCCTTCCTTTCTCCTGGGCTCAAGTGATACTCCTGCCTTGGCTTCCCAAAGTGCTGGCATTACAGGCATGAGTGACTATGCCTGGCCAAAAGGGTACATTTTCAAAACGAACACCTACTTTAGTGCCCTCTCATGTTTGATTAGCTCATGAATGCCATTGGTTGAATTTTCAGGAATTTTGCAAGCCAGTTGTTAAATGGTAATTAGTAAACATCAAATTATGCAAAATTATAATTATCTCAAAAACAAAGGTAATGCATACTCAAAACTCATCACTTCCTAATTGTTTTACTACCTTTTACTATTGTTTATGTCTGCTGTGTCTGTATGGGGAAAATACTCTATGTGGGCTAATGGTATGCTGCTGTGTTGTCCTTCCCAGTTCAGTGTCGGGTGAGCTAGTTGGAAGCTTAGAATGCACCATGGTGGGACTGGTAGTATTTATAAAACACCACAAACCAGAGTGTCTTGCCCTAGAGGGGCAGTTGTTGCACATTTACCAACACACTTCTGCCTGTAGCCCTTGAATCTTGCCATTTCATTGTGCTCCAGCCCAGCAGCTCTAGCACGTGTCTGTCTGCCAATGTCTGCATCTGTGTGCCAGAGGACTTTCTCTGGAAGGTCACTTTCTTCCTGCCCGTGTGCACTGCTGGAAGGAATTAACTGCCCCCAGGAGCTGCCATCACCTTGACCTTCAAGTAAGATAGTTTTGAAGCAAGGGTTTTACACCATTTCCCAAAGTTTTACCTGATGATTAAGTTTCAGTTGCCCACTTTGGTAGCTTGCTTTTGCCTCTAGATGAATGGGAATCCTATGTCAGTGAAGTGCCCTTTTCTGTTGCTGCTAGCCATTCTGACTCCAAAGCCAACGAATAGGTGCTGCTTCCACCACCAGGTGGAATAACAGAAGCATGTGCTGCCAATCAGCATGGTTGCCTAGCAACCCTTTTTAAAGCTTTTATTTTAGGTTCAGGGGTACACGTGCAGATTTGTTATATAGGTAAACTTGTGTCATGGAGGTTTGTTGTACAGATTATTTCATCACCCAGGTGCTAAGCCCAGTTCCCAATGGTTGTTGTTTTCTGCTCCTCTCCCTCCTCCCACTCTCCATCCTCAAGTAGAACCCAGTGTCTGTTGTTCCCATCTTTGTGTTCATGTGGTCTCATCATTTAGGTCCCACTTATAAGTCAAAACACACAGTATTTGGTTTTCTGTTCCTGCATTAGTTTGCTAAGGATAATAGCCTCCAGCTCCATCCGTGTTCCTACAAAGGACCTGATCTTGTTCTTTTCTATGGCTGTGTAGTATTCCATGGTGTGTATGTACCATATTTTCTTTATCCACTCTACCATTGATGGGCATTTAGGTTAATTCCATGTCTTTGCTATTGTGAATAGTGCTTCAATGAACATATGTGTGCAGGTGTCTTTATGGTCGAATGATTTATATTCCTTTGGGTATATACCCAGTAGTGGGATTGCTGGGTTGAATGGTAGTTCTGTTTTTAGCTCTTTGAGGAGTTGCCACACTGCTTTCTACAATGGTTGAACTAATTTACACTCCCTCCAACAGTGTATTGTGTCCTTCTTATTGACTGCCCTTCCTGGCCTGTTTCACTTCTTTTGCATCTGTTCTGGTGTTCCCTCCACCTCCAGGTCTACTTCTGAGAGAATTGTGTACAAAGGAGGAGTGTAGTGCTGCCTGGACAGTGGAAGCATATTGGAGACTTTTGGGTAGGACTAAGGGAAGAGGCAGAAGTATGACATCCTGTGCGAATTGACATTAAACCAGCCAGATGGCAGATGTGGATGGTGATTTTCTAATAGCTATCACAAAATTGGCAGGAAAGCAAGATAGAAGAGTCATAAGGGACTTCAACTGTATTTACCTAATTTAAATTCATATTCTAATAGCAGGGCATATCTGCTTTAAAAACACTTGCTAATAACCTTTTAGGGACTATGCTCAGTGGTGTTGGGGATGCAATGAGGGATCAGACATTGCCATAGGTTCCAAGGCACTTACACCTTACCAAGGGATGTCAGATGTGTACACAACTATTTTGAGATAGAATGTGGTAAGCTTCACAGAGCTGAGAGGAAGAATGAAGACTCAAATGCTTTATAGAAGAGCTGACATTTAGACAAAGCATTGGTAAGTTGGGAGGATTTCAACAGGAAGAGATTGAGAGGAAAAGGATTCTAGGTGGAAAGGATGGTGAGAACAAAGGCCTGAAACTGGGATAACAACCCTTGTATTCACATATTGGACACGTAGAGGTGTGCCGGAGCGTGGAGTCAGAGGAAAGCCTAGAATGGCAGGTGAGAGGCAGGATGGGGAGGCTTGGATGGGATTCTGGGGGATTCTTGGTACCCGCCTAATAAAAGTTAAGGATGCACTGAAACTATATAAAGGATCTGATCCCCTGGCCAGAGGCTCCAAAAGGGAATTTTATAAGACTCAGGAAGGGCAGCAGTCTCTAAAAAGTCAATCCTAATTATATACTGTAACTTGTTATAATGAGGAGTAAAGGGGAGAAAGTCCTGATCGGCTTGGATTTCAAAAGTCATTTAAAAAGAACAGAAGGAGACACACACACACACACACACACACACACACACACACACACACATATGCTCACACCCAAGAAGCATAACTTGAATGCTTTTGAGAAGTCCAAGCCTGCAAGGAAATGAAGCATGAAGAAAAGCAATGAATAGAGATGTGTTATGGGGCTGGGCACGGTGGCTCATGCCTATAATCCCAGTACTTTGGGGAGGCCAAGACAGGAGGATCGCTTGAGCCCAGGAGTTAGAGACCAGCCTGGGCCACATATCTATACCTTGTCTATACTGAAAAATTTTAAAAATTAGCTGGGCATGGTGGTGTGCACCTGTAGTCCCAGTGACTCAGGAGGCTGAGGAGGGAAGATCACTTGGCCCAGGAGTTTGAGGCTGTGATGATCCTTGATTGTGCCACTGCCCTCCAGTCTGGGCAACAGAGTGAGACCCTGTCAAAAAAGAAAGAAATGCATTACGGGGGGCTGAACTGTCCACACCCCCCACCCGTCCCCCGCCACAACCCCCTGCCATTCATATATTGAAGTCCTAATCCCTGGTAACTCATAATATGATTATATTTGGAGACAAAATGTATTAAAAGGTAATTAAATTAAAATGAGGTCATTGGGATGGCCCTAATCCAATATCACTGATGTCATTATAAGAAGAAGAAATGTGGATACAGACATGTGCAGATAGATGAAAGGCCATGCAGGGACACAGTGAGAATGTGGACGTCTGCTAGCTGAGGAGGGAGGCTTCAGGAAAAGCAAACCTGTGAACACATTGCTCTCAGACATCCAGCCTCCAGAACTGTGGAAAAATAAATGTCTGTTGTTTATACCACCCCATCTGTGGTACTTTGTTATGGCAACCCTACCAAGCTAATAGACTTGGCATGAGGTGAGCAATATATGAGGCCTTTGCCTTAGGGCAGATAAGACAATGATCCTCATTATTTGCATGTTCCTTCTTTGTGATTTCATCTATTGACTAAAATGTATTTGTGACCTCAAAATCAACACTTGTGGCACTTTGACAGTCATTTGCAGACACGTGCAGAGCAGTGAAAACTTTTGAGTTGCCGGATGCGTTGAAGTCAAATGCTTGTGCCAGCTGAAGTCAAATGCTCTGCCTTCTTGTCTCAGCTCTCCTATTGTAAACAAGTGTTTTCACAGGCTAGAGTGCATCTTTCAAATTTTTGTTGGTGATTTCACTGTTTAAAATGGCCCCCAGGTGTAGTACCAAAGTGCTGAAGGTAGTGATGTGCCTTATAGAGAAAATATGGGTGTTAGATAGCTTGCTTCAGGCACTAGTTATATTGCTGTTGGCCATGAGTTCAATGTTATAATGAATCAACAATATATATTAAATAAGGTTGTCTTGAAACAGAAACACACATAAAACTATGTATGATCAGTTGATGAACATGTAACCAAAGCCTCACAGGAACCTAACTCTGTACGTCTCCTAGGAGAAATGGTTCAATATTTGCTAATTTAGTGTTTGCTGTGACTTTGGTGGTGGGAAAGTCTAGCTATTCGAAAGAAGGTTATTCACCTTCTTTCACCAAGGTTATTCCAAATGAAAAGTTTAGAACACAAGTGATTTTTAGATAAGAGTTGAAGCTCAAGGTGGTTAAAGAGGTAATGAGATGGCCTAGACACTGGCAGTGAGCTCGGTTCTTCAGCCATTATGCTGAAAAAATTACACATGATCACTGACCACTATTTCTCAGTTTCATGGATCAGATAAGTACTGCAATAAAGACTCCAACAGCAACCAGATGCCATTTAACTTGATGTTGGTTCATTGGTAAATTCAAGAAATTCTGATGACCTAAAGGCAGTCAGAAAAGAGCAGGTTGCACCCTGGCATCCAGCAAGGATTTCCCACAACAAGATATGCTGACTTAACCTCATCTCTTCACCTCCAGTTATTTTTTTGGCTTGAATTATTATAATATATGTAACATTGGCTAAATATTCTTTAAACATATACCTGCCAAATTCAGAAAATATTTAGGTACTTTTCTTTGTTATCAATTCAGCCAGAACATACAGTGACCTTGTTTGCCAAGAACATCACCAGAGGGCTGTGATTGCTCTTTAGTGCTCACCCAAAATCCCCTGCAATGTTGGCTCATCATCCTCATTCTGGATTGGTTTCAGTCCTCGTCAGTTAGAGAAAATTCTCTGGCATACATGAAGTCTCCTAAGAACAGGTGTTCCATTACATCCTCATCTTGTTAAACAACATTTACACTAGGAGGAAACTGCAGTATAATAAAAGGCAAAGTGGCTTCTTACTGTAGTGGAATTCTTAATGTAGCCTCAATTCAATTCAATTATAATTTTTCATCCATGGATAGCCTTCGTTGGAAATTCTGTTTCCTAAGAGCTGTGGATTTGCAGCTTTTTCTATCACTGTAGTTGGTCTATCCCAGGACCACTCACACAGAATCCACCTAGATGGACATTGTTAAATATGCTGATTCCTGGGCTTTATCCCAATAATACAGAAACAGAATCCATTTGGGAACTGGGAGTCTGAATTTTAAAAAGCTTCTCAGGTGATTGAAAGTTTTGGTTATAAAAGTAAAATGATCTTTGGGAGAATTTAGTTGGCTAATAGTTCTAACAAATATTCATTATTTGACTAAAAAGTAATAATTGTATTGATCAAATTGGCACTTACAGAATTTGAGTCCAGCATACAGAATTTGAGTCCATCTGTGTTGAATAGGTATTTTAATTGATACTGGAAATTGTTTAGAACTTATATCTTAAGCATTTCTGTGTACAGATAATTGTGAGCAAGATATATGTTTATAAAAATCTATATTTTAGTTTGCCTTTCATCCAGCTCTGGTTTTCTATGCCATGTCACCAACTTAAGAATTTAGATCAGTTTTCTAAAATAAAAAAAATCAACAAATCAAAACCAAATATGTGCTAAGGGTAGATTAAGATTTACTTAGAAATTGTATACCAGAAAATGAGGAATACTAAAGCCAGCAGAGCATACTTAGTCCTTTGCAAAGTCCCTTCATTAAACACTCTTTAGATAACTAATCACTTAACTTTTTCCTAAACTCCTAGGCCTCAAGACATCTCCTGGTAATTATTCACGCCTGGAGTTTTTCTTCATCCTTATCCTTGGAAAAATTGTCTTATAGCTATATTGAAAACACAAACTTATACTTAACCACAAAGATATTCTGTTATTTTAAGAAATTTTAAGACTCATTGTACTAAGTGCCATGCTGTAAAATAAAAAGTACAGCATTTTCCATTTTACCCATAGGAGAAATATTATTTATAATTACAATTTAATGTTACACAAATTAGTTGTGCATTTATTTCATCTTTTATACTTTCCCAAATATCAGATGCCATCTGTCAGTGTAAATGTCATTTATGTTATATCCTTATTTGGTAATTATTTTAATCTGAAAATCTTAGAATTCAGTTGTAGCATATTAGAGCAACTATCTGTGCTAGTACCTGAACGTCATTTATTTGACATTATTTTGTGAATTTAACATTTATTTTGTGAATTTCGATGTCAGCAATAACAATTTTAGATTTTATGAATTGGATTTTGAAATGTGGAATAGAGAGTCTTCTAAAAGGGACAGGAACAATTCAAATGTTATTTTTATAAACATACAGATGGTTCATCATTATGTTCTCAGTATCGAGTGGCACTTTATAAATATTTGCTTAATAAATGAATAAGCGGAACAATACACACATAGTCTCACACCCACAGGGTCTGATCATAAAATAAGTGAGTTTTAAAATTTGTCTTATATAAATTAGTAATAGAATTTTATAGTTAATCATTTGTATGCCATATATAATATACTCAGCATATATTTAAATGAATTTTTTATTTTAGGACAGTTGCTTATGATTAGTTTTAGTATATTGAAATGAACATATGGAAGTACTAAAAGAGAATACTGTAGAAAAACTTGTTTAAAAAGCTTAGGCTGGGCACGGTGGCTCACGCCTGTAATCCCAGCACTTTGGGAGGCCAAGGGGGTGGATCACGAGGTCAGGAGATTGAAACCGTCCTGGCTAACACAGTGAAAACCCATCTCTACTAAAAATACAAAAAAAATTAGCTGGATGTGGTGGCTCATGCCTGTAATCCGAGCTACTCGGGAGGCTGAGGCAGGAAAATGGCGTGAACCCGGGAGGCAGAGCTTGCAGTGAGCTGAGATCAGGCCACTGCCCTCTAGCCTGGGCGACAGAGGGAGACTCCGTCTCAAAAAAAAAAAAAAAAAAAAAAAAAAAAAAAAAAACTTATGATACTTTAGAGCTGCGTTCGGTTTAACTATGTGTATTAGGAATTCTATCAATTATTATTAATGTTGATCTATACATTTTACAAACAACAGATGTATGACATACGCACGAGTATTATCAAGGTCACTCTTGGCATGTTCTTGCACAAGCATAAAGTTGTTGCAAATATGAACATATTTAAGAATTTCGTAATGGCATATTTTCAATATGTTGAACTACAATCAAAAGCTGGCCAGGTGCAGTGGCTCACGCCTGTAATCGTAGCACTTTGGGAGGCTGAGGTGGGTGGATCACAAGGTCAAGAGATCGAGACCATCCTGGCCAACATGGTGAAACCCCATCTCTACTAAAAATACAAAAATTGGCCTGATGGCACGTACCCGTAGTCCCAGCTACTTGGGAGGCTGAGGCAGAACAATCGCTTGAACTGAGGAGGCAGAGGTTGCAGTGAGCCAAGATTGTGCCACTGCACTCCAGCCTGGAGACAGAGTGAGACTCCATCTCAAAAAAAAAAAAAAAAAAAAGGCGGGGTGGGGGTCATATATTTATGTTTTAAACTACTTGGGGCACTATTAGGAGTTACTTTGTTATTTGTTACGTGAGTTCAAATTTTCTTTAGTTAGCTTTGGTCAAAACAACGTAAAAAAAACATAATAGAAACAGAAAAGTTAGAAGCCTTTTTTATTGTATAAAAGCTTTACACACCTGATGATTTTGGGGGAGAAAAATCACACATATATTTGTTCTCTAGGCATCCGTGTATTTTATTGTAATGTATTCACCTGTGTATGTGCTTATAAGAATTACTAGGCTTATTCTTCTCAACCTAGAAAATTATCCATGCCTCAAAAGAAAAACATTGTTAAAACTTCTTGCAGCAATTCAGAGTAATAAATCTCCCAAAATGATTTCTTTTAAGGCTAATCTTTGCTTAAATTTTACAAAGATATGTTGAGTTTTAGACAAGATAGTCTTTCCTTTAAAAAAGCAAGAACAAAAGGATGAAAATTGCTGAAAACCTGAACACCACATTCCTATTCACATCACTTTAATAATTTATTGAGTGCAGGGCCAACAATATGAAATTTTCATGGATGAGTATTATCCAGCCTCATATAAAAGTAACGTGAAAAATAAGGTCAGAGATAAATCACAAATACCAGTTACTCTTGTCTGTGGTTCTCTGAATTATAATAAAGTGTCATTTATAAAGAAAAAAATTTTGGGTTATATAATAGAAACTAATTATCATTATTTGTAGAATTTTTTAAAAATTCAGAATTAAATTATAAAGGCCAAAAGTGGATGATAAAATGAAATTATTCCTGCTTTAAGTGCAGTTGGGGCTAAAAATGGGTAGAGAATTGTAAAATTATATTTTAATTCTTTATCATTACTATTACTATTTAGGAATTTTTATTTAGGCTAGATTGGACAGTCTTCGGAGATTTCAAAAATATTGTTCAGGACCTCATTCCAGGTAGTTTATTCTGACCTATGTCTCCAAGTCTAGGGAAGGGATCACCTGAATAAGATGTGAGATTTTTACCTCAAGGTTAATATTTTTAGAAATTCTGAGTGAGCGTGTGTGTGTGTGTGTGTGTGTGTGTGTGTGTGTGTGTGTGTGTGTGTATGTGTATGCGCATGCACACGTGTGTCAGAGAGAGAGTGCTTGTAGGGTGGGTTGGGGTTTGGAACATAAAGAAGAGGAAAGGCAATGTAGAGGGATTGAGTAGGAGAGATTTATATTCACCAAGTGCTCTCATCTAAACTTACTTCCAAAGGGCTTAATTTTAAAATAATAAATTCACAAACACATTTGACTGCACCTGTTTTATCTCCCAAGAACTTAAAGGAAGCAAAAAAAATTTCAGTGGATTTCCTTTTATTACTGGTGGTGCCAGAAAATAAGACTTAGAGGCTACGTGTGGTTCATCTGAATCTCTGAATCAGTAATAAGTATATCATAATAGCGTTCCACAGAGATGCTGTACCCCTCCTCTAGCCAGCAAAGAACATTTTCCAGACCCTGGAAGGTGTTTTCATCGGTCATTAAGTTTTGCATATGATGGGTGTCCTGCACCTGCTAGAATTCCTGGATCTTGCTCAGTTTTTCCTCTCCTTGCAGGTGGAGACAAAGCTGCAAAGCATTTGCACGGCATTCTCCGCTTGCTTTCAGAGGTGGGCTGATCCAGGGCTCTTTGACCTTATTATTTTGATCTTAAGCTTAGTCCTTTATCACACTGCGTTTAGTCCTCCCTGGAGGCCACTCCTTCTCCTTCCTTTCTCCCCCTCAAAGAACAGCACAGATCCATATAAAATGAAAAAGAAGAGTAATAATAATGATAATAAATGGCTGTAATAATAATTAGTACAGCAGACATCAAGGTTAAGTACATTCTACAGAGCAGCCTGCTGGGGATACTCCAGGAGACTATACCCATGTACCCAGGGCATGGAAGCACTGCCTTCCAGGAAAAGATCAAGCACCTGCCACCCTCTTGGGCATAGCACGAGATAGAGGCTGCTCTACTTACTGCAGTCCGTTCAGGTTGGGGAACATGACCTCCATGTCCTAGAGCTACCTTTCACATGCTAGTTAAGGCACATAACTTAGCCCTCCCCTCTTTGTTTCAGCTTTAATGGGTAAAAGGGGTATAATTATAGTAATTATCACATAGGATATTGAAAAGATTAATACCTATAAAAGATTTAGAACAATACCTGGCATGTAGTGCTCAAATATTGTTTAGCTATTATTATTATTAAGGAAGTGTGTATTAAATCTGAGGGTAAAGAGCTCTTAGAGATGATCTAGGTCAGCCATCTAAAGCCTTTTGGAAGTAGGAAAGGGTGGCTATGGTACATTTAGCAATGCTCCTCTGGAGATGGACAGGAGACTATACTAGGTGGGCAGCCAGCTACTTCCTCATCGTGCCCCTTATCATTTGTTGTTGGAATAGATAGGTAAGGTAGGAACGATCTCTCTCTACCCCTCACAAAAGGCTGATTGGAGTCCATTTGTTCCTGGAATAAACTGAATTTATTATCCTGATCTAATTATTTAAGATCTCTTTTCATTTCTATGGATTCATGTCCTCACTCAGTGAATCTTGACTTCCAGTCATTTCTTTTACATTTATTGGGATGATTTTTTTTTCTTTGCTGTTGTTGGTTTGGGAATGCTATTATTGAAATACCTGACTTAATTTTTGAAATCCACACAAAACCATGTCAAAATGGAATTAATATATGTAATGAGAAGTAGTGCGAGGGTCATGTTCTTCTAGAGGTTTGGAATGGAAATTATAATGTATTTTTTTATGGTCTCTATTTGGTGCCCAGAGCTAGTGGCACTTTAAGGAAGAATCAGTAGTTGAACATACAGTGTTGATGAAATTTTGCAGCAAATATGCTCAGTTTATTTCTTCTTCAGAGAAAGATATTTGTTCCTTAGGCTGTTTAATTTGTTCTGTATTCAAAAAGCAAACGAATTTCTCTTCATAAGGCAAAATGCAATGATGTTTTCTTAAATATTGACAATATTAGATTCTGCTGGCGTTTTTCATCTTCAGAATATACAAAATCAAGAAATGGAAACTTTGCAATTGGTGCATCATCACTAATGCTTATGTACCTAATTTCAATTTTTTTGCAATTTGCTATCCTCTGATGCTTGCCGTTCTGAAAAAAAAATGGGAACATCATTTCGAGTATTACTTAATTTCTTTTCTGCACATATTAAAGGTCTTTTGTATAAAGTAGTAATGGAATATGCTGGAAATGATCAAAATTTAATGGACCATAGAGCATTTGTAGACCAGAAGCTTTAGAATGAAATGCAAACATCATTAAATGTCTAAATTTATTTTCTTTTAGACTTTCATCTTACAGTGATTTTCTGCAAGAATGGTATTAGGGTCTCGTGGGGAATGTTTAATAGAAGCTATAATAGATAATAACTGACTCTGTAATTAGTCATTTCAAGACAGAGGTACTCTTTGAGCCACTGATAAGAATTGAATTGTGTCACTACATCATGTTTTCATTCCGCAGTCACACCCCAGCAATCCATATTTATAGTCTCCTGGTGCTAAGCTCATTGCCAATTTAACACAGATGTGGAAGAGATATTTGTAACCTGCTCAGCCTTTTGATCCCTTATATTTTATTTGAGGAAATGGCAGTGTAACTTAAGAGTGAGGATAATGGTGTAAAGTCTTAGTGACAAAAATTATCAGAAGATTAATTTGGTATATACATTTATATGTATATATATATTCACATACAAAATACAGATATATAAAAGAAAAGCTATTATGGTTAAATGTAAAATCCAACTAAAATTTTCTTAGACCTACCTGGTTTTTGAGTACTATAATTGAATACTGCATTATTTTTTATTTTTTTGTTTACTTTTCAGAGGAAACTTATTTTTCATGTATCTCTAAGAATAACAATGGCCCAGTTTTTTCTGTAGAAGTTAGATTTTACAATTTTGGTTACACTGGCTACATTACACTCTCAATTTTATCTTATTTTATTCTTATATGTTATGTTGTAATAAATGTTTCTATGTGGTTGAATTCAACAAAAGTTGAGCTTCTCCCTTGAGCCAAACTCTGGGGAAAGTAGTCTGTGAATGAGCTCTGGGGTCACTGAGGAGGGAGAGGTGAATTTCCCCAGGAGGTCAGAACAGACTGCATGAGAGAGATGACATTTGAACCTGCACCTGAATACCTTAACAAAAGGTAACCTGGCAAGGGGTCATTCTAGGTAAGAGCAGAGGCCAGGAGGCAGAGAAGTATAGAACGTGTTCTGGTTTAACTGTTTAATCCAGTTAACATCCTTTAATCAGATGTTTTCAGCTGAAATGGAGAAATTTGACTGGAGGGACTAGTTATGGCCACAACCCAAAGGTCTTTGAAACCACATTGAAGATTTAGGGTTTTAATCTATGGACATTAGGAAGCTAGAGATGTTGATTGAACAAGGGAATTATGTGATCTAAGATGCATTTGCTTTCTAATTATAGATAATAATATACATGCTTTATTTCCCCCTTAAAATGGACTGGCAAGTTCAGAATTCTGTATGAAATCGATAATATTGATATTTTCCTCTGTAATAAAGTAGCCAGTTCTCTTGACATTTTAATGCAAAACTATGAAAGATATAAAAATTGACTCCAAGAGGGAAGAAGTCCCTTGGGAAAGAATTTTACAAATTTGACCATAAAAATTTGTAAAGCCATGAATAAAGACTGAATATATGGGAGAATGGATTGTTTAAATAGGAGTTTACCTATTTAAGCTCACTAGATTATTATTTAATGATTTTATGTAAACCTTTGGTGTCTGATATGGATAACTTGTGGGTGTTATCCCATAGTGGTGATCTATTTTAATTTGTATAAAATAGCTAGAATTGACAGGATGTCAGATGGAGTTTATAAACATTTTTGTCAAGGGAGAACTATTTCTAAATATCTCTGCCCGTCTAGTTAATAAAACCCAAATTACAGTGCTTACACAAGTCTTAGCTCATAGAAGTTGCTTAGTTTTCTGTCTCAATCAATCATACACCTTGCTTCATTCTTTAAGTCTGAATGCATTACGTACCTTCTAGTACATTTTACTATTTGGCTTAGTTTACTCACTGGAAGTGCATTTACCACAGATTTCTTCTTCTCCTCACCAACTTTTTAATATAAATGTTTTCTAAAATGAAAGTTAAAAGACTAGTACAACAGGTGGGTATGGTGGCTCATGCCTGTAATCCCAGCATTTTGGGAGGCTGAGGCAGGTGGATCACTTGAGGCCAGGAGTTCAAGACCAGCCTGGTCAACATGGTGAAACCCTGTCTCTACTAAAAATACATTCATTAGCCACACATGGTGGCACACCCCTATAGTCACAGATACCCAGGAGGCTGAGGCACGAGAATGACTTGAACCCAGGAGGTGGAGGCTGCAGTGAGCTGAGATTGTGCCACTGCACTCCAGCCTGGGTAAGAGAGCGAGACTCTCTCAAAAAAAAAAAAAACAAAAAAAAAAACCAAAGACTGGTACAACAAACATGTGTATACCCACTACTTAGACTTGGCAATTGTTCATAGTACATAATATGCTAATTTGAAAGTGAATTGACATGGAAAATATTATTTGTTACCCATTTTAACATTAATTAGATCATTTGACTGATAATCTTGGAAAGGGCATGAAGGATTTGCTTATTAACAGGTCTGAGTTAGATATCAGTTAGACACATATAGCCCAATAGTTACTTTTCTTAAAAGTAGTTCGAATATAAAAAATTTGTCCAATTATCCCCATCCTAATATACCCAAATTTATGTCTTTTACCTACAACTTCTACTTATGCAAGTCTACTTTATAAATAAATATTTTTAAAGGAAACATTTTAAAGTGACAATCACTATGGAACGTTTTAAACTATGCAGCTTGGAACCATAACATTCTGAATCAGAGTATCAGAAAACTGCAAAAATGTCTGTAGTGGGAATTAGTGTATTTCACATTCTTCAAATGAGTATATCTAGATCTACACACATGGATAATCCTATGATTCATGGAGAGCTTGTTTATTTTAAATAGTAGACAGCAGTTTTATCTCTGTCTTTAAACAGCTTCATCAATGGGCCAAATTGGTGACCTGAAAGTTATAAGTTTCCTTCTAGTTCATATACATATTTAAATAATTTTACATTCACAAGTGTGAACCTCAGTTTTTAAAATCATGTCCCATATTATTTCTGTGTATGGTAAATTTTCCCTTTAACTTGTCATAAATCACTTTTCCGCTTTCAAGAACCATTCCAATTGCCTGGATGGCACCAGGTTGTGGATGTAAGCGATGAGTTAAGACTAGAGAGGCTAAAATAGTGCTTGAAAAGTGAGTCAAGTGAAATTAGAGGAAAGAAAGTCGTCAGGGCACAGAGGAAAGATTAGAGCTGGTGCGCGTGTGGAGTCACATAGCTTGGTAGAAAGGAATGAGGCAGACACTAAAGGGTTCTCCCTTTTAGGTTGGGGGAGAGGGCCCCATGTGAAAACCAAAAACTGCAGGGGCCGATGTCACAGGAAACTTGGGCAGATTAACCGAGGGCTGCAAGTAGAGATAAGTGGAAGCCTTTCTGTGAAAGAGAAAGAAAGGGGATGGAGAGAAGGGTGTTCCTGACATAGATTCAAAGTCGAAGTTCCTTGGTGTGAAGTTTTCAGTATGCTCCTTTATACTGCTCATGGGTTCACCACCAGTGTTCCAGTCAGTGAAAACATGTGGGCTGCAGACATTCTGAAATGGTCTGCATGTTAAGAGAATTCACACTGTGTCCAGTGGTTTTTACACACAGAGATTGGACCCATTATCTTCTTGAAGAAGTGGAAGCCTGGTAACCAGAAAGATATGCCTTAAATCCCATGAGAGTCTGGGCAACATTTCCTCCTCTTTCTAAAAAAAAAAAAAAAAAAAAAAAGACCGATTATCAGTTCACATATGGATTATGCATCACATCTGCTTAAACGAGGAAAAGGAATGCTTATTCCACTGTCAAAAGAGTAGCGTTTTTCCAAAGGCAAATATCATTTTTTCCTAAAAAATTCTGAACTCTAGCAAGCAGATTATAATCAATTCATTTCAAACAAGTATTTTTTTCTTTAGATGATTCGTGTAAGCATACAGCATCTGATAAAATTTATGCATACTTACGCCTTTTAAAAAATGTCTTTGGCTGGTCTTTTAGTCAGTTTCTCTCTGCATTGATCTGTCTTGCACTCTGGAAAGCATTTTACATATTTAAATAGCCAACTTTTCTCTGTCTTCTTTTTTTCCATGTGGCTTTTCCAAGTGGGGCTCATCTGATGTATAAAGTCTAGGATTCATAACATACTTTTCCTCTGGAAACAAGCTAAAGATAAAACAACCTTGCACTACTTTTATATGAATAAGTTATTCATTAATAATTCACTAAATATTGAGCACCTAAGAGTACCATAAATTATTCTAGACACTCGAGATATATCAGTGAACGAAATACTTGAGATGCCTGCCTTGATGGAGTTTGGCCATGGTTACTTTGCCACTTTGGGATCTGAGGGGAGCAAAGAAGAAACAGGAAATAACCCATGTAGACAGCATCAAAACATTTTAGATGATATCAGATGGTCCTGGGCCAGGTTCTTAATGGCTCTGTTCTACACATTCTTCTTTTGTATGCTGGAAATAATAATAGTATCCCTCTTATAGGTATGTTTTGACAATTGAATGAGATAATATATGTAAACTACTTACCTCAGTGCCCAACTAAGTGGTTGATGTGCCAGCACTAAAAAATATTAGCTATTATTTCTTGTTAAAGGATGAGAAGGTGGTTTGTTCCAATCCCCCATGCCATTATGGGAGTAGCATGATGTCAGGCTATTCTATTGATATGTGTCTTGTTTTATGCTTTGTAATATGGATGTTTCAGACCATTTAGCTCTGTTCACCGGATTTTCTGGAGTTTAATTTAAACATTCTCATTAAAGTTAATGTGACTCTGGTCATTCTCCTTATTGCCACCAAGGATGATGACAGCCTTGTACTGTGCACTACCTAAATAATATTATTACCTTCCCTTGGTTGCTTCCTACAAATGGCATCATCTCAATCTTATAAAACCTATGCAGGAGAAAATGTTACGTCAAGCAGGAAATTATGGTCAGGTTTTAGGGTGGTGAGCAAGATAAAATTTGAAGAAGCCAAGCCTGAGTAGCATACGTATATATTTAATTTTACCCTTTTCTTCCCAGCAACGTCCTGATTTTATGGTTATAAAACCACTCCTCTTCCAGACTTTGTTCTCAAACTTAAAGCATGCAGTGATCTTCCTTTCTTCTTCACGAGAGGAAAAAGTCTGGCTGTCTTCATGCAAATTAGTCGGCTTTTGTTGGAAAACTTCAGGGAACTCATCTTTGAAATATGGACTCACAATAAGAAATGTGGTTCATCTTACTGTTCTTCTTTCAGCTGATGTATAGTTGTTTCCCACAGTATGAAAGACTTAAAAAAAAAAAAAAGCATTTTATCATAATGCCAAAACTCCAGCAATGCCTTTGACTGCCTTCAGGGGTGGTAGTGGAGGTGGGGAAACCATCTATTCAATATTACATTATTTTCAGATGATTGTTCACATAAGAAATGTGTAAATGAATGCAGAAAGGTAGGACTGATGTTCTAAATTTAGGACCAGCAATTGTAGACACTGGAGTTCCGAGCTTCTTTATTCTCCTCTGTAATTTCTCATACAAAAAATACCAACTAGGTATAGTATAAAAATAATTTGTTAATGAGTAAAGATTGTTTTGACAATGTCTAACACTTCAGAAATATATTGTGTTATTCTGACTGTATTGAGAGTTTTTTTTTTCTTTCTTACATTTCAGTGACAATTTCAACAAGCACCTTTTTTGACGGCTTGCTGGTGACAGGACTATACACATCTACAAGTGTTCAGGCATCACAGAGCATTGGAGGTTCCAGTGCTTTCGGATTTGGTAAGCTATTCTCACAAACCAGAAATTTGGGGGTATTTTATACAGTCATAGGTCTTATGTTTTAAAGTATCTGTTTTAACAGTGTTAGACCTTTATTACTTCCAAGAAAATAATCTGAAGTGTTTTGTTTTTGTGTGTGTTTGCTTGATGTTGGGTGAATTGAAATAAGTCATGTAAATGTGCAGCTAACCTTGATCTTGGCATGATGAACTTTCTTTCATTCTCTCCCTCCACTGCCGCAATTATACTTGGTCCTCTGGGGTTCATGTAAATTTCCATATTCTGTTACTTAAGTGGCTGGAATTTGCTCTGATGTCCACGCAATCATTCAGTAATCTGTTCTCATAAACAGTTCTTAAAATATTATGGTTAATGAAAAGTGTCGTGTTAAATCTGGCAACTGAACATTGTATAAAGCAGAAGATAGCAATATTTGATAAAATTATTGAGTTCTATGAGTATTCTTAGAAGAATCCTATTTAATACTTAAAATATTTGAATGTCCTTAAATCAGAGACCTGTCCTTAAATCAGAGGCCTTAAAACAGAAGACCACGTGATGTCCATTAATCTCAGAGGAGTCTCAACTTAGGAATCTCTAGTTTACCCATAATGCTGTTAAACATGCCAGGCTGGGATTAAGTAGATCCTTCACAGCATCAAAAATGCAAACTTAATATATCAGTTTATGTAGGATATGAAATTACTGATCTTACTCCAAAATTGAAAGATTACACAGGACTTCATCTATAGATGTGAGAAGGATAGAATTGCATTATCAGACACAAAGTTATGTGTTCAACATTTTATTTTTTTCTATGATGTTTGTCAAATAAATAAATTTTCTACCTCCTTTTGATATATGAAGTGTCAAGTCCCAGCAGTAGCCCTGCCCAGATGAGTCATTGGCTGATGTCAGAGCAACAGTGTTGATGCTGCATTGTCACTGCTTGCCCAAGATGAGGTCCACAGCCCACAGCTTAAGGAAACCTCGAAGTCATTCAGTCATCATTTTAAATGATTTCACATTTGAGAATTTGCTGTATTTTAAAAAGATCCCAGGTTAGATTTCACAGTCTGTTGGTAACTACTTCTAAGGTCCAAACCTCAGGGGAAAAATGTCCTCTTAGATCTACAAATTCCACTTATTTAGTCCCATCCTTTTTCTGCTCTGCAGAGAGGAAGGGTCAGGTCATAGTCATATGTATATAAGTACATAAGTATATTACATACCACCTGTTTTGTTACAGCAGGATTCATAAGTAGAGTTGTCAGATTCAGCAAGTAAAACTACCAGACACTTTGTTAAATTTGAATTTTAGGTAAACAAAATTTTTTTAGTATAAGTATGCAATATTTGGAATAAGACCTTCTAGGATCCAGCCTAGTCCAATTAAAACCTCTGGGGGTGAGGGCCTGAGCATTGGTGATTTTTTAAAGCTGTCTAGGTGGTTCTAATGTTTATCCAGGATTGAGAACCACTGTACTGGATCAGTGCCCAATCCAGCCATCAGCATCACCTGGAAAGCAGTAACTGCAGAATTGTAGACTTCAAACACAGTGAATCAGAAATTCTAGTGGTGGGATCCTGTGATCATTTTTTGAAATCAACACTCCAGGTGATGTTGATCCATGTTAAAGTGTGAGGACTTCTATTCTATTGGAAAGACAGATGTTGATTAAATGGTCATGTAAATATGTCATAGCAAACCTTGCTAGGGGCTGGCAAAGAAGTGTACTGAGTGCTGGGAAAGGGTATGACAGAGAAACTAGATCCAGTCTTGAGTAAAGTGTGGTGTAATTTGGAAAGGTGTTCCTGAGGAAATGGTATTTGAGTAGAGCTATGAAGGAGTAGAGATTATTAACTAAAGGTCTGTGGATGGTGGGGCACAGCATACCCAAAGGAAAGAACAGCAGGTGCAAAGGCCACAGGTGGGAAGAGGCTGGCTATGTTCTAGGAACTGAAAGAAAACCTTGGAGTGGCTGGACTTGGAATCAAGAGGGAAGGGGATACGGCTAGATAGGAGACTAGAGCCAGACCATTCAGGATATTGTAAGTTTGGGGCCTTTATCCTAAGTGAAAGGAAAGGCATTGAGTGTTTTAGGCTGAGGAGTGATTCCACAAACCTTTCATTTTAAAGAGATCACTCTGAGGTCAGTATGGAGAAAACACTGGAGAGCCCAGTAGGGGGTTCAGAAAGATTGTTCTGTGGTTAAAAATTCTGATATGGCAAGGCGTGTAAGGTGTCCAAAGTACAGGCGGGCATCGGCAACAAGAAGGAGCCAGATGTGGGGGGATAAGAGTTCAGGCTGTGAGTCACATTGACCTGCTTGTAGATGCAGTATTCATCTCTTAGTTATGTGCCTCAGCCAAGTCGTTTAACCTCTCTAAGCTTAATTTTCTCATATATGACATGATGATGATAAGGTTACCTTCTTCATAAGATGCTGGGTAGCCCTGATAATTAAAGGAGGAAGTGATTTATGTAAAGCCATTAGCACATAAAAAAACACTCGATAAAATTAGCTTTTCCAGATTATAATCTTGGAAACTGAAGCAGACCATTTCCTTAGTCCAGGGCTTATATACACTTCCTATAGGGGGAGCAAAAAAAGAAAAAACCAGTTCTGAAATGTAATTAATCTGGGATATATAGGTTGAGATGACTTGAGGAGACTTGGCTGAATTAAGGAACTATCATTTGTCATTGCGGGGAACCATCATTTGATGGTTTGTCAGTTTGTCAGAACTGACAAACTGTCATTTGTCAGTTCCTTTACATAAGGAAAATCATTAAAGATCATTCCTAAGTGTGTTGTAAGCACATTTTGAGAGAACATATAAAATGCATATATCATATTGCCTCAGATTTTAGCTAGTAAGACAAACAAACAAAGAATAAAATTGTTACAAATTATTTAAGAGACCTGGTCTTCAAGACATTTCCTATGGTAACTTTGAAAGCTGTAAAAAGTCGATTTGTACTTGAATTAGAATATATTTTGATTAGCCTGAATTGCACCTAGCCTTCCTCTCACAGGCAACCCTGTATCATTGGTTTAATGGTCCAAAGACACTTTTGAGCTTGGGCAGAGCCCATCAGCGACTTCCATAGCTCAGGTCTTACACTAGATCCTTTGCATTTTTATAGGACATATGTTTTATATGGATGTATAGGTAGGTGAGATATTTTATTAAGTTCTGATAATATCCAAATAATATTATGTGTATTTATGTGACAGTAGTAAATAACTTTAAAAGTAAAATTTGATAATATGCCTGGATATTATATAACAAAGTTAATTTTCATGAATAATGTTTAGAATGGAAAGCAGGAGGTAAAATGTCTTTTTAAATAAAATGGCCACTTTTGAAAAAAAGCACATTAATTTTTGGGGTATTTGATCTAAGTTTAACATATTCTTTACAAGTTAAAAACAAAATTAAACATTTAATTTGATTAGGGTAGGAAAGTAGAGGAAAATTATAGAAGGCATAATTTCTACATATTGCTGCTTTCTGGTAGTTAGTAGTTATGGTAGGGTCAGGCTAAAGTAATGTGGCACTTTTTGACCTAGAACAAAAGAGTTATTGAATACATAATCTATCATTAGTCTCTGACTTTTTTGATGGAATGTTAAGCAAATGTGGTTTATTTGGCATTTCCCCAACATATCACAGGATTAATGTGCAATATGTTTAACTAGCTGTGACAAATAAGGCAGAGTAAAGCATTTAGTAAGTCTAAATAGGTACTTCTGAAAGTTTTTTTCCTACTTGTAGTAGTTATTTTAATTGTACTAATTACACTAAAGTTACAGCTACTCTTCTTTGAATGTAAAATGTGTGTATGACTAGCCAAAATGTCCATAATTATACTTAAGATATTGCTGTAGAAATGTAGTTCCACTAACATTACTACAGCTTTTTATGCAAAGCCAGAATTCTTTAGCATGCATGCCTCACTGACCAAAAATAGACAAATGCCTAATAGCCAGAAATACGTTAAGACAATAGCTATGCAAAAGATGACTGTAAGCCAGCAATGCCTGATTTGAAATACCTCATTTTACTTGTCAATATAAGAAAACATGCTGCCCTTGGGAAGTGTGATGTTTAATTATGGATATCTCTTTGTGCATCCCAGAAAAAAAAATGATTCTCTCTTGTCTTTGACTTTGAATTCCAGCTCAATCATGTAAATCTTCAAGGCTCATTGTGGTCGCTCAATGAAGGATTATTTGAATATCCTTTCATACAAAATTGTTCCTTTTCCAGGGCTGAAATGCATTTACTCAAGATTTAGAATTCTGGTTATAAAAGATAGAGATTTTACCCAATTTTTTATATTCTGGCTCTGAAACCTGAGAATCAGGTTTGCAGGTCTGATGAATGCAGCCAAATTTCAAATTGTTAGACCTTCCATAAATTAAGGTCTTTGTACTTCCTAGATAATCTTGCTCAGCTAATACATCAGCCATTATAGCACTTTTTTACTTAAACTCTTGTAATTTTCTATGTGTTTCATTTCTTTGTTCTGTAATAATTAGGAATTCTAAATACAATCATTTAAGTTAAAAAATGCTTAAAAGGCTGGGCACAGTGGGTCACGCCTGTAATCCCAGCACTTTGGGAGGCCAAGTGGGGCAGATCACAAGGTCAGGAGTTCAAGACCAGCCTGGCCAACATAGTCAAACCCCATCTCTACTAAAAATACAAAAAATTAGCCAGGCATGGTGGCAGGTACCTGTAATCCCACGTACTTGCAGGAGAATCACTTGACCCGGGAGGTGGAGGTTTGCAGTGAGCCGAGATCACACCATTGCACTCCAGCCTGGGCAACAGTGCAAGACTCTGTCTCAAAAAAAAAAAAGCTTAAAGTGACAAAATTTGATTAAATCCAAGTTGGGGGGGAATGTAGTGAACAGGTGTAGGAATTTTTTCTTTGTAATTTTTTCTCTTAAACATTCAGCTATTCATGTCATATTTTTAATAGAGATTAAGCAATTAACATAAAACTAGTATTTTCAACACTATCTTTAAAATATAGTATTGGAAATTTTTTTTTTAATTATACTTTAAGTTTTAGGGTACATGTGCACATTGTGCAGGTTAGTTACATATGTATACATGTGCCATGCTGGTGCGCTGCACCCACTAACTCGTCATCTAGCATTAGGTATATCTCCCAATGCTATCTCTCCCCCCTCCCCCCACCCCACCACAGTCCCCAGAGTGTGATATTCCCCTTCCTGTGTCCATGTGATCTCATTGTTCAATTCCCACCTATGAGTGAGAATATGCGGTGTTTGGTTTTTTGTTCTTGCGATAGTTTACTGAGAATGATGATTTCCAATTTCATCCATGTCCCTACAAAGGACATGAACTCATCATTTTTTATGGCTGCATAGTATTCCATGGTGTATATGTGCCACATTTTCTTAATCCAGTCTATCACTGTTGGACTTTTGGGTTGGTTCCAAGTCTTTGCTATTGTGAATAATGCCGCAATAAACATACGTGTGCATGTGTCTTTATAGCAGCATGATTTATAGTCATTTGGGTATATACCCAGTAATGGGATGGCTGGGTCAAATGGTATTTCTAGTTCTAGATCCCTGAGGAATCGCCACACTGACTTCCACAATGGTTGAACTAGTTTACAGTCCCACCAACAGTGTAAAAGTGTTCCTATTTCTCCACATCCTCTCCAGCACCTGTTGTTTCCTGACTTTTTAATGATTGCCATTCTCACTGGTGTGAGATGGTATCTCATAGTGGTTTTGATTTGCATTTCTCTGATGGCTAGTGATGATGAGCATTTTTTCATGTGTTTTTTGGCTGCATAAATGTCTTCTTTTGAGAAGTGTCTGTTCATGCTCTTCGCCCACTTTTTGATGGGGTTGTTTGTTTTTTTCTTGTAAATTTGTTTGAGTTCATTGTAGATTCTGGATACTAGCCCTTTGTCAGATGAGTAGGTTGTGAAAATTTTCTCCCATGTTGTAGGTTGCCTGTTCACTCTGATGGTAGTTTCTTTTGCTGTGCAGAAGCTCTTTAGTTTAATTAGATCCCATTTGTCAATTTTGGCTTTTGTTGCCATTGCTTTTGGTGTTTTGGACATGAAGTCCTTGCCCATGCCTATGTCCTGAATAGTAATGCCTAGGTTTTCTTCTAGGGTTTTTATGGTTTTAGGTCTAACGTTTAAATCTTTAATCCATCTTGAATTGATTTTTGTATAAGGTGTAAGGAAGGGATCCAGTTTCAGCTTTCTACATATGGCTAGCCAGTTTTCCCAGCACCATTTATTAAATAGGGAATCCTTTCCCCATTGCTTGTTTTTGTCAGGTTTGTCAAAGATCAGATAGTTGTAGGTATGTGGCGTTATTTCTGAGGGCTCTGTTCTGTTCCATTGATCTATATCTCTGTTTTGGTACCAGTACCATGCTGTTTTGGTTACTGTAGCCTTGTAGTATAGTTTGAAGTCAGGTAGTGTGATGCCTCCAGCTTTGTTCTTTTGGCTTAGGATTGACTTGGCGATGCGGGCTCTTTTTTGGTTCCATATGAACCTTAAAGTAGTTTTTTCCAATTCTGTGAAGAAAGTCATGATCTCACCACTCCTATTCAACATAGTGTTGGAAGTTCTGGCCAGGGCAATTAGGCAGGAGAAGGAAATAAAGGGTATTCAATTAGGAAAAGAGGAAATCAAATTGTCCCTGTTTGCAGGCGACATGATTGTATATCTAGAAAACCCCATTGTCTCAGCCCAAAATCTCCTTAAGCTGATAAGCAACTTCAGCAAAGTCTCAGGATACAAAATCAATGTACAAAAATCACAAGCATTCTTATACACCAACAACAGACAAACAGAGAGCCAAATCATGAGTGAACTCCCATTCACAATTGCTTCAAAGAGAATAAAATACCTAGGAATCCAACTTACAAGGGATGTGAAGGACCTCTTCAAGGAGAACTACAAACCACTGCTCAAGGAAATAAAAGAGGATACAAACAAATGGAAGAACATTCCATGCTCATGGGTAGGAAGAATCAATATCGTGAAAATGGCCATACTGCCCAAGGTAATTTACAGATTCAATGCCATCCCCATCAAGCTACCAATGACTTTCTGCACAGAACTGGAAATTTTTAACTTAATTATCAGATTATTTTCAATGTGATTTGACAGTTTAGGTAGATAGGAGTATAATTACAAAATGAATTATTTAAATATATATATTAAATATATATATTTTATATATAATATTATATATTAATATATATTTAATATATATATTTATATATATTAAATATATATATTTAATATATATATTTATATATATTAAAAAATATATTTAATATATATTTATATATATTAAATATATATATTTATTAAATATATTTAATATATATTTATATATATTAAATATATATATTTATTAAATATATTTAATATATATTGTTTGTTTTTGAGATGAAGTCTTGCTTTGTTACCCAGGCTGGAGTGCAGTGGCGCAATCTGAGCTCACTACAACATCCACCTCCCAGGTTCAAGCAATTCTCCTGCCTCAGCCTCCCGAGTGAATTATTTAAATATTTTAAGAAAAACTTCAAACTTTAGTAAATCTTATATTGGTCACTAGTTAATAAAAATTGTACTTCATTAGTAATTTTAGATTTTATGGTAATGTTTCATTGCCAGGATGAAGTTTTTACTATTTTGTTTTATTTTTCACTGAACATAGAAATGCAGGGCCTGTATGCTAACTTTTCATTATCCTTCACATTAAGACTAAGTAGAACCTATTACAAACTTGCTAATTATCGCCAAGGCCCATACTCCCCAGGGCATTAGCAGCAGTTGAATCTTAGGTGTCTTGTCTGTGTGACTGAGATGTATATTATGAATGCATGAACATATTTAGGGCTTAATATTCATGAAGAGGGACAGCCATTCACAATTTCATTAAATAGAGTATTGTATAAGTAGTGGTACTTATTTACTAGCCTAAATTAAGCTAATGCTTTACTTAGAATAACCTGGCTAAATTTATTTTGTCTGCCTCTTTACAAAGAAACACGGAAGTAAATGCAATTTAAGCATACTTGAGGAATTCAAAGGCATGATGTTTTATTGGGTATGGTAAATGATCTGTAATTAACAAGAAGACTCCAGATTAATTAAACAAATTACTCCAGCCAATGTACAAAGAGCAGAGCTGACAAGAGATGAAATTGCCATTAATTTCTCCTTTTAACAGGATATTAACTTACATTTGGTCTTTATTCATTCCATTTGAGTATTCCATTCTTACCTTCATTAAGAACTAGTTTTATCTAGTTTATATTTGACATATGATAAATAATTCAGGGATATTTCCCAACTTCCAAATAGCTAACTTGAAAAGAATCGCTTACTAAAATAGTGAGCATGACAAATATACAGCTATTGAATTAATTAACCAATAAATTGTTAAAGCAGATATTCAAGGGCATGAGATTTGAGCCAAGGTGGAGGAGTTAGTAGAGAAAGTCAGTTCAACGTGGTGGCTCAGTACGTGAACTCAGGAGTTAGGCAGCTCAGGTTCCATGCCCAGCCCTGTTTCTTGCTAACTTGAGCAACATACTTACCTCCATGTCTGCATTTGTAAACCAAGAATAACCATGGTGCCCAGTTCATAAAGTTGTAGGTTGGATTAAATGAGATTATCAGTTCAAATACCTAGTATATATTATATGCTCAAAATAGGTATTTAAAGACTCGGAATGAAGTAAGAATCCTTTCTTTGAGAAGGGCAATAGAATGAGAAGATTGTTCCAGTGACAGAGTTTTGAGAAGTTCACTTTAATTTTGGGGAGCTGCACTCAAGTTTCTTACCCACAGAATTCAGAGCTGGAATGGACCTCCCCTAGAGCCTGGATCAGCGCCACCCCCAGTGTATAGGTAAGGAAGCAATGCTTGGGAAGGCCAGTGATGACTATTGCAGGAGATAGTGTAAGTGTGAGGATAAAACCAGGTGTCCACCTCATGTTCTCACTCATAAGTGGGAGTTGAACAATGAGAACACATGGACACAGGGAGAGGAACGTCACACACTGGGGCCTGTTGCTGGGGTAAGGGGGCAAGGAGAGGGAGAACATTAATACAAATACCTAATGCATGTGGAGCGTAAAACCTAAATGACGGGTTGATGCGTGCAGCAAACCACCATGGCACACATATACCTATGTAACACATCTGCATGTTCTGTACATGTATCCCAGAACTTAAAATTAAAAAAAAATAAGTTTTTTTTTAAAAAAGAAAAAAAAACAGGCTTTCTGACATCATATCCAGTTCTCAGATATTCTTTTAAAGCTATAATTTACATACTATAAAATTTACCATTTTAAAGGCTGTAGCCTTTAAAATGATTTGCAGTATATTCACAAGATTGTACAACTAACACCACTAATTCCAGAAAGCTAATGTCACCTCCAAAAGAAGTCCTGTATCCATTAGCAGTCACTCTCTATTCTCTTCTCCCCTCAGCCCCTAGGCCACCACTAATCTGCTTTCTGTCTCTACGGATTTGCTTATTCTGGACATTTCATTTAAGTGGAACCATATAACATGCAGCCTTTTGTGCCTGGCTTTTTTTTTTTTTTTTTTTTTTTTTTTTCCAGAGCCTTGATCTTGTTGCCCAGGCTGGAGTGCAGTGGCACATCATCTCAACTTATTGCAACCTCCACCTCCTGGGTTCAAGCAGTTCTCCTGCCTCAGCCTCCCGAGAAGCTGGGACTACAGGTGTGCACCACCATGCCCAGCTAATTTTTGTGTTTTTAGTAGAGATGGGGTTTCACCACGTTGTCCAGGATGGTCTCAGTCTCCTGACCTCATGATCCAACCGCCTCGGCCTCCCAAGGTGTTGGGATTACATGCATGAGCCACCGCGCCTGGCTGTGCCTGGCTTTTTTTACTTAATATGTTTTCAAGGTTTATCCTGGCATAACATATATCACTACTTCTTTTTATAGATGAATAATATTCCATTGTATGGATATGTCTTTTGTTGTTTAGTGGATGGATATTTGGCAGTTACCAGATTCTTAAAAGGAATTAGGGCTGTGTAAATAGGAAAAAATAGTTTAAGGAGGACACAAAGAAATAAGACCACCACATTCCTTAGATATTCATCCGTGGCTCAAAACCTCTGAAGATTAAAATTGCTTAGCCTGTTCTGTGGCTCAGATGTGAAAATAGTTCTGCTTAGACATCAAGACATATTTCTCCTCTGCCCTCCTTTTCTGCCACTCAGGAGAGATAGGCCACTGTATCATGTTTTTACCCTAACCTTTTGGCCTTAGTTTAAACCATAAGGTACAAAAGCCAAGCTATGTCAAATATACTAGCATGGGAGTTAGGAATTGAGACATGTCAATTCCAGTCCAACTCTTTATGAGCTGAATCCAAGGAACAAGTAAACATTCAGGAGCTATGGGCAGCCATGCTCTATAACGGCTCAGAGGAATCATGAGCAGAGAGAGGAGGAGAGAGAGAGAGTCAGAATGCTGCCTGAGGTACCGGAGCTTTCCAGGCTCCTATTTTAGGCTTACTTTTCATCAGGCTTAGATATTTGGGGATTCTAAGAAATCATAAACATAGCTAACATTATCAAGCACTTGCTATCTGCCCGGTGTGTTACAGGTATTAACTCTTTTGATCCTAAAAAAAATTCTACTATAATTCTCCTTATTTTATGGATAAAGAACCCAAGGCAAAAAGAGCATAAGTAACTTGCGGGAGGTTATGCTTGCTTAGGGAGTTGCAGAGCTGTAATTCAGACTGAGCCCTGCAACCTGTCATTAAACTCCCTTTGCAGCCCAAGCCAGCTTGACTTGATTTTTATCATCACCCAAAGAACCTTGACTGAGAAAAGGCCCTCTCTGCTCTAACCCTGCTGTCCTTTCCCACACCTCTTCTCAGCCTCTTTTCCAGACACCTACTCCCACTACATATGCACATATACCCCCTTGCACTAATTAAAATAACCCACACACAGCTTCAAAATTCCAGCTCTTTTAAACGTCTACTGCCCTTGTTTGTGTCCCTTGGAATTCTTTCTGGCTCGGTCTCTGGGGCAAATCCTCTGCCATCTTTTAGGGCCCCCTTCCATACTTACCTCCTCTATTAAAACTTTAGAACCCTTCCCCTCTGCTCCTCCCTTCCCGCTACCTCCGTGGAATTCTCCACTCCCTCCTCTGTGCTTCTCCGTCTTCTCGGACCTCCACCAGTCACCTCTAACAAGCTACCAAATTTGCTTGTTTAAAAACCTTTAAGTCTCTTCGAAGACAAAGAGATAACCTAGTCATCTTCACTCCTGTGAAGTCATCTTCACTCCTGTGAAGTCATCTTCACTCCTGTGGCACATTACCAGTGCTCAATAAATATTTACTGAATGAATAGACCAATAACAATCTTTGAGGATTCGTAAGGTATTTGAGCTGCCCTTAGTAAATGCATGTGTCTGCACAAGTGTTTGGGTATAGACTGGGCCAGGTGGGGTGGCGGGTGGGGAGGAAAGTATTACTGTCTTTAAGTTTGAGGATATTTCTAAATCTATATTTGTCCATATATGTGTACACATCTATACATGCATTTAAAACTATACAAATATATGTTAATCTTATGAAAAGAGGTCCTGGGGAAATTGATCATCCTGGCTACCGCTTTGTCCATTTCTCTCCTGGAGGTGGCAGACACTAATATTTGCAGGTAGGACAGTGATTAAGTATCTTCTATAGAATTAAGAAAATAGAGGGCAGGAAGCAGTGGCTCACGCCTGTAATCCCAGCACTTTGGGAGGGTGAGGTGGGTGGAACACTCGTCAGGAGTTTGAGACTAGCCTGGCCAATACAGTGAAACCCTGTCTCTACTAAAAATATAAAAATTAGCCAGGTGTGGTGGCACATGTCTGTAGTCCCAATAACTCAGGAGGCTGAGACAGGAGAATCACTTGAACCCCGGAGGCAGATGTTGCAGTGAGCAGAGATTGCACCACTGCACTTCAGCCTGGGCGACAAAGCGAGATTATCTCAAAAAAAAAAAAAAAAAAAAAAAAAGGAAAGAACTTCAAGGGATTGGCAGTCCAGCCTCGTATCTTACAGCATGTTGGTGTCTTAATGTTACATTATTAGGTTCTTATTTCATCTCTTTCCAGTTTTTATTTCATTTTCTTTCCAGAAATGATAAGTCTACAGTTTCTTGGGAATATATTTTAATATTATGTCAATTGAAATGATTAAGGAAGATTCTCTTGTATGAAGATGCAATCCCTTGCTTTAACTTCAGCACCTTTCTCATATAATTTCTTATAAAATTGAAAATGATAAGCATTTGTTAAAAAGTAATTAAGTCACTTGTTTTCTTTCCTTTAGGCAAACAAAAACACACATTCCACATGAGACTCATCCATTTCCTAACTCCTTAATAAAATTTTCATGTCAGTTTTCTCTGGACACTTCACAGATCATAGATACAGGAATTTAGTCCTGATAAGATATGTAAAGTCAAGGAACAGTAGATGCTGGTGTGGCTGTGGAGAAATAGGAATGCTTTTACACTGTTGGTGGGAATGTAAGTTAGTTCAACCATTGTGGAAGACAGTGTGGCGATCCCCTAAGGATCTAGAACCAGAAATACCATTTGACCCAGCAATCCCATTACTGGATATGTACCCAAAGGGATATAAATCATTCTACTATGAAGACACATGGACACGTATGTTTATTGCAGCACTATTTACAATAGCAAAGACATGGAACCAGCCCAAATGCCCATCAGTGATAGACTAGATAAGGAAAATGTGGTACATATACACTATGGAATACTGTGCAGCCATAAAAAGGAATGAGATCATGTCCTTTGCAGGGACATGGATGAAGCTGGAAGTCATCATCCTCAGCAAACTAACACAGGAATAGAAAACCAAACACTGCATGTTCTCACTTATAAGTGGGAGTTGAACAAATGAGAACACATGGACACAGGGAGGGGAACAACACACACCTGGGGCCTGTCGGGGGTGGGGAGTGAAGGTAGAGAGAGCATTAGGACAAATAGCTAATGTACGTGGAGCTTAAAACCTAGATGACGGGTTGATAGGTGCAGCAAACCACTGTGGCACATGTATACCTATGTAACAAACCTGCACATTCTGCACATGTATCCCGGAACTTAAAAAAAAACAAAAACAAAAAAAGATATGTACTCAGAAACCATTGTAGATACTTTAAAAATATATCCCTAAGGAAGAGCAGTTCTTCTAGTTCCTTTCTCTTCCTTATATCTGTTCAAATGAATATGCTCAGAATCATATAGAAAATTGATATGTATATAAATCATATATAGGAAACATATATAATCATATCAAAAACAAAAAAAAGAACATCAGGAAATGTACATTTTCGAGCAGATTCTCTGACAGAAGTTGCCACTAAGCTTTGTAAGTTATGATTTTTGAAAATAATGTTATAATTTTGCCTGTTCGTGTTAAAAATGTATTTGTGAGATATTTCTTCTGTCTTGGCAAAGCATAACTTTATTTCTGTTATTAAAGCAGACATTTGCTCTGATGACTGACAGAGAATGAACAGGAACACAGCAGGAGGTCATTACATGGGATACTTTCTCATGTGCCAAAGTTTAAGAATTCTGGAACATAAGTTTCCGTAAATGAAGCCTTATCCCTCACCAGATAAAAACAGAATCAGGAATACTTTTCTCTCTCTTTCTTAAATACGAATTGAGGAAAAAAAAAAAAACACTTAGGAATCATGGGTCTTTGCTGATAAGAGATGCTGTTTTCTAAGGAGAGTGGCATTTTTCTGAGTATGTCAGACTGTTCATTTTAACAGGAGACAGGATTGAAGTATACGCTTCAGGGAATAAACTTCAAAGGTTGACTCTGACCTCGCAGTCATTTTATTTGTAGTGTGGTTTACTCTTGAGGTTTGAGGTTTTCCAGCCCTTTTTTGGGGTTTCCAGATAATGATGAATGAGTTCCATGTTCACACTCATTGACTTATAAATACTCTTGGATAAAGTTGACTTTTCCTGGCAGTTAAATCCAAGAAAAACTTAAAATAATTGTGTAATGTTATTGCTTCCTAGATGTGATTCTGATAATTATCATTGAGATATTTTTTAAAGTAGTGAAAGTGAATTCTTGGCATGTCCTAGAAAATAGTTCTTGATGCAACATATGAATTTGAAAGTAGATGTAGGAGTCCAATAAAGACACTTCACCAAATGAGAGTTCTGTTTCCACTTTTGTCTTCTGTTTTGTAGTTTGTTTTCAACCCTCCAATGCTGAGTTTTGCATTTAGCATAATAGACATGTAGGCTGTTCTCTGAGGCAAGCACACAACTAAATTACTGTTTTCAGGACTCTGAATGTCTGAATGGAAAGATACTTGTTAGTGTGGGAGTTGCCATTTTGGAAAACAGAATAGCAAAATTGTTAATATTTTGGTAAAAATTCAGATTGAGCTCTTCTCCTGCTTTTCTTCCTACATGTTTTCATACATCAGAACCATGTTGTTGTTATTATCAAGTTAATTATGTTATTTCCGGTTCTCTTTCAGAAAAGTTCCTCTCCACTTGAACTCTTGTAAATAGCAAATTAAAAGTAAAATAAATATAGTTATCAAAGATCATATTCTGGAAAGATGTTTTGCTTTAATAGTTTTCTTTTAAAGATAATTATTTGATTATGAGAAGATTCTTTTTTAACCTGACTTTTATATGATTTGATAGCATTTCAATAATAACAAAAACAGAGAAATCTGTTACTAATAAGAGAAGAACTTAACTGGGATTTGGCTTTCTTTTTCTAGAGAGTGGGACAAACGACCAGCTCTAGAGTAATTATGAGGCTGATGAAGTTTATCCCTAGCCTCTCTGTTTCTTTCTTCTTATTATCCCTTTTTCAGCAAGGAGCTGATGTCAGCCATATCTTAGAATGAATTTTAAAATATTGTGTTAATAGCCAGCTTTCCCCACACTGTGCTGTTGCAAACATTAGTGCTACATGATATATTAATAAGTCTCACATGGAAAATAGTACTGCAATATAAAAAAAGCTTGGAATATTCTGGTTAAACAAAGTTAAACAGTAGTGTGTTTTTCTTTTGAGACACAAATCACATACATAAAATTTAGCATTTTGTATACAATTCAGTGATTCTTAGTATATTCACTGTATTATGCAACCATCACCACTAATTTGAAAAGATTTTTAACACTACAGAAAAAAATCCTGTATCTATTAGGAGTCAGTCCCAAATTCTACCACCTCTCATCCCCAGGCAGCCACTAGTCTTCTTTCTGTCTCTGGATTTGCCTATTCTGGACATTTCCTATAAATGGAAACATACAACATGTGACCTTTTGTGACTAGCTTCTTTCACTTACATGTTTTTCAAGTTTATCCATATTGAAGCACGTGTTAGTACTTTATTCTTATTGTGACTGAATAATATTCCATAGTATGGATATTCCATATTTTATATCCATTCAATCTATTGATGGAAATTTGGATTGTTTCCACTTTTGGCTATTACAAATAATGTTGCCATGAATCTTTGTGTACAAGTTTTTGTGTGAACATCTGTTTGAAATTTTCTTGAGTATATACCTGGGTGTAGAATTGCTAGGTCTTGTGGTAATTCTTTTAATTTTTTGAAGAACTGCCAAACTGCTTCATGTAGCAACTGTACCATTTTACATTCTCACTAGCAATGTATGAGAGGTTCAGTTTCTCCACATCCTTCCCAACATTTGCTTTTTTGTGTTTTACTTATTTATAGCCAACTTCATAGACATGAAGTGGTATCTCATTGTGGTTTGATTTTCAATTCCCTAATGATTAATGACACTGAGTATATTTTTATGTGCTTATTGACCATCGTACATCTTCTTTGGAGAGATGTCCATTCAAGTCTTTTTCCAATTTTTAAATTAGGCTATCAGTCTTTTTGTTGTTGAGTTGTAACAGTATGGACAGTGTGAATTTTCAAGAATACCATATGATAAGCATTCTTTCAAAAATTTATCTTAACATGGAGTTTTTTTTCACCCCAAAGAACATCTATTTACATCTTTGCCCATGCCTACATCCTGAATGGTATTGCCCAGGTTTTCTTCTAAGATTTTTATGGTCCTATTTCTTACATTTAAGTTTTTGATCCATCTTGAGTTGATTTTTATATAAGGTGTGAGGAAGGGGTGCAGCTTCAGTTTTCTGCATATAGCTAGCCAGTTTTCCCAACAGCATTTATTAAGTAGGGAATATTTTCCCCATTGCTTGTTTGTGTCAGGTTCGTCAAAGATCAGATGGTTGGAGATGTGTGGTGTTACTTCTGAGACCTCTGTTGTGTTTCATTGGTCTGTATTTGCAGATAACGTGATTGTATATTTAGAAAACCCCATCTGGTACCACTGTTTTGGTACCAGTACCATGTTGTTTTGGTTACTATAGCCTTGTAGTATAGTTTGAAGTCAGGTAGCATGATGCCTCCAGCTTTGTTTTTCTTGCCCAGGATTGTCTTGGCTATGCGGGCTCTTTTTTTGTTCCATATGAACTTTAAAGTAGTTTATTTCCAATTCTGTCAAGAAAGTCAGTGGTAGCTTGTTGGTGATGGCATTGAATCTATAAATTACTTTGGGCAGTATGGCCATTTTCATGATATTGATTCTTCCTATACATGAGCATGGGGTGTTATTCCATTTGTTTGTGTCCTCTCTTATTTCGTTGAGCAGAGGTTTGTATTTCTCCCTGAAGAGGTCCTTCACATATCTTCTAAGTTGTATTCCTAGGTGTTTTATTCTCTTAGTAGCAATTGTGAATGGGAGTTCACTCATGGTTTGGCTTTCTGTTTGTGTTATTGGTTTATAGAAATGCTTGTGATTTTTGCACGTTGATTTTGTATCCTGAGACTTTGCTGAAGTTGCTAATCAGCTTGAGGAGATTTTGGGCTGAGTTGATGGGGTTTTCTAAATATACAATCATGTCAACTGCAAACAGGGACTATTTGACTTCCTCTTTTCCTAATTGAATACCCTTTATTTCTTTCTCCTGCCTGATTGCTCTGGCCAGAACTTCCAATACTGTGTTGAATAGGAGTGGTGAAAGAGGGCATCCTTGCCTTGTGCTGGTTTTCAAAGGAAATGCTTCCAGCTTTTGCCCATTCAGTGTGATATTGGCTGTGGGTTTGTCATAAATAGCTCTTATTATTTTGAGATATGTTCCATCAATACCCAGTTTATTGAGAGTTTTTAGCATGAAGGGTGTTGAATTTTGTCAAAGGCCTTTTCTGCATCTATTGAGATAATGTGGTTTTTGTCGTTGGTTCTGTTTATGTGATGGATTACGTTTATTAATTTGTGTATGTTGTGTATGTTGAACCAGCCTTGCATCCCAGGGATGAAGCCAACTTGATCATGGTGGATAAGCTTTTTGATGTGCTGCTGGATTCGGTTTGCTAGTATTTTATAGAGGATTTTCGCATTGATGTTCATCAGGGATATTGGCCTGAAATTTTCTTTTTTTGTTGTGTCTCTGCCAGGTTTTGGTATCAGGATGATGCTGGCCTCATAAAATGAGTTAGGGAGGAGTCCTTCTTTTTCTAATGTTCGGCATAGTTTCAGAAGGAATGGTACCAGTTCCTCGTTGTACCTCTGGTTGAATTTGGCTGTGAATCTCTCTGGTCCTGGACTTTTTTTGGTTGGTAGGCTATTAATTATTGCCTCAATTTCAGAACTTGTTTGTGGTTTATTCAGGGATTCTACTTCTTCCTGGTTTAGTCTTGGGAGGGTGTTTGTGTCCAGGAATTTATCAATTTCTGCTAGATTTTCCAGTTTATTTAAGTAGAGGTGTTTATAGTATTCTCTGAAAGTAGTTTGTATTTCTGTGGGATCAGTGGTGATATCCCCTTTATCATTTTTTATTGCGTTTATTCGATTCTTCTCTCTTTTCTTCTTTATTAGTCTGGCTAGTGGTCTATCTATCTTAGAACTAGTTTTGTATGGGACAGTTTGGGAAGCACCGTTTTAAAGAATAATCCATCATGACTAAATTGATTTATTTAAATCCCTGGACTATAAGAATGGCTTAATCTTAAAACATCTAATACTTTTCTTCTCTACTTTCTAATTTTCTGACAGTGAAGAACAATTGCTTGTGTAATTTAAAAATGCTAATTTTTAAAAATTAAAATGATGAACAAACATTTTGCTCTAGCTTTAAAGGAGCCTTTAGCTTTTAAACAACCAATTTCCTAATAGAAAAGTCTCAAAAACTCAGAGCATTTACAAAGAAATACAAATGTTCAATATATGTGAGCAAAATATTCAACTTACTGCTAATAAAAATGCTTAATTACAACAGTATGAGACACCCTTATTTAACTTTGGCAAAGATGTTTAAAATTACGCACACTCAATAGTGGCACCAGTGCTAAAAAATAGATATTTATTGTTGTTTTTAGTGTATATTGGTTTAGTTATCCTGAAACCAATTTGACACTATATAAACAGAGCCATTAAAATGTTAATGTAAGTTATTTTGCTTTTGTGAATCTTTTATAAATTTTTATGAATGGAAATACAAACAGTTTGTATATCATTGTTCATCAAAACACTATGATAGGAAAATTTTGAAAAATTTCTAAATGCCCAATAATAGGGAAATGATTAAATAAGTTATCATATTAAGAGCAAGGACTAGTATACTCTCATTAAAATAATATTTTTAAATAATAATGGTAGGACAAAATGATTACTGCATAATTGAAATAAAGACAGTTTAGAAATTTACCTTCCTTCTTCAAATACCTACACACCCATATCCACACTCACCTGCTTAAGAAACTGTAGAAAACTACACACCCATATCCACACTCACCTACTTAAGAAGCTGTAGAAAACTACACACCCATATCCACACTCACCTACTTAAGAAACTGTTATTTGACATGGTCAGTACTAGCATTGAGTCAGTTAATAAATTGGTTAGACATGCTCATTGTTTATTTTCTATGAATAACTAATTAAACTGTAGTTTTAATTAGTTTGTTAAAAAGCGATCAATCCAATAGGGAGGAAGTAGGCTAGGGAGAGAGTGACTGGAAGTACTTATGTGGGTCTTGATATTAAATAGGATGGCCAGGTCATAAATTTGCCAGTTTTCAGATGTCATCTGAGAATTGTTCTTTAAATATGGATCCACGGATTGGAGTTTCACTAGGATTTTGTTACGTAAGCCACATTTCCAGTTTTGGTTTCTTTAAAGTGGAGCAAGAAAATGAACCAGATTTGTGAAGGAGTCTGTGTGCAGAATTCTAGATCCTTATGGCTTTTATTTTGCAATCTTTAACAGGTGCCTTTTCCACCATAATTTTAAAATAAGATTTCTTTAGCTTATTTTTGTCAAGTCTTTCCAAAACATTCCAGCTAGTTTTGTATATAAACAACTCTCTTCTTAGGAATATTCATTTTTCATCAGTTTAACTAACGTTTAATGAAGTAATATTAGGAGAATAACAGGTTCAAATGGAATAAACAAATGTAGGGACACACACCACATAAATACACATGTGAGCACACACCAGGTAAGCACACTGGTAGAAGCACAGAAGACGAACACACAAGCAGTAGCACCTACTCTCCTGTGTCCAAAGCTGATGTCACCAAGTGAATTGGTGAAAGGAATGCTGTCAACTTTGATGAAAGAAATTGCTGTTTCAACAGTTATATTTGCATGGTTTTATATTGTGTGTTGACACTCAGCTAATGAACTGATTTTATTTTAAGAAGTAATTGATATGGTTTGGCTCTATGTCTCCACCCAGCTCTCACCTTGAATTGTAATAATCCCCACGTGTTGTGGGAAGGACCCAGTGGGAGGTAATTTAATCATGGGGATGGGTTTTTTCTATGCTGTTCTTGTGATAGTGAATAGGTCTCATGAGATCTGATGGTTTTATAAAGGGGAGTTCCCCTACACAAGCTTTCTTGCCTGCTGCCGTGTAAGACATACCTTTGCTCCTCCTTCACCTTCTGCCATGATTGTGAGGCCTCCCCAGCCACGTGGAAGTGCAAGTCCATTAAACCTCTTTAAAAGTTATGCAGTCTCAGGTATGTCTTTATTAGCAGCATGAGAACAGACTAATATAGTAATTTAATATGTATTTAATTGAAGTCGTATCAGTCTACTGTTCAACATTTTATTATGAAAAATTTCAAACGTACATCAAAATTGAAAAAATTTTACAGCAAATACCATGTTTGTAAAGTTTGTATCCAATGATATGCACACATCTTAAGGATATATGAGGTGAGATTTAATAAATGTACACGCCTGTGTAACCCCAGCCCTTCCCTATCATTACCCTAATCTCAGAAGTTCCCTCATATCTCTCCTCTGTCACCTCTCACCCCACTACCCAGAGGCAATCTCTGTTTTGTTTTATTCAACCATAGATTAGTTTTGCCTTTTCTAGAACTTTATGTAAATACAGCCATTCAGTATGTACTTTTTTGGCCAACTTCTTTACTCAGTAGTTTGTTCTTTTTTATTGTTGAGTAGTATGTTTATGTTTGTTCTTCCATCCTCCTGCTATTGGACACCTGAGTTGTTAGTAGTTTTGGGTTATTATGCATACAGCTGCTGTGAACATTCTTGTACAAGTCTCTTTGTGAATATGTATTTTCACTTTTATTGGGCAAATACCTAGGAGTGGCGTTGCTGGGTTTTGTTTTGTGAGAAACTACCAGACTTCTTTTTCAAAATGGTGTACCTTTTAACACACTCACCAACATAGCATTAGAGTTGCAATTGCTCTGCGTCTTCAGCATTCGGTGGTGTCAGTGTTTCTAATTTTAGCCATGTTGGTAGGTGTGTGGTGTTATCTCACTGTAGTTTTAATTTGCATTTCCCAGATAACTATTGATACTGAGCACTTTTTCCTGTGCTTAATGGCCACTTTTGTCAAGGGTCTGTTCAAATCTTACAGCCATTTAAAAAAATTGAGTTGTCTTTTTATTATTGAGTAATAGTAGTTTGTAATATATCCTGTGTATCAGTCCTCTATCAGATGTATGTTTTGTGAATATATTTTTCCATTCATGGCTTGCCTATTCTTTTTTCTCCATGTTGCCTTAAGTTGAGTAGTTTATTTTGATAAATTCTAATTTATCATTTTTTTCTTGTATGATAATTGCTTTCTGTATGCCGTCTAGTAAGCCATTGCCTATCTCAATGCAATTTTTTTAACGTATGCTCCAGGTGATAGAGCCTAGCTATTAAAAAGTAGTTATTTTTCAATCTCACAATCTTTGGGTGAGTTCCAAAGTAGATACTAGAGTTGATACACAATGTTTCTAAAAGTTTCTTTTTAAGCAGTGCCTGCCTGTTTAAAAAAAAATCAGGACCATTTTCATGATGTAGCATCATCTTTACACTTAAAAGTTTTTCATTCTGCATGTATACGTTTCTGACTTCAATGTACCACTTTATAAATGACTGAAATTGCTTCAGACCCCTGGATTATACTGTGATAAGCCAAATGGGCTTCCGGACACTCCCTTCTCACCAGAGCCACATGCCAGAAACCAAACAGATGGTAAACTAGGCAGAAATGACCCTCGGCATTCTCATTAGAGCAGTTGGGGAAATTTTAATGGGCCCCCATTTGCCTCGTGTGGTATCTAATACCCTTTGAACTACCACTTTTTTTTTTCCTGTTACAAGTCAACAACCGCCATGTATATTTTAATAAGGATTATCAAACACAATTTGCCCAGAAGATGTACAGCCCTCTAATGCTAATTAGCCAAGTTTAAATAATCACTGAGTTCTGCGATAATTGGAAAGAAACACTGTTTTTCTTGCCAGTGCATAATTACCAATTAACAGGAAGATAAAATATCCATGTAATAGTCGTACCTAGAAGAATCTGTTAACAGTTAATTAACTGACGAGTTGGTGCCAAGTTGATTTTAGTCAAGAAAGTTTACAGATGAAGTTCTCCTGTCAAATAAAAAAATAAATATACACATTATGTAAAGATTACATGGTTGAGCCAGAGCAGAGCATGAGCAGGGTAAGTGTATGATTTTGGCTCTGCATTAGAGTGCTTAGGGCAGAGGTCAGGTCATTACATTAAAGATGTAGTGTTACTTTGGCTTTCCGTATTAAACACACCAACTGCTGGTTGCTTATCTGCTGCTTACATACAAAATTTGAGGCTTCATAATTTGCTTTTCTCTTGATCCTAATAATTGCATGGGCTTTCTCAGCCTTAATATTTCCATATGAAATTGGTCCACAGCTGCCTCTGCATTTTTCTGCATATTAGAGTTAGGACTTGAGTGCACGAAATCGGTAACTGGAGATTCACAAAGAAGAAAATAAAAACTTGACTTCCCATTTTCTTTTTTTTTGTTAATGCAGGAATTACCATTATGTCATTCTTCGAACGTATTTGAAAACACATACATTAAACCATTTTAAAAAGTTAACAGTTTTAGTAAAAAATAGCATGCTTTTAAATCTGCTTTCAACTTTTTATTTAGACTAATGAAGGCGTGGGTACTGTCAAGCATTTAATATGCACTGCTTGAGATTTAAGTGTTTTGAAATTGCATTTGTTTGGGGGAGTCTTTTAGTCACTAGGCAAAGCCTAAAACTTCAATTATTTATGATGCATGCTGTTGATTAAAACTATTTCTGCAAAATCTTTAATGCAGTGAAGAGTATACTATAGGTCAAAAATCTTGTAGAACTTGGAAAAGTTTTATAAATAACGAAATGCTGAATTGTTCAAAAGATAGGGAGGTGGTAGAACATGTGGTAAAACTCTGGTTTCATAGATTGGTAGATATGAAGAATGTTCTTGCTAGTTTCTCTTGAAATAAAAGAAAATGCATGAGGAAGACTTTGTAGCAGTAACATTTTAATAGTTGTACATGCGCATTTAACACACTGAAAATTTTAGAAGTTATTGAAATAGGAATTTTAATAAGTTATAATTTATTCCCTTCTATTCAGCGTTCGGCTATGCCTGAGAGTAGTTTCTCTTCAAGGAACACAGGAAGGAGAATAAGTGCTGTGTGATTGTTTTACTTATATATTAGTCTGCTCTTATGATGGGGAATCACTTAACCAAGGTACTGATTCATTATACACATTACTCTATCTTAGTGATCCTCAACCTTTGGGGGCTATGTGCTGTTCTGCAGTTAATGTTTAAACATGTCATGACAAACATAAGTATTGTTTCTTGAATTTTTTTGGTTATGTGAGGGTGTACTTGCATGTCTTTGGTTGCAAAGGAAAATGTCTATTGTCTGCTCTGGACTGTGGTATTAAAAGAAGTTCGAAAAGTACTCACTGCTTTAAAAGGTCTCTCCAACACTGTGGTTGCTTAAGTGTATGTACATTTATGTTCGGATATCTATATATACATTAGATCTTTAGCATATAAAATTTGCATTTGTACTTTCAATGACTAGTAAGCCTCCTCAGAGAACAAGGTCATGCATTACCTTATTTGGCTAAGGAAACATTGGAATGATAAACATTTTAAGACTTAATGAGCTCTCAATATTCATATTCCAATGCAGTTTTGTGTTTTTCTAATAGTTCTCATGCAATAAGGAAGTGACAAGAACTTTATTTCCCTGTGAAAATTACCCTATAAAGGAGATCAAGAGCTGGAGACAGACAAGGAAGGAAAGAGACAAGTCCTAGCCTGGATACACACATTCTTGGGCTTCTAACTTCATGAGTCCCACCTGAGAGTTCTGCATCCTGTACAGGAATTTCTGGGGGGTCTGGCTCTCCCTAGCTGAGTGCTGGCATCCTTACATTCCATCTTCATGTGGAGTCACCTGTGAACACAGCTTTTGGGAGCAGAAAAGAGAAACTAATTTTTTTCTCTTCTGTCTGTGCAATGTATTTTTCTCCTCTACCCATGAACTTGGACTGTACTGAGAATTCCTTTTGGTCTCCCTTGAAGACCCTTTCTACATGATCAGTCACAGAAACCTGTCAGTCCCCCTCTCTTCTCTTTCAAAATTTCTTTGTTGAGCTCAGAACTAAAGACCCCTTTGGCTAAGCCGTCAGCTTTCCTGTTATATTTGTGAATAGAGATTAGTGATTGATCATAGGTATATTCTGAAAGATGTTATTTCCTACATGCCTACAGGAATTTCCTACAGTGATCCTAGTTTCAGAGTGATAGTATGAGTCTCTACTGGAAATGATATTTTAAAGTGTACCATAAAAGTGTATGTTAAAGTATTTTTCCAATTATTGAATAAGGGTTTTATGCTCCCTATTCATAATTGTTCTTTCAAATATTTGGGAAATATTATGAGTTCCTGATTATAAAATACTACAAATGTGTTAGCTCTATATAAAATCTCTAAAGACTCCAAAATAAATCTGAACAGAAATTGGTTGTGATCTTATAAAAAAGTTACCCATATTCCCTAATACACATCTGGAAAGTGGATATATTTCCCCATGACTGTGGTGTCATGGGGAAGAATTGTATGAAATCACAGAGGAAAAAAGTACTAATGTGTAACACATGCTCTTCATAAATGTTTTTAATCTTCCCTTTCACCCTTTTAATTTGTTAGGAAATTAGTGGGTGCTGTCACATGTGTGTGTAAAATTTCAATGGTGTAAACAATAGAATTTCTGTCCTCACTTGTGTATCAGCCCATCATGGGTGTTTTTGGTCAGCATGGAAGGCTTTGCTCCACATAGTCATTCGGTTCCTGAATGACGGAGGCTCTACTGTCTCCATAAGGCTTCGAAGGTCACCTTGGACATCAATTTCCAACTGATTAAAGAAGGAAAGCAGAGAAAAGAAGGTGTGACTTCTTCTTAACTGTCTTGGCTCAGAGTAATACATCATTTGGAATATGAGTGAAAAATAGTTGTATGGCTTTGTCCGAATACGTTGGAGTAGGGGAAGGAGATGTTGAAAGATACAGTTCTAGATGGGACAGTTGCTTCCCAGCAATAATTCCATTCTGTGCCTCTGACACATTCTTCCTCTTACCCTACATACGATGTTCTTCCTTCCTTTTGTTCATTCTGTTCCTGTGGGTTGAAGAAAGCGTGTCTAGAATGCTGGAAAGAAAGTGTCCAGAGTGCATTGGATATGAACTGGTTAGAAAAAAACTGAGGCTTGAGGGTATTAGGAATGGAATTTAAGAGAAGTAAATAAATCAGAGAGCTCAATGTGGTCATATAGGTGATACAATTTTTATTGAAAAAAATGAATAATGAATAGATAGTAACATGAGATAAGGTGGTAAGAACTGGAAGAAGAGGAGCATGTGGGAAGATCCAGGATGGTGGGGAGTTGAAACTTCACAGGTGCAACAATTCCAAGTGAGGATAAGGCCCAGCATGTCCTTTGAAGTGTTGCTGAGGTGGAGTAGAGGAGAAGGGAACTAGCAGAAATTCGCCAAAAAGCTGGGAATAAAATCTGCAGGAGGAGTCACCCATTTAAGCATTGAACATGCTCACTATTATAGTAGGGGTTATGCTAGACGGGAGAATACTGAGCCTGATGTAGAGTCATTGTGCACTCATTGGAATTGGGCCTCCTGCTTCACAGGAGACATTAATTACCATGGCCAGCACAATAAGATAAGAATCACCATCCTGACCAGAACATTAGTATGATATGCTGTAATTTACAAACCAGTTTCATGCATATAATCCCAATTAATATAAGCCCTAAAGTGTCTAAGATGAACAGTGTTGTTTTTAAGATGGAAGAGTTTATTCTAGCTCAAGCAGAATGGGTGAGGAAGACTTTTTAGAGAAAATGATGACCCAGCTAGATGTCAGTTGTTAATGTCTTCTCTAGCAAATAAACACTTGGATGGAATTCCACTTTCTTTTTGTTTTTTGTTTTGTTTTGTTTTTTTGAGACAGAGTCTTGCTCTGTTGTTCAGGCTGGAGTGCAATGGTGTGATCTCTGCTCACTGCAACCTCTGCCTCCCAGATTCAAGCGATTCTCCTCCCTCAACCTCCTGAGGGATTACAGCTGGGATTACAGGTGCGCACCACCATGCCCAGCTAATTTTTGTATTTTTAGTAGAGACGGGGTTTCACCATGTTGGTCAGGGTGGTCTCGAACTCCTGACCTCATTATCTGCCCGCCTCAGCCTCCCAAAGTGCTGGGATTACAGGCGTGGGCCATCGTGCCTGGACAATGGAATTCCACTTTCAATTGCTGCTACCCACTTTGTGATTCAGAGACAGGACAGGACTCTGGGGTCCTACCATGGCCTGGTGCTTATATAGGAGGCTTGATTGCTTAAATGCTGTAAGGCCCTGGTGTCCCCCTTAATTGAGTATCATAGTGCAGCGGTCCCCAACCTTTTTGGCACTAGGGATTAGTTTCTTGGAAGATGATTTTTCCACAGACAGTAGGGGGTGGGGATGGTTTGGGGGATGATTCAAGCACATTACATTTATTGTTCGAGTCTCGTAAGGAGTACACAACCTAGATCCCTTGCATGCGCAGTTCACAATAGGGTTTGTGCTTCTGTGAGAATCTAATGCTTCTGCTGATCTGACAGGAGGCAGAGCTCAGGCTGTTCACCTTACCTCCTGCTGTGTGGCCTGGTTCCTAATGGGCCAGGGACCACTACTGCTCCGTGGCCCTGCAGTTGGGGACACCTGTTATAGTGTGAATCCCAATGACAATCTTCTACAGTCTGATGGACACATTGGGCCAAAGCTGCAATGAGAAGAATTGACCGTCTTGCTTAACTGGAAAGAAAAACCTTAAAAAAAAAAAAAAAAGTTCAGAGTGCCTATGCAGATCCAAGACATAGGTATAACTGCAGTATCAATGGTGAAGACCTGTAAGACATAGGAGAAGAAAACCAGAGACATAGTGATGAGCAGACTGCAAAAGTGTTTGCCAGAGGTGCCATGGAAGGGCTGGAGTGAAGTCAAACGTGAGAGAGGAGGGGTGCATTAACAAAAAGTTCACAGAACTGAAAAAAGAATTCATTTGGTGGTAACTATTTGGCCAGAGTTCAGAGAACTCCACACTAAAACTGCCAACTAAATCAGAATTGGAAAGGTCACGTTTTTAGCTGGCACAAATTCTGTGTTGTGCTACCTGCTTGGAGGAGGTTGGGAAAATGTTTCTAGTGCCTGGTTTTATGCTAGGATTTTAGGGTTGGTGCTTTTTATAGTGTCTTATTTTCCTCTAACAAGGGAGTGTTTGAGTCTTTGTAGATAACTGTAGAAAACTTACTTGTTTGACAGAACCTTCCTCAATATTTACAGTGTCAAACCCCTTTGTAGTTTCAGTGTCTCTGCCTGCCCTGCCCCCCTTTCTCAATCTGTCAGGTGGAAAGAATAAGATAATGCTGGAGAAGATGTAGTATCTTCTGGGGAAGGAGTGGCTCTGACTCCATCTAAGCCCGTTTGTATCAACGGTGACTGAAAAGTAAAAAGATTTCCCTCTGGTAGCCTTACGCTAGGCTCACTAAACCCTCTTGACTCTCAGAAGTATAAAATTGTATATGGCTTTTCACACTTTCCGTGAGTTATGCACTTTAACTCGTAAGTTACACATTAAGTTCTTGGTAGCATTCCCAAAAGAGAAATAAGGGTGGCTGACCTTCTGTCCTCTGTTGTCAGTGCTCTTAATGGGTAGAATTGGCCAACTTCTTGCCATGAACATTCCCGTGTAGCTCAGGAGCTGCCAGCAAAGCTGATCACCTCCTAAAGGTGTGATATCAGAAAAGCAAGAGTGTTTTACTTACATTGCATGAAGTATAGATTGTTTTCATGTTCTAAAGCAGTCTGGGATCTTAGGGTTTAGAATAGTTAAAAGATGGTATAAACGGTCTCTCTGCTCCTGACACAATCACCCTTGATAAGTTTCTATAATTGGCTGTTTTGGCCTCTGCATTTTCTCTCGTCAGAAACAGAGCTGGTTGACAAGGGTCAGAACAAGGAGCTGCAGTGCATGAGTCCTCTGCATGTTGAGGTCATGAGTTGGGGTCAGTGATTAGCAGGCCAAGTGAGAATGTCAGAACCCTCCTGGGATCTGAGAACCAGAAATCCAGGATGATAAGTGTGGGTCAGCAGGAGTCATCCGGAGATGTAGTGCAAGTGGTTGGGATCTGGGAAACGGAGTGCTGCCTCGCAGTGTTGTGTAGTTTGTGCTTTAAGCCTCCTGACAAGTGGGGCTGAAATCTGGCTCATGTTGTGCTTGCCAAGTCTTCTGCTTTGGTGCAGGCCTGTGTCTGTTAGGAGAATACACTCATGGATTACCAAGCTGTGGCATCATGGGGCTTCCTTGATGGAGATGGGGGTATCTTTATACTTTCTACGAAGGCCAAGGACAGGCAAGTAGTGGCTCTGCCAGGGAGTCTTCTTTACTAGATTTTGAGGCCATCTCTTTAGCAAAATGCTAAATAAATGGTCCTTAGAAACCTTGTTAAATGATCAGATGGGATTAGGTGGTGCCAAAAGTTGTTTATAAGTGTACTATCATCGAGGAAATATAAACACTAAAGTAGTTTCTGATTCAGCTTTTGGAATTTCCTGTGGCTTTCAGTGGCCAATCTCAGGTTCTTGGTCCAAGCCCCAGCTGTGGGAAGAGGCTAATAAAGTTGCCTGGTAAGGTGGGGAGAGCAAGAGCAGTTTCTTGTGATTCCTCTCTAGGTCTCTCTATACCTTCACTTCATAAATACTTACTTGATTTCAGGTTCTCGGGTGATATATATATATATATTTTTTTTTCTTAAAAGAGCTGGTATAAAAGAGCTCAGGTCCAGATGTCAGTTTGGGAGACCAGGAAATTTTATTTAGGGGAAAGAGCATTTGTATAAATTTTTGAGACAGACTGGAGGATGAGTTAGAACTCCCATGATGTCCAGGGTTATCTGGAAGCAATAGAGAGCCCCTACAGGGCAGGGTAAGGTAGTGAAAATGCTGGCAGTCTGAGTCTAGTTACTGTTTCTTCACTAACTTCTAAGCACAAAAGGAGCACAGTTGATCCATGTCACCAAGGGTTTTCCCTGGAACTCCCTGGGCTAGTTCTATCCTAGTTATTTTGCCATTTTATGGCTGTATGTAATGAGAGATGAGCATGTTCTTCCTAGAACTCTTCTGAAAATGTCAAAGGGAAGGAAATGGAAGAACTTCCCCAGTTCTGGTGCTTCTTCATTAAATCCTACTACCCATCTTCCTTTCCACCAAGACACCCATGTACACACCAAAACACTTTAATTAGGGGAAAGACAGGGCACCTCCTCCCCATCTGACATTTCTTGTATCCCCTTCTTTTCTAGACTGTGTTGATCTCATGTCTGACCACAGAAATCTCTTACTCATATAACATCCAGTTCCTAATTCTCTCATCCCATCTGCCATAGCCAGAGTGGACTGTAAATCATGATCGTGTTACACCCCCACCTCATTTTTCTTTTGAATTTTTATTGCACAGGAGACCCAATCCTCTGTTTGCACTTTGGATGTCCCTTATGTAATTTCCCTTTCAGTTGCCAATATTTGAGTTAGTATCCTTCCATCCATGCAAACTTCCCTCTCTTCTGCAACTCATCTTTTGGTTTGATCTTGTGTGTTGTACCAGGAGCAGACACCTCCATTCTGCATCCTTTGACGTGCAATGGCTAGGGCCTATGAACCGAGACCCTCCTGAGGCCCATCATAAGGTAGATAACTAATCCTCACTTCCGTGTCACTGTTAATCAGCCAACACCAAGATTGGTGTAAATCATGAGGCTGTCTGGGGTGTCAAATAGTGAAGCTGAAGAGGAAGTAGTTTCTAAATTCCCCCAAACTCTATTTCAGCTCTTTAGCAGCCACCTTGTGTTAAGGCAGACATGCTTCTTCCTTGGCAATTAAATTGCCAGAATTGTCCAAGGATGAGAACAAGCAGAGGCTTTGGAGTAACTATTCTGTTAATTAATAAAGACCTCTCAGTAGTAATCTGGATATATACATCTGCATGAAACAGAAAATCACTTTGTGCTGGTTTTTATGTTATCTTTTTCATAGTTTTATTTGTATATTATCCTGCTACATGTATTTGTCTGTTCCTCTTCTTAATTTCCTCCTGTCCACTTTCTATCTTTACTAGGTTGCTAGCAAGTGAGTTCAAGGGTGGTGGCTGCCTAAAAGTATATACTCTGTAGGACCTATTATGAAGACAAATACATTGTGAGTATAGAATTATTATTGGCCATGAGATACATTCTTACATTGGCTGGAAAATATGACATTTCATTAGGGATTGATAAATTTAGGTGACCTTAATTGTTATCACAATTGTTAGTTCACCAACAGGTATCCTTATCTCACAGCTGTTTTTTAGATAAGATTATAACATTATGGGATTTACTTAATTAGAATTACTTTTTTTCTGTTCTGAATATCAAGATGACTTTCATGTTCACACAAAGCAAATAATTCACCATTGCTTAAAATCAAGATGTGCATTAATTTGGACATGAAAGATAATCCCTTGATTGAAAAAGGCTAATTGGGGTTACCTTTTGTTAGTACAGAATCACAAAATAGCTTTGATAGATTTTAGCATATGGATAAATCCCTTCTCCAAACTTCCCACGATGAAGAATATCTTTCAGTTGGATATCCTTTAAAGAATTTGATGCATAAAGAAAAAAATCTTATCAGGCATAAAATGTTTGTCCATTTCCTTTTGATATGAATAATGAGTTCTCTATCCTATTAACAAAGGTTAAACTCATGTATACCAAAGAGATGGGGTCCCAATGTAGGTTTTTTTCCCTTTCCTTTTGCCTATTTCATTTTGGCTTTAAGAATAACAAAAACAAGTTTAAATTGCTTCCTCAGTGGAGTCATCATCTATCACCTATCCTAATAGTACTGTTCATAAACACAACTCATAAAATAATGGTCTCTAATATTTAGTCACTTCACATAAATTGTTTTTAAGATCTATTTACTTTCACCGTTACAAATAATATAACTTCTTTTTGGAAGAGAAAAATGGTGATTAAAATAATCACCATTTCTTCTTTTTCTTTTTTTAAAAAGCATACTTAGCCTGACATTAAATGTTTAAGTTATAAAAGCACTTTAGGTTGGACACTTCATTACTTGGAAATGTAAGTATCTCAACGCAACATTTTAATTGTTAGACATTTAAAACTTGTAAGGCATTTAGAAAGCTATTAGAGTAGTGGGTAATGAGAGTGTGAACTATGATGGAGCAGGAGGATTTCTTTTTTAAAAGTACGTTAAGTTCTGGGATACATGTGCAGAACGTGCAGGTTTGTTACATAGGCATACTTGTGCCATGGTGGTTTGCTGCACCCATCAACCCGTCATCTACATTACGTATTTCTCCTAATGGTATCCCTCCCTAAGTCCCCCAACCCACAACAGGCCCCGGTGTGTGATGTTCCGTTCCTTGTGTCCATGTGTTCTCATTGTTCCACTCCAACTTATGAGTAAGAACATGTGGTGTTTGGTTTTTCTGTTCCTGTGTTAGTTTGCTGAGACTGATGGTTTCCAGCTTCATCCATGTCCCTGCAAAGGACATGAACTCAACCTTTTTTATGGCTGCATAGTATTCCATGGTGTATATGTGCCACATTTTCTTTATCCAGTCTATAATTTTTTTTTTTTGAGATGGAGTCTTGCTCTGTCGCCCAGCCTGGAGTGCAGTGGTGCTGTCTTGGCTCACTGCAAGCTCCACCTCCTGGGTTCACGCCATTCTCCTGCCTCAGCCTCCCAAGTAGCTGGGACTACAGGCACCCGCTACCATGCCTGGCTAACTTTTTGTATTTTTAGTAGAGATGGGGTTTCACCGTGTTAGCCAGGATGGTTTTGATCTCCTGACCTCATAATCCGCCTGCCTCGGCCTCCCAAAGTGCTTGGATTACAGGCGTGAGCCACTATGCCTGCCTATCCAGTCTATCATTGATGAGCATTTGGGTTGGTTCCAAGTCTTTGCTATTGTGAACAATGCTGCAAGAAACATATGTGTGCATGTGTCTTTATAGTAGAATGATTTATAATCCTTTGGGTATATACCGAGTGATGGGATTGCTGGGTCAAATGGTATTTCTGGTTCTAGATCCCTGAGGAATCGTCACAGTCTTCCACAATGGTTGAACTAGTTTACACTCCCACCAACAGTGTAAAAGTGTTCCTATTCCTCCACATCCTCTCCAGCACCTGTTGTTTCCTGACTTTTTAATGATTGCTGTTCTAACTGGGATGAGATGACATCTCATTGTGGTTCTGATTTGCATTTCTCTAATGACCAGTGATGAAGAGCTTTTTTTCATATTTTTGTTGGGTGCATAAATGTCTTCTTTTGAGAAGTGTCTGTTCATATCCTTCACCCACTTTTTGATGGGGTGGTTTGTTTTTTCCTTGTAAATTTGTTTAAGTTCTTTGTAGATTCTGGATATTAGCTCTTTGTCAGATGGACAGATTGCAAAAATTTTCTCCCATTCTGTAGGTTGCCTGTTCACTCTGATGATAGTTTCTTTTGTTGTGCAGAAGCTCTTTAGTTTAATTAGATCCCGTTTGTTAGTTTTGGCTTTTGTTGCCATTGCTTTTGGTGTTTTAGACACGAAGTCTTTGCCCATACCTATGTCCTGAATGGTATTGCCTAAGTTTTCTTCTAGGGTTTTTATGGTTTCAGGTCTTGCATTTAAATCTTTAATCCATCTTGAACTAATTTTTGTGTAAGGTGTAAGGAAGGGGTCCAGTTTCAGTTTTCTGCACATAGTTAGCCAGTTTTTCCAATGACGTTTATTAAATAGGGAATCCTTTCCCCATTTCTTGTTTTTATCAGGTTTGTCAAAGATCAGATGGTTGTAGATGTGTGGCATTATTTCTGAGGCCTCTGTTAAGTTCCATTGGTCTGTATATCTGTTTTGGTACCAGTACCATGCTGTTTTTGTTACCGTAGCCCTGTAGTATACTTTGAAGTTAGGTAGTATCATACCTCCAGCATTGCTCTTTTTGCTTAGGATTGTCGTGGCTATATGGACTTTTTTTGGTTCCATCTGAAATTTAAAGTAGTTTTTCCTAATTTTGTGAAGAAAGTCAATGGCAACTTGACAGGAATAGTGTTGCATCTATAAATTACTTTGGGCAGTATGGCCATTTTCACGATATTGATTCTTCATATCCAGCAACATGGAGTGTTAATCCATTTGTTTGTGTCCTCTCTTATTCCTTGAGCAGTGTTTTATTGTTCTCCTTGAAAAGGTCCTTCATGTCCCATGTAAGTTGTATTCCTAGGTATTTTATTCCCTTTGTAGCAATTGTGAATGGTAGTTCACTCATGATTTGACTCTCTGTTTGTCTTTTATTGGTGTTTAGGAATGCTTGTGACTTTTGCACATTGATTTTGTATGCTGAGACTTTGCTGAAGTTACTTATCAGCTTAAGGAGATTTTGGGCTGAGTCGATGGGGTTTTCTAAATATACAATCATGTCATCTGCAAACAGAGACAGTTTGACTTCCTCTTTTCCTATTCGAACACCCCTTATTTCTTTCTCTTGCCTGATGGCCCTGGCCAGAACTTCTAATACTATGTTGAATAGGAGTGGTGAGAGAGGGCATCCTTGTCTTGCGCCGGTTTTCAAAGGGAATGCTTCCAGCTTTTGCCCATTCAGTATGATATTGGCTGTGGGTTTGTCATAAATAGTTCTTATTATTTTGAGATATGTTCCATCAATACCCAGTTGAGTGTTTTTAGCATTAAGGGGTGGTGAATTTTGTCAAAGGCCTTTTCTGCACCTATTGAGATAATCATGTGGTTTTTATCATTGGTTCTGTTTATGTGATGGATTACGTTTATTGATTTGGATATGTTGAACCAGCCCTGCGTCCCATGGATGAAATCAACTTGATTGTGGTGGATAGGATTTTTGATGTGCTGCTGGATTTGGTTTGTCAATAATTTATTGAGGATTTTTGCATCAATATTCATCAGGGATATTGGCCTGAAATTTTCTTTTTATGTTGTGTCTCTGCCAGGTTTTGGTATCACGATGATGCTGGCCTCATAAAGTGAGTTAGGGAGGAGTCCCTCTTTTTCTTTTGTTGGAATAGTTTTAGAAGGAATGGTACCAGCTCCTCTTTATACCTCTGGTAGAATTCGGCTGTGAATCCGTCTGCTCCTGGGCTTTTTTTGGCTGGTAGGCTATTACTGCCTCAATTTCAGAACTTGTTTTTGGTCTGTTCAGGGATTCAACTTCTCCCTGGTTTAGTCTTGGGAGGGTGTATGTGTCCAGGAATTTATCCATTTCTTCTGGATTTTCTAGTTTATTTGTGTAGATGTGTTTATAGTATTCTCTGATGGTAGTTTATATTTCTGTGGGATCAGTGGTGATCTCTCCTTTATCATTTTTTTTTGTGTCTATTTGATTCTTTTCTCTTTATTATTCTGGTTAGCGGTTTACCTATTTTGATAAGATTTTCAAAAAAACCAGCAGGCAGGAGGATTTTTAAAGGACAGGATAAATACAAAAAATAAAAAAAAATTTACGGACCCAAATTGATGAGAACTAAAGCCTGGATATATTGATAGGGAGATAAATAATTATCCCATTCAAAGATAACTGAGATTTAGAGAATGAAGAGTCATAGTAATATAGCCAGAATGATCAAATAGGCCCTGGTTTTAGGGTTTGTAGCAGTTGAATTTTGAGGTTAAAGAGCAGGGACACACTCAAGAGCAAATATGTATAGGAAACAGAAGTGAGACTGTAGTTATGATAGAGATCAGAGCTAGAGATTTAGATTGGAAAGTTGCTCCAGAAACAGCAGTTTAACATAGCATTAGTTATTTTCATTATTTCTCCTTTTCTTTCATTTTGTTGGCTTCCCTGTGCTTTGGTTCAGAGAATCATTTAATTAAAATAAGGTAGAAAGAATACATTTAGGGAGCTTTGGTTGATGGACTCGCTCATTCATTGGTTAGTTGATTCGTTGGTTGTTTGACTGATTGATTGATTCATTCATTCATTGGCACTTCATGAACCAGGGGATGCATTGGTTTTAATACAATATTCAATGAAACATGATTCTGCCTTTTAGGAGCTTAAAATCCAGTGGGCTTGGGGGTGTTTTGTATATCCATTGCTGCCTAGTAAACCACCCAAAACCTTGTTGCTTAAAACAGTAACATTTATTCATTCGTGATGTTTTACTTTGGGCAGGGCTTCTTGAGTTAGCTTGTCTGTGTTCCATGAGGCATCTGCTGAGGGTGGAACATCCGAGATGACGTTACTTTTTCACTTGCAAATCTGGTGTCTCTGCTGGAATGGCTGGAGCATAAGGTGATGCTTGAGCTGAGTTTTGAAGGACAAATACAGAGGACAAGTGAAGGGAGGAAAAAGAACATAACAAAAAGAAGTGTCATTTGGAAGGCTGACAAACAGGATACAACATGATGCATTCAGGGAACTGGAAGTAGGTCAATGACATAAAGGGGCAGCAAGAAGGGGTGCAGAAATAAAGAAAGAGCTTTAGGTTTGTTGAACCTAAAGCTCTTTCTGTCTCTGATGATGATGCCAACAGTTAAGAATGTGGAGGAAGAGGAGTTTGTAGGAAATCAGAAGTGCCAGGCATAGTAAGGTAGGAAAGGAAATCAGGAGAGGGTTATCACCAAAATCAAAGGAAGAGTTTTATAATTAGGATAACGTGACCAACAGGGTCAAATGCTGTAATGAGATAAAGAAAGATGAGGAATGGAAAGTGTTCATTACATTTAGCAATGAGAAGTGGTGCTCAGTGGCCTTGTTAAGGCCAGTTTTTGTAGAAGCAGAAGCCACATTACAATGGATAGAGCACTTAATAGGTGGTAGGGAATTGAAAGAAAGAAAAAAGAGAGCAGTAGCTACAGTAAGATGAGGGTGGAGAGAGTTGGTTTGTTTGCTTAAGATGAAAGAGTCCTTGGCATGCTTTAATATTACATTAATAGTAACTGATAAATGGTAAGAAATAGGCTGGGTGTGGTGGTTTCCACCTGTAACTCCAGCACTTGGAAGCCAAGGTGGGTGAATTGTTTGTGCTCAGGAGTTCAAGACCAGCCTGGACAACATGGTGAAACCCCATCTTTACAAAAACTAGAAAAAAAATTAGCTGCGCATGGTGGCACATGCCTGTAGTCCCAGCTACTCGGGAAGCTGAGGTGGTAGGATTGCTTGAGCCCAGAAAGTTGAGGCTGCAGTGAGCCGTGATTGTGCCACTGCCACTGCACTCCAGCCTGCATGACAGAGGTAGACTCTGTCTAAATAAAAAAGAAGAAGAAATACATTATTAAGTGCTTATTAGGCCTCTGGATGAGGAAATTGAAACTCAGAGAAGTTAAGCATCTTGTTCCAGGCCATACAGCTAAGAAGAAAAGGAGCAGAAATTTGAACCTTGGTCCCCCTTGTCAGAGCTCGTGCTCTTAATCACTATACACAGCGATAATGATGATGATGACAAAGGAGGGACTCTTCCACTGAATTTAGACAAATGAACTGGACATTGAATATATATAACCTATAATTATTGGCGCCTTAGTTTTCTCACATTTGAAATAGCAGCTTTATAATGGTAATGACTCATGATCTGCATCACAGATGAGCTAAAAATAAAATAATAGCAAAAATAGCTTTAAAAAGATGTGAAGTTTTTGCATTTATAAAATTCTATTCTATGTTTTAAACCTTTTTTCAAGTTCTAAATGAAAGCTACTAATAAATTACACCAAGAATGTGTAAGCTTTTTTACTTAGGCATGCTTTGCTGTCTTTCTGCTTGTGATGGTGGATGTTAACATCACCTGCTTCTTAAATCAGCCATCTGTTTTAGTCTGGAAGTAACAGAGATGAAGAACAAGTGGGCTCAGCCTTGGCTACTGTTGGGCAGAATGATGGTATTTTTGTAGTTTTTCATTTCAGAAAAGGGGGAATGTCTTATTTAAACACACATTAAGCCTAGCTTGTGGAAAATGCTTACAAGCAGTTTTTGTGATATTTTGATAAACATTGCAATGATATGTAGGTGAGAAAAATGGCCCAAGGGAAAAAAAAATTAATGATGGCTGGGAAGAAGCCAGCTGCATGATTATACATGTGCAAGCTCAGTTTTTAGAAAAATGTTTTTATTTTTCCTACCAGTGCTTTAGTTGTCACATATTAAAAAATTAAAATATGTCCTAAAGAAAACTGGCCTGTGGGAAAGACAGCAGTCAAGGTTATCCAAACATTAGAAAACACTGAGTTATCCCACCCACTCCCAGCACCTGTGAGAAACTGCAAAATGATGAAAATGCGTATGTTGCAGACTGGGCCATCTGTTCTAGCTACCACTGGCCTGGTCAGTGTTTGGAATGGAGACACCTGTCAGATCTATTCACATGTTGCAGGAAGCCTAGTTGTTGGTGTTTTGGCAGGTCATTCTCTCCTCTGAATAAATGTGAAACAAATGTTTTGGCATTAGGAAGACTGAATATTCCCTCCAGTGGAATATGAAAGTGTGGTTTGGTTCCCTCACTGTGGTAGGCAATCCAATAGCACTTCATTCAAACATCAGAACATTAAAAACAGAGATGTTCTTTCTACCCTTGATAACTCCAGTTATCTCTGCCTGACTTGTAAAACATAAGAGGAGGGAACAGTAGCAATATGATTAAGGTTGCTAACACTTGTTTCAGGTATTGTGCTAAGCACTTTGTGTGTATTAGCTCAATTATTCTATTAAAAAATACTTTGAAAGAGATATAATCTGTGTAAAAATTAAAGCTAGGAGAGTTTGAGTTACCTACCCAAAATCATACAGGTAATTAACTGAGATTAGGATCTGGACCTCTCTAACTGCAGAGCTCAGCCTCTTAACCATAAAGTTATACTCCTTTTCATGTCTGAAGAGGATGTAGTTAACAATAGTTTACACATAGCTTGAAATTCAAAACAGCTTAGACATGTCTGTTTTCCTTTGCATTGATAAGCATTAGGGTCTCAGCCTGAGGTTCACTTTGTTAGTAAAAGCCTGAGTTATGACTTCACTCCAAGTCTAGTGTTTGAAGATTGACCAAGAGTAGAACCAAACTCTGATTATCTGCCTGCTTGTCAGGAAATGGGTAACTAATGGAAAATCAATCTGGGTTAGGTCTGCAGTCAGAAGCATATATTCTGTTGGAAGCAAACATTTAGACAGATATTTTTAAAAGGACTTTGGGAATCTACTTGAAGACAAGGAAATAAATTAGACATTATTTCTTTACTGAATTCTAGTGTTTTGATATCCTGCCCCCCATCCTGGGTACAAATGATTGTGTAATTTTTGATATATCTGTTGGAGCTAACTTTTTTGAAGAAGGAATTTTTGTCATGCATTCATTCCCATCAGTGTGCCAGAGCCTGCATTGCTGGAGCCCCATTCACACACCTCTAGTCAGCGCCCCAGGTGAGGTCTCTAGTGAACACCTACTCTTGTTTCTAGAGCAGGCAGTGACCCCTCCATCACATTACTGGATGAGCCACTTCTCAGGAACAGTTCTGAGATATGTATACCTAGAAGTTGGGAGAAGGAGATAAACACCAATAATTGATAAATATCCCACAATTTGGTAAGTATTTATCAAAGTAGACATCAAAGATACAATGTTGACTAAGTCACAGTGGTAGCTTGAGGGTAAAGTGGCTGTACAAATGTCAGGGTAAGAACAAATCCTACATTAGGAGGATAGAAGAGGGGCAGAGTTTCTTCTCAGCTGAGTCATAAAGGATGCTTAATTGTGGGTGTGAAATTGAGGGATCAGGTAAGAGAGTGGTGTTTTAAAAAGAGGGACCAGGCTGGGCACAGTTGCTCACGCCTGTAATCCCAGCACTTTGGGAGGCCAAGGTGGGCAGATCACCTGAGGCCAGGAGTTCAAGACCAGCCTGGCCAACAAGGCAAAACCCTATGTCTACTAAAAATACAAAATATTAGCTGGGCGTGTTGGTGCATGCCTGTAATCCCAGCCATTTGGGAGGCTGAGGCAGGAGAATTGCTTGAAGTCAGGAGGCAGAGGTCGCAGTGAGCCAAGATTGTACCACTGCACTCCAGCCAGGGTACAGAGCAAGACCCTTTCAAAAAAAAAAAAAAAAAAGGCAGGGAGAGACAGAGAAAAGGAAGAAGAAGAAGGAGGAGGAGGAAGGACGAAGGAAGAAGGGAGGGCCTGGAGGCAGGAGAGAGTACTGCAGTTTGAATAACTGGAAGGAGTTTAGGATGGCTGGAGAAGAGATGGAAGATGGAGTCCTGAGAAAAAAACTAGAGTCAGACTTTGAAGGGTCTTATGGGTTATACTAGGGAGTTGGACTTGATATTTTAGCAAGGAAGTTGTATGATGAATTTGCACTTTAGAAAAATCTGGAGAATTGAATCGAGAAGGTCAGGAATGGAAGAGGGAGACTCAGCAGTAATCCAGGAAAGAAAGAAGAGCTGAGCCAAGATGGTGGCAGAGGGAATAGAGAGAAGTGCATATACTTAAGAAATATTACAGAAATAAAATCTACAATTTTGGAAGCTGGAGTTGAAGGAGAGTCAAGGGTCAAAAGTAAGGCTCAGGTTTCTGACTTGAGTATAAAGTGATGATCTTCACTCTGGCAGGGAGCACATCATGAGCAAATAAATTGAGGCAGACATGTTGGGATATTCAAATGGAAGTGTCCAATATGCAACTGTAAGGAGCTCAGGGGAGGTTTGTGGCCTGAGATATAAACTTGGAAATGAACTGTTTTCCATAGATGACAAGTAAAGCCATAGGAGTAGATGAGATCACCCTGCAGGAGAAAGGGAGAAGAGAGGTGAGGTGTGTGTTAAATTCTGAGGTGTACCAATATTTATGGGAGAGACAGAACAGGAATTTGCAAACAGCCCTGAGAAGAGACAGGTAAGAGATAGAAGACACTGGGTGAGGGCATAGGGGAATATCCCAGAGGCTGAGGAAGAGAGCATTTCCAGAAGGGGTGAGGGAGTGAGGAGGTCAAAGCTATGGAGAAATCAAGTGAAGTAAAGCCTGAAAAGTGTCCATAGGGCTTAGCAGCATAGAGGCTGTTAGTGACCTTGAGTTAGATTTTCTCTATCGAGAAAGCAATAAGTGAAAGTAACTGACTTGAAAAAAAAAAATTTAAGCCTAAAGTAGTGCTTTTTAACCAAGAGTTTTTCATTCTTTTTTTTAAAAAAAAGAGCAGACATTTTATCATGTGTTCTGATAATTTTTTTATATTTTGAATGAGGATTTTTAAGTTAGCATTAAGCATCACATAGTATATTTCTGAAAAGAGCTCTCATTATCAAACTTTTTAGACGGAGATTAGTAAGTCACATGTTCACACAGTGCAAATAAAATCAACCATGCATCAGGCTTTACCCTATTAATGCTTAGTGTAATTATAATATAAAGTATTACTAATGTCAATAGAAGAAACAAGAGCAATAAAAGCTTAATGTTAGTAATAACATATTTGATAGTATTTTGTGCTTTATATATTTAAGCATGAACAAAAGTGCATAGACCAATAAATACTTTTGGAAGGACAGGAGGTAACTGTGATTGAGGAAAATAGTAATTTTATTTGTGTGTGTGTTCAGAGCTTTCAACAATATGATAAACCCCCAAATTACTGCTCCATATCTTTATCTTGTGTGAGCCTCCCCTTGTGTATGGCCTTTCACAGACATCTGTATTTAGAGGATGAAGCTAATGTATTTGCAGGGGTAAAAAAGATACATTCTAACGTTTCATCTTAATTGAATTCCTTAATAAAATGCCTTTCTTTTCATCTTTCCGTACAAGTTATTCCTAAAAAAAGTATCAGTAATGACCAATTGTTAGAGAAAGTGAAAGACAGAAACTAGAATTCATAGCCCCTTAGGAGTACATAATCAAACAAAGAAATTTCCACCCTGCAACAAGAACATAGTGGTTACTTGGGAATTCCTGTTTTTATGTTGTCTTTAGAATGCTTCCTCAAGAATGCTTGCAGGGAAGTGGCTTTTCTGTGATGTTGCATTGACTCTTGGGGGTTGTCTCTCACATGTGCTTAAAATATGAATTATGCCCTAAGCCTCTTGAATCTCTTCAGAATCATCTTACTGCAAGGAAATTTCATTCTCTTGAATCATTTCAGAATCATCTTTCTCCAAGGAAATTTCATTTAGCAGGTCCCAAGGTGATTTCCATTCATCAATTATGAAAGACAGATTCAGGGTTTTGAGTTTTAACTGGTTGCAATCTTTGACATTTCCAGACTATGCCTGAAAAAAATCCCTAAGTCTTATGTATATTTTCTTTTGCCGTGGTCATTTAAGAAGTAAGTCGTAGGTTTATATCCACCTGGTAGTTTTAAAACAGCATTTTAAGTTTGCTTAGATTACAATTGATATTTAGCATCTTTCTGGTGTAACACATTAAATATCTGTTAAGTATAGTGCCAACCTATATTTAATGTTTGACCAGTATTTCAAAAATGTAGTCTGTTAAGATGTTTGGAATTTGGAATTTGTTAGTCAAAAATATATTCATATACTCCCATTTTGTAGGTTGCCTGTTCACTCTGATGGTAGTTTCTTTTGCTGTGCAGAAGATCTTTAGTTTAATTAGATCCCATTTGTCAATTTTGGCTTTTGTTGCCATTGCTTTTGGTGTTTTGGACATGAAGTCCTTGCCCATGCCTATGTCCTGAATGGTAATGCCTAGGTTTTCTTCTAGGGTTTTTATGGTTTTAGGTCTAACGTTTAAATCTTTAATCCATCTTGAATTGATTTTTGTATAAGGTGTAAGGAAGGGATCCAGTTTCAGCTTCCTACATATGGCTAGCCAGTTTTCCCAGCACAATTTATTAAATAGGGAATCCTTTCCCCATTGCTTGTTTTTCTCAGGTTTGTCAAAGATCAGATAGTTGTAGGTATGCGGCGTTATTTCTGAGGGCTCTATTCTGTTCCATTGATCTGTATCTCTGTTTTGGTACCAGTACCATGCTGTTTTGGTTACTGTAGCCTTGTAGTATAGTTTGAAGTCAGGTAGTGTGATTCCTCCAGCTTTGTTCTTTTGGCTTAGGATTGACTTGGCAATGCAGGCTCTTTTTTGGTTCCATATGAACTTTAAAGTAGTTTTTTCCAATTCTGTGAAGAAAGTCATTGGTAGCTTGATGGGGATGGCATTGAATCTGTAAATGACCTTGGGCAGTATGGCCATTTTCACAATATTGATTCTTCCTACCCATGAACATGGAATGTTCTTCTATTTGTTTGTATCCTCTTTTATTTCCTTGAGCAGTGATTTGTAGTTCTCCTTGAAGAGGTCCTTCACATCCCTTGTAAGTTGGATTCCTAGGTATTTTATTCTCTTTGAAGCAATTGTGAATGGGAGTTCACTCATAATTTGGCTCTCTGTTTGTCTGTTGTTGGTGTATCAGAATGCTTGTGATTTTTGTACATTGATTTTGTATCCTGAGACTTTGCTGAAGTTGCTTATCAGCTTAAGGAGATTTTGGGCTGAGACAATGGGGTTTTCTAGATATACAATCATGTCATCTGCAAACAGGGACAATTTGACTTCCTCTTTTCCTAATTGAATACCGTTTATTTCCTTCTCCTGCCTAATTGCCCTGGTCAGAACTTCCAACACTATGTTGAATAGGAGTGGTGAGAGAGGACATCCCTGTCTTGTGCCAGTTTTCAAAGGGAATGCTTCCAGTTTTTGCCCATTCAGTATGATATTGGCTGTGGGTTTGTCATAGATAGCTCTTATTATTTTGAAATACATCCCATCAATACCTAATTTATTGAGAGTTTTTAGCATGAAGGGTTGTTGAATTTTGTCAAAGGCTTTTTCTGCATCTATTGAGATAATCATGTGGTTTTTGTCTTTGGCTCTGTTTATATGCTGGATCACATTTACTGATTTGCATATATTGAACCAGCCTTGCATCCCAGGGATGAAGCCCACTTGATCATGGTGGATAAGCTTTTTGATGTGCTGCTGGATTCGGTTTGCCAGTATTTTATTGAGGATTTTTACCTCAATGTTCATCAAGGATATTGGTCTAAAATTCTCCTTTTTGGTTGTGTCTCTGCCCGGCTTTGGTATCAGAATGATGCTGGCCTCATAAAATGAGTTAGGGAGGATTCCCTCTTTTTCTATTGATTGGAATAGTTTCAGAAGGAATGGTACCAGTTCCTCCTTGTACCTCTGGTAGAATTCGGCTGTGAATCCATCTGGTCCTGGACTCCTTTTGGTTGGTAAGCTATTGATTATTGCCACAATTTCAGCTCCTGTTATTGGTCTATTCAGAGATTCAACTTCTTCCTGGTTTAGTCTTGGGAGAGTGTATGTGTCGAGGAATTTATCCATTTCTTCTAGATTTTCTAGTTTATTTGCGTAGAGGTGTTTGTAGTATTCTCTGATGGTAGTTTGTATTTCTGAGGGATCGGTGGTGATATCCCCTTTATCATTTTTTATTGTGTCTATTTGATTCTTCTCTCTTTTTTTCTTTATTAGTCTTGCTAGCGGTCTATCAATTTTGTTGATCCTTTCAAAAAACCAGCTCCTGGATTCATTGATTTTTTGAAGGGTTTTTTGTGTCTCTGTTTCCTTCAGTTCTGCTCTGATTTTAGTTATTTCTTGCCTTCTGCTAGCTTTTGAATGTGTTTGCTCTTGCTTTTCTAGTTCTTTTAATTGTGATGTTAGGGTGTCAATTTTGGATCTTTCCTGCTTTCTCTTGTGGGCATTTAGTGCTATAAGTTTCCCTCTACACACTGCTTTGAATGCGTCCCAGAGATTCTGGTATGTTGTGTCTTTGTTCTCGTTGGTTTCAAAGAACATCTTTATTTCTGCCTTCATTTCATTATGTACCCAGTAGTCATTCAGGAGCAGGTTGTTCAGTTTCCATGTAGTTGGGCGGCTTTGAGTGGGATTCTTAATCCTGAGTTCTAGTTTGATTGCACTGTGGTCTGAGAGATAGTTTGTTAATTTTCTCAACCTACTCATCTGACAAAGGGCTAATATCCAGAATCTACAATGAACTCAAACAAATTTACAAAAAAAAACAAACAACCCCATCAAAAAGTGGGCGAAGGACATGAACAGACACTTCTCAAAAGAAGACATTTATGCAGCCAAAAAACACATGAAAAAACACTCATCATCACTGGCCATCAGAGAAATGCAAATCAAAACCACTATGAGATACCATCTCACACCAGTGAGAATGGCAATCATTAAAAAGTCAGGAAACAACAGGTGCTGGAGAGGATGTGGAGAAATAGGAACACTTTTACACTGTTGGTGGGACTGTAAACTAGTTCAACCATTGTGGAAGTCAGTGTGGCGATTCCTCAGAGATCTAGAACTAGAAATACCATTTGACCCAGCCATCCCATTACTGGGTATATACCCAAATGACTATAAATCATGCCGCTATAAAGACACATGCACACGTATGTTTATTGTGGCATTATTCACAATAGCAAAGACTTGGAACCAACCCAAATGTCCAACAATGATAGACTGGATTAAGAAAATGTGGCACATATACACCATGGAATACTATGCAGCCATAAGAAAGGATGAGTTCATGTCCTTTGTAGGGACATGGATGAAATTGGAAATCATCATTCTCAGTAAACTATCGCAAGAACAAAAAACCAAACACCGCATATTCTCACTTATAGGTGGGAATTGAACAATGAGATCACATGGACACAGGAAGGGGAATATCACACTCTGGGGACTGTGGTGGGGTGGGGGGAGGGGGGAGGGATAGCATTGGGAGATATACCTAATGCTAGATGACGAGTTAGTGGGTGCAGCGCACCAGCATGGCACATGTATACATATGTAACTAACCTGCACAATGTGCACATGTACCCTAAAACTTAAAGTATAATAAAAAAATAAATAAATAAAAAAAGAAAAAAAAGAAAAAAGAAAAATATATATATATATATATTCATATACTGTAGATAGAATGTAAGTAATAAGTGATCATGTGAATAATTAGCATTATATCTCATTGGTTTACTTTGCGTAATAGTAAAATGAATGTAATATTTCTAATATAGACTCTACTATTTAAAATCTCTGGTAGGTCTCCAGAAATAAAGAAATCTTGAAATACACCAATGAGCAAAGCAAGGATTGCCCTCTCTTCCAAAGAGGAACTGATACCATGTTAGTGAAATAGTGGTTGCCAAAATGTTGTTTTGCTCTTCCATTCTCCTTCTCTCTCTCATCGTATTCTCTTCATACTTTATACCTGAGGCCTAAAATAAAAATATTTCCCACAAGAGTTGTCTGTGACCCTTTGCTGTTGTCAGCATTTAATGGACTAGCTGGTTCACTGCTGCCTTTCCACTCCTGCCCTCCATGGTCTGCAGTATGCCAGTAAACAACTAAGTCACTGAGGCAAAGTGGTCATGCTTCCTCTGAAACTAGAGACCTAAAAATCCATGACTGTCCTATTAATACGGCAAATGTAGTCTCTTGCTTGGGAAATACATTCTTGGTAGTTAAAGATTTTGTGATCTACATGTTACTTTAGTGTTTATATTACTGAAAACAGTATGATAAGTAGTAAAATATAAATTTGGTTGCTAGTATTTATTTGTGATCTGTGGCTCCCCACTTATGAACAACTACTTACAATATAAAAATAATTACAAAAGATAGTTCTTAAAGAATGAAAAGTGGTTTCTTTCATTCATTTATTCTTTTCGAAAGAATAAAAAATAAATAGAAAAAGAGCTAGAGGTACACCTTAATTCTTCAGTTAATTACTTTAATTGAGTACTAAATTTAACCCTGAGGCACTTCCTTTTTAGCCAACTGGTACCTGACTAGATAACCCACCATAATCAATCTTAAAACTGGACCAAATAGATTGGGTTTTTACTTACTGGACAACAGGCAGTGTAACAGGAAAGGTGAGCTTCATGATCACCCCTGTTTTCTGCCTGAGACAGTTTCCTAACTGCAGAGCAGTGAGCAGGAGTCCAGAAAAAGCACAGTGGTCCTGCTGAGATGAAGAGGTAGAGATCACAATTCGAGACAGGTGAATTGGCAGGAATCTGTGGAGCTAGGCACCAGGAGGGAGCCGCTCAGCAGGAGGACTGCAGAAGTCTTTGTGGATGGATATTGCTCATGAGTTCTTGATTCAGGGCTCAGCTGCACACATGTAGGAAGAGACCACACGGTGCTTTCCAGACAATGGCTGCTACAGGGTTGAGAACAAAATAGAGATACTAGAAGGTGAGTAGGAATGGAGGACACTGAAGGTCTGGTCTTGCCAAAGTGAAAAGATTAGGTTAGTACCTTGAAAACACCTCTGGGCATCTAGCTGAGATACCAGAAGGCCAGAAGGGTCATGCTTTGGCAATAAGGACATGACCAAGAGTAAGACCTCCTCTAGAATTACCAGTACTTGATAGAGATCCTCAAGGATGACTGAGCTTGGATGCTGAATCTTGCCACGTTAGAGGGACCTAGGAAATTCACTGGGCATTCTAGAGATCCATCCTAGCAAAGATTTTATAAAGCAGAGCTCACACAAGTTTAAGCTCATCAGCCAGTAGTTGAACTGCCTGCCAAAAAGTAATCAAAACTCTTCAGAAAAAAAAAACCGAAACCAGATTCTCTACATTGTATCATTAATAATATGTATATGAAAATAAACAGGAAAGCAGGAGCCATCATCAAGAAAAAAGCATTCAATAGAAACCAGTCCTGAGATGGCCCAGATGCTGAATTTAACAAAGACTTTAAAGATATTATACATAGGTACAAAGAACTAAAGCAATATATGTTCAAAGCACAAAAAAAAGCATGGTCTGAGTTTAGCATATATAGAGAATCTTAGGAGAAAAATAAACTGTAATAAAAAAACCAAACCGAAATTCTAGACCTGCAAAGTGCAAAAGCTGGAATGAAGGGTTCATTGGATGATCTTAAAAGCACATGAGGATGGCAGAAGAAAGAATCAGTGTACTTGACAGGTCAATAGGAATTACTCAATGTACAGATCAAATGCGACAGAGTTTGAAGAAAGACTTCAGGGATCTGTGGGAAAATATGAAATGGTCCAAAATATGAAGAATAGGACTTCCAGAAACAGAGAATTAAAGTTGGATATACAGATATTTGAAAAACTAATGGTTAAAAATGTCTCAAATTGTTGAAAAACATTAATTTGCAAATTCAAGAAGCTCAGCAAATGTTATGCAGTGTTTTGTCACAAAGAAATTCATAACTAGGCACACTATAGCCAATGAGAAATCAAAGCTAAAGATAAAATATTTAAAGCAGCCAGAGGAAGAAAGATAACTTACACGTAAATAAAAGTGCTTATTTCGTATCAGAAACAATGGAAGCCAGGACACTTGGTGACACTATTAAATTGCTAAAGAAAAATAAAACTGTAAGCCCAGAACACTATATGCATCATAAATATACTAATATCCTCAAAATAAAAATTACAGATATTTTTGAATAAGTGAAAGCTGAAATAATCCTTTGTCATTAGATTTGTACAACAGGGGATTCTAGACAACATTCTTTTAGATAAAGGGAGATAATAGTAGGTGAAATTCTAGATCTATATGAAGTAAAAAAAGGTATAAAGAAGAGCACTGGAAATGGTATAAAAATGGGTGAATATTAAGTATAGTGAGTTTTTAATCCTTGTAATTTCCTAAAAGAAAGAAAGAAAAACAACATTAAAATGTGGGGCTTAAGATGCCTGTTTATTGTATCACTTCACACCTGACCCTGTACACATCCTTCTTCACACTTCGAACTTCTTACTTTACAACTTGAAACTCCCCATCCTACACTTCACAAAATTTGTAAGATTACCACTTGCCCCCAACCCTTTATGCACAGAGGGAACAAATAAAAAGCATTGAACTTAAACCCAACCATATCGATAATTACACTAAGTATAAACACTTCAATTAAAAGGCATATATTTTCAAACTGGATATAAAAACCAAGGTCCATGTGTATCTTGTCACAAGAAGTGCATTTTAATTAGAAAAAAAGCAAATAGATTGAAAGTGAAAATATATACTCTGCAAACAATATGTATAAAAACTTTATTTGGCTATATTAATACAAAACAAAATGTCAAGACAAAGGTTATTACAAAGATAAAGAGGAACATTTCGTGAGTATAAAAGGCATGTTTCAGTAAAAAGTGATCCTAAATAACATATATATGTACTGTTTAACAGTCTCAGAATTAATAAGGCAAAGCGTTTGAAAGACCTAAGAGAGAAATAGCCAAAGCCAAGATCATAGCTGGAGATTTTAAATTTAACTCTGAGTTCCATAGCATACCGGGCAAAAAAAGGAAAGATTATTATTGTTGTTTAGTCCTGTCTGATTATGGAGGGTGATCTGGATGGACAGACTTTCCCTAGCACTAAATTCTGGGAGAGACTTATGGCACAAATAATTAAACTAAGGACAATTTCTTAGTAGATGAAGATTCTGAAATGATGTGGAAACAATTTCATGTGGAGTTTCTCATTTTACGTTTTCTGTACAATAAAATTTAACAAAATATACTCATTTCTATATGGAGGTAGGTTTAGAAAATACTATTTTGCCTTTTAAATTGACTTATCTTAACACAGACATAGAGTTTGGGAAGCCTAAAAATATTAACATGGCCCTGGGAAGCTTTCTTTGTATATCAGATGGTTCAACCAAATGTTTAGCTTGCTCGGTTTGAGGCTGAATTTCCAAATTGGTTCCCAATATCCTATTTTAGTGATTAAGAAGAGATCCATGTGTTTTAGGTTGCATAGATGCAGGTGGCACCTCATTGTGAAAATCCAGGAGCTCTCTGTATTTGTGTCCATATGGAGTGCCATCCAATTATGCATGGAGGTGGCCTTAGGGGTGCCTTTGGGAAGGGCCAAATTTCTTCTTAAAATAGAGCTTTGAATTTTGTGGAGCACTTGGACAGAGCAGGAGGGCACTTGGTGCCAGGAGGAAAAAAGACTTTGAAAAGGGAGGTGGGAGGACACAGTGGATGGATTTGGCTGACTTCACAGCGTTGCCTGGGGTCTACTTTGGTTTGGAATATGAATTAGGCAGTTTGTGATTGGTACACATTGTTTTATCACAGAAAAAAAATCGGTCATTTTTTTTCTCTCTTACTATTCTGTAAAATGAAATAAAGAGTATATCCACTTGTATGATTACTAAACATCATAGCCTCCTGCAGTCAAGGAGAGATTAAATTTCAGGATGGCACAGAGGAAAATAAGCTAAATCAGGAACAACACCAAGATTTTTTAAATAGCATATTTAAAGGTAAGAATTCTGACTCCCAAATTAATTTGGGTTTATTTCAATGGAAAGAATACTGATTTTTCTTCTAGGAAATACTTTCAGATTTTCCCACTTAAATTTGTATTCTTTTCTTATGTAAGTTTAATAGTTGCATAGGAAGCTCCTCCACAGTTTTGATCCAGTACATTGAAAATAGTTTGTAATATATATTCCAAAACAAAAAGTAGCACGAGTCTTCTATGACTTCATATTTTTATGCCCCAAGGACAGATAACCTGTATTTTTTTTTTTTAGTGAGGCAATATAATGAACTAATCTTTCTCTTAGGGGTTGACATTTTGGGGAACTATTATCAAACTGGGAAATATAAATGGTCTGGTTTATTGAGTTTCTCTTTTTAAATGAAGGTACTGTTTCACGGTTTGACTGCGCTCTGCACAGGGATAACAGCACATAAATAATATTTACTTTGTAACAAGATCCACACAGAAATGTTTAGTTAAATTGCTTCAGGTAAATATTAACTGTCGCTTATTCAGCTGTTGCAGAACTCATGTAACATCTATTCAGTGATGATTGTGAGATAGAAGTAATCTAATTTCAGTCTTAACAGGTCTCATTTTTGGTTAGGGTTACTTAATTTTAAACAGTACAGCTACATTTTACATATCTCCTGGTGTTTAATCCTTGAAACGTATTGATCTGTTAGGGCAGTAAATAGGATAGCTAATGATTGCTTGTCTAATTAATTAACAAAGCACTGTCTAATTCTGTGTCTCTAGAGTATGTATGTCAGGGTAGGAGCAGACTGTGTAGCTGTGATAGAGGGCAGACAGGATGATCCACTGGATGATGTAAAGAAAATATTAGAACTTCTACCTATATATTATTCGTTATTTCATCCTTTGAGGATTTCTAATTTGGGGTATGTTTATAATGCACACAATGGTACAGTAATTAGTGCATTATTTTGTAAAATAAAGACATCTTGGGATACATGTTATAAAAATCTTTCTGATAGGGATGCCTATCAGAAATATAGGTGTTCTAATTACAACACCTATTCTTTTGATTTAAATTACAAAAATAAAAATAACCATTTAGTTATTTATTTTGATTACCTAAATGATTTACTGGGGTCCAAATCATGTCAGGAGCACAATCACAAATATCTAGTTTTCAGAAAATATAATTAACCATGCAGTTAAAAAATTGGGTTACCAAAGCTATATCCATCCCTAAAGAGAAGCCAGCTCATGCTTGCTGTCAAACATACCCGAAAGCAAGTCCTCAAACTGCACCTTAGCTTGGTTTGGGAGAACCAGAAAGGCAAAGCAAATCTGTTTTGATATGTTTTTCTCAACTTTAACCTGGGTTTTTGTTGTTGTTGTATTAAAGCTGTAGTGCTCTTTTATATATGGTGAAATTGTCTTTATTCTTTGCTTAGTAATAGGCTGGGAAGCTTATCACATTTCCAGCACTAGTTCAAAGACAGAAACTATTTTATTTTTTAAAAGAATTATTTTAAAATAATAATTCTTGCTTTTGTTATGGCTGTCAGCTTGCAAATCATTTTAACTGGCATTATCCCATTTGATCCATGTAACATACTGTCAATAAAATATTAGTAATAATCTCATTTTGCAGATAAACTGAACTCAAGTGGTTAGGTACATTGATCAAGGTTCCATGGCTTTCAAATATCAGATTTAGGTGTTATATCAAAGTACCTTAACTATAAGTGCAGGGTTTCCCACACTTTGCCTTTCACAATAAATACTTTCTGTACTGTGTTGAATAGAAGAGGTGAGAGTGGGCATCCTTACCTTGTTCCCGATCTTAGAGCAAAAGCTTTCTGGTTTTCACCATTGAGTATGATGTTAGTTATGGGCTTTTTATATGTTGCCTTTATTGTATTGAGGTAAATTCCTTCTGTACGTAGTTTTTTGAGAGTTTTTATCATGAAAGAATTTCGGATTTTGTCATGCTTTTTCTGCATCTATCGTGATGATCACGTGATTTTCATCCTTCATTCTGTTAATGTGGTATATCACATCAGTTGATTTGTGTTTGTTGGAACTATCCTTGCCACCCCAAAATAAATCCCACTTGATCATGGAATATGGTCCTGTATGAGCTGTTGAATTTTGTTTCTTAGCATTTTGTTTTAGGATTGTTGCATTTATGTTCATTAGGGATATTGGCCTGTAGTTTTCTTTTAGTGTAATACTTTTTCATCTAGCTTTGGTATCGAGGTAATGCTGGCCTCATAAAATGAGTTTGGAAGTATCCCTTCAATTTATTGCAAGAATTTAAGAAAGATTGATATTACTTCTTTTTAAACGTTTGGTAGAATTCACCAGTGAATCCATCTGGTCCTGTGATTTTCTTCATTGTGAAATTTTTTAATTACTGGCTCAATTTTCTTTTCATTATTGGTTCTGTTCAAATTTCCTATTTTTTCATGATTCAATCGTGGTAGCTTGTATGTTTCTAAGAATTTCTTTCTTTCTTTTTTTTTTTTTTTTTTTTTTTGAGACAGTTTCCCTCTTGTTGGCCAGTTTGGAGTACAATGGCATGACCTCGGCTCATTGCCACCTCTGCCTTCCAGGTTCAACAAACAATTCTCCTACCTCAGCCTCCCCAGTAGCTGGGATTACAGGTGCCTGCCACCATGCCTGGCTAATTTTTATATTTTTAGTAGAGACGGGATTTCACAGAATTTATTTCTTTTGGGTTACTCAGTGTGTTGGTGTATAATTGTTCATAATAGTCTCTTACCGTTTCATTTCTGTGGCATCAATTGTAATGACTCCTCTTTCATTTCCAATTTTTTTTAACCTTCTCTTTTTCTTAGTCTGGCTAAGGGTTTGTCCATTTTACTTATTTTTAAAAGCCAAACTCAGTTTTGTTGTTTTTTTCTATTGTTTTTCTATTTTCTATTTCTGCTCCAATCCTTATTTTCTACCTTCTGCTAACTTTAGCCTTAGTTTGCCCTTTTTCTAGTTCCTTAAGGTATAAAGTTAGGTTGCTTATTTAAGGAAATCCTGTCATTTGTGACAACACAGATGGACCTGGAGGACTTCGTGCAAAGTGAAATGAACCAGTCACAGAAGGACAAATACTGCATGAATCCACTTCTGTGCAGGATCTAAAAATGTCAAACTCACAGAAGCGGAGAATAGAATGGTGGTTGCCAGGTGCCAGGAGGAGGGGGAAACGGTTGCTGTTCAAGAGGTATAAAGTTTTAGTTATACAAGGTGAGTAACTTCTAGAGGTGTGCTGCACAGCATTGTACAACTTGCAGTTAACAGCACTGCACTGGGCACTTAAAATTTTGTTAAAGAGGGTGGACCTCGTATTAAGTGTTCTTACTACAATTAAAAAAAACAGTTATTAACTTTTTCAAGATACCACATACATGTAGGTCTGAGATGACACTAGCTGTGTGAACTTGGGCTAGTCGCTTAAAGTTGCATTATAGGTGTGTTTAAGTTATGAGATTTCAATTACGGTTGACAGAGACAGAAGAGTAAAAAGTAAATGATGTGAGTGATCCTATCTACCTGCCCATCTAGAGAGCACACACTTCTGAGTGAAGTTGAAAAGCAAGATGTGAATCTGCTGTTCCTTCAGTTTGTCTGAGTTCTCACATGGCTCCAGTAGTGTGAGCATCCCCAGGCTGGGTGTAACTTTATTGTTTAAAGTGTATTATTTAAAGTCCATTTGTTTTGTGCAACATGTCATCTTCCTGAAAGCCTGCTACCTAATCTGGTGCTCAGCCAACAAAACAGTGATTTCTTCCAGTGCTGCAAAACTTAGAGGATTTTTTTCTAAAAAAAAAAAAATTGATTGCAAAGGATTTATCTCATGTGAAATTTAAGATGTTATTCCATCGTATGGTCTTGGAGTGAAACTTCCTCATCTGTAGAATGGGGCTAATAATGTCCATTTTACTAATCTCAGAGGAGATTTAGGTTAGGAAATGTCCTGAATGCACCTGGGGTCCTTTGGATGCCCTCTCTTTCAGCCCCATTCCAAAGCTTTTTATAAAATTCTTCCTCAAAGCTCTAAGGGTTAGTGTCCTGTGAAGATGTGGTTAAGAAAACTGATGTGAAGATGTGGTTAAGAAAACTGATGTGAGGCTGTTTAAAAAACTACTCCCATTGCAGGGATACAGGATTTTTGGAATAGCAGCCTGGGCCTTGGAGACCTGCATTCCAGTTTGTTCTCTCTCACTAATGACCTCTGTGTCCTTGGACAAATCACTTCATGTTTCTGGGCCTTAATTTCCTTACCTGTAAAAGGTGGAGATTAGGTCAGATGCTTCCAGGGCCCTTTCCAGCTCTAACATTCTATGATTCTTTCATATGGTTCATGTGTCAAAAATGTCTTTTGAAGATACTATAATGATTATAATTATTCCTCTTGCTTTTATGCGTCATGTCTCTTTTAGATTCATAAGCATCTTGACACCTTCACTCAAAATGATCCACCTCTTTTTATCAGAGTTGCCAAGCTGATCATTGCTGGTGGCGCACATTGTTGCTTATTCGTTTCAGTCTCTCTTGATGAGCTTTATTGTCTTAATAGTAGATGACTGAGTTCTTAAAGCTTTTCTTCCTTTTGCCCTCTTGGTGTTTGGCCTGTTTCAGCGCTCTAGCTGCCTAGCCTGTTGGACATTCTGACCCCCAGTAACTGTTGAGATGAACTTGAATAGATGGTCACTCTTCAATATGTGGCTCTCCCTAAGTAATCCTTACATTCTTCTACCGAGAGAACAGCCACGTCCATTCTCTGATTTCCTGCCTATTTTGCAACAAATCAAGTGTTTTTACCAACCTTTAGACCATCTGCTCCTGTCACCCAACTGCTGGAAGACAGTGTCCTGGCTGCCAATGGACATCCAAGGCTTAGATTTCTGTTCTTTCTCAGCTTTCTGTTTCAATACATTTGACTTTAGAGAAGACTTTGTGGCATGAAATTAAATTTTTTTATTTCAGTAGAAATGTAATGAAGACCCATCATATGACATGCACTGGAGATACGAGTGGGAACCATCAGAGAACCTGAAAGGTGAAAACACTAAAAGAGAAATGGGGAAAAAATAAGATAAAGAGGCATGAGAGTGAAAGGAACAGAGAGACAGGGGTGGGAAGAACATGGGGTGAGACAGCCAGAGAGGGAGAAAGATTGAGAAGATAGATAGATAGATAGATAGATAGATAGATAGATAGATAGATAGATAGATAGATAGAACAAAAGCATAAATGGAAGAGACTAGTTCTATAATAGGATGGCCAATACCAAAATTACAAATTAATTTTCAGCTACAGCTGCCTTTTATCCACCTGAAGACTATGAACATCTATCAACTGCAATCACATACAAATACTCAGATAATGCTGCAATATTTCAACTTTACTGGCAGTCAAGCACTTTCAGATCCATATACTGAAAGGTCAGCCATTCTGTACTACCTGAATAATCTTAGCTTTTTCCTTCTTTAATTAGAAAATTTATACTTGTTTTATTTCACTCTCCTCGGATTTCCTACATCTTGACCTTATCCAAGAGAGGTTGGAGTTATGACCACAGTGAGCTGTAACTGATGGGCAGCCACCAAATTCATTCATAAGCCCTCCACTGGCAAAGCTTCACCTTATTTTTGCATACTTCTATGTTTTTATTTTTAATTTCTTCCTCTCTTCTGCTTCTTTTTAGCTTACAAACATCCTCCAAAGACCAAAACCAAAAAATAAACCCTGTAGTTGATCTTACATTGCCTTAAGACTATCATCATGCCTCCCAGCTTTCCTTCATCACCAAACTTTATGTAAAAATACTACACTTAGTAATTTCACTTCCTCATCTTCTACTCCCCACTTCATAACTTATTATAAAGCTTTCTTTTGTCCATCATACTATTGATTTTACTTTCATAAAAGTCAACAGTGACATTCTATGAGCCAAATCCAATGACCTATTTTTGATTTCTCACCTTTCTGGGTCTCTTCGCAATATGTGACACTGTTGGCAACTTCCTGTATGTGGAACTTCTCTTTTTGCTTTGGAATGTAAACAGGTTTTTCCTTTTGGTGAGCAGGAGTTTCCCTGATTCAAAATGGCCAGCCTTACTGCAGCAACTACATGTTACCTAGTATATAGTCAGGCAGCGTGCCACTCTCTAAAATATACCTATTACTGAGACACCTAAAATTTACCTATTTCCAAATATTGTGATTCATAGCATAGGCTCTGCCAACCTTTAGGCTTTTTGAAGTCCCACCTCTTCCCTTCCCATCCCCAAACTGATAATAATGCAATAATTTGTAGTATGTTGCATTCTTTCCTCATTTTGAACCCCAAGAGCCTATTAGTATACCAGGGATTTGAGACAATTATTTTTTTAAAAAACTTGAATAATATTTGTAGTTGCTTGAGATAAGATTTCACAGAGAATTGAAAGTGTAGTTTAACACCAACTTCTAGGAATCTTAGTACCTTCAATGATAATAACTGTGTATATCAGAAAAAAAGAAACTATTATTTTAAAAGTCCCTCCTCACTTTATGCAAGGAGAAGAGAATACATCCTACTCTGTCATTACTTTAGCATTTGTAAATTGGCAATTATCTTCTGTCTTGTGCTTTAATATTGTTTGTCCTCAACTAGGATATAAGATTTTTGTTGTTATTTTTGTTATATTTGTTATTTTTGCATTTTATATACATATTCCTGTTATTAAATTTTACAATGCTAAAAACATGGTAGTTATCCTCAAGGTGTCATGAACTTTTCATAGCAAAGTTATGTTGATTACTTGGAGGAAGTTGACCAGAAGTCAGCAAGTCATTTATCTTTTTAATGATGATGATGATGATGATAATACATTGCTAAGTTTTAGTTTTTCTCATAGAACTCTTTTTGATATTTTTGTTTTAGAATTATAATTGGGGCCGGGTGCGGTGGCTCATGCCTGTAATCCCAGCACTTTGGGAGGCCGAGACAGGTGGATCTTGGGAAGAGATGTGTACAATCAGCTTTCTCTAGCCAATATAAGCCACGTCTGCCATACTGCTGCTGCTATTTCACAGAGTTGCAGTGAGGATTTTTTTAAAATCCAAGTTATATAGTAAGCATCAATAAACGTAGTTCTAATTTTATTATTATTTTTAGCCTAATGAAACTACCTCCTCACTTGAGAGAGTTCTTCAACAAGTCCTCATTACACATTTTTCTGCATCTAAACATTCAGGTTTCAGTACTATCAAAGGAACAATAAAGCAGCGTGATCTCATTTACTGCCTTATTCCATATAATAATTGGCTTGCTACATATTATAATTAAAACAAAAACTTAATACCTTAATCCCTTAGGGAATATAGTAAAAAAGTGTTAAAATATTTGCCTCACAGAATTCATGATATGATGAATATTAAGTGTTTTGAGAGTTGAGTATAAAGTTATTTTGGATTTTTGTTTTGTCATCATTAATTACCAACTTCTATTGATAGAAACATCTGGGAATATTAAGAATTTCCATTGATATTTGTGATATAATGAACAACGTATGACTGATTTAATTTATTGTGGCTAAGCTCGCATGTTTAACGCCAATAAAAGAAGTAATTGTACTACATGCCTTTAGAGGATAGAGCTTAATGGTTTACTTACATAGGGTTGATATTTTGTTCATGGGGATTTGAGGAATGTTAATTGTTGTCATTGTGAACATGTTTTTTTAATGAAGTCATCTTGGTGTCTTACATTGGATATCTTCTTTTATCTGTGTAATCTCAGTGATAGCCAAACAAATCTTGAAACCTTTCTTACTGTGTTCTATGCTCCACTTACTCACATTTTTAAAAACTTGCTAAACATTTGATATGAAAACAAAGTTAGGCTTGGAACTCTATAATTTGTGAAGAAAAGTTCAAGTGCCATAAAGTTGTTTCACTATGGGGAATGCAATGAAATTGGATATAGTGTGTGCCATGTTGTTAAAAACCCAATTAATATTCTATTTATATTATCTTTAATCAAATCTTCGTAAGATTAAATATGAAACCTTTGGCCGGGTGCCGTGGCTCACGCCTATAATCCCAGCACTTTGGGAGGTCAAAGTGGGCGGATCACGAGGTCAGGAGATCGAGACCATCCTGGCTAACACAGTGAAACCCTGTCTCTACTAAAAATACAAAAAATTAGCCAGGCGTGGTGGTGGGTGCCTGTAGTCCCAGCTACTCAGGAGGCTGAGGCAGGATAATCACTTGAACCTGGGAGGTGGAGGTTTCACTGAGCAGAGATCGCACCACTGCACTCCAGCCTGAGCAACAGAGTGAGACTCTGTCCCAAAACAAATAAATAAATAAAATAAATATGAAACCTTTGAAGATTCCAAATGTGCCAGGTGTTATCATGGTGACACTGAAGTGTCCATTCTTTGACTGGTATTAATATTAGAATTCTGCACACACTTGAGAAATTCCCAAAACATACATATTTTTCTTATTAAAGCTAATCTGATAATGTATGTATTATTCTCTACTTCTTTCTCCCCAGTCACCTGACCTGTTTATTTTTACCACTTCAGTTTTAAAGTGAAAAGGAGCAAGTATTTGCTACATTCTCCAATGACTGTTCACAGTCATGAAGAGCTGAAAATATGGAATTGAGGTCTTTCACCTCCAGTCTTCTTCTTTCTCTGTTCTCTAGGCAAGCCTGTGTTTGCATCTTCATTAAGTATAGTAAAATGTACAGGAGTTTTTTGTTGTTGTTGTTCCTGTAGGGCTATTCATTTCTAAGGCCAGCTAGATATAAAAGACTCAATTCATTGGTAACTAAAATTTGTATCACATTGTCCACATTTGCTATAATGAAAAATGAAAGCTGTTAGAGCACCGCTACTACACCATGGAAGCGTCTTTGCATTTTGTGTGTTCAAGCCTGAGTAATCAAGGTGATGAAATAGGGATGTACAGTAAAGGATGCACTAATGACAGTGTTGGTGCAGGTCAGAAAGGAAAGGCTCATGTAAATAAGCTAAGTATTATATGCCATATTGTTTTAATGATGTTTAGGATTCATAATATATTCTTCCAACTGCAAAACAAAAGCAAAGCCTCTAATAGTTCCATGAAAATTATCTTATTTCTAAATGCTTCTAACTCCTAGCCCCCATTACAAGCCATCAGAGTATTTGGCTTGGTTACTCAAATTTTATAATATTATATTTGTTAATAATACAACTACCATGTCAAAGGTGAACAGACAGTATATTGAATTATAGTAGCTAACATTTACTGGGCACTTACTATGTGCCAGGTACTATACTAAGAGTTTTGCTTATACTGACTTATTTAACCCTCCCAGTGATTCTAAAAACCAGGTATTGTTATAATCCCATTTTGTAGATGAGGAAACAGAAGCCTAGAGAGTTTAAGAAATCTGACCAAGGCCACCCAGCTAGGAAGTGGTAGAGGCAGGATTCGAGCCCAAGCTGCCGAGTGCCAGCCCTGTTGTACTTAACCATTACACTACACTGCGTCCTGTAGAGACTATTGAACAAACTAGACACTATATACATGTATACATTTATTCAGATGCCATAGTTAACTTCTGGTGACATAGAAGGGGATTTGAAGATTTCAAAAAAAAAGAAACCATTGAAGAGGGTAGTTTTATAAAACATTACTATGTTGTAAATAGGATAAAAATATCAGTGAAGTTATATCTAGAGAGAAATGTAAAAAATTAACCAAAACCCTCTGCAAAGTCTTAAAGATGTGGCTTTTTTCCCCCAATTCCTTCCCTGCTGACTTATTTTCATGGAGTAGGACAACTGATTAGCATATTTTATTTCTGTTGTTCATGCCAAGCCTGTTTACCACGACTGGATTTGCCTGATTGGTGGTGTTTAGTGCAGTGCTTGGCGGTCCTCTAAGGAGCACTTAGATGTCAGCTGTAAATCATCTGCTCAGCCTCCCTGACTGTGAGCTCCATAGCTCCCACCTGGTGCACTGGGCACAAGCATCCACATACTCACCATATGCAGGCAGATTCATACTCAGCCTCTGGGGGCAACACTGCAAATTAGAAGGTGAATTCGCAGCTCTCTGGGCAGGCCCTTACGTGTGCATATCCTGTTCCTTGTAATTGGAATTGTGTTTGCAAATCCCTCTACACCCAGGTGAGGTTGTATTACACCCCTGCATGTTGGATGGAGAAGAAAACACAGTCTGCTTAAAAGAGGGCAATTCAACTTCCTCTAAAAACTGGAGACTATGGGTGAGCTTTTTGCAACCACAGCCTTTCAAGGAATGTGATTGCAATCACAATACTGCTATGGTGCTCTCCTCATTTCTTAAAAACATTCATAAAATTTATATTCAATGATAGCTTAGATAGAGGTCTTCCCTAGCTATGCAGTAAGTCTTTAGAAAGAGATCTTGATGTTGCCTCTTGTGACATGTTTCTAAGAAACTACATTGTTATAATGCAGACCTAATCTCTGCTTGGCATATGAGCAGATGATATAAGCAGACAATAACATATGTTGCAAGAGAGGGGTAATGCAGTTAATTGAGTTGGCAAGTAACCAACTAGGATAGTTTTTACTAATAACCTTTGCTAGGTACAGTTACTTCCTCCTATTTGAAAGCCTTTAAATGACAAATTTAATGATCATTATATTGTAAATGTTTATATGTTCTTTCAGAGTTTACCTTAGCCAGTGATTTTTCAATATATATATTTTAAAGTATGGGTGATGATGGGTTAGAACAGGAACATATTCAAATTAAAAGTACATAAATCGACAAATATATAATTATGCATGCATGATAAAAAAATTTGCTAATAGAAGAATCTAGTAAAAAATATTTGGCCACCAAATACAAAGTTCCAGTTAAATGGAAGGAGGAATAAGTGTCCTGCAGCACTGGTCTCTCTTTAAAGGCACAGACATGCTTAATTGAAAAAGCCATGCTTACTCCTATATACGATTTCCAATTGCAAAGCTAGAATTTTTTTCTAGATATTTTTGTCAACATATTTGCTTTTTTCTTTCTTTCTTTCTTTTTTTTTTTTTTTTTTTGAGGTGGAGTTTGACTCTTGTTGCCCAGGCTGGAGTTCAATGGGGCAATCTTGGATCACTGCAATCTCCGCTTCCTGGGTTCAAGCAATTCTCCTGCCTCAGCCTCCCAAGTAGCTGGGATTACAGGCATGCACCACCACAGATGGCTAATTTTTTGTATTTAGTAGGGATGGAGTTTCACCATGTTGGTCAGGCTTGTCTTGAACTCAGGTGATCCACCTGCCTCAGCCCCCCAAAGTGCTGGGATTACAGGTGTGAGCCACCGCGCCCAGCCCATATTTGCTTTGTGATGTAAATTTCCCTCCCACTGCTGCTGTCTATTCTTCCAGTTTGCCCCTCCCCCGTTTTATGTGGCATTATATTCTATTATACCTTGTATTTTAGGCAAGTTTGAATGGTAAAATCAAACAGTATTTAGGAAATGAGTTATCCTTATTTGATAGCATCTTCATAAGGAATAGCCCTTCTACCCAACTCTGATTCACAGAACACCGTTCATGCTTTCACTGTCAAACTCTTATTTTTCTGAATAGGAACACTGCAGTTCCTTGGGTTCTTCTTCATTCCCTTGAGGCATATTGTGGGTTGACTTGTATCTCCACAAAATGCTGTGTTGAAGTCCTGACCCCTAGTACTTCATAGTGAGACCTTAATTGAAAACAGGGTCATTGCAGATATAATTAGTTAAGTGAAGATGAGGTTATACTGGAGTAGGGTGGCCTCCTAATCCAATGTGATTGATGTCATATTGGATACAGAGATACAGGGAGAATGCCATGTTAAGATGGAGAAGCTCAGGAATGCCTGAGGCTGCCAGAAGCTAGGAGAGAGGCTCAGGACAGATCCTCTCTCAGGACCTTCAGAAAGAGCTAACCCTGTTGACACCTTGATGTTGGACTCCTAGACTCCAGAACTGTGAGACAATACATTTATGTTGCTTTAAGCCGCTCACTTTATAATAAGTTGTTACAGAAAACTAATAAATGGCATAAAGCAAGGAATTCAAATCAAAATCCTTTCTGCCTCTCTTCTTAATAATAGAATCCTTGCCCTTCTCATGCCTTGCCTGGCCTCTTGCAGGGATCTTCCAGGCATGTTCCTTGGTGCTCTCTTGGTCTGCACCCATCCATTTTAGATGCCACTACTATTTTACTTTCTTACACACATACACACATTTCCAGTGGTCACTTCCCATTGTGTCTGCAGTGGCACACATTCTTTAGTGACGCAAGTGATGGCCTCCCATTCTGACTTCACTTGCCTTTCCAGTGTTTTCCACAGTGTGCTGCCTGTGCACACCACTGTATTTCGGCCACATCACTCTTCCTGTTAGTTCTCTGGATGGGAACAGCACTTTTCCGCTTCAAGCATGCTGTTCCCTTTGCAACAAACTTCCCAAGAGAATTTTACTCTTTCTTTCAAGACCTGTTTCAAATGCTGCTATAATAGAGTCTGTACACCAGATACTCTACATTCAAATTATATTATACATTCAATTCTGTACATTCATTTTGATATATTCATTTGATACATTCATTTGATTCTATACATTTAAATGCTGCTATACATTAATTCTCCCTCTTAAGCAGTTGCATTTGCCATCTCTTTGGTCTCACAAAATAATTCATACTTCTTTTATGAAACTTACAATAGTGTTCTTTGCATTATTGATGTTTGTGCACTAATCTTTCATTGTCTTCAGCCCTCAGGGCATCTTTAGCCCTTTTTGGCAGAAATCCGGAATCTTCAGGCTAGATTACAATTCCACAACAGATGAGAGAGACACATTCTGCCAAGTTCAGGTGGATGTGTTCCTCCTGACACGTTCTTTGTTCCCTTGAAGGGTACCGCAGTAGACTCAAATCAAGGCCTTTTGTATTCTTATTCCCATCACTGTTATACTTGGTATCTCCTTTCTGACCACAAGAGGATAAATTAAGAATCTGATGGTTCCCTCATCTCAGAAAGTCACAAGGGAGATGATATTTTTTCATACTAAGTCTCTTAATCCCTTAATTCATCCCTGACCTGATGAAGTCTCTAAAGCAATTGTAGCCATTTGTTTCAAGATTTTGTGTACTTTATTATATGTATGTTATACCTCAATAAAAATATTTTAAAAAAGCAATCAGAAAAAAGAAGAAAGACTACCAGCAAAGAGATGACAGCTAGATTAGCAGCCTACATTTGATCAGAAACAAAAAAAGTTCAGAATGTAATTCAATCGTGACTTTAAAGTACAAGGGAAAATAAACATCAACTCAGTCTTTTACCTAACCAAACGATTATTTATGAGTAATGGTGACTAAAGTCATTTTCATACCAGGACTAAAATAACCTCTAAAATATGTGCTTCAGCAAGGACTACAACAGATGAATCGATAAAAGCAAACAGGTTGGTGAATCTACATAAGCATTAACTTTAGAAAATAATGAATTTTTCCTTTTATTTTTAGTTGACACATAATAATTGTGTATATTTGTGAGATACAGAGTGACATTTCGATACATATATACACTGTGTAGTGATCTAATTGGGGTAATTCACATATCCATCACCTTAAACATTTATCATTTATTTGTGTTGTGAACATTCAAAATCCCTTCTTCTAGCTTTTTGAAAATATACATTAAATTATTGTTAACCATACTCACCCAACTGTGCTACAGGACACTTATTCCTCCCACTTAGCTGTAACTTTGTATTTGGTAGCCATTTTTTACTGGGTTCCTCTATTAGTAAACTTTTTTATCATGCATGTATAATTACATATTTGTCTATTAACTTTTAATCTACAAATTATATAATAAACTCATGTTCTAACATATTTTGTATATTATGAGACATATAAATTTGACATTAAAATATAAAAATTCTCATATTTTATTCCCAACTATAGGTAGAGGTATATAAATGAATTTAAAAAAAAAATTATTTGCTGTTCTTTTCAATTAGAAACTGTAGGTGAAATAATTCCAAATTTAAAAATAAATTTGTTTCTCTTGAATAATACAAACTGGAAATGATGTCAGGTTTGCCAATAATGTAAGAAGCAATTTTTGATTACAAATTCACATGAAAGATAATATTTTCTACATAAAGCCTAAAAGAAGCCATATGGTAGAAATATACTCATTCAGATTGATGCTTGGAATGATAGAATTTGAATGAAAAAGCAATATTGAAGGGTTCACATCATCACCTGTGATTTATTAAAAATAAATGAAAGCTACAGGGGAGAAACAAAATTAAATTTACATTTTAACAAATAACCCAAATTTTTAAGAATCTTTTCTTTGTGATCTTTCAAGTGAATGTGTATTCAAATAATCTCAATGTCATTTTTTAGTCAATCCAACATGCTCTGCCTAACTTCAAGTTAATAGATTATAGCAATTTTTAGAGAGCTGAGTTTGTCTATTTTCCCCGCAATCTATTTTAAATATGAGGGAACTTCAGAATTTCTGAGACTACATTTGTAATCACTTAGCCTCAAGGGGTATGAAACAATCAGTTTTCTGATCCAAATTATTCAAATTATTGCCTCAGTGGAGTGTGAATTTTAATAAAACTTAAGTGAAAGTAGTAGTATACATCATGTGAAAAATAATTCTTTTAAAAAGATTTGTCTTTTTAAAAAGTATTGTTATTTGTCTTGTCTAGGCACTATTGGAATTAGAAGAACTGCAAACATGATGAAATATATTTTATCATCAGAATTAATTAACTGTTGATGTTTTCTTATGGTACATAATCTGCTACCAATATATAATAAAGTTCTTGAAATAATTGTAATATGATACACATTTGAACTCTAATTTTTTGGTATTATATGTGATTTAATGTTATTTAATTTATTCTATTTAAAAACAAACAAACAACAACAACAACAACAAAAACAAAGGTGAGTTACTGAATGAAGTTTCTTTGCCAGAAAAGAAAGGTCATTGATTTTGTCAGTCATTAAGGACATAGATAGAAATTTAGGGCTCCTAAAAAGTTTTAGCAATATAGTAATAGTCAACATTTACATAGTACTTTCTATGTGCTAGACACTTTACATACATTGATTATGTAACCCAGTGAAGTGTTGTCTTCTATATTTCATATGTGAGAAAAGAGAAGCATGGAGAGTTTACATATAATTTACCAAAGGACATAGCTAGTATATGACAGAAATGGATGTGAACACAGGTAATTTGTCTCCACAATCTTTGTTCTTGACTACTACTATACAGCTTACATTCATTACAGTTTTTCTTTGACTGTTGTAAAAAAATAGTTTGTTCTGTTTGAGGGTATGAAATATCATGGAGAAGAGAAAAACAGAAGTCTATTCATTAGTTTAGCAATTGGGTGATGATCATTGGTGATGATCTTCAAAATCACTAGGACCAAAACACTTCTCCCAAGAAACTTATAATTTAGTAAAGTAAGTAGAAGTAAATGGACTATGACAAGTGTTATATTAAAAGGGTGTATTAATCAGGTAAGTTCCATCTTGCTGTGGTAACAAATTAACTCCCAAATCTCAGCTTAACTCAACAATCTTACATAGTAGTCCTTTATACAGGGACTCAGCAGTCTAACTATTTCCATATTGTGGCTGTGCCATCTCAGCATGTGGCCTCTGTTATCATCAAGACAAAGGAATAAAGAACACAGAGGGCTCACATTTTCTGTTCCGTGTTTCAACTAGGGAATAGTATACTTCATTTCTGCTAATATCCGATTGAATAATGCCTACTTGAACTGCAAAGGAGCTGGATAATGTGTAGGAGCATACAGCTATTTGGTGAGCAATTAATGCCTTCCCCAAGAGGTATGTATGTTGCCTGGAAAAGAATGGGCGTTGGGCAATAATTAGTTAGGATCCTACAGGAAGTTGACTGAAGAGTGGCAGAAAAAGCATTGATACGGGCTGGTGAAGGTAATTGAGGAATTGAAAACAATTAAGTTTCTGGGCACCCCACAGGAAGAAGCTGTAGCAAAGACTTCAGTACTACGGAGAGCTCCTTCCATTTACATTGCTTGCTTGCATATAACGTAAATTGTTTTTCTGTTTTGGGGGGATTTATTTATTTTTCCATAAATTAATGGGGTACAAGTGGTATTTTGTTACATGAGTAAGTTCTTTAGTGGTGATGTGTGAGATTTTGGTGCAGCCATCACCTGAGAAGTATACATTGCACCATATTTGTAGTGTTTTATCCCTTACCTCCTCCCACTCTTCCCCCCAAGTCCCCAAAGTCCATTGTATCATTCTTATGCCTTTGCATCCTCATAGCTTAGCTCCCGCATATCAGTGAAAACATACGATGTTTGGTTTTTCCATTCCTGAGTTACTTCAGTTAGAATAATAGTTTCCAACCTCACCCAGGTCACTGCAAATGCTGTTAGTTCATTCCTTATTATGGCTGCATAGTATTCCATCATATATATATGTACATCACCATTTCTTTATCCTGTCATTGACGGATGGGCATTTGGGTTGGTTCCACGATTTTGCAATGTGAATTGTTCTGCAATAAATACGCCTGTGCAAGTATCTTTTTCGAATGACTTCTTTTCCTCTGGTAGATACCCAGTTGTGGGATTGCTGGATCAAATGGCAGTTCTACTTTTAGTCCCTTAAGGAATCTCTGCACTGTTTTCCATAGTGGCTATACTAGTTTACTTTCCCACCAGCAGTGTAGAAGCATTCCCTGTACACTGCATCCATACCCACATCTACTGTGTTTTGATTTTTTTATTTTGGCCATTCTTGCAGGAGTAAGGTGGTATCACATTGTGGTTTTGATTTGCATTTCCCTGATCATTAGTGATGTTGAGCATTTTTTCATATGTTTGTTGGCCATTTGTATATCTTCTTTTGAGAAATGCCTTCCAGCTGCGAAAGAAAGAGGTTTTAGTTCTTCCCCCGTCTGTGAAGTCTGCATGCCTGATTTGTGCCCTCCCCTGAGTTCTGGCCAGGAGGCTTCTCGCCCCATTCAAATTGCTACAAAGTTCAGCTAGAGAATTCCTTCTCCCTGTGGAGTTTTACCTTCTGCTCCTCTGGCTACCCTCTCGATGGATCCCTGTGGTGCCAGGCAGGAATGGGCCGCCTGGCAACCCAGCGAGCTCCCAGGGCTTTTCTGCTGCTTCCCCTACCTCTGGATTTCACTTGACTTGGCATTTTAACTTGACTCAGCTCTAGGTAAAGTTGGAAACTTCTCCCGCAAACAGACCTTCAGCTTCTCCAATGGGGGCCTATGTTAGGGAGAGGAGGGTCTCCCTTTGCCACTTCCACAGTTGGGGCACTCACAGTATTTGGGGTGTCTCCTGGGTCCTGCAGGAGCAGTCTGCTTCCTTCAGAGCATCTGTGGGTCCTCTCATATAAATTGTAATGTCTTTTCAACAAAGTTTATTCCATTGACATTTGTTATGAACCTATGATATATTTTGTGGATAGAAAAAGTCATAACACATAACCATCATTGGGAAGATAAAACCCTCTGTAATGCAATTGGTATGTTCAATGATAGAACCATTCACTTGGTATTATGAAATTATGGAGATGTTCCTAACATTAATCTTGGGTACAGGAAGGAGTTGCATAGGAAAATTTCTTGAAAGAGATGATTTATGATTTCATATGTTTTATTAAGTGATAAGTAGGAGTTTTGCCATAACAGAGAGAAAGAAGACAGTTTTGGTCAGGAGTTGAAAAACTTTTTCCGTAAATGGCCAGATAGTAAATATTTTAGGCTTTTCAGGATATATGTGGTAGGTCTCTGTTGCATATTCTTTGTGTTTTACAAATTTTTAAGATGTAAAACCATCTTTACCTCAAGGGCTGTAAAATGTAGGTTGTGGCCCAGGTTTGACATGTGGTCCATAGTTCACTGACTCCAGTTCTATGCAGGGAGAGTAGTAGCAAAAAGAGAGACATGTACTTACAACTATATACAGTCTCATCTTGACAGAGTATGAAGTTTGAAGAAGGGTCATGATAGATAAGCCCAGAGATGTAGGTAGGGGATACGCAGGGTGTCACATTGAGGAAATTTAGACCTACATCTATAAATATGAGTATCAGTAGAATGAGAAAATCATATTTGCATTTTAGAAAGATGGCTGTGTTGAGAATTTCCCTGAGGAAACAAAACTGAACTCAAAGAGGAAGCTGTTGGCAGTGGTCAAAAAGGAGGTAATGAAAGCCTGAAATAATGCAGTGGTGAGAAGGATAGGCAAGAGAAGACTCTGTTGAAAAAAATCTTAAGATATAATAAGAAAGACCTGGTGATCGGTTGACCGGAGTGGGGAAAGTAATCAATAATGACTCCTTGTTGATTGATTGAGTAGGAAAAGTAGTCAATAATTACTCCCAGACATGATAGCATTGCTTTGACTGAGATTACAAATATTATGCAAACTAATTAATGTTCATTATTTAGCAGGAACTGTGACTGTTAAAAGGATCTGACATTTAGTCCATAATGCCATCATCTGGGGTCAGACAGCACTGTCACATCTTCTGACATGATGTGACCCTGTCACACCTGGTAGGCTGTGGGAAGTCTGTTAGGCTGTCCCAGGTAGGGTATGGGGAACTTTTGCTGCTGTTCATCAAGTAGATTGACTGTGATAAACAATATCTTCCCATTGCAGAATGCTCATTCAAGGTAAGGGGTGAGGTACACAAAGTGTAGGTTCTTGGAAATGGTCCTAAAGGCCATAATTTTTAAAAACTATCAGTTATTTTAGCTACTTTTGGATCAAGAAGTCCAAAATTTTGTAGATTTTGAACTTGCCCTCTGTAATGGGCATGTACCATCCATGATTGCCCAACATTTTTATATAGTTTCCCACATTGTGAGTATAGTCTTCCCAAAATACAATTCCCATAGTTCCTTCCTTTCTGGGGTGAAGGCGTGTCACCTAGTTTACACCTATCAGACTCAGCCTCATGAGACTGGATATTGAAGAGTGCAATGTGACCTGGGGACCCAGTATGGCGAGATCAGTATTCTATCAAGTGAAGATTCTTATTTTGGAGGAATAACTGCGGTGAAAGTTCTGTTGATTCGGGGGGAAGTAGCTGTTGTTTTTATGTTGGACCTGTCCCATGGTGGGGTGGACATGACTCTTTGCTGGGCAACACCCAAGTTTACTTCTCCAGGCCTCCCAGAAAAGCTATATGTCTTAAAATCCCCTCAATTAGGTTATATTCTGTGCTTTCCAACTGAAAATGTCAATAGCTGTACCCAGGGCTTCAATTCATTAAATGTTGAAATTTTATTTGCAGAATTAAAGAATATATCTCAGTGCTGTGTTTCTCCTGCTCTCAAACAAAATTTCCATTTAAACAGGTAAATGATCTGGAGATCACCCACGCTGAGCATGAAACCCTAGTAGAAGTGATGAACAAGAGGCGTGGTAACCCTTGTCTAACTCCAGAAAGCCTCTGTATGTAGAAACAGGATCTGATTATTTTAACTGTACCTCCAGATTGGCTGACCTAAAAGAATTATCCCTAGCAATGTTATATCTAAATAACCTGTGACTGCTGCCATATACAAACAGCTCCAGGTAGAAATGTTTTATCAAATATTTTATTCTTTGTCTTTTCTTTTCTTTGCTAAATGAAACTAACGGCAACATGCTGGCTACCTGTCCAGAACTATATTCTGCCTTAACACCTGGTTCCTGCTCCTGTGACCTGCTCTCTTGTGTGTTTAATTCACAACCCAACTTCCAGTTTAGGAGTCAGATTTTACACATATGCAGGCCACAGAAACTCAAAGAAGAGGAGGCTTTAGAGATATAAATACAAGCCATGTAGGAGAGTAAAAAGAGCCTCAACAAGGCTTTCTTTAAAACAAAACCAAAATAAACTATCACCAGGTCCTAAAAGCTACCTCCAATATTCTCAAGCCTGTCTCTTCTCCTCTCTTCTCTCTGCCAAAGAAATGCCAAGTTTGACCTATCTGTCAGTTACATGATATTATATCATTTTTTGTTATTATACTTTAAGTTATGGGGTACATGTGCAGGACATGCAGGTTTGTTACATAGGTGTACACATGCATTGGTGGTTTGCTGCACCCATCAACCCATCATCTACATTAGGTATTTCTCCTAGTGCTATCCCTCCTCTAGCCCCCCACCCTCTGGCAGGCCCTGGTGTGTGATGTTTCCCTCCCTGTGTCCGTGTGTTCTCATTGTTCAACTCCCACTTATGAGTGAGAACATGCGGTGCTTGGTTTCCTGTTCTTGTGTTAGTTTGCTGAGAATGATGGTTTCCAGCTTCATCCATGTCCCTGCAAAGGACATGAACTCATCCTTTTATGGCTGCATAGTATTCCAGGTGTATATGTGCCACATTTTCTTTATCCAGTCTATCATTGATGAGCATTTGGGTTGGTTCCGAGGCTTTGCTATTGTGAACAGTGCCGCAATAAACATACATGCGCATGTGTCTTTATAGTGGAATGATTTATAACCCTTTGGGTATATACCCAGTGATGGGATTGCTGAGTCAAATGGTATTTCTGTTTCTAGATCCTTGAGGAGTCGCCACACTGTCTTCCACAATGGTTGAACTAATTTACACTCCCACCAACAGTAAAAGCATTCCTATTTCTCCACATCCTCTCCAGCATCTGTTGTTTCCTGCTTCTTTAATGATCGCCGTTCTAACTGGCATGAGATGGCATCGCACTGTGGCTTTGATTTGCATTTCTGTAATGACCAGTGATGATGAGCTTTTTTATTTATATTTGTTGACCACATGAATTTTGAGAAGTGTCTGTTCATATCCTTCACCCACTTGTTGATGGGGTTGTTTGTCTTATTCTTGTAAATTTGTTTAAGTTCCTTGTAGATTCTGGATATTAGCCCTTTGTCAGATGGATAGATTGCAAAAATTTTCTCACACTTTGTAGGTTGTCTGTTCACTCTGATGATAGTTTCTTTTGCTGTGCAGAAGCTCTTTAGTTTTATTAGATCCCATTTGTCAATTTTGGCTTTTGTTGCCGTTGCTTTTGGTGTTTTAGTCATGAAGTCTTTGCCCACGCCTATGTCCTGAATGGTATTGCCAAAGTTTTCTTCTAGGATTTTTATGGTTTTAGGTCTTACATTTAAGTTTTTAATCCATCTTGAGTTAATTTTTGTATAAAGTGTAAGGAAGGGGTCCAGTTTCAGTTTTCTGCGTATGGCTAGCCAGTTTTCCCAACATCATTTATTAAGTAGGGAATCATTTCCCCATTGTTTCTGTCAGGTTTGTCAAAGATCAGGTGGTTGTAGATGTGTGGCATTATTTCTGAGGCCTCTGCTGTGTTCCATTGGTCTGTATATCTGTTTTCATACCAGTACCATGCTGTTTTTGTTACCGTAGCCTTGTAGTATAGTTTGAAGTCAGGTAGCATGATGCCTCCAGCTTCATTCTTTTTGCTTAGGATTGTCTTGGCTATATGGGCTCTTTTTTTGTTCCATATGAAATTTAAAATAGTTTCTTTCTAATTCTGTGGAGAAAGTCAATGGCAGCTCAATGGGAATAGATTTGAATCTATAAATTACTTTGAGCAGTATGGCCATTTCCACAATATTGAATCTTTCCTATCCATGAGCATGGAATGTTTGGGCAGTGTGGCTATTTTCACGATATTGATTCTTTCTATCCATGAGCGTGGAATGTTTTTCCATTTGTTTGTGTCCTCTCTTATTTTCTTGAGCAGTCGTTTCTTGAGTAGTTCTCCTTGAAGAGGTCCTTCACGTCCCTTGTAAGTTGTATTCCTAGGCATTTTATTCTCTTTGTGGCAATTGTGAATGAGAGTTTACTCCGATTTGGCTGTTTGCCTATTATTGGTATACAGGAATGCTTGTGATTTTTGCACATTGATTTTGTATCCTGAGACTTTAATGATATTACATCATTAAAAAAATTACATGGGGAAAATTAGGAGAATGTCTAAAAAGGCTTTTTAGATGGATGATGTTGAAAAATAGATTGAGAACACTGTCATGAACTAAATGGGTGACAGATCACTTTACAGATATGACAGCAGCCAGTATGGGCTACAGTGGTCAACCACAATGTTGAGAGTGGGTCGGGTGCCTTGGCTCGTGCCTGTAATCCCAGCACTTTGGGAGGCCAAGGTGGGTGTATCACTTGAGGTTAGGAGTTCGAGACCCACCTGGCCAACATGGCAAATGCTGTCTTTTCTAAAAATACAAAAATTAGCCAGGCGTGGTGACGCATGCCTATATTTCAGGTGACTGAGGCCTGAGAATCACTTGAACCCAGGAAGCAGAGGTTGCAGTGAGCCAAGATTGTACCACTGCACTCCAGCCTGGGTGACTCAATCTCAACAACAACAATAAAAAAAAGAGGATGAGAGTGAAGACCATGGGAACATTAATTTTAGCAAAAAAAAAAAAATTTTTTTTTGATAAAACGGTTCTACCTGGAGCTGTTTCTATATGGCAGCAATCACAGGTTATTTAGACAAAACATTGCTATGGATAATTCTTTTAGTTTAGCCAGTCTGGATGTACAGTTAAAATAATCAGATCCTGTTTCTACATGCAGAGCGTTTCTGGAGTTAGACAAGGGTTATCATTGCCTCTTGTTCCTTACTTTGGCTGGGGTTTCATGCTCAGCATGAGTGATCTCCAGCTCATTTACCTATTTAAATGGACACTTTATTTGAGTGCAGTAGAAACAGAGGGGACTGAGATATATTCTTTAATTCTGCAAATAAAATTTCAACATTTAATGAACATTATCCTAATCACTTTACATGAAATTTAGCATTTAATCCTCACAATATGAATTGTTTTACTTAATCATTCCCACAGTTCTATTGAGTAGATCTTATTATCTATCTATAACAAAATAATGATCCTGGGACTTAGAGAGTTTAAGTAACTTGTTCAAGATCACACCACTAAAAATTGACAGGGCTGAATCCCATGTGACTAGTAGTCACTGAAGTCACTAGTGATATGGACAACTTACTTAACCCCTTTAAACTTGTATAAAATAGGAATAATAATAACACTTCTTAGGGTTTTTAATGAAAAAATGTGTTAATCTTTGTAAAACACTCAGAACTTTGCCTGCATCATTAAATACTCAGCAAATGTTAGCTGTTATTAGTTTGTCCAGAATCTTCTCTCTTTCTCTCTTTTTTGAGCATTAGGGTAGGCAGAAGTCTGAATCATGGTGCTGAGTAGTAATTTTGATATTGTAGTAAACTTCCCAGATAGGTCAACTGGGCATTTCTTTGGCATTGAGGAGAGAGAGAAAAGACAGGCTTGAGAATATTGGAGGTAGCTTTTAGGACCTGGTGATAGTTTTATTTTGGTTTTGTTTTAAAGAAAGCTTTGTTGAGACTCTTTTTAGTCTCCTACATGGCTTGGATTTGTATCTGTAAAGCCTCTTCCTTTTTGATTTTCTGTGGCCTGCATATGTGTAAAATCTGACTCCTAAACTGGAAGTTGGGTTGTGAATTAAACACACAAGAGAGCAGGTCACAGGAGCAGGCACCAGGTGGTGAGGCAGAATATATTTCTGGACAGGTAGCCAGCATGTTGCCGTTAGTTTGAGGAGAGGCTGGGGGCAGGCAGTGCGAAGTGATTATCTACCACCATGCAGCTGTTAAGCAGGGAGGGAGAGTATGCAGTGTTAGGAGAGAAGGCAGCAGAGATAAGCTTTGGGCCAGCAGATCAGAGAGCTTCCATTACAGACAGGCAGGGCAGAGTCTGCACAGCTCTTTGAAAAGGATGCTGTATTGTCAAACTCAGTGGTCACACAGACCCAAGTATAACTGGATGGCTTTGCCCCTTGGGAGAACAGCATTTGACTTAGAAATGTCTCACTCATATCTGTATCTAACTCAGAGATGTGTCTACCAAGAGGACAAAGGGTATATAATAACTGATGAAAAATTTAGGCATTTGGAGAAAAAGACAGAGAGCCTAAGCTTGTGCCTTATAGGAAGGGCTCTCTTCCTGTTTATTCTCAGATGGTTTGCATTCTATAACTGGATTTGGACAGGGTTTCTATTGGATCAGGACACATGTCTTCCCAGAACTAATGTACTACTATTTAGGGATGTGGGGAGGAAGCCAGCAGACAATGTAGTGGAACCTGTGTTCAGATGCCACTCACTAGTCCTATTATCCTTGGCAAGTCACTTAAATCTACTGAGTCTTACTGGGCGTAGTGGTGTGTGCCTGTAATTCCAGCTACTCAGGAGGCTGAGGTGGGAGGATTGCTTGAGCCTGGAAAGTTGAGGCTGCAGTGAGCTGTGATCATACCAGTGCACCTGAGCCTAGGTGACAGAGCAAGACCCTGTCTCCTAAAAAAAAAAAATTTCCTGAGTCTTGGTTCCTTTATCTTTAAAATGGGAATGATAATAATAGCCAACATGTACAACACTGTGTGCCGTACACTCACTTACTCTTCACAGCTACCCTATTATTATCATCCTCATTTTCCTGGAAAGGAAACTGAGGAATAGAATGATAGAGTAACCTGCCCAAGATTCCACAACTCCTTGGCAGTGAGCAAGGTTCTAAACATAGGCAGACAGGGTTTCTATGCTGTCAACTTTTCCCCTCTCCTGCCTCTCTAAACGTGGCACAGAGAGGCATTCAGTAAATGGTAGTTCTGGGAGAGGAATGGGGAGGCAGCATCAAGACATCTCATCTTTTAAGTGCACTGAGTAAGGAAAGAATCAAGTTGACTTAGAATTGGCTCTATTTATAGAACTAACTAGAGGTGTGGAAATAGGTAGTTTCTCTTCCATTTCTAACTTAAGTCCATAGATACACAATTCCAGAATGACTTTTAAAAGGTTTTAGTGCTTTTTGGCTTCTTAAACTTAAATCTGAAACCAAATAATCAAATCAGTGCTTTGAAAAGTAAATATACACAGTGTATATGTGCTAGTGTGTGTGCACGTACTATTCAATATCTTGTAGCATTACTCTACTTAAGAGCTATTGTTTTCATACCTATTTTCATCAGGCTGGTACTTCACAGATAAGCTGCAATAAGGGTGTTTTTAGGAAATTCTATGATTACTTTTCAGCATATGAAATCATGTTTGGCTTTGTTGAAATGTCTGAGTACATTGACCTAGGAAAGAAAGAAAATAATAGACAAGCCAAATTCTGTAAGTAGACAGTTATTCATATTTGAATTAACAGATTAAAGAGGGATAAAAAGGAATTCTATAATTCATTTTTTCTTTTTCATTTACAATATAACACTAACTTTCCAAACTACATTTTCAGAACAGTCTGTGTTTTTTTTTTTTATTAACTGATGGAAGCCTTTAGATATCCCTTTTAAAGAAAGAGCAAATGATGAAAAGGAAAGGAAATGGAAATCATCTTAGATATTTGTGCCATTCTTAGCTTACACTTCTTATGTAGACATAAGGTGATAACTTTGCTAAACTTCCTGAAAAAATATCGTACCAAGCTTTGTGAAAGTGTTTGAAATAATAAAATATTTCTTTTACAATTGTATCATTTTTATATATGGGGTTATATTTTTCACATAAAAAAATCATAATTTTAATGTACTTGCCCTTTGTTTGGTAATACCCTATCCACAGATGTCTTAGTTCTTGAAACCCATGAAAAATAGACCAAGGCTTGTTGAACCCACTTTAACACTAACCATGGCAAATTATAAACTAAAGAGATTTGAGTAATCCACATCTTTCATCTATGAAATATAGAATTGACCCAACATGAATGTGTAATGTTATCAATAGGTGGGTTATTTTTGGTAATAAAATATTCATTGTGTTTCTTGGAAGCGAGTAGCCTACATTTTTATGAACATATGTACATTTTCTTGTAGAGATGGGGGATCATAGAACTTCTAGTTACCGTTTTGAAGACTCAAAGAGTGCACATTAAAAGCACAGAAAAGTATTCCTGGGGGAAAACGGGGTTCACACAAGGTTTAGTCACAAACTTAAAATAACTGAGGACTTGTCAAGGAAAATGACATCCTGGAAGGAACAGAAATGTATGTCACTGTCTTAAAAGAGAGTGTGGGGGCAACTTTAAACTAATTAAAGACATTGTGAGTCAAATCTTGCTGAAGTATAATGTGGATAAAGGAAACTCTGCTATTGATTCCTATCCTTCAACCACAACTTTGACAAAGAAGACAAATATTTGATATTTGTTGTCTAGATACCCAAGGTTTGTATGACAATGATTTTAAAACATCCATACTTTATTAAAGGAATCATGGCTTTACAGAGTGATATTGATTGTTGGTACAGAAATTACAGCAAAGTTATGATTCTTTTTTAAGATGTTTGTACACAATATGCAAAAGAAAAACATTTTGTAACAATGGATGCTTTAAAGTCTTACTCAAAAAAGTTGTCAACTTTATAGAACTTTGGAGTTTGAAGGATAAACTCCACTTTCTTTGCCCAAAGCTACATCAGGAGAGCCACATTTGACTTGTTTATTTTCTCTCAATTCTCTTGAAAAAGTATAGCCTCTTTCTCTGGAGAAGAAATTTCATATGAACATTTTTTGCATAAGTTTACATATAACCAAAACAATGAAAATAAAATCATTATTATAAGTACACCATACACACATATACATTATATGTACATATCTCTTTGAGAAAAAGCATAGTTAAATTATTGTTTTATGGATCCTGTTTTCCCTTTTCCAAATAATATTAAAAATTCAATATGGATCCTATTATTCAGCATGCAGCAGGGAAAGCAGAATGTAAATTTAAATTTATTATGAAATTCAAAATTTTAATTATCCCCAGAATGGTTTCCAACTTACATATATTAATTAGGTGGTATATCTCTTTCATGGTACAAAAGGCATTAAAAAGATCACCATGGTGGATGCAGTAAATTGCATTTCATAGAACATGAGAAGCTGATTCTGAGTTCTCTCATTCTCCTAGTTCTCAGTTTATATACGCACCCTTGCTCATTATGTCTGCCTTTGTGTCATGTTCTCCCATTTTTCTTGTATTCATTTAAATAGTACTCATAGATTACAATGAGGAGCCCCAAAAGAAAGGAGTCTTAGTGATCATGACCAGCATTTTAGAGATGTCAGAATGAAGCTTGAGAGGGGGTGTCCTGACAGAGGTCATACAGTAGTGTGTAACAGAACTGAGGGAACCATCTCTGGATTATGCTCTACTGCTTTGTGTAAATAAAAACAAATACGGAAAATCTTAGCTTTTTCTTTAAGACCCAGTTCCAGTCTCACACTCCGATAGGAGCCATTTCTGACTAAGGGCACTGACTGGAATCCAGGCTACTTCGTACACTTGCTGAATGAACGTAAACCGATTCTTTTATCTCCATGTATTGGTCCATTCTGACACTGCTATAAAGAACTACCTGAGACTAGGTAATTTATAAAGAAAATAGGTTTAATTGGCTCATGGTTCTACAAGCTGTGCAGGCTTCTCCTGGGGAGGCCTTGGGAAACTTACAATCATGGTGGATGGTGAAGGGGAAGCAAGTATGTTTTCATATGGCCGGAGAGAGAGAAAGAGAAGTGTTACACACTTTCAAACAACCAGATCTCGTGAGAACTCACGATCACGAGAACAGCAAGAGGGAAATCCACCTCTATGATACAGTCACCTCCCACCAGGTTTGTCCCCCAACACTGGGAATTATAATTCAGCATGACATTTGGGTGGGGACATAGTATCAAACCATATCACTCTATTTTCTCAGTGTCTTAATTAGTAAAATGAAGAACGTAACACTCCTACTTCATAGGGTTGTGAAGGGCCTTAAATAAGTTAATATTTATGAAGCACTTAGAGTAGTGCCAGGTCATAGTAAGTGCCTAATAAGCATTAGTTGTGATTATTATAATTGTCCTTATTAATAACTTTTCACTCTTATATTGTATTTTTTATCAGTACCACCCAAGTAGCACTTACTTCTTTTCTAGCTGCTTTATTTAAGATGTTAGTTTATTCCAGTTTTCTCTTCCCAGCTCAAGTCATATCAGGGCAAGGACTATGTTCTCTATTTCTTTTATATACCTCCGTAGAGCCTAACACAGTGTCTGTTGCAAAACAGGAATTCTGTAAATAATTTTCTTCTTGCTGGTTGATTTTAGATCAATGGATTTCTAATAGTTGCAACTCTAGATGATGTTTACATGTTCTCAAAGAAAATGCCAATTACAATGTGTAGCAGTATAATATGCCAGTGTTCTATGTTAAAAAAAAAAAAAAAAAAAGCAAAGACCACTGTATAGTCATAGTGTTTGAAGTTGCATAGAAAGGTCCAGAGAATACATGTTTGGGATGGTTTTAGGATTAGTGAGTGAGAGGATAGGTTATTTTGTGTTACTACCAGAGACATTATGTAAGATACTGTTGGCTTTCTTCAAACTGTACATTGACACCATAATGATATGAATAGTGTTACTCTAAGCCCTGAATTTTACACATTTTACTAAGGCACATTTCTAATGCAAATTATTGGCTAGACATTAGAATTGCTTGGTGAGCTTTACAAAATCTCAATACCCATACCATACTTCAAAACAGTTAACTCAGAATCTCTGGGTAACAGTATTTATTAAATCTCCTGGTGCCACTGGGCAGCCAACTGGGAGAACTATGCTAGAATGTTAGATTGCAAGAATATTGTTCTATGGCATATTCACCCAAGGTAGGACGTTAAGGTAGCAACTTATAAAATTGTCAAGTAATATGTGGCCTAGACATTGACTCATTTTTGAAGAGGGGTTTTGAGGAATCAGGAGGCATTTGACCATGATTCCTGTTATTAAGGCTCTATAACGCTGAAACCTTATTTTGCTTGATTTGTTTCCCTTCCCACAGGACTGTGGCTAGGACTTTGTTTTCCTTTTTGGCCAGGCAGACTCCTGCAGACTTGTCATTTTCCATACACCTGATCCCTGCTTTATGCCTGACCAGAGGGGAGTGGCAGCTCCTGAGTCACGCTATTGAGTCTCCTTGGGCACTCTGTGATTTTCCTGGGACTCTCTTATTCTCCCCAACCTTGTGATTTCTCTGGCTTGATGATTTTTGTCTCAGTATTCAGCTTAAAAATGTAGAGTCTTGCATGGGAAAAAGAACACCATTTGGATATGTCAAAACATAGATTTGTTTTTCTATATTTTAGACCAGTTATGACCTATTCTGAACAACTTTATACTGTGGAATATTCTATTGTATTTAGTTAATGTGAAATATGTGTTATAATTTCTGTTTTTTTTCCAGTCCTGCTCCTGAATAAATAATTTGTATTATAAGTTGTATTTATTCAGAAATTACTTCTTTTTTTTTTTTTTTTTTTTTTTTTTGAGACGAAGTCTCGCTCTGTCGCCCAGGCTGGAGTGCAGTGGCGTGATCTCGGCTCACTGCAAGCTCCGCCTCCCAGGTTCACGCCATTCTCCTGCTTCAGCCTCCCAAGTAGCTGGGACTACAGGCGCCCACCACCACACCCAGCTAATTTTTTTTGTATTTTTAGTAGAGACGGTGTTTCGCCGTGTTACCCAGGATGGTCTGGATCTCCTTACCTCATGATCCACCCACCTCGGCCTCCCAAAGTGCTGGGATTACAGACATGAGCCACCACGCCTGGCCCTTCTTTTCTTTTTTACAGTCTTTACCGTTTCTATGTATTCAGAAAATATTTCTTGAGAATCTGTGATATGTCAGACACTGTGGCAGGCACTTGGGATATAAAGATTAAAAGCGGTGTCCCACATGGACAACTTGGGGAGATGGTCAAGTGCTGAGGTAAAGGGATGTATGAACTGCTCTGATGCCACAGAGGGAGGACATCTGTCCAAACATGGGGCAGGGGCAGTGAGTGGGCAGCGAGTGGGCAGTGAGAGAGGGAGGGGCAGTGAGGGAAGTCTTTGAGGACTGGGCCATGTCTGATTGTATCATTAGGCCTAGCATAGTAAGTGATTTCTCTCAATGTTTGGTGTTAGACAGAGACTACATTGAGCCTTGCCTTGAAGAGCACATAGAAGTTAGCCTAGTAGAGAAGAAGGATGGGTGGGAGGAGAGCAAAAGTCTGGGGCCTGCTGTATTGAAAGCAGAGCATGTGCTTAGAGGTGAGAGTGAGGGTGGCTCAGCCACTAGTGCTTGAGAGTGATGGCATTGCTGGTTCACAAAGGATGGTAAATGTGTACAGGGAGAGCAAGTAGGGGTCAGATTTTCCCAAACCTTCTAACTGATGCTAAGAAGTTTGTATTTCTCTAGAATCTGATGGGAGCCATGTAAGTAGATTTCACAGGGATTGACATGATCATGTATGCCTTTTAGAGAAATCATTTTGATGGAACATGGGAGTGAGACAGGACAGAGAGACCTGTGAAGAGTAATCCTGATATGCCAGGGGAAGAATGATGGGAACCTAGGACCATTTAGGGAAAAAAGTCGAATCCTTTCTTTGTACCACACAACAAAATAACATTCAGAAACATTAAAGATGTCAATGTGAAAATAAAATAGTAGAAAGAAAACATAGGAGAATATTTTTTAAATCTTGGGGATTGAGGAGTCCTTTCAAAGGAAAGCAAGAGACCAAAGGCCAAAATATAACAAAAATGAATGTTTGACTATGTGTAAGGTACTAGATGCTAGAGGAATGTGGATTAGTAGACCTGCTTTGTGCTTTTAAGGAGCTTAAGAAGTAAAGAAAGTTAAGAAGCAGAATATTCCAAATGCCTTGGGCTAAGTGCTGTGTTGGAATTAAGTAAAAGATTCAGTGGGGACCCATAGGAGTAGCTACCTGGGTTTGCTTGGAAGTGGACAGGAGAGGCTTGAAAAAGCAGAAAGTGAGCCAAATCTTCATGTAGGATCTGTCAGGTGGTTGAGAGCAGTTGAGGAGAGAGAGCATTTTAGGTAGAGGGTACAGCTTGCAGGAAGATAGAGGAGGGTTCATTTGGCATTTTGGGTGTGCAGAGTGCAAGAAGGTGGGCAAGACATGGGGGCAAGAAGTGCTGAAACTGAGGTTGGAGAAGGCAGTGAGAGGCAAATTCAGAGTCTTAACTATTCAGAGTCTTCTTGAAGGCCGGTGACATCAATAGAGCTTTCTATGATGATGGACATGTTCTGTTCTGTGCTGTCCAGTGTGGCAGCCATGAGCCACATGTGCTATTGAGCATGTGGAATGTGGCTAGTGCAATTGAAGAACTGAATTTTTAATTGTATCAAATTTTAATTAATTTAAATTTAAATAATTGCTGTGGCTAGCAGCTACCATATTAGACAGTGCAGCTACAAACAATATGAGGTAGGCCGGGTGCGGTGGCTGACGCCTGTAAACCTGGCATTTTGGGAGGCCAAGGTGGGTGGATCACTTGTGGTCCAAAACCAGCCTGGCCAACATGGTGAAACCCCATCTCTACTAAAAATACAAAAAAAAATTAGCTGGCTGTGGTGGCAGGCACCTGTAATCCCAGCTACTCGGGAGGCTGAGGCAGGAGAAACACTTGAACCCAAGCGGTGGAGATTGCAGGTTGCAGTAAGCCAAGGTTGCACCATTGCGCTCTAGCCTGGGTGACGGAGTGAGACTCCGCCTATAAAAAAAAAAAAAAAAAAGGGTAATTGAGAGTTTTGTAAAGAGAAATATTAACAGTGTGAACAAGTTTATATTTTAGAAAGATCACTCTGGTGGGCAGGAAGAAAATCAAGATTTATGAGAGACCACTGCTTCCAGATAGGGTACTAGGTGCTGTCATATGTATTGGGCCATTTACTACTTATAGCAACTTTAAGGTATAGAAGGCATGGTATTTCCATTTTACAGGCAAGAAAACTGGATCTCAAAGAGAGTAAATCATTTGTCCAAGGTCACAAAGCCAGTAAATGAGAGAAATTTAAAATTTAACTTCCCATTTCTGGCAATGCTTTTAGTAATTTTTTAAATAATAAACTTATTTTTTAGAGAAGCTTTAGGTTCACAGCAAAATTGAATAAAAAGCACAGAGTTGCCATACACCCACTATCCCTACACACAATAAAACCTCCCCTACCGTCAACATCCTGCCTCAGAATGTGGTACATTTGGTACAATCAATGAACCTACATCGACACATCATTACTGCTCAAAGTCCATAGTTAACAGTAGGGTTCACTCTTGGTGTGTACATTCTATGTGTTTGGATACATTTATAAGGACACATATCCACCATACGGTATCATACAGAGTAGTTTCGTTCCCTTAAGAATCCTCTGTGCCCTTTCTGTTCATCCTACCTCCCTCTTTAACTCCTGGCAACTCCTGATCTTTTTAATGTCTCCATAGTTTTACCTTTTCCAGAATGTGATACAGTTGGAATTATACACTATGTAGCCTTTTCAGATTAGATTCTTTCACTTGGTAATACGCATATTAAGTTTCCTTTATGTCTTTGCATGTCTTCATAGATCATTTCTTTTTAGTGCTGAATAACATTCCATTGTCTAGATGTACCACATTATCCATTCACCAACTGAAGGACATCTTGGTTGCTTCCAACTTTTGGCAATTATGAATAAAGCTGCTGAAAACACCCCTGTACAGGTTTTTGTCAGGCATATATTTTCAGTTCACTTGGATAAGTACCAAGAAGTACAACTGCTACATCATATGGTAAAAATATGTCTAGTTTTGTAAAAATACTGCCAAACTGTCTTCCAAAGAGGCTGTACCATTTTGCATTCCCACCAGCAATGAATGAGAGTTTCTTTTGCTCTGCATCCTCAGCAGCATTTGGTGGTATCAGTATTCCGGATTTGGGACATTCTAATATGTGTGTAGTGGTATCTCATTATTGTTTCAATGTGCAGTTCCCTAATGACATATGATCCTGAATATCTTTTCATATGATTATTTGTCATCCGTGTATCATTTTTGGTGAGGTATCTGTTTAGGTCTTTTGGCCATTTGTTAATTAGGTTGTTTGTTTTTTAGTTGTTGAGTTATTTATTACTATTTTATATCTGAGATACACCTAAGATAATCACCTTATTAGAAAAAGAAAAGCATCCCCTGATAGCTCAGCTTGGAGCTGACCTGTTCACAGCTAGGCCATGATGTTCTCATTTTGAACATGAGCAAGTCACAGAACATCAACATTAGACAAGACCACTTTACAACTGTGATGTTATGAGGCAAAAACAAGACCACTCTTTAACATAGCTGAACACAGACAAGACTAAGAACATGAAGCAAACCACGAAAGTGACCAACATCCCCATCCATGCAAATAGGACTGCTGTTGCTTTTCTGCCAATCACAGATTTAGCCTCACCCCATCCCTCATGTCTCTGAGATTAAAACAGCAACAACAAACTAAGATACTCAGTGAAAAGACTGGGTGATAGCACCCAATCCAGAGGCAAAGGACCTTTTCTTGAAACCTCCCAAATAGGACTGGGGAGTTTTCCAAGCAAACCTGATCACCTTGCCCTCTGAAATAACCTAACACAAGCCTAAATATTTTAACAAGCCTCTCCTGACATCCTTTTACTGAGATGCCTCCCACCTCCCTATGGCGTTTGGTCTCCCTTGCTGCAGACAGTTTCAATAAATCTAACCTTGTTCAACTGCAGGTTGGTCCTGGTGGTTTTTGGTGATAGGCAAAGATCAATCAATCAACAAAATCAAAGCAAAGCAAATATTATAGCAATGATTCCAGCAGGTCACTCCTTTAACCATAATATTTTAAGTGATTAATTTCCCTGTAGCAATAAAAAGTGAAAAATTACATAACTTATTGGGAAGCCAAATAGCATAGAACCTTAACATGAAAGAAAAATATTCAGAAAATACTGTGATGCCATGATAGGAAGATCTTTGTTTTGTTGTCTTTGTAACAACTCTCCTTCCTTTCTCTTAGGGATCATGTCTGACCACCAGTTTGGTAACCAGTTTATGTGCAGTGTGGTAGCCTCTCACGTGAGTCACCTGCCCACAACCAACCTCAGTTTCATCTGGATTGCTCCACCTGCGGGCACAGGCTGTGTGAATTTCATGTAAGTACCCAAAGTGTCTGCCATACGTACAGAAGGCAAATACTTAGGACTTCTCATGGGATTACATATAGAGTAACTATTTAAGTGTTTTATTTTGACAGGTTTAACCCTAATTAAAATCACTAATTTTGTTGCCAAAAAAGGTAAAAACTTTTTTAAAAAGTAAATTTAGCAGTTTATTTTTGCATAGTTATATGTACCTCCAAAGGTCTAAATTGGATTTTAGCTGACAAAAATACAGAATAAAATAAAAGTAAGTGAATTGGTGGGACAGGAGGGTAGGGGACGTGGGGAACAGGGAGAAATTTTTTAAAGGGTACCAAGTGTCAGTTAGGAGAAGTAAATTTGGAAATCTGCACAGCATGGTGACTATAGTTAATGTATTGCATATCTCAAAATTGCTAAAAGAGATTTTAAACATTCACATCACAAAAAAAGACATATGATGTAATGGATAGGTTAATTTGCTTGATTTAATCATCCCAAATGTAAACATATATGAAAATATCACATTGTGCTCCATAAATATATGCAATAAGTGTTATCAATTTTTAAAAGACAAAAATAATTGAATAAATCAGAGCAATTGGAAAATGAATGTTCAGAAAATATGGTGAAGACGGGTTACAAAATGCTATAAGGCCTTATCTACCTTTTGGAAGAAGACCACAGATTTAGCTTTGAGCTTTCTGGCCATTAGTGCCAAGCAGAAAATGGGATCATTTAGGAAATTCCTGGTGGCCAGAAGTCAGGTACTCTGTAGAAACTAACAACTCTCCCAGGTGCTTTCATTCAGAGGAAACTAGAGGATGTTCTGAACAGTGTTCTCAAGAGCATCCTTAGATAAACACTACACTATGGTTCCAAGGCTGTGACTGTAACATCTGTTGATGTGGACTATACCCCTAACCCCTACCCCTCATTCACCCTGCAGTCACCATGCCTCATCCTTCTTATTCAGGGGTCCTTTTTCCACCCATAGCATTTTTAAACTTCGAATGCGTGATATCCTTCACTTATTTAGCTACAAACATTGTTTCTCATTTGTCACTTCCTACTAAAATGCAAGAGCCTTGAAGGCAAGAATTGTTTTTCAGTTTTTCGTTGTTTTTTTTGTGTTTTTGTTTTTTCTTCACTGATTTGTCCCAACTGTCTAGAACTGTCCCTGGCATACAGTCAGCCCTCACTAAATATTTGTCGAATAGATGAATAATCCAATGGTGTAAAGTCAAAGGCAGTTCAGAAACAGCTGTTCTATAGGCAGTCAAGCAAAACAGAGCTGGAAGGCATCTTGAATGGTTTTCTATTCAGACTTTCTGCTCAGACAAAATCCCGTAAAACCTGTGTACTCTAAAATTTACCACTGCCTTTTCTTCCCTCTTGATGACAAACAGTTCAGTGTCTGGGGTTTCTATGGGTCAGACATCACTAAAATATATACTCTTTCTGCCTATCCTCTGAGTTACACAAGCTGCCACCATCAGACTCATCTCACATAACTGGTTGATATTTAAACCCATCATTTTCTCCCTCAGAAAGTTTTTTATAAGTGAGTGAACATTTTCCTTCCAGTATGTTTTGCTAAGATGATTGCAGTAGCTTCCTAACTTGTCTGTCAGCTCACCTCTCGCCCGTTTTTCCTTCAGTATATCCTACATATTGTGGTCCAGTTAATCTTCTGAAGGTACAGCCTTGATTACTCAAAATTTGGCTAAGCCTCAAACTCCTTTCTGAAGACCAAACCTTTGATATAGGTTTGAAGGCTCTTCCAATGTCTTTGTTTATTATCTTCTCTGTTATCTCCCTTGGCACGCACCTCCTGATGGAGCCTGAACTGGCAGGCCTTCCCACAATTCCCTTACAGATTCTGTAACTTTCTTTCTCCATGCTTTTTCCTTGGCCTGGAATGCTTTTCAATCTCAACCTCAATTGTTAAAATCTTACCTATTCAAGACCTGTTTTAAATGCCAACTCTTCTGTAAAACTTGCCAAGGTATCAACAACAAAATTGACGCGTATAGTCACATTTTTCTTATAACTCTATTGTAGAGCTGATTATATTTTACTATATACTTATTTGAATTAAGTTATTGTCTTTTCTGTTAGATTGGACAGGGACAAATTCTTATTTCTTTTTGATTCTCCATTAGTTGCTACAGTGTCTTATATGTAAGATGTCAAGGAAAATTCCCCTTGAATTATATGATGTTCAATGTTGTCATTACCTTTAACTTAATAGTGATCACTGACTCTTTTGGTATGCTTTCTCTTATTCATATTGGCACTTGCAAGGATGAATCGAATTCTTGCCATACATAACTTCTTAATTTAAAACAAAAGTTGCTTTTTTGAAAGACAAAACACAAAGTATATCTATATCAGCAATATAGAACTGCCTACTTTCAAACAGATATGTTTTTAATTGAATCTGTTTAAGAATGATATTTGATAGCTTATGATCTCACTACTTTTGAGATATAAAACTCTATTTTCTTCTGAGAAATAACTTAGGTATTTTAAGTCTTAGATTCAAACAGTGTTTTCTTAGCAGTTAGTTGGAAAAATACAGTTTCGTCAGTTTTTATTGACTACAAAAAAGTTTACACATCCTCACCCATATCTCTCAATAAAATTTTGATGCTACTGTTTGCACTTTTTAACATTCTTGACAAATGGTTAAGTCCTTTTTCTCATAAGCCATGATAATGTTGAAACCTTTATAGAGTAGCTGCTTCCTTTGTGGGCAAGACGCTTTTGTTGATCTCTTCCTGCTCAGTTTGTGAGAGAGTACAGGAGAAGTTAAAAGTGAACATGGGCCACTGAAGGAATTCATTTGAAATTTTCTGAACTAAATTCTTGCAATTTTTTACCTTTATTCTTTACGGTAATATTTATTACATATTGAGTAGAGCTATATATAAGAGTTAGTATCTGTAATTAGCAAGCGCCCAGGAATCCTCGAAGAGGATTGCTAATATTCAATGTTAATTTTAAATATTAAACTAAAAAAAAACACAGCTTCTGGCATTTGAGGGTAAATATACCATGGTTCTCTTTTCTGATTAACCTCAAAAAGTAAGGCTTTTACTTTTTAAGGTAAGAAAGATTATTTCTTAGAAATTAAACTTTAGCCATGCTTATATGATTTTGTAGTATATTCTGTATGACTTTTTGATATTACTAGTTAACTCATACCATTATTTAATTTTCCACATGCTTGTTTTCTTTTACTAACTGGATTTTAAGGTCAGGGACAGTGTGTAATATTTTTATATACCTAATAGTTTCTAATGCTGAACTATAGACCAATAGAATGTGCTCAATAAATATTTGTTAGTAGCTAATAATGATATTATATTTTATTGATTGTAAGTTACAGTTTTGTTGATATTTTTTACATTTTTGGCATCTCTGAAGTAGGGTTGTATTTTACATTTGATGGCATCCTACAATTGTAATTGGCAGTGTCTACTTTATTTTTTAACGTCTTACAACTGATGGTGCATTATATTGGAAGAAACCCAGCAGTTAACATTTATCATTTACCATTTACCTGATCTTTCTAAAGCTGGCAATTGAATTGACACTACAGTCAATTCTGTAATCTCATTTTAATACAGCCAATGTATCATGCAAACTCTGTGATTTTTGAAACCCTAGTTACCTATTTAAAATCCTTTTTTAAAAATCCCGTAGTAAGAATTAGGAAGCATTTAAACTGAAATTCAAGATGATTATATAATGTGCTGTGTGTGCCTTTCCCGGTGAAGATTAAGAGGCATGTTGTCTGAATAAACTGTGTTTTATTGGTAAACCACTTAGCCACATAGTCATTTGGGCTGCCTGTGTATGGCCTTTCTTGTTAAAAATAATCAAGTGAGAGACATAGAGGAGAGGATGATTTCAGGATATAGTGATGGCTATACTGGTACAAATGTAGAAAAATGACCAAAATTATTTTATCATTACTTTTATGACACCTCTTGATAAAATTTATATTTTAAGTGTTAATTTTACTTCAAGGTTTGCTGGGTATTCAGATCCTGTGGCAATATGGTTTGTTTTTACTTTTATATCTGATTATAGTCTTCAGTGACTAGTAAGTCTCAAGTTAAAAGAGGCACTTAATTATCCAAATTTCTTGGATATAAATCCCCTACCCCAAAGTCCCAAGGGGCCTGGGGGAAGGGAAAGAAGAAGGAGAAGGAGGAGGAGAGGAGGAAGGAGGGAAAGAGGGAAGGAAAGAAAGAAGAAAGAAAGCCAATCTCCAAACCGTCTAACCCTAAAAATTAGCAAGAAACTACCAGGGAAAGGGGGTTGTAAAATAACAACTACAACATTAATAATATTTTTGAAAATTTACAATGTGCCAGCCACTTTTCTATTTACCTCTTTTAATCCATTTAATTCTCAGTGATTCTGTAAAGTCGGTACTATTATTATCTCAGTTTGCAGATGAGGAAACTGAAGGACAGAGATGTTAAATCACTTGCCTAAGGTAACTCACCTAGTGAGTGACACAGCCTGGATTCAAAGGCAGTCTGGTTTCAAAGCAGATGGTTTTTGCTACTTCACTCCAGTTGCCTTTAAAATGACCACTTGTCTATTTTATCGTGGTAAAATACAATAGTCATACAACGAAAATTAAATAAGAGTTTGCAGTATGGCATCGGAATCTCTCTAACTTTTCAAGGTGGCCCACGTGTGTTTCCTATCTACTTTTGAAATCTATCTCTATATGAATATAGAAATATTATTGAATTCATTCAAATAATGAGAGGTGCCACTTTAAAATTCTGAAATGTGATGAACATGGGTTTGATCTTGATATGTATGATATATGGATATTGATCATATCCTATCCTTCATCACAAGGGGATTTCATGTGGGGAATGTGTGAATTACAGGCAAAATTCATCACAATTAGGTTTAGGTTTAACTGTCTGGACAGAGATACTAGCATAATATTAGGATTAAAATGGAACATAAAAGAAGATCAGGTTTGTGCCTAAATTAGTGATGATTTAATATTATGTGAACTTTCTCAAAACTGAAAACAGAATGAAAACCAAGCAATATTCTATTTAAGATACTGAGCATGGACAAATAATGAACTTAGGTCAGCAAGAAGGATCACTCACAGGAGGATCATATTTGAACATTTGATATGTTAAAGGAAGTATCTCCTAGAGGGATAGTTTTCTTAAAGTACACTAAACGAGAAGGCAAAAAAAATCATTTTAAAAATTGCAGACACTAGCAGTTTCTGAACACCTGCCAGGCTCAAAATAATAATACAGATGCAGAGATTTGAAGTGCTGCCTTGAGTGTATCTCAGATGCCTTTAATTTTTGGTGAGAGCCATTCTAGACTGTCTGGAGAATTCTTCAGAAAATATTGCATGGTTGCCCATTTATTTCCATTCATCAGACGGACACATCACAGATGTATTTGCCTTGTTACTTAAACATTTGAAATAAGATCAGGGATTCCCCCATGGGTGTGTTTATTGGAAGTGCATTCATACCTATGGATAAGGATGCCAACAATGGATGCATACAAATATTCTTTTACTTTCTAGATTATACATAGCTTACTGCAAAAATAAATTACCTCCCATTTAAGTCTGAAATGATTGTACCTATGCTCTGAGATAAAACTGGATATGCTATTTTCTAAAGGAGAAATTTCATCTTTCTTTTAAATCACGTCTTTTTTTTCTTTTCTGACAGTCTAGTTTTCTGTTTTTAAGCAGGCATCTCCCAACTTGAGACAATGTCAGTGCTGCTCAAAAATATACCTCTAGATGACAAGATAAAAGAAATATTGTCTATCCTTAAAGGTAAACAGCTAGGAGCCTAACTGATAGTTCTCACTTCCCCATAAGCCCCTGTTTTTCATCACATTTAAATAGCCAGTTAGGCTTGAACAATGAGAAAGCCTAAGTTCAGGGTCTAATGTGTGTTCTTATATGTATCAGCACTTCAGCAAATGGTCAAATGCTTGAGGTCAGAATGCTTCCTAGGGATTTAGTTTTTAATTTTAGGAAGTATGGTTGAGATAAAATATGTCAATAAATCTCCAAGAAGGCTTGAAGAAGTTATTTTTGTTATATTAATTGTACAACATATCTATTTTAACAGACATTCAATGGGCAAAACTATTCCCTTCATTTTCCCCCCTCTTTTCTCCTTTCCTGTCTCCTCCTCCTTCCAAGAAGTCATGGTATAAACAGCACAGGTTATATTAGGGGACTCTTCTGGAGTCTCCACAGTATGCTGCTTTGCATCAAAATCATAAGACCGTCAGAGAAGTGGAACTGCTTTACTAACATGGGAAAATTTTCTATTCCAGTAACAAAATATTTTTTAACGACAGTCCAAAGATGTACCTGTTTCTATGGAATTTTATGCCGCAGCAAATAGTTGTGTTAGCAGATTTGCTCTTCTTCCTTTTTTTAATCTCTGCTTTTTTATTTTTTAGAGAAAAATGTTAGTTTTATCCTGATGTTGAGTCTAGAAGCAAAAAAAAAAAAAAAAGCTATAGCAAAACAACCTCTTCCTTTCTTTTCATCTCATGTAATGGTGTGAGAACTTATGGAGATCACTCAAGTAAATGGACTGAACTTGGTATCCACAAGGTGTTCCTTATTACAAGGCTTTGTGGTTAAGATGGGATTACTATTGTACTTGGCACTTCTTACTTGAAACCACATAGAACGTTTGTGAAAGCAAAAAGACCAAAGTCAGTAAATCTAAAATATTTATCTGTTATAATTATTAGAAGTTCTTTAAATCTAGTAGAAATTTTTTAAAATGAGGTATGGCCAGAGATTTGGGTTATTTCCCTATCACTAGAATTGATTAAACCAGTTTTAGAAGTGTGAAATTTCGTTTTTCCAAACTGCCTACACAGTCAAAAACAGTGATGACAAAGACGTCTGAGAAACAGGTGAATAAATTTTTTCCATGGCAGCGACAACTCTATGGTTTGCCAGTGTAGTTATTTGGATACAAGCAGCAGCATATTATTAAGCTCTATTTTTAGTAAAGTCTCTGTATATTAAGGCCTTATTAAAAATGTGAAATAAAACTGATTGCTTCTTTCAGATAAAAATTTTTAAAGAACTTATTTTGCCCTCTGTGACCTATTTAGATATGTAAATATGTATGTGTATACACACACACACACACACACACACACACACACACACACATTGTCTTAGTCTGTTTTGTGCTTCTGTAACAGAATACCTGAGACAGGATCATTTATAAACAATAGAAGATTTTTGGCTAATGGTTCTGGAGACTAGGAAGTCCCAGATTAAGGGGCTGCATCTGATGAGGGACTTCTTCCTGTGTCATAACATGGTGGAAGGCATCACATGGCAGAAACTGAGCATACCTGAAAGAAGAAAGGAGCCCATCTCATCCTTTTATCAGGAACCCATCTCATCCTTTTATCAGGAACCCATTCCTGAGGTAACTACTCTACTCCCACAATAATGGCATTTATCCATTCATGAGGGCAGAGCTGTCATGACCTAATCACTTCTTAAAGGTCCTACCTCTCAACACTGTTGCATTGGGAATCATGTTTCCAACACACGAACTTTGAGGTACACATTTAAACCATAGCACACATACAGGCACACACACATACACACATTCTAAAATTTGTTTAGAACCATACTTTCTAACATGGTAGCTATAAGCCATGTGGCTATTTAAGTTTGAATTCATTAAAATTAAATAAAAAATTCAGTTCCTCAGTTGTACCAGCCACATTTTGAGTTCTCAGTAGCCACATATGGCTAATGACTATTTTATTGAACAGCACAAATGTAGAACGTTTCCATTATTACAGAAAGTTCTGTTGTGTAGCACAAGATTCGATAATCTGTTATCATTTCCCCAAATATTACCGTGACATTTACAGAAATTAACCATGCAATTCAAAGGACACATAGAAGGAAGAAAGCAAAACTAAGTTTTTTGCCATTGTTATGTGAACTTGAACCATCATAACTTCTAAACTCACCAAATAAGACAATTTTATGTAAACAGCTGGTTACCTAATTTTTCATTTTAGTTTTATTTGCCAGTGCAGCAGTTTCTATGGTTTTTTATTTTATGGGCAATGGTAGCCAAATATGACAAGTGAGAATTGCCTCTGGTTATCATCCCTTACAGTGCCCAGGACTTAGTGCTGCTCTTTGGCTGCCTTGGGCTAAGGCATTTTCCTCTGTCTGCCCCATGCCTGGATCTCAGTCCCTGCTTTCCCCTTGCTGATCTTCCACTTCCCTGCTACAAGATTTTAGATTCTGCATCTTTTCAAATGTGCCCTTACGCATGAAAACTTACTGTCATGTACCTAATATTAAAAATTAGCTAGTCTGGAAGACTATTAATATGAAAATGAGCATTAATGGAATTTGAAACCCCATTTTATGATAATGATGGTCATAATAGTAATAATAAAGAAATTTTAATTATTGAGTACTGGTGTACCAGGCAGCCTACTAAGTTCCTTTACTCTCCTAGAACCACCTATTATTTGAAGCAAGAGCTTCAAAAACTCGCAAAGACAGGTGTGTTTTGATCCAAAACGTGTTCTTTAAACCACCATCCTATACTACCACTCTATATTTCTTTTAAAAATTAGTATTTATGAAGATAGTATAGCAATGAGAGATGCTTGGAATATTAAGTGACATAAACAAAATATTTGTTTCTGTGGTACAATTTCAGACACATAAAAATATGTTTGTAGAGGATTTCTGGCATCATGGAAGACTGAACTGGCATAGCAGAAATTCTTCCCACTGAAATAAAATAGCAACTCTAGCTAAAATGAAGCAAACACACACACACACACACACACACACACACACACACACACACACACACTCTGTTTTGAAAGAAAGTGAAAACACTGGTTTCCAGAAGAAAGGAGACATATCAAAGCTGGGTCAAGAAATAGGAACTGACATTGTGGTGGCCTGCAGGTCTCTTAAACCTGATTTAGGTCCTAGATCTGGAGTTTTAACCTATATGGGGCCTGGAGCTATTGTCAGGAGCTTCTTAAAAGACAGCAGGAGATAATAAAGGAGACTGAGCTGGAACTGGGCCCACTGATTGAAGCCTGACTGGGAAAACAGCAAAGAAATTTGTCATCTGAGTGGAGCCTTTGGTCAAGATAAGTTACTTGTAAGAAGATAAAACCCTCAGTATATGGAGTCTAGCTTTACATTAGTAATCTGTGCAGAACTCCAAGTGAAGAAATTAACATCTAATTGAAGTTTTAGAAGGAGAGAATAAAAATAATAAGACAAATTTGAAGAGATAATGGCAGAAATTTTTCTAGAACTGAGGAAGATGTGTGTGTTTTCTATCTAAGCAAGATAAATAAAATAAATTAGTACTGATAAAGGTCGTGATAAGCCTTCAGTATATCAACGACAGAAAACATCAAAGGTGACAAAATAGAAAAGACAGATTACCTATAAATTTAATCTGACAGTGGTCTCATCAGCAACAAAAGATGCCAGAAGACAATGGAACAATATCATCAAAGTGAATTGTCATCCTAGAGTTCTGTACCTAGATAAATTATCAGTCAAGTGTGAAAGCAAAACAAGATAAATTTTTTAAAAATGCAGTTTGGTATTTTTACCGCACATGGCCCATGTTAAAGCAAAATTTTAAAGGATGCCCTTCAGTAAAATGAAAACAAACCCAGAAGGAAGGTGTAGGATACAAGAAATTGTGGTATGATACAATAATTAATAGTGAGCAAAGAAATTAGTAAGCACATTAGAAACTCTAAGCATTGAGCATGCAAATAAATTTATGTATAACATATATACCAATAATTATTTTAGGATAGAATTTAAAGGCAACATATAACTAAAATACATGAAGCAACATTAGTGTATAATTTGGAGGGAAAAGGAAATCAGTATTAAAGTTTTCAAATGTCATCAAATTATTTTGCAAGAAGGTTATGGGCTCAGTTGACTGTTAAAAATGTAAATGTAAAGAACAGAAATAAAATTATAACTTCCAAAATAGGGAGGGGAAGGGCAAAGGATTAAAGAACAGTTAGTTAAAACATCAGAATAAAGGAAAAGGGTAAATTTAAAAATCATAGAAGTATAAAATGTAATATAAGATAACAAATAATTTTAAGTAAATTGTCAATTACAATAAATATAAACAGATTAAATTCACCAGGCGAAACACTGTGACTTTGAGAATGCAATTACAAAAATACAGCAGTATGCTGTTTCTAAGAGATAAAACTAAACATAATGGCACAAAAACATTGAAAGTACAGAGATGGAAAAAACATACCAGGCAAGTGCTAACCAAAGGTAAGCTACTGTTACTATATTAATATCAGACAAAATAAGTAAAAAATTATTAGGGATAAAAGGGCAATTACCTAAGAACAAAATAACTTGCGTGTAGACAAAGCTGAAGGAAACATACAAAATTGAAACCTGTTTTTCAGGTGGCAGAATACTGAGTACGTATTTCTAGTATTTCAATTGCAGGTAGTATTATGAAAATATTTAGGCAAAGTAATTCTTTTTTTTTTTTTTTTTTTTTTTTGAGACGGAGTCTCGCTCTGTCGCCCAGGCCGGACTGCGGACTGCAGTGGCGCAATCTCGGCTCACTGCAAGCTCCGCTTCCCGGGTTCACGCCATTCTCCTGCCTCAGCCTCCCGAGTAGCTGGGACTACAGGCGCCCGCCACCGCGCCCGGCTAATTTTTTGTATTTTTAGTAGAGACGGGGTTTCACCTTGTTAACCAGGATGGTCTCGATCTCCTGACCTCATGATCCACCCGCCTCGGCCTCCCAAAGTGCTGGGATTACAGGCGTGAGCCACCGCGCCCGGCCAAAGTAATTCTTTAAACATTGGTTGTTGAATAGATGAATGAATACATGCTTACATGAGTGGAAAAATGCTTGAATATGCCAGAAGATTATGTTATAGAATTAGAGTTTATACTCTGCCATTTCTACCTTTAGGCATGTGCTGGTGACAGCTAGCTTTATATTACAGTATCTTAGGTGCTCTGGAAATACCAATTTGGTAATTTAACAAAATTTTATCAATAATTTGAATTTTTGATTTGCAGTTAGTTTTTCTTTGCTAATTCAAATGACATTGCATACATTCCTCTTCTAAATATTATGAAGGTTTAAACTTGCTAGAGTTTAACAATATTTCTATTGTTAAATTAGATATTTATGGTTTTTGAATGCTATTTAGACTAATAAAAAATTTAGAAGGTTAATATTAACAATATTTTTTAATTGATGGCCTGAATTCATGTAAAACTTTGTCATCACAAAGTTAAAAGAAAAACAATTTGAGGAAATTAAAAAAATGTAAGCCACATATTTTCTGGAATTATAAGATAACCTATTTAACATTAAATCAGTGCATATTGATGTTTTATTTAGCACTGAGAAATAAATATTAAATGAAATTATTATTTCCATCTCTATTTTAGCGCCTCACAATATTAAAGTGAGGTTTTGGTTATCCACATTGATGAGTTCAAAGCTGGAAACAAAAATGTGTTAGTCAAATCTCCTCCATGTATTTCCACTATTAGTATTTATAGAAGGGATTATGAATAGCATGAGCATATTCGTTTTCCAGGCTGACATATATTTCAAAGAGCAATGTCCTAAATTTTATAGGAAAGATAAACAGTGAAAAGCCTTCTAATTAAAAATGTACACTGTAGTTGCAAAGGAGCAAAGATGGTAGGTCCCTTAATCAACCCCTGGTTTTAACCTAAGTAAATATATTGAAAGTGTGGCTGTAAAGCTAAGCCACATAAGCCTTTCTTCTAAATCCTCCTGCAGGCATTAATGCTCAGATTTGAGATGGCATCCTTATTTGCTAAGTGCAAAGATGGTTACAAAAGAGCTTTTCTCACTTTGAGGATAAAAGCTAAAGTATTCTTTAATTTTGGTTACCGCCTGGCTCATCTCAGCACCATAATAGTTATTTGGCTCAAAACCAAAAAGTAGCAATACAGTACTTACATGTCTGTGGATCAAAATTAGATGAAAAATTGCTGTTTCTCATCTCCAAAGCTATTTGCTGCACATTTTATAACCCTCAAGATGCCTTTTGTAATATGTGATAACAGAGCCAACTGCAGCATCTGCCTGGAAAGAGATTACTTTAATTATGGACTCAATGTCCTATTTTCTGCAAGTGATCCCCAGAGACAGGCTTCCTGCCGAAGGAGAGGTGCAAGGATGCACATTAAAGCCTACACATCAACCACGAAGAGGTGGATAAAGTGAGACAAGGACAACCATAAACCTCCTTCATTTTCCTAGTCTGTAATGTGATAGAAGAGTCTATAGTGATAGGTTTTTAATTATTGTAGCATCTGTTGTTATGGACTTTTGATGGTAAGGGCAAGATGAGCTTGTGAAACAGCAAAACCTTCTACAGAGAAAACATTATATTTAAAAAGTTCGGTATTGTTTAAATTACTCTTGATATGACTTTTTTTAACAAATAAGTAAAACACTAAAAAATAAAAGAATAAAACATTTGTAAAGGTTCGATAAACATGCTTTAAAGTTTTTCTCTCAAAATTAAACGTGTGTGTCTGTGTGCATGTGTGTGTGTATGTGTGTGTGTGCTATTATCAGTTACTTGCTATAATATTATTAGAAAGTGAAGCTAAGTGGTTTTCTTGTCAACCCCAGTTCTGGATAACACATCAAGTGCCTCATTATTAAGAATTCATTTGCCATTCAGTATAATAGAGCTGTTCATAATGAACTTCATTTAGAATCAAGGTGGATGTCTTGTGCATTTCCATGGAAATTCTTTATAATTTAACACTGATTTAACGTTATGAATGGACACTTAAAGCAAATTGTTACCTTGTTCTTATTAATTACAGAATCAGACTCCTTGATTAATAGTTTTTTTTTTTTAAGAATGAGTGTTTTTCTTTTCTTTTTAAAAGCATAGCACATACTCACATAGGATATTTGGGATTTCATCTAATTTCTCAAAAAGTATAAACATATTTTGCATTTTTAGAAGATGGAGGATTATTGAAAAGTAACCATGGGAATTAATTTTAAACTTCAAAAGAGGAATTTAAGGGATTTGGCATGGAATGAATTTGTGTGTGGGACGGAAAGATGGAACAGAAAAATGTACCTTACAATCATATTAGGTGAAAACATCAAGTCTTTTAAGTATCATACCAACTATGGCGTTGATGATTTTCTGGTGTTAAAATGAAGTGCTATTACTACTTTTATAATTTTATAAATAAATCCAAATAAATTTATCTTAGGGAATTCTAAATGGTACTATTTAACCCTAAGACATTAAATGAAATATCTGACATTTTTCAGACTTCCTTATTTATAATAAATGCCATGCTGGATAAATTTTTTAAAGATACATTGAAATGGATAGTTTTATAGAGATTTTATTATTGTATATTTTGTAAATGAACAATTAAATCTATATTATCCATATATCACCAGAACTTATAAATAGGAGCAAGGGTTTAGTGTTCATTTCTGTTTAAAGATCTTGGATATTAAGAATTAAAGCAATATTTCTGGACTTAGGGAAAATAGAAACTTATTAAAAGAAACCGAGAGCATGAATAACTGCTCTAAGGCATCAGTGAAAGGATTTCTGATTTTTATTCTGATCAGTGATTTTTAATTCTGATTGATCAGTGAAAATAATTCCTGATTTTTAAATGTTATATTTTGTTTCTCAAATATTTCATTATTTGAAATATTTTTTGAAATATTTTATTATTTGAAAAGCAAAATATTTCATTCTATGGATCTCAGATTTGTTCTGCAATCAGATATCTCATACAAATATATAGTAAGGGAAGATTTCTAAATGGCTCATTTGGAGCATGAGGAGATGACCTCTCCAAAGATCAAAGGGAATCAGAGACTTCTCTTGAAGAGCATTTATTCTGTAACTTCAATTCCATATTCCACTTTGGTAACTCTCAATCGAGCTTTTATTTAAACAGTTAAGTTGTTTAATCCAAGGGTTGTATTATATCTGGAATATATACTTACCCCACTACCAACTGTTTCAGACATTGTATCTTTCTGAGTTTTGTTTTTGTTTTTGTTTTTTTGTAAAAGCATTGAGTTAATTTTTTTTTGGCTTTCTGTATTTCACATTTGGGTTAGAATGCAAAATGTCTTAGTTTAGACTTATAATTTAAAAGAATTTCAGTAAATAAATATATGTCATAAATAGAGTTGATTTTTAATATTTAAACTTGACAGTAAAACTTATTTTAAAATGAGTTTTAATACAATTTTACCTCTGATTATGAAAGCAATGCCTATGTACATAAAAATACAGCTAAGCAAATATTCATATATGTACAGAGACGCACAGTCACACTGACACCTGCACATGTGCACACGCATATGCATATTTCCACTATCCCAGAGATAACAGTGTGTATCTTGGGGTATATTTCTCTAGATATATGTGTGTGTTGAATTTTAGTTTTTACAAACTTGGGGTTCTCTTATACATTTTATTCTCTAATCTAGCTTTTTTTAAAAAAAAGTAACATGAATGTTTTCCCAATAAATATGTGTGTGTTCAATTTTAGTTTTTACAAACTTGGGGTTCTATTATACATTCTATTTTCTAATCTAGCTTGAAAAAAACTCTAACATTACATTATATTATGAGTGTTTTCCCAATAAATATGCATCTACAACATCATCTGGCTCAAATTCTATGTGGATGTATTATAATCTGTTTAATCAGTCTCTTATTTCTGGACATTTTGCTTGTTTCCAATACTCACTATTGTACAGCTTTGTGAAGAACAACCTTGTAACTAATGCTCTTTTCATTACGAAAGTATGTTATTTTTATGTTAAGGTTAACTATGAAGTCAACCTGATAAAATTAAAAGCTAAGACGTATGCATAAAACTATATATGATTTTTGTATCAAGGCCAGTATCACAAAGACTAATAGTAGTTAACTTTTCAACTTTTAACAGTAAGAGTCCTGTATAATAATGTTTCATAATTACTCATAAGTTAAGATAATGCCAGGTTCCTGTCACTATTCTGATTACTCAGTCATCACATTAATTAAGAAAACATTGTTTCTCATTTTGCAGTATTTTCTGTTTCATTGTTGGATTTCAATAAATGCCTTTAAATGTTTATTTTGTAAGGCACACTAATTCAGTTGAAAAGCAACGCATTCTGTCTCTTTTCCAAAGCTCCCTGGAATGCATAGCCTTGCAACTAACTAGTATTAATTAGTAGTGAGTGAGCCTCTTTGTCTGATACTTACATTTTTAAAAAATCCTGTGTTATTTTTAACTGTATACTTTGAATATAAAATTCCCATTTTTTCTTTTGTAAGGTGTCATAAGATAATGTAAGTTAGTGGAATCACTAGTGTGATTGATAGGTGATTGTGCCTGCATATTGATCTTTTTTTAAAAAGTGAGAATTGGCTTTATTATATTATGTAAATTCACTTTTTTTCTTTTCTTTTTTTTTTTTTTTTTTTTTTTTGAGATGGAGTCTTACTCTGTCACCCAGGCTGGAGTGCAGATCTCAGCTCACTGCAACCTCTGCCTCCCAGGTTTAAGCAATTCTCCTGCCTCAGCCTCCCAAAAAGCTGGGACTACAGGCACGCACCACCACGCCTCGCTAGTTTTGTATTTTTAGTAGAAACGAGGTTTCATCTTGTTGCCAGGCTTGCCTCAAACTCCTGACCTCAGGTGATCTGCCCGCCTCAGCCTCCCAAAGTGCTGGGATTACAGGCATGAGCCACTGCACCTTTTCTTCTATAGTCTATTTAGTTTTCACTGGGAAAGTAAAATTTTAATGTAAATATAACTAAGCTTTTCACAAAGGAAATCCTACAGATTTCTTCTTTGACATCATGGTTTCTTGTACAAACACAAATGTGAGCATGATTAATATTAACAACTTTTACCATTTAGGAGAGCCTTTAAAGTCCTTTTCACCTGAGTAAAAGTCTTTTTCACCTCCATCTCTGCTTTTGCTAAATTAAAAGCAGAGCCTTATCTCAAATAGAGAGGGCCTGGCCACATATTTAGATCCTGTCCTCCTCTTCTGGGTATCTGCCTGTCCTTGGTCTCAATTAATGGATTTATAAATCACCTAGAAGTGAGGATTTACAGTGAAATATTCAAGTTTATGGGGGACACAAAACTGTTCTAGAGAGTGAAATGCTAACTTGATGTGAATAAATTGTGATATTGTATACATGGTAAGCAGAAGAGTGGAAAACAGAATCAATATGTATACAAACATAAAGAAATATAAGCAAGGGGCTGAGCGTGGTGGGTCGTGCTTGTAATCCCAGCACTTTGGGAGGCCAAAGCGGGCGGATCACTTGAGGTCAGGAGTTCAAGACCAGTCTGGCCAATATGGTGAAATCCCGTCTCTACTAAAAACACAAAAATCAGCGAGGCATGGTGGTGCACTCTTATAGTCCCAGCTACTTGGGAGGCTGGGGCAGGAGAATCGCTTGAACCTGGGAGGTGGAGGTTGCAGTGAGCCAAGATCGCGTCATTGCACTCCAGCCTGGGCATCGCAGCAAGACTCTGCCTCAAGAAAAAAAAGAAATATAAGCAAGGAAAAATAATCTGAGCTGTTTTGCAAAATGATAGTCTGTGAGTTATCAGTTCTATTCCAAGAAGAAGACTCAAGGAGCAATTATGGGGTGTATCTTCAAGAAATCAGTGTCATTGTAGCTTACATGATCCCCAAGTTTGGAGAAGCCTCTCAAGGCCCACTGAAAGGAGAATAGAGAATGTTGGTCTTACAGATCCCTGGAGTTATGGTTGCAATGTTAGATAAAATTATTTTCATGTAGAACCTATGTTTTATCAATCCTGAAGGAAGGCCTTAGTTGTGTGTGTGTGTGTGTGTGTGTGTGTGTGTGTGTGTTTCTAGAGAAAGATGGTTCTGGATAACCACTATAAATCTCATTGTTTTCTTTTGGGAGATACTGTGTGCATATTGATTTTTTCACATTTTTATGAAAAGTAAAATATTATTTACATTAGACATTTTTTAATGTAATGCAACATCTTTTTTTTGAGATGGAACCTCACTGTGTTGCTCAGGCTGGAGTGCAGTGGCACGATCTCGGCTTACTGCAGCCTCTGCCTCCTTGGTTCAAGGGATTCTCCTGCTCCAGCCTCCTGAGTAGCTGGGATTACAGGTGTGTGCCAGCATGCCCAGCCAATTTTTGTATGTTTACTAGAGCTGGGGTTTCACCATGTTGGCCAGGCTGGCCTTGATCTCCTGACCTCAAATGATCCACCCACCTCGGCCTCCCAAAGTGCTGGGATTATAGGCATGAGCCATGGCACCTGGCCAGTGAAACCTGTCTTGAAAGCTATATTCCTCTTTTGCTAATTTGACGTTAAGAAAATGAAGATAAAACTCTAGAGCAATCAGAAGTGCCTTTTTTTTCTATTTTAGAGGACTTGACGTATAACAGTTTAACTTGCTAGATATTGTACATGATTGAACTTAAAAAATAAGTGTTTTTAATGAAAGATGTAATCAGGAATTTAAGTATCAAAAACCCTTGAAATACATTTTTGTTGGTTCAAATCCATTTACACAGAGCTTTTCAGCACAGCAATGCTGGGAATGGACAAAGTCTTGGACAATTCATGTCTATAAGAAATGCTGCATTCTCATGGAGATTTTCAGAGTAACACACCTCAGTGTGTCAATTTTAGAAAGTCTTTGGGGGATAGACATTTGTCTTAAAAAGGGACTACCAAAACTGTTATTACAGCACTTTAGTACACCTCTGCCAGATCTCAGGAATTACTTTTCACAGCTCATAATGCTAATCTGTAAGTAGAAGTTCTATTTTTAAATATAAAATTGTCAAAATGTCCAGTATTTGATGGAGAAGTATGAATCACTGGCAAATCAAGTGTTGAAATTAATAAAATTGCAGGAAATACAATGATACTCATCTTTTTAAATTTTCATAGATAACTTACTTTTTGTTTCATGCATCAAGTCACACTTATGATTTTAAATCTGAGGAAGATTACATCCTAAAGATGTCCACCCAGCTACTTGTCTTAGAAGCCTCATCAGTGAGCAAAGATTTATTTTATTTGCCTGGAAAGAGTAAAACTGTTGATTCATTATGTGTAAAACCTTATAAGTTTAAATATTAAACAGCATATGATTATATGGCTGATAGCTGAATTTCTCAAATGTTTAAAGATGGAAAAAAAATTCCATAGCAAAATTGACTCAAGAAATAGCTCTATGATCTTATTATAATACTTGTCTGCACCTCTACAAATTCAATCACTTTCATGAGCAAATATTTTCAGTATATAAAGTTGCTTGAATAACAGTTGGACAGCTGAAAGCTGACAATGGAAAATTATACAGCAAAGACTCCAACATATTTCTATTTTAAGACTGCCCATGTTTATTTCTGTACCTTCTTCCATCCCTAATTGACTTTGCAACTGTCCCTTCCTCTGGACAAAGATGTATAAATTAGCTTGGATAATACTATCTTTTTAGAAACATTGCTAAATAGATGTATTGACAAGAGCAAAGTTTTCTTGGCCTGGCACAATTTCAAGTTCTAATGGTAGCTAGAAAGACCTAAACTCTCACTTTAAAAATGAGGAAACTGAGGCCCAGAGAGGGGTGAGCTCTGTCACAGAGCTACATGGTGACAGCCCACAGTAGAACCCAAGGCTTCTACTTCCCTTTTCATCACACTGTGATGAACCTTCACTCCATGATCCTCTGGGCCCTCAGAGGGCATTGCAGGCTGAGCTCCACCCTTCTGCTCTCCATCTGTTCCATCATATACTAATAATGTGGCCAAGGCAGCAAGGCATAGCACTTGAAGACCACAACACTGATCCTCAAATACTGATGAAGATGAGGATGTTTCATTTGGATTTATTGATGTATATGAACCATGACCTTATATTCTTGGTTTTCTGGAACAGGCTTACTTGCAGATAACTATATTCTTTCCAATAAAGGCATTTGTTAAGTGTATAGCACTAACTAGAATTCAATCTTTAATCATAAGTGAATCAGAATAAACTTCCAAATCAGAACAAATCTGTCAGGTGATCCGTCTTTCATCTGTCATTTTCTTTAAGCATATGTAACTCTCTAAATGTCTTCTCTCTGTTGCCATCCACTCTGCTAGGTTCATTGCCTCATTCTTCTAATTTAATCTTCACAACAGTCTTATGAAATAAGCAGTGTTATTATGCCCATTTTGCAGATGAGGAATCAGAGGCTTGGCACATTTAAATAGTTTTCTCCTGACACAGATAGTTCATAGAGTAATAAGTGCAGGATTGCAGCTCAGGCTTATCCTGAGTCAATTCAGGCCCTTAACCAATGCTCTTCCTATGACCACACAAAGTTGATTACTACTATATATGTAAAGGTAGAGAAAGAAAATGAGAAAATAAACTCTTAAAAATACCGTCATGTGGGGTCCATGAATATGGAAATGGTTAATAAATTGATTAATAGGTATTGATTTGAGTTTTTAGGAAAAACTTCTGGGTGAAAAGAAAAGAAAAACTTTAAATAAAAGAATGAAGATATAGTCTTGTGATTCATTTAAGGAGTCAGAATGGCATGTTACACTACAACAGTAGAGAAAAAGAAGACAAAAATACAGAGAAAAATCTTCAAGCTTTCCTCTTTTTCTTGTAGACCTTCCTGATACAATATTACTTGTGCTCCATGTTTAAGATTTTCTTGCTATGCTCATGGCATAAGATTCAGTTTTCTGGATTCATCTGGAAATTTTCCTTACGTAGAAAATTCAGTCGTTCAGTTATGTCCATATAATGAAGCATTATTGTACGTACATATATATATGTATGTACAAAAATTATAAATATTCTAAAATTATAAATATTCTTAAATTAAGTATAAGACAAAAGTAATCAGATTGACTCATTAAAGTTCTGATGTGATTGCCTTCTCTACCTCAGCTTCTCCATCTGAAGATAAAGTTACTCTTATTTAGCATTTTCCTAACTTATTTCAGAGAAAAGTTCATGAAGAATTGCTTAAGTGTATGCCACTTTGATACTCCTGGGTGTTAGGAACTGTAAGGACACAAAGCACTGTCACTTGGCTATAACTTTTCTCATTTCCCATGCAGTGTTACTGAGAAACTTCAAATTGACAAGGATGTGGGTGTTACCATATAATGGAGGTGGGAGAGAGACTAGCCAGAGGATCATAAAAGACAATTGGCCATGTATTAATATGTAGAAAGAGAAAGGGTTTCCAGTAACCTTCCAGGGAAACAAACGTAGTATCTACATTAACATCCTCATCATTGACCTAAAACAGAGGGAAAAGAGCAAGTTAATTAAGTTCTCAGATGATACTAAACGGAGAGATGTTTGTTGCAAAAAACCGATGAAGAATAAGACAAAATTTAAAAGGTATCTGGAGATTGTTAGAGACAGGAAATAACTAGGAAAGAATTGAGCTTAAATATTCAAGCAAATGTGTCTAGAGAGGGAGCAATTTTAAACATTGATATTAGATAAGCTAGAATTAGAGTGCAGTAATGACAAAAGAGGCCTAAGGTGATATTAGGAAGAAAATTAGATAGAAGCTTGAAATGGAATATAGTTAAAATGCTACTGTATTTAGTATTCTTGTATTGAGATTCTGCATAGAGGATCAGATAAACACTCTTTGCTGATGAGAGCTCATTTGGAGTTACTTGATTACAGATTAATTCAGGGAAGACTTAAATCTAAAAGTAGTAAGAAAAAGAAAAGATTGGCCTTTGTCATATGTGTGCAAATATACTACAGCCCAGGGAAATCCAGTGCTAGCCAGCTATAAACTGCAATAGAAGACCCTCTTTCCTCAAAATATCTCCCTTACCTGTCTGAACAAGTGCATGAGGTTCTTATCTTTAGAGTCACCACTTTCATTTAGGTTGCTGTTCCGACATTTCCATTCAATTGCCCATTGTTCACCTGGGAAGAATAACTCTGGAAATGAATTTGTTTGAAAAACTTCAGCAATGTGGCAAAAAGCAGGATTCTGAGTTGAGGGGGCAGGACAGCCCAATATGTGACATAGACTCTGTGCACAAGGTCAGAAGGGCAAGAAGGGGCCAGATAGTGAAGTCCTGGGCAGCTTTAGGGACTCAGTTTCTGAGGGTCTGGGGAGAAAGGATGCTTAGGGGAGTGCTGACTAGAAGGTTGCTGACTGGGGATATCACCCTAAGGAGTGAAAGTAAAAGTCACCTAGCAGGTTAGTGAAAGTCACCTGTAAGGAGTGAAAGTGAAAGTCGTCTCGGTTAGTGAAAGTCACCTGAAAGCAAATGTTTTCTCATCCACATAAGAAAACAAAGTGGCTGTGGCCACAGCTATCTATTTTTACAGATCCTATGGATGCAACAAGGCAAAGCCATTTGAATAACTAGCATCATTCTCACCAGCTTATTCTTTATAGAAATGCTATTAGCTTATCCAAGGGCTTTATGCCAATACCATTATATCATTCATTGGATAGATTCATAATTTGGGCTCTGAAAAAAGTTGCATTGGATTTAATACCTGACATGTATTTACTTCTGGATGAAAGGATGTTTTGGGGGTCGATTTTTAAAATCTGTGTTGGTTTATGTCTGCCAAGGGAAATCCATAAGGAATTAATTCTGCTCAATGAATTTTTGCCCTTATGAAATTGTTTTAACACCAAACATTGCCTGTTTCTAATATTGTACTAGAGGCATTTCTTTACAATCTGGTACGTATGTAGTTTGAGCTTCTTAGCATAACTTACGGTGAATTAATGACTTGTTATTTATTGCTTAGCCACTCTGCAGAAGTGATTTATAGGCCCGTGCTATGCACTGGTGGTTACTTTGCAGTCTCTGTGCAGGCTATCTCATCAATATCATTAAATGAATTCACAGCGACACGGCTCTGCAACTGTAGTTTTTGATATGAGGGATAACTGAACATAAATCAGGACTTATGTTTAATTCATAAGATGCACCAATCTCTCATGTGGGTGTGAGTTAGGTTACAGATGCCACAAATGTGTTTTACAGTACCTCTTGTGATTAAACCCAGGCCCTTCTGCATGACTTTATGCACCAGGTGAAAATAATAGGTTGCTCTACACTTTGCCATTTTTCAGATACAGGCAATTTATTTTTATTTAGGCAGATTGGCTTCTATTGCCCCACAAGCAGGATATGTTTTAGAAAGTAACACTGAGAGAAGTATAATAAACAAACAGCTACATCATTTGTAATTTTCGTATATGCCTTAAGTAGTTACATATGAATCAATAATAACTATTTTTAAAAATACCTTTTGCATAAGATTTCTAAAAAATAAATAATTGAACATTAATGCCAAATCAAAATAGTTTTTATTTTAAACCTTAACATTTATTTTCATTAGTAACTTTCAAAGTGCTTAAGTAACTATGGGAAAATGGACCTGGTTATCTTTTCTTGTTATTCCAATCCAAGCAAAAACATAGTACAGCTTAATATGCAGCAAGGAAAGTCAGTTCCTTTCTTGTTTGGAAGCAAACAACTATACAGAAGAAGAGAAATCAAGATATATGGTAATTTCTTTAAAAAGGGAGAGAAAGTTAACTCTCCAGTGTCAGGAGAATTTTTCTGGCATTGTTGTTATTGCTACAATGACCAGTATTTATTCTTTGAACAAACACTGTGCACATGCACTGTAATCCATTCAGAAGAGGCAAGGTTTTTTGTTTTTGTTTTTTTTTTCCTGCAAGGAAGGGTAATCTGTCTCCAGCAGTGCTGCAACCAGGAGCACTAAGATAATAGCGAGATTGCCAGGTTGGCGCGCCTTGTCACTGGCCTGCTGTGTAGTCCTGTGATCGGCTCTGCTGACTGTCACGAAGAAAGAATGTGACATATTTCTGCCAAAGAAAATAATTCCAACATATGCAAGAAACTGACACAAATGTCTTCTCCTCCTTCCTCTGGTTCCAGTTGATTAGACCTAACTTTAGGTCGTGATGATTGTTAAGACCTAGTTATTTGGGCCTTGAACTGAAAAGAAGATGGATGACCTATTGCTTTCAAGGCCCGAGTGACAAAAGGATGGGAGGAAATGACATTACTTAGTAGCTTAATAAGTAATTGATTTCATAACGCTTGGGGCAAGGGGCAGAGTAAATGCACGCATGAAAGCAGAAGACGCCCCGGGCATGTCAGCAGAAGGGAAAGAAAGTAAATGTACAAGTATTAGGGAGTAGGGTGCCTTGGAGGGGAAAAATTACTACAGAAGGGCAATGATAACAGCAAGGTAATTGAAGTAGTTCCTTTGGTCTGAATTGTGAGATTAATTAAAAGTGGGGAATTTATTAAAAGTAGAGATTTTCTGTAAACAATATCAGCCAGGAAATCTACTTTCTGGAATTTGTATAATTTAGGAATAGGTTCCACTGCACACAAGAGAAAACTTGAGTTTTAGTGGGTTAAAAAATATGAGTCTCACCCAGGAAGTCATAAAAGTCACACTTCCCCTGTTATGTGTGTCTCTGATGCTTATGGTCACAGCAGGGATCCTCTTTTAGCTGATTGTTTCTAAATGTTCCTCCATATCTCTAAATAACATGCTTATTTTGCCAATTCTTGTTTTTTCTAGTTTAGACATTATCTATTAACTTTCTACAAATGACAATTAGATTGTCATGTTAATGATCTACAATGTTAATGGTCTACAATGCTGATTATGTAAATACCATTCACAGCCCAGACGGGTCAAAGACTGCACTGTAATTTCTTTTCCTTTCCAAACCCAAGTTTTTTATTTTCCTAGAATTAGTAATTGCCTTGCTTTTCACTTGCTTTGTTTTCTAAGCATTTATACCTCCCCTAATTGTATAAATCTTCTCTCAACACGTTCAAACCCACTACAGTTTCCATCAGTCTAAACCTCTTGAATAAATCTCTCCTGGAGGTGGCTGGCTGCTCGCGAGGCCTGTAGCACAGGTGGTACACTGGGGTTTCCCTCTCTCTCTCCCGCTGCTTTGGACCTCCAGTTTCCTTTGTTTTACATCTTTCTCTTTTTTTCTACTACCTGCACCCTCACCCCCACTTTTGTTACCACTGTCGTTATTTGGAGAAAATCCTCCAGTACCTCACTGAGTCAACAGAAACATTTTTTGAGACTTTGTTGGTCTGAGTATGTTTTAGTTCTACCCTCTTGAATGATAGGTTGGTTGTGCATAGAACTTTAAGTTGGAAATGTGTCCCTCAGAATTGGAAAGGCAATGCTCCTCAGAATTGTAATGCACTGACTTCTAGCTTTCTGTGTGGCTTGAGAAGCCCAAGGCCATTCCCATTCTTAACGCTTTCTAGGGAAGAAACTTTTGTTCTTTACACTTGTTTGGGGTGTTCCCTTTGATCTCAGGAACCTGGAATTTCTTGATGATGTACATTTTATGATTCTGTTTTTACCATTGAAACTCAGTGGGCCTTTCCATCTGCAAACTCATGTTTTTGAGGACCAGGAAATTTTATTGCTTTATGTCATTGAGGATTAACCCCGTTTCTGTTTCAGTTTTCTCTTTTCTCTTTTTTCTGGAATGCCTCCATCATAACATTAAACATTCTGGATAGATCTTCCAAATTTCTTTTTTGTCCTCCTATTTCTACCTCTTTTTACTTGTACTTTCTGAGTAATTTCCTCAGCTATATTTTCCAAATCTTCTATTGGTCTTTCAGTTCTGCCATAGTATTTCAAATTTCCAAGAGATTTTTTTCCTTGTGAATATTTCTATTTTCATAGAAATATTTTAACTTCTATAAAATATTTTTTCTTTGTATCACTGTATATTCTCTATTTTCTTAAAGTTGTATTTTTTTTTCCTTGCTGTTTGTATTGATCTCTTTCATAATACAGATTTTCCTAAAAAGTCTAGTGATTGTTGACCTGGAAGTTCCATGCCAGGGGGAGCAGGAGTTGAAGAAAGGTTTTTTTTGTTTTGTTTTGTTTTGTTTTCTATTATTATACTTTAAGTTTTAGGGTACACGTGCGCAACATGCAGGTTTGTTACATATGTATACATGTGCCATGTTGGTGTGCTGCACCCATTAACTCATCATTTAGCATTAGGTATATCACCTAATGCTATCCCTCCCCCCTCCCCACACCCCACAACAGTCCCCAGTGTGTGATGTTCCCCTTCCTGTGTCCATGTGTCCATAGAAAGGTTTTTGATGGTTATCTTTATTGTTGGTTGCTCTGACTTGGCTGATTACCTGGAGACTCTCATATTTTAGTATCTTCAGATTTTTCTCTTAGGCCAGAATCTTTTAAACAGACTTTCCAACCTCTTGAAGGAGGATTTATACCTAATTTCCAGCCTTATGAAATCCAAGAGGAGGAAGAAAGCTGAGGATCTCATTTACATCTAAACTTTTGCTTATCTCTGTTCTCAGAAGAGTATCCCATCCTCAGTTGTGCCTAGTGTCTCTGGAGAATAAACTTACAGTCTTCTGCTGGTGGGATGAGGGCCTGTTATGGGGCTGCATAGAATTGCAGAGAGGAGCCCTTTGGTTCAACTGGATAAAGAAAATGTGGTACATATGCACATGAAATACTACGTAGCCATAAAAAAGAATGAAATCATGCCCTTTGCAGCAACATGGGTGCAGCTGGAGGCCCTTATCCTAAGCAAACTAATGCAGAACAGAAAACTAAACACCACATGTTGTCACTTACAAGTGGGAGCTAAATACTGAATACACATGGGCACAAAGATGGGAGCAATAGACACTGGGGACTGCTTGAGAGGGGAGGGTGGAAGGGAAGCCTAGATTGGCAGGCTACCTATCGGGACTATGCTCACTACCTTGGTGATGGGATCATTGGTACACCAAGCCTCAGTGACATGCAATTTACCCATGTGACAAACCTGCACATGTATACCCTGAACCTAAACTAAAAGTTGAAAAATAAAATAACAACAAAAAGCTTCACGAATGGACTTTCAGCAAATAGTGTCTGTTTTCAGTCTCATCTCCATCCTAATTTCAAAAAGTATCCAGTGCCACTAATTTCTGAGCCTCTTTCCACTTACCCTACTGCTGGCTTAGGATTCAGTGTTTTAGTGTGTTAGGTTAGTTGCAACTTATCTGTTGGCTTCCCAGTTTCTCACATTTTTATATTGTTGTCATCTCTCTTGTCTTCTTGGCTCTTTGGGTGTATGCTTTTAAAAAATTCTTTACTGTATTCTAGCAGGTTTCAGGAAGAAGTGGAAACTAATATTGTGTTCAATCCACATTTTTAAAGCCTGGCAAACTCTCAGTTGCCATTTAAAGCTCAGCTCCGGTACCTCCTCTCAGTCTCCCCATTCAGATTAGGATCTTCCTGTGCAGCCATTGCACTTACCACATTCCACTGTAATTGTCATTTCATGTGTCTCTCTACCTTAGTCTGTAAAGCCATTGACTTGAAGGGGTATGTTATTCCTCTTCCTAGTTCCAGTGCTTGCATGGAGCCTGTAACACTAGGTGTCAGGAAGAACTTGTTGAATGATTAAGTGTGGATATTAGGATAGGAAGGAAGAGGCTCTTTTCCTGGCTTCATCTATCTTGAAAGGATTATACTGACTCTAATGGATTTAGTTGTAGTAGTACTTGATTTTAAGGCCAAGAAGAAGATAAATTGATTTTTTAAAAAGATAATAATTCACTTTTCGGATTCTCTTGATGGTTACTCAAGTCACTGTTTTTCTTCTTTCTTAGAATGTGGGAGAGATAAATCATATTTTTCCATAAGAAGTGCTTATGGCCGGGCATGGTGGCTCACACCTGTAATCCCAGCACTTTGGGAAGCTGAGGTGGGTGGATCACTTGAGGCCAGGAGTTCAAGACCAGCCTGGCCAATGTGGAAAAACCCTTTCTCTACTAAAAATACAAAAATTAGCCAGGTGTGGTGGCGGGTGCCTGTAATCCCAGCTACTTGGGAGGCTGAGGCAGGAGAATTGCTTGAACCCAGGAGGTGGAGGTTGCAGTGAGCTGAGATCACGCCATTGCATTCCATTCTGGGTGACAGAGCGAGACTCTGTCTAAAAAAAAAGAAAAAAGAAAGAAAGTGCTTAGAGGGAGTTCCATTCCCCCTCAATAGCAAGGATAATGATTATTTTCACAACTGGACTAAGCTGAAGTCCCTCTCCCCAATAATTATAAATAGATATAACAGTCATCTGGTGTTTAGCTCAGACGTTAGTGAAATGTTTGGCTCTTTTTCTCTTCTTGATTACATATGGTAGTATTATGCCCTTGTCACCTGAAAAATTAAGCATGACTATTTTAGATTTCTCTAAAAATACATACTATATTTTCCTTACCAATGCGTAGAGCATTTTTTCCAAGATAGGTAAAAACTCCTTGCAATTGTAAAAGCTTGACTTCTCCTTACTTATCAACTCAAAATTCATGTTTTCTTCCACATATTTTCTCTTTTGTGTGAAAAAAAAATTCTATGGACCATAGTGAGTCAATGCTCCTTCCCCATGGAATAGCTGTTAAGAAAGGCTCTTGGGATGGCAATCACTGTCCTCTCTAGCCCCTCCTTGTTATTCAGCATTCTTCTAGACTCCTCTGTGTCTGTATTCTGCATGTCCCTTAAGGAAAAGCCAACAATTTGGCTTATACTTCATTTTAAAAATGACTAAGGGACCAATTGTAGCACATTTTGATAAGTAAAAAGAGCCTGTGACCCAGCAAAATGTGAACAATCTTGCACATCTCCAAGATTAAGTGAGCACCAGGCCAAGTCTAAGAGAAGAATCTTCAGATTACAATCCAGTTAGAAGGAAATTGGCTGGAGGATTCAGGAGGATTTGTGAGGGGGTGGACCCACTCATGTCTCTGACACACACTTTGGCATGTTGTTTTAAGTATTTAGACCAGAGGACTAGAACATTGAAAACAGAGTTCAAATTTTAATGACAGTTTTACAAATCTGAAAGTTGGCAACACATATAGTTGTCAGTTATATGATTTTATGCATGGATGTGCCACACATATGTACTCATTTCACATGCACGTTCGTATATCTAAAGTTGGTTAGAAAGACTTTTGGGAAATTAGATTTTAATTCTCTACATGTATTTTGTCTTTTACTGTTTACAAAGCACTTTCACATCTGTTGCCTTATTTGGTACTCACAGTAGCATCCTGTGAGATAGGCAAGCAGCTATCATTCCCATTTCACAGATGAAGAATCTGGTGCTTAGACAGGTTATACCATTTACCCAAGTTCACTCAGCCAGATTGTTAGTGGCAAAATCAAGAGCAGAATCCAGTTTTCTTGACATTGAGTTGTTTTTTTTTTCCACTCAACCTGAGGGAATATATATTATATACCTGATTATATATAATGCATATGTAATAGATATTAGATACCCGATTAGATATTAAATTATTTCATGAAACGCAAGTCCCTGCTAGACCTCCTGATGAGCAACAATTGCAAGTTACTCATCCATGATAATTTGTTTACTTCCCCACATTAAAACTATCATTAAAACTATGCTGGCTGGATGTGATATCTAGCAAAAGAAAAATGGAGAGAAAATACATTGCAAAAAGCCACTCCTCACTGAATAATGTGGGCACGCTGTTTTCTAACCTATTTTTGCAACTAATATTTAAGATTAAGGAGTTTGATTTGTTACAAGAAGTAACCTATTACTATTTTCTACATTATTTCTTAGTGATAACATGCATTAGTTTATTAGATCTGTCTGAAAGATCTTGTTTCTTATTCCTTATAAATAATTTGTGGATACCCAGCCAGTGCAGAATCAGATTTGGTGTTACTACGCATTATTTATGACCATATTTCTTTAAACATATTCTAACCTGGAAGCTGTGTGTAGATTTTCCATTTACATAGCTAATATATGCATTGTCGCTGCCACACAGTAAGAAATGCTTACCTGACAGGCTGTGAACCTGCATAGTATAACAGGCATTATTCCGAATTTGTCAGACATTCAGAGCATAAATGATGGGTTTCTCTTCATACCACTATTTAGTGCCGTTTTATTTGAAATAGAAAAAATTTCCAGCAACTTCAGACAACATTTGGGATTTATCCTCATTAATATTTTGGCTTTGTTATCAATCATGCAGGTATGTTAGACATAATTTAGAATAATTCTTATATGTACTTGAAATAACCTTACTTTTAACCCCAAACTGAATCAACTTTTTAAAAATTTTCCATAAACAAATGCAAGATAGAAAGATTAAAGATATGAATAATTTAAAAATATTGCAATGGTAGGAATTTTTTCCCTCTGCAAGATGAGGAAATGCCTAGATGTGATAAAGACTCTGTCTCTCTGAGCAGTACTGAAGGTGAAGCTAATTACATGATGGAGATTTTCTTTCCAATGACACGTCATTTGAAGATCTTAAACACAGAACTCAAAGATTCTCAGTGGTTTTTATGGCCTTGAGATATTTTTAGGTGCATTTTCCACCCTTTATAAAAATTTCCACCTTTAAAAATATCTAGTGAACCCCAGTTTCTAAAGCATTTCCTGTAACTGCATCTGTTGCTAGGAGAGGAGCAGAAGAAAAATGACAGACTCCTAAGAGCTGTAACCTTGCCAGTTGCTGTTATCCTGGAAATGTGGTAGTCAAGGTTGTCATCAAGAGTCTTATAATGATCTTTACCCATTATAATTTGCAGGAGTGCCTGAAAAACTGTATAAGCCTCTAAGTTCCTTCTACCCTTAGAAGCTGAGTATATAATTTCAATCTCTAAGCAACTTGATAACAAGGTTTACTGGGTATTTATCCCCCATAGAGTATAACATAAAGTCTTAGAAAGTGCCAAAGAGTATTTATTTAATCAACCATTGGACAACCAGGTAGTCATGGAGTTAGTGTCATAATTTGCAATTATCATCACTCCAGCCAGGTGTCTTTTATTGAATACTGTGCTAATTGTCCAATCTCTGACTTCTTAAAGTTTATTATATAAGGAAAGAACACTGAGTATATTAAAGATATCTAGCATATAAAGAAGCATTAAGCAAAGTCAATGAATTAAGAGTTAAGATGTATTTAAAATTACTAAATATATAAAGGTGTTTTAATCATCATCACTGTGAGTACATTAGTGTGAACAAAAGATTAATGTCTTTAGTGAAATGGCAAGTGAAGACGCAGCAATCGTAAATGCATTTATAAAGTAAGTTTGAGTAGGAGTAAAGGTGGAGTATTTTAGTCTTGCAATCATTAAGCTGGACAGGGTTTTAGGGGAAGAAAGGAGCTTATTCTTGGCCCACAAAACAGACTCAACACTGTGGCTTTCATGTATCTATGTGGGTGATTCTATTTTGACCCAAATGTAAATTCACTTTGAAATAGGGCCTGGGAATGTTCATCCTACATATTGATTGGAGAAATGAAAATAATATTACGGTGTTATATTACTTTGTAAAACAAATGCTGTTGATTTACTTCATGTGAAAAAGTTGCTGGCATTCTTAAAGCAGTTTTATATTGTGATGGTGGTGATTAGGAGGTTTTGTTTTTGTTTCAGCCAGTAATACAAGCATTGCAGGAATTCTTATATCTACATTTTATGTGAAAGGAACACTTTTTAAATCCCTTCTTGGATATTTCAGATGTAGTTATATATCTATCCCTAAAGCCAATCTGTGCCTTTAAATGAAGCCCGTACTCTGATTTCATAAGGAGACTTGCAATTTTATTGGTACTTAGAAGTCTAGTTTATTTTCTTAGGGATTTAATGCACAGTGCTAATATTATCTTTTGCTACTAAACAAGATGCTTCTCAAAATTTCACATTTGGGTATCTTGAATTTGTGTGACTTCTACAGCACTTTTATGTTTAAATTAATTTAAATTCTGGTGAATCTTGGTCTACGAGTAAATCTAATATATAAAAACCCAAGTCCACCAAAAAAGGCCAATTAGGGCATTGTGATTTGTTTTACAGTAATAATCCTTTTAACTGTGTACTTAATATTTAAATGTCCTAATACACCTTTTCAGTAACATACATATTACATCATATGAAGCAAATATCAGTTGACTTTGATTTATTTAGTCATGTCTTAATTCTACTTTGGCATTGAAAATGATAAACTTTAGCACTTGATCATTTTTCTTTTTCCCTCTAAAAAGTTTTGCAAGACCCTGTGACTAAATTTTGAGGGCTATAAGATTGTTTAATTTATTTTCTCCTGAATTTGTGAAACTTACTGATCTTTCATCTTGCTCTTACTTTCGTTCTCTTATTTTCATGTTCAAACAACCTTCTGACCAAGAGGAAACCTGGTTTGTATTTATTTTGTTTCTCATTAATTCAGTAATTCAAGAAATATATACTGACACTTAACTATGTGCCACGAATTATGCCAAGCCCCAGAAATATGTAAATACGTACCAGTGCATTAGTAAACAAGTAGAAGTTGTCCCTGCCCTCACAGAACTTGTATTACTACTACTGCTACTGCTAGTACTACTAATTACTACTATATTAAATCAAAATTATTATTGTGGCTAACACATACTGAGAACTTACTATGTGCCAGGATAAGTGTTTTGTGTGGATAAATTCTTTAAACCTTCACCATTACCCTATGAGGTGGGTACTATCATTAGTGGGGCACAGAGAGGTTGTCACTTTTTTTTTTTTATACTTTAAGTTCTAGGGTACATGTGCACAACGTGCAGGCTCGTTACATAGGTATATATGTGCCATGCTGGCCCGCTGCATCCATCAACCCATCATTTACATTAGGTATTTCTCCCAGTGCTATCCCTCTCCCTGCCCCCCACCCCACAACAGGCCCCAGTGTGTGATGTTCCCCACCCTGTGTTCATGTGTTCTCATTGTTGAGTTTCCACCTATGAGTGAGAACATGCAGTGTTTAGTTTTCTGTCCTTGTGATAGTTTGCTGAGAATGATGGTTTCCATTTTCATCCATGTCCCTGCAAACGACATGAACTCATCCTTTTTATGTCTGCATAGTATTCCATGGTGTATATGTGCCACATTTTCTTTATCCAGTCTATCATTGATGGACATGTGGGTTGGTTCCAAGTCTTTGCTATTGTGAATAGTGCCACAATAAACATATGTGTGCATGTGTCTTTAAAGTAGCATGATTTATAATCCTTTGGGTATATACCCAGTAATGGGATGGCTGGGTCAAATGGTATTTCTAGATCTAGATCCTTGAGGAATCGTCACACTGTCTTCCACAATGGTTGAACTAGTTTACAGTCCCACCAACAGTGTAATAGCATTCCTATTTCTCCACCTCCTCTCCAGCATCTCTTGTTTCCTGACTTTTTAGTGACCACCATTCTAACTGGTGTAAGATGGTATCTCATTGTGGTTTTGATTTGCATTTCTCTGATGGCCAGTGATAATGAGCATTTTTTCATGTGTCTTTTGGCTGCATAAATGTCTTCTTTTGAGATGTGTCTGTTCATACCCTTTGCCCACTTTTTCATCAGGTTGTTTGCTTTTTTCTTGTAAATTTGTTTAAGTTCTTTGTAGATTCTGTATATTAGCCCTTTGTCAGATGAGTAGATTGCAAAAATTTTCTCCCATTCTGTAGGTTGCCTGTTCATTCTGATGGTAGTTTCTTTTGCTGTGCAGAAGCTCTTCACTTTAATTAGATCCCATTTGTCAATTTTGGCTTTTGTTGCCATTGCTTTTGGTGTTTTAGACATGAAGTCCTTGCCCATGCCTATGTCCTGAATTGTATTGCCTAGGTTTTCTTCTAGGGTTTTTATGGTTTTAGGTCTTACATTTAAGTCTTTAATCCATCTTGAATTAATTTTTGTATAAGGTGTAAGGAAGGGATCCAGTTTCAGCTTTCTATATATGACTAGCCAGTTTTCCCAGCACCATTTATTAAATAGGGAATCCTTTCCCCATATCTTGTTTTTGTCAGGTTTGTCAAAGATCAGATGGTTGTAGATGTGTGGTGTTACTTCTGAGGTATTTTATTCTCTTTGTAGCAATTGTGAATGGGAGTTCACTCATGATTTGGCTCTCTGTTTGTCTGTTATTGGTGTATAAGAATGCTTTGATTTTTGCACATTGATTTTGTATCCTGAGACTTTGCTGAAGTTGCTTATCAGCTGAAGGAGATTTTGGGCTGAGACGATGGGGTTTTCTAAATATACAATCATGTCATCTGCAAAAAGGGACAATTTGACTTCCTCTCCTCCTAACTGAATACGCTTTATTTATTTCTCTTGCCTGATTGCCCTGGCCAGAGCTTCCAACACTGTGTTGAATAGGGGTGGTGAGAGAGGGCATCCCTGTCTTGTGCCAGTTTTCAAAGGGAACGCTTCCAGTTTTTGCCCATTCAGTACAATATTGGCTGTGAGTTTGTCATAAATAGCTCTTATTATTTAAGATATGTTCCGTCAGTACCTTGGAATTTTTTCGAAGCCCTTTTCTGCATCTATTGAGATAATCACGTGGTTTTTGTTGATTCTTTAAACCTTCACCATTACCCTATGAGGTGGGTACTATCATTAGTGGGGCACAGAGAGGTTAAGTCACTTATTAATGTGCTTTGCCTCAGTAAGTACTGAAATCAGATTCAGACTCAGATTCCAGGGCCTATGCTCTTCACCACTCTGCTATACACAAATAGAACGCTTAATTATAACTGTGACAAATGCCATGAAAGAAGAGTCAAAGTTACAGTGAGCAGCTGGAATAAGAAATTTGATTTAGTTGGGGAATTTAGTTTAGTTTGGGAAAGGCCTCTCTGAGGAAGACGTTTAAGATGATACCACATCTTGGGATGACTAAGGGATAACTTGGAATTGGCCAGGAAAGAGGATTCCCCCAGACATAATTGGACAGCATGTGCAAATGTTCTGAGGTAGGAGATGGTTAGGTTAGAGGAACTGAAAGCATGAACTGGGCTGTAAGTGTGAGAGGTGACAGAAGAATACTGATAAGAGAGTAACATGAATTACAGAAGCACTGCTCTCTTCCCACAGGGGCACCATTTTTGAGCAGTATCACTTTGCCATGGTTCTAATTGTAGTAGCATCCTATGTAACTAGACCTAGTCATATAAAAATGCAGACTAGGGGTAGATAATGCATTATTTGAGACCATCTTTATCATAGCTGTGTGATTTCCTGTGTGTTTCCTACTCAAGATTGAAGAGACCTGGAAGTACAAAGTATTGGAATCTCTAAATTAGTTACTTAATATAGATAATTTTGGCACCATTTCAATTCAATATTACTAGTAAGGTTGTAACTTCATGGATATTCTTACTGTAAATTGCAATTTTGTTACTAGGTGTGGCTCTCATGGCAACCCAAGACATGTGAGAAGCAAAAAGAAAAGAGGGGGTAGGTCTGAAACCAGTGCTTGAGAAACTGATGCTACATGAGGGAATGGCTATAGGCCCTGGGCAAAGACCGAGGGTCACTGATACTTGGGTTTCCCTTGGTTGGAGCCCAGTGACAGAAAATTTTGGTAGCTAACACAGAAGCGGGAGGAAGGCTGGTTTGGAGCTAAAGCTCTAGCTGTGGGTGACCATGGTATAAACTTGAGAACACAAAAACATTTGTTCGTTGCTTTATCTCCTGTACCTAAAATAGAGCCTGGCATTATAACCTACTTCTAAGGAGGTATGCACCTAGATAGAAGCCCTAAACACTGAGATAGCATGGAAGCGGGCAAAGCAATGCCCTAGAGATGTCCTCATGGGAAAGGGGTCCTGGGTCTGCCTGGCTGAGGAGATTTATAGAGAACAACATGGGTGCTCAGGAATGATGACTGGCCCCTAAGATCCTATATCTGAGAAGTCAGATAAATTCTAAACCTTACTGGGTAACAGGCCAAACCGCTATATTCTTCTTCCTGGCCTTATAACTGGTTTAGCTTCACCTTTTGAGTGACAGGCATGATTACCTGCCAGGCAGATATTCATGGGCATTAGCTCATTGAGTCTTCCCAACGATAACAGGTAGGCCTCATTATTGCCAGTGTTTTACAGATAAATAAATGGAGGCTTAGAGACATTACTTAATTTGCCAAAGATCTTAATACTATGGAGTATTGTAGCTAAGATTTGAACCTAGATTTGACTGCAGAGCTCATGTTCTTAATCACAATACCTTTCTCCTTAAAATACATATTTGTTTTCAAATTGCTATCAGAAGAAGACTGTAGCTGGTAAAGGCTCACAATGAGGTATATTCAGTAACATAACTGCTCCAGAATTTATTTGGCAAAGGCAGTGAGTAGTACTGTCCAGGGCTGGGCAGTCAGAGATGTCTTCACATGGAACTAACTCCCAAGAGTACGGAGCAGGGAAAGCCTAAAGAAGCAAAATGATGGCTGACCAAAGGCACAAATCACAGTGCATGTAGAATCCACACAAAAATATTTTAATCCGTGACTTATTGCCATAATTAATGATTTGTTGTTTTCTCTCAAATGAAAATGACTTTGTCAGATGTAGTGATTGAGGAAGCTAATTACACATAGCTGCACAGGGCCAGCCCCAGGCAAAATTGAATGTCTTTTGGCTTTGATTTGTTACCTCCTTTCTTGGCAGCATTTCTTTCCCTTCACAATTCCTTTATATACACCACATGCCCCGGATTTTCATGCTGCCCTTATCTCTCCTTCCAGAAGAAAATTGATGTAATAAATGAGTTCATAATAGGGTTGGTTGGTAATTTAATAAATTACACTGCCTGGAAATTTTTGTATTTACAAAAGGGGTCTCACTAACTGCGATATGGTATCTTGGACTGGATATTGGAGGGATAAAGGATATTATCAGAAAAATAAAAAAACTAGTAAAATCGGAATGTTAATTTCTTAAGGACAAATGAACCACGGTTATGTAAGAAGTTAACAGTAGGGAAAGTTGGGTGAAAAGCATTTGTGAACTCTCTTGTTCTATCTTGGCATTGTTCTAATCTTAGCAACTTTTCCATCAGTCTAAAATGATTCCTGGCCAGGCACAGTGACTCACACCTGTAATCCCACTACTTTGGGAGGCCAAGCCAGGTGGATCACCTGAGGTTGGGAGTTCGAGACCGCCTAGCCAACATGGTGAAACCCCATCTCTACTAAAAATAATACAAAAATCAGCTGGGCATGGTGGTGGGTGCCTGTAATCCCAGCTACTCGGGAGGCTGAGGCAGGAGAATCACTTGAACCTGCAGAGGCAGGTCGAACCTGAGGCAGAGGTTGCGGTGAGCCAAGATAGCACCATTGCACTCCAGCCTGGGTGACAAGAGCGACGCTCTGTCTCAAAAAAATGAAATAAATAAAATAAAATGACTCCCAAATAAAACATTTAAAGGAGTAAAAGGAACTTACGGAGAGATCAATTAATATTCTAAAGAATAAATCTCTAAGTAAGAAATTTTAGGCAGGCAGGTCTTACCACAGAAGTATATAAGGATGGTTCCATAGTTATGTATCCTTACTTTCTTTTTCTTTTTCTTTTTCTTTCTTTCTTTTTTTTTTTTTTTTTTTGTGAGATGGAGTCTAGCTCTCTTGCCCTGTTGCCTGGGCTGGGCTGCAGTGCAGCGGGGCAATCTTGGCTCACTGCAACCTCCGCCTCCCAGGTTCAAGCGATTCTTCTGCCTCAACCTCCCGAGTAGCTAGGATTACAGGCATGTGCCACCACGCCTGCCTAATTTTTGTATTTTTAGTTGAGACAGGTTTTTGGCATGTTGGCCAGGCTGGTCCTGGCCTCAAGTGATCTGCCCACCATGGCCTCTCAGAGTACTGGGATTACAGTCGTTCGTCACCACACCCAGACTGTATCCATTTACTTTCTACAGACTCTAAGTTTCTTGACTATTTCTCTCTTTGGTAAATTTTGGATGCTATGAATTGTATCCAGGGAAAGAAGATTATTTCTATTCTTCTCACTACAACAAATGATACTGAAAGACAAAATCCAAACCACAAATTAAAATTGCAAAACAAGAAGTACAGATGTTTTTCATCTCTGGGAATGATGATAGATTCCAGAAATTTGAATTAGGCAAACATTAATTGATGTGCTGGGAGATGAGTAATTAAGAAGAACTAAGGTCACAAAATTGCTATTGTTTTAAAATATCAGAAAAATAACAAACTCATTTGCGTTTCCAAATACTCACATAGTGTTTCTTCTTTATGTAATGGTAATATGGAAATCAGTATTCTGTATGACCTAATTTAAAGGGATAAGTGCTTGAGTACATACACTCAGTTCAGTGTTCCAAAATAATTTACTGCATATAACTCCAGGGATATTTAAATTATATAAAGAGTTTAAAAACATGATTTCCATATTGAAATAGGTAGACCAACTAGTTGGCACTGTGTCAGATGAGAGACAATAGAAGCTTGTTCTATTATTTACACAAATTGACTGGTTTGGCAGTTGCTACAGCAATGAGCCATAATGAACTACAGAAAAATGAAAATGTGATTTCTTTAGCACTATACAAAAATGGAATATTTACAGAAAGGCAGAGAATGACTTACAAGAGCCCTAGCTGTGTCAAAATGGTATTCCTTGTTGCTACTTATCCAGAATGTAATCCAAATAGTGTATGTTTACTGGGGCAAAATTGTAATGATGGGCCATTATTTTCCTGCTGTTAGTAAGGGGACTGTGCTTTGTAATTCCAAAGGAATTTAAAATGTTCATTTTCCATGATTTACTTTTCACTTTTGACTATACCTTTAACCTGCCTTTGTTTGCAAAAACAAAGTAGTGAAGTTCCTGAAATTGGATGTTTTGTTCATGTCTTCCCAGCAAAGGGAAAAATAAACTCATAAAGCATATGACTCTACTCTAAAATACCTAATTTTTTGATGAGTTGATTCAGTCTCTTTTGCTCTGTTAGGAAGTTCTTGGCTTTTTTGTTACAGTTTTGGCTTTGAACTTTCATGTTTATACCTTATATTTTTGTCCCCTCCCGATTATCCACACTGGATCTCCTGTAACAATATTTTGTTCACTTCCAGGAAAGACCTTTTAAACAAAAACACTGCACATTTTGACTTGCCCAAGCCTAAGGGCTGTGTTAGTCAACACAGTAAATTCACAGAAAATGTGAGTCAGACAAGACAACTTTCTAAAGCCAATACTTAGCTTGAGCCTGTGAGGACCATTTATATAGATATCTACTGCAGAGTGTGTGTTTGTCAAATCTTTCTTTTCTCTTTTGCCCAAAGCAATGCAGGAAGCTTGTTATGATTGTTCCATACAAATTGACTTCAATAGATAATACTAGTTGGCATTAGGGAATATTATATATAATTAAACACCTAGACTTCAATAGAAAATACTAGTTGGCATTAGGGGATATTATAGAAAATTAAACTCCTAGACATGAGCCAAATTTGAAACATTTATCATAGTGTAAGTGTCAAAATGCATATGTATTCAGTATGGTAAGCACGATGTTCTGTGTAAATATTGAAATTTTGATATGGGCTGAGTTCTTACAAACCTATATACCAGGGTTTCTGAATCAGCTGTGATTTTACCTATGCTCCCAGGGGACATTTGATAATATCTGGAGACATTTTTTTGTTGTCATACCTAGCATCTAGTGGTGCTACAGGTGCTGCTAAGTATTCTACAATGCACAGGAAAGCCCCCCTACAGCAAAGAATGATCCAATTTAAATAAATGTCCAGTAGTGCAGTAGTGCTAAGGTTGAGAAGCTCTGCCTGTTCAGTTTGTAAATGACTTTACCAAAGACAACTCGGGAATTGCATCATTTCATATGGTGTCCTTTTTGGCTCATGGGAGAATCCTACTTCAGTGAAAAATTATTCTTTCTGCCTGTTTTTGTTGTTGTTGTTGCAACTTAGATATGCATGTGATATGCATCTACCAAGGAAAGTGAAAAATCAAAGGGGACTGGAAGATAATCCACTGCCAGGCCAAGAGGATAAAGTTTAATCCTTACCAAAGGGTCTTTGGTTGGGGAAAGAAGGAATAAAACAGCTTGCTGATAGTGATGGTTGTGACAGGAATGGAAGTTGTTACTTAGAGGAAGCATGAAATCTGTCCTACTCATAGGGGGATATATAGCAGTTCGTCTGTTCAGACTAGTAGTTTTCGAGCCTGGCTACAGTTGGAATCATGTGTGCCTGAACCTTGAGCCCAGAGATTCTAAATTAAGCGGTCAAGAGTGGAGCATGGCAATGTGTATATTTTTAAAGTTGCCCATTTCTAGAATCACTAGTCTAGATAGTTTAGTATCAGCATTTTAAATACCCTTAAAATTAAAAAAAATTACCTACAAAATTAAAAAATATTACTTCTGTTTATGGCCAGGCACTGTGGCTCATGCTTGTAATTGCAGCACTTTGGGAGGCTGAGGCAGGTGGATCACTTGAGGCCAGGAGCTCAAGACCAGCCTGGCCAACATGGTGAAACCCCATCTCTACTAAAAGTACAAAAATTAGCCGGGCGTATGGGTGTGCACCTGTAGTTCCAGCTACTCTGAAGGCTGAGGCACGAGAATGACTTGTACCTGAGAGGCAGAGGCTGCAGTGAACCGAGACTGTGCCACTGCACTTTAGCCTGGGTGACAAAGCAAGAGTCTGCCTCAAATAAACAACCTTCTGTTTAGCAAAATGTTCACTTGTACTACCGATGACAACCACTGTCACTCTGACTGTCCTTTCCCATCTCTTGTTCCTTTTGCTTTCCCTGAAAATACACCTGCTAGGGCCACTGTCTGTTTTTCACTAGCCTCTAAAGTTTCTTATTAGACTTGTGCTGGAACTTTTACTATTCTAAAATTGGATTTACTAATGACAGAGCTGGTAATAATCACCAGGACTATCACCTGGATGCTTAGCAACATGGCAATGCTGGAATTTTCATGAAACACTGAGAAGAGTCAGTCTAATTATGGTTCTATGTAGACTTAAGGGAGTGTATTTCTAGGTGAGGAGGACACAGAATAAAATCAGCTGTAATCCAGACAACATCCTCAGCATTCATTTTGGTTACTTCAATTCTTTAATTTATCAAAACATGGTACACATGACTGCTTTGGAATATACTTGTAAGAGTTGTAGATTTGCCTGAGTGAGGCCAAAGGGCTTTGCTATACATATGCTAGATGACTTAAAGGGACTTTTAATTAATCATTACATCAATAATTTAATGTGTTTTCTTTCATCTAAATGTGTCCTGAGGCAGGTAAAAGAAGAACTACTTATACATTGCAAAAGAAAAATTATTCTCTCCCTGGGCTCAAAGTTGCATGTAATATATAGAAATTCAACTTTGGTTCAATTGAAATTTGGTTGCAATTTGAGGCTTTATAGTTTCCTTGGGTCACCTATTGCATTCTTTTTAATGAAGCATTGAAGGACCACAGTATTTAAAAAATACTAATTTAGTTTTGTTCTCTGCATGTTTCAAGCAACAAAAATGTATTTTTTCCATTATAATATCAGTCTCAAAAAACAGATGTCCCCAGAACACACCAGACTGTCCCCAGTATTATTATGCTTCCATTTCCTATTAGCTTATCTACAGCCTTCCAGAATATATTTCCATTTTATTTTTTAATAACAGCTTTATTGAGATATAATTCACTTCCCATAAAATTTATCCCTTTAAACTATACAATTAGGTGGCTTTTAGTATATCCACAGATATACTAAAAAGTTTCACAATTATAAAAATTTTAGTATATCCACAGATATACTAAAAGTTTCACAATTATAAAAATTTTTATAACATTTTTATTACCCCTAAAAGACACCCTGCACCCATTAGCTGTCAGTTTACATTTCCCCATCCCCCCATCCCCCCATCCCCCGGAAACCACTACTAATCTATGTTCTGTCGCTATAGAATTGCCTATTCTGGACATTTCATATAAATGGAATCATATAATATATAGGATTCTCTGACTGGATTTTTTTCACTTTGCATATTTTCAAGGTTGATTGATATTGTAGCATGAACGGTACTTCATTTCCATTTATGGTTGAATAATATTCCGTTGTATGGATATATACCACATTTTATTTAGCCAATCATCTGTGGACAGACATTTAGGTTGTTTCCACTTTTGCCTATTATTAATAATGCTTCTGAGAACATTTGTGTATACATTTTTTTCTCTGTGAACATGTGTTCATGTGTTTCTTGTGTATACAACTGCAAGTGGAATTGCTGGGTCACACAGTAACTCAATGTTTAACATTCTGAGGCATTGCCAAACTGTTTTCCAAAGTGGCTATACCATTTTTATTCCCACCAGCAATATTTGAGGATTACAGTTTCTCCACATCCTTGTCAACACTTATTATTGTCTATCTTTTTTTATTCTATCTTGTGGGAGTAGAATGGTATTTCATTTCATTGCATTTCCCTAATATTAATGATGTTGAGCATCTTTTCATGTGTTTATTGACCATTTGTATTTTTTCTTTGGATAAATGTCTGTTCAAATTGTTTGCCCATTTTTAAATTGAGTTACTTATTTTTTATTGAGTTGTAAAGAGTTCTTCATATATACTGGATACTATTTCTTTATCAGATATATGATTTGCAAACATTTTCTCTCATTCTGTGGGTCTTTTTTTTTAAAAACTTTTTAAATGGTATCCTTTGTTGCACAAAGGTTTTAATTTTGATAAAGTTCTATTCATCTATTTTTTTCTTTCACCTTTCATGTTATATTTAAGAAACTGCTGCCAAGTATCAAGTCATGAAGATTTATCCCTATGTTTTCCTTTAAGAGTTTTACAGTTTTAGTTATATTACACTTAAATCTATGATCCATTTTGTTAATTTTTGTATATGGTGTGAGGTAGAGGTCTAACCTCATTCTTTTGCATGTGGATATCCAGTTGACTGAACATTATTTGTTTTAAAGACCTCTTTCTTCATGGAATTATCCTGTCAGAAATTAACCATAAATGTAAAAGTATACTACTGGACTCTCAATTCTGTTCTATTGATCTATACATCTGTTTTTATGGCAGTATCACATTGTCTTGATTATGGTAACTTTGTGGTAAATTTTGAAATAAGGAAGTGCAAGTCCTCCAGCTTTCTTCTTTATCATGATTATTTTGACTCTTCTGAGCCCCTTGCATTTACATTTTAGAATTAGCTATCAATTTCTGGAAAATACCCAGCTGAGATTTTGAGAGGTATCATGCTGAATCTGTAGATCCATTTAGGTAGTATTGCCATCTTAAGAGTTCACCTTCTAAGTCATGAACATAAGATGTTTTTCCATTTATTTCCATCTTTTTTTTTCAGTGATGTTTAGTAGTTATGTACAAGTCTTACACTTCTTCTGCAAGTTTATGACTAAGTACCTTATTCTTTTCAATGAGTTTATAAATGGAATTGTTTTCTTTCTGTCTTTTTTTGGTTTTTTGTTTGTTTGTTTGTTTTTGAGACAGAGTCTTGCTCTGTTGCCCAGGCTGGAGTGCAGTGGCGCGATCTGGCACACTGCAACCTCCGCCTCCCAGATTCAAGCGATTCTTCTGCCTCAGCCTCCCGAGTATCTGGGACTACAAGCATGCACCACCACACCTGGCTGATTTTTGTATTTTCAGTAGAGACAGGGTTTCACCATATTGGCCAGACTGGTCTCAAACTCCTGACCTCATGATCCACCCGCCTCAGCCTCCCAAATTCCTGGGATTACAGGCATGAGCCACCACGCCTGCCTATTTTCTTCTTTAAAGGACACCAATCCTATGACCAGGGCACTACCCTCATGATCTCATCAGCCTCCCAAAGACCCCATCTCCAAACTCTATCACATTGGGAGTTAGGGTAATGACATATGAATTTGGAGGGGCGGAGGGTGGGACACAAACATGAAGTTCATAACAAAAGCATTAAGTGCTTATGCCCATATTTTGACTACCCCAGGCCTGGAAATACATCTTAAAATGCAAGAGATATGGTCAAAGGTTTATACACTTCATTATTTAAAATTATATAGAAGTAAAATTCCAACAACAGTAGAATAAAGAAACTATGATATAGCTATCCAGTGGAATATTATTTTATTATTATTATTATAGTTCTGGAATACATGTGCAGAACATGCAGGTTTGTTACATAGTTATACATGTGCCATGGTGGTTTGCTGCACTCGTCAACCCATCATCTACATTAGGTATTTCTCCCAATGCTATCACTCCCCTTGTCCCCGCCCCCACAACAGGCCCTACTGTGTAATGTTCCCCTCCCTGTGGGCATGTGTTCTCATTGTTCAACTCCCACTTATGAGTGAGAACCTGCAGTATTTGGTTTTCTGTTCCTGTGTTAGTTTGCTGAGAATGATGGTTTCCAGCTTCATCCATGTCCCTGCAAAGGACATGAACTCATTCTTTTTTATGGCTACATAGCATTGTGTGGTGTATATGTCCCACATTTTCTTTATCCAGTCTAACATTAATGGGCCATTTGGATTGGTTCCAAGTCTTTGCTATTGTGAATAGTGCCGCAGTAAACATACATGTGCATGTGTCTTTATAGTAGAATGATTTATAATTCTTTGGGTATATACCCAGTAATGGGATTGCTGGGTGCAATGGTATTTCTAGTTCTATATCCTTGAGGAATCACCACATTGTCTTCTACAATGGTTGAACTAATTTACACTCCCACCAACAGTGTAATAACATTCCTATTTCTCCACATCCTCTCTAGCATCTGTTGTTTCCTGACTTTTTAATGATTGCCATTCTAACTGGTGTGAGATGGTATCTCATTGCGGTTTTGATTTGCATTTCTCTAATGACCAGTGATGATGAGCTTTTTTTCATATGTTTGTTGGCTGTATAAATGTCTTCTTTTGAGAAGTGTCTGTTCATATCCTTCACTCACGTTTTGATGGGGTTGTTTTTTTCTTGTAAATTTAAGTTCCTTGTATATTCTGGATATTAACCCTTTGTCAGTTGGATAGATTGCAGAAATTTTCTCCCATTCTGTAAGTTGCCTGTTCACTCTAATGATAGTTTCTTTTGCTCTACAGAAGCTCTTTAGCTTAATTAGATCCCATTTATCAATTTTGGCTTTTGTTGCTGTTGCTTTAGGTGTTTTAGTCATGAAGTCTTTGCCCATGCCTGTGTCCTGAATGGTATTGCCTAGGTTTTCTACTAGGGATTTTATGGTTTTAGGTCTTGCGTTAAAATCTTTAATTCATCTTGAGTTAATTTTTGTGTAAGATGTAAGAAAGGGTTCTAGTTTCAGTTTTCTGCATATGGCTAGCCAGTTTTCCCAGCACCATTTATTAAATAGGGAATCCTTTCCCCATTGCTCGTTTTTGTCAGGTTTGTCAAAGATCAGATGGTTGTATTTGTGTGGTGTTATTTCTGAGGCCTCTGTTCTGTTCCATTCGTCTATGTATCTGTTGTTTTGGTACCAGTACCATGCGGTTTTGGTTACTGTAGCCTTGTAGTACAATTTGAAGTCAGGTAGCATGACACCTCCAGCTTTGTTCTTTTTGCTTAGGATTGTCTTGGCTATATGGGCTCCTTTTTGGTTCCATATGAAATTTAAAGTAGTTTTTTCTTCTAATTCTGTGAAGGAAGTCAATAGTAACTTGATGGGGATAGCATTGAATCTATAAATTACTTTGGGCAGTATATTTTCACGATATTGATTCTTCATATCCATGAGCATGGAATGATTTTCCATTTGTTTGTGTCCTCTCTTATTTCCTTGAGCAGTGGTTTGTAGTTCTCCTTGAAGAGTTCCTTCACATCCCTTGTAAGTTGTATTCCTTGGTATTTTATTCTCTGTCGCAATTGTGAACGGGAGTTTGCTCATGATTTGGCTCTCTGTTTGTCTATTATTGGTTTATAGGAATGCTTGTGATTTCTGCACATTGACTTTGTATCCTGAGACTTTGCTGAAGTTGCTTATCAGCTTAAGGAGATTTTGGGCTGAGACGATGGGGTTTTCTAAATATACAATCGTGTCATCTGCAAACAGAGACAATTTGATGTCCTCTTTTCCTAATTGAATACCCTTTATTTCTTTGTCTTGCCTGATTACCCTGGCCAGAACTTCCATTACTGTGTTGAAGAGGAGTGGTGAGAGAGGGCATCCTTGCCTTGTGCCGATTTTCAAAGGGAATGCTTCCAGTTTTTGCCCATTCAGTATGATATTGGCTGTGGGTTTGTCATAAATAGCTCTTATTATTTTGAGATACATTCCATCAATACCTAGTTTATTGAGTGTTTTTAGCATGAAGCAGTGTTAAATTTTATCGAAGCCCTTTTCTGCATCTATTGTGATAATCATGTGGTTTTTGTCATTGGTTCGTTCTGTTTATGTGATGGATTACGTTTATTGATTTGGATATGTTGAACCAGCCTTGCATCCCAGGGATGAAGCCCACTTGATCATGGTGGATAAGATTTTTGATGTGCTGCTGGATTCGGTTTGCCAGTATTTTATTGAGGATTTTTGCATCGATGTTCATCAGGGATATTGGCCTGAAATTTTCTTTTTTTGTTGTGTCTCTGCCAGGTTTTGGTATTAGGATGATGCTGGCCTCATAAAAAGAGTTAGGGAGGATTCCCTCTTTTTCTGATGTTTGGAATAGTTTCAGAAGGAATGGTACCAGCTCCTCTTTATACCTCTGGTAGAATTTGGCTGTGAATCCATCTGGTCTTGGACTTCTTTTGGTTGGTAGGCTATTATTTACTGCTTCAATTTCAGAACTTGTTACTGTTTTATTCAGGGATTTGACTTCTTCTTGGTTTAGACTTGGGAGTGTGTATGTGTCTAGGAATTTATCCATTTCTTCTAGATTTTCTAGTTTATTTGTGTAGAGGTGTTAATCATATTCTCTGATGGTAGTTTGTATTTCTGTGGGATCAGTGGTGATACCCCGTTTATCATTTTTATTGTGACTATTTGATTCTTCTCTTTTCTTCTTCTTTATTAGTCTGGCCAGTGGTCTATCTATTTTGCTAATCTTTTCAGAAAACCAGCTCCTGGATTCATTGATTTTTTTTTTAAGGGTTTTTCAGTTCTGCTCTGATCTTAGTTATTTCTTGTCTTCTGTTAGCTTTTGAATTTGTTTGTTCTTGCTTTACTAGTTCTTTTAATTGTGTGTTAGGGTGCTGATTTTAGATCTTTCCTGCTTTCTCCTGTGGGCATTTGATGCTATGAATTTCCCTCTAAACACTGCTTTTACTGTGTCCCAGAGATTCTAGTATGTTGTGTCTTTGTTCTCATTGGTTTCAAAGAGTTTATTTATTTGTGCCTTAATTTCGTTATTTACCCAGTAGTCATTCAGGAGCAGGTTTTTCAGTTTCCATGTAGTTGTGAGGTTTTGAGTGAGTTTCTTAATGCTGAGTTCTAATTTGATGGCACTATGGTCTGAGAGACTGTTATGATTTCCTTTCTTTTCCATTTGCTGAGGAGTGTTTTACTTCTAATTATGTGGTCAATTTTAGAATAAGTGTGATGTGGTGCTGAGAAGAATGTATATTCTGTTGACTTGGGGTGGAGAGTTCTGTAGATGTCTTTTAGGTCCGCTTGGTCCAGGACTGAGTTCAAGTCCTGAATATCCTTGTAAATTTTCTGCTTCGTTGATCTGTCTAATATCGACAGTCGGGTGTTAAAGTCTCCAACTATTATTGTGTGGGAGTCTAAGTCTCTTTGTAGGTCTCTAAGAACTTGCTTTATGAATCTGGATGCTCCTGTATTGGATGCATATATATTTAGGATAGTTAGCTCTTCTTGTTGCATTAATCCCTTTACTATTATGTAATGCCCTTCTTTGTCTTTTTTGATCTTTGTTGGTTTAAAGTCTGTTTTATCAGATACTAGGATAGCAACCCTTGCTTTTTTTTTTTTTTTTTTTGGTTCCATTTTCTTGGTAAATCTTTCTCCATCCCTTTATTTTGGGCCTATGTGTGTCTTTGCACATGAGATGGGTCTCCTGAATACAGCACATTGATGGGTTGGCCTTTAAAAATCTTGTTTGAAAAGTACTTAATGACATGGCAACTATTTATAATAAATATTAAACATAAGCAAATAGAAAACAGCTGTTTAGGGAAGCAATTTTTTAAACAACTTTATATTAATTTTAAAAACTACAAGGGTATATGATTTACTAAAATATGAATAGTGATTATCTCTCCTTAGTATGAATATGACTAATTTTATTTTCACATTAATACTTTTATGTATTTAAAATTTTTCATAATACAAGTTACCTTTATAACGGAAAAAAAGTTTTTTAATATTGTATGCTATAGTAGAGGCTTGCTTTACAACTTATTTCCTTCAAAGCAACACTTGTATGTACTTTGGCAGGATTTCTTTGCAGGAAAACACCATTACTGTCCTAATTTGTTATGATTAATTAACTAGGTTAGAAATCATATCCCTTATTGGAGCTTTCATTGACTTCATCACAGTCAAAAAAAAAAATGGAGTTTACAGTCTTCCCTTTTTTTCCTTTTAAGATCAAAAACAGCTTTTGATCTTAAATCCTATAGAATGTGCTCCTTTAATTCCCTTTCAATTCTGTGCTATATTCTGAAGTGACCAACCAGACATTATCATCATAATTCCTTATATTTTCCACAATATTTTCACAGAGTTGATCACATTTGATTTTCATCACAGCCCTGAAAATAAATAGCACAACATTTCTAGTCCTATCTCAGAAAATTAACACTCATATAAGATCAACATAAATCATTGAGCTGTGGTGCAAACCCACATCTTCTGATTCCAGATCTGCTGTTTGAACCTTAAAATTGTTCAGTCCATTCAGTTTATTTCATAGATTAAGAAAGTAAGACACACAGAAGTTAAGTGACACAGTATAAATCATGGAGGTAATGGATGCCCATCCTAGAGCAAAACTCCGCTTCTTCTATTGTGGAAACTAGTGCTCTTTCTTTGAGTCCACTTAAATGTGATACTTAAATACTTTGCATACATCTTTCAGCAAATTTACAGACTGTTTAATTCATATCCAGCAGAAAACATTGTTTTTTACTAGGATTTTCTTTGGAATTGACATGCCATTTTTCCAGTTTTGTTCTTGCCTTGCCTAAGAATGCCTCTGAGACAAGTGACCATAGGCTTACTTAATTAAAAGGTGTTTAAAACAGCAGAGCCTCTCAAATAATTTTAATGATTTTAAAAGGTGGTGTGGAAAGCATTTTTATTTTAATGTTTTAGAAGGCATTTCCAGAATACAGTTAGTTTAAGGATACTCTGGAAGATGTTAAATGATGAAACGTATTGTAATAATAAAGCAAATACATCAGCTTATTTACTTTTACTGTTCTTGCTGTTAACTGATTTCCAAGATAAATCTTACTTATAACAATGTTTGTCTTGACTATTATTATCATCTAATCATCTTTTTCATAGTGTTTCTTATGCAGTAGCTTGCTGGTTACTTTTTAAAGCATTTAACATTCTGTATCAAGTGTAACATACATTAATCATTCACCCATTTCACAAACATTTACTGCATGGATGCTTTATGTCAATTATCAGGTAAAATATTAAAAAGGAAACAGACTAAAATCCCTGTGCCTAGGGTACACATAACATAACAAAGAAGACATAATCCAAAAAGAATGTTTTCTGAGTTTATATCATATGCCAACAGGGCCAAGGTAAGAAATGTGAGCACCTAAAGCAGACTAATAATTAACACCCCTTCAGGTTCATAATCCATAATGGTTTGTTGAATAATTATTAGAAGAGGCAGAGAGAACATCATCTTTTTATTAAGAAAAAATTATGTATCCTTTTTGCCGTTATTCATAATCAAGGATCCATTAGTTGTGAACCAGGAAAAACCAGGAAAATTTCTGATAAAACCCAAATAGAGCCATTTTAAATTTAAACAATAAAAAGTCACTCACTCTTGGTAGACAGCACTCCTGCATTCAGTTTTCGAAATGTGGATGCTTTCACATGCTTACGCCAGGTCACTGTTAGCTGGGCTGCTCTGAGGATTTCACCTCTTACTGACGTAGGTGAGGGCTGCTGAGGAATTTTTTAATCTGCATTTCTCATTTGACTTTACTCATAAAGTTATTTTCTCCTGAAATAAATTACATATTCCTGGAAATTAAAGTTAATCCTAAATGTGAGTTGGGAACTTTTGACACATTTGACACCTTAATGGTGATCCTCCTTGATACATACATCAGTCCAATCAACGTCCCCTTTCATTAAAACTTTGTGATAATCATGAGAAATTTGTCATTTCTTCCTTTTACTAGACGAGCCATTCTTCTGCATATGAACAAAATAAAATGTGGTTTAATCTGCTTGTGGGTATCTTCCCTCCCCAGATTCACTTCATTGGTGATTTACAAAGGATATATAACTCTGCCAATGATAAATGTCTCCTTCTCTTTGCTGTTACATATCCTGCAACTACCAAGTGTTTTTCACTGAAATGATTACTCTTTATTTCAATGCAAAATCATTTAGTGATGTTATTAAAAACACTTTAAGTAAAACAGTTCATACTACATGTGGCTGAATGCTTACAATACCATGGATGAACAAATACTGTCAGATGAACGTAAAGCCTCCATCTCCATTTCAGGAGTTTGCTGAATCACTTTGGAAGAAAGCTAAGTTACTATTAACCATTCATTGATTTGCCATACTTAAAGGATTTCATCTGCATGTTCCTTCTCTTGCTAATAAAAAGTACACTTTGATCACAAATCAAGGTTAAACCATCTATTTGGTAACCTTTAAGGACAGGTAGACTTTGTGATTACTGGATAATGAACATTAATACTGAAATTTGTTGTTTTCAAGGAGATAAAGTATTTATACATTTGACAGAAAAAAAATTCTGTGGCTTAGGAATAAAAGATGTAACTATAAAAACAATTAGGGCAGTAAAGATAGCAAAAGCATTGTGAAAACATACAGAATCCTTTGCTTATTTTGCAATGGCTTTGCCATAGTTGAAGTTGAGAGTTTAACAAAAATAATTACTCCTTGAAGCTATTCATTTCTCTTTTTTATGGGTTTTGAAGCGAGTTTTTTTCTTATTTTGATAAACATCAATATATATCCCCAAATTAGAATGCACTGTACGTTTTATGCTTTTAATCCCAGCACTTTGAGAGGGCAAGGTGGGAGGATTGTTTGAGCCCAGGAGTTAAGATTAACCTGGGTGACATAGTGAGACTTTGTCTTAAAAAAAAAAAAAAAGAAAGAAAGAGAAAAGAAAGTACTGTAATTTGCTGATACAAAGGGATAAGAATTTTAAAGGGTGAATTGATTCCTTTGAAGATCAAATTTACCGAACTCAGATCAACTCTTTTTTCCCCCATATTCCACATATTTAGTTACCTTTCCTGAAGGGTGGCTTGGCACAGGCATACTGAATTACACAAGACTAACTTCAGAATGCTGATTAACGAATGCTCTTCCAGCTGTAAAATGGACAAGTCAACTAATATACCAGACCTCATTAACAAAGCAGTAGATAGAAAAAGCAACCCACCCCTGGAGGTAAAGTGCATTGTCATAGGTTTAAAAATGAACCAGCTGGTATGATTCTTTAGGTTAATCTATGAGCAAATTGATTCATGAAATCAACAAATAGTAATACACTTGGGAATTTAGGCATTATAGCAAGTATATTAAAATACTTTTGTATTCCTTCTTTGTAAACTAGATGGCAATACATGGTAAGCAAATTATGGAGTGAAAAATATAAATCAAATACAAATATAAGTCAAAAATATAAATACCTCTGATTCCTTCATATGTTCAAATCATTATGACCAATGCCTTGTGGGGGATAATTTCTTTTTATTTACTGATTCCTATTCCAGAAGCTTGAAATCTATTTAGGTGGAGAGACTGTAGGTATTTAAGAGTGAATATTAATATCTTGAAGTAATAGTTATTATTTCAAGTTATCCCTATCCTCAGATAGGGAGTCTGTTGCCTAGAGTGATTAAAGAAGTTGTCCAAAGTCATGTAGCTCATAAGTGGCACCTAACTGTGTTCTGTCACTGGTCTTTCTCCTTGCAGAGACTATACCTCAGCCCTGTGCCGCAGCAGAATGCACGCTTAATTCTTAAATGCTTTGGGCATACAGCTACTCTGTTGTTTAGTTAGGTTGAAAATATCACAGGCTTTTTTTAAATCATGACAATAAATGCTTTTTCAAGCACTGAATATGATGATCATAATGAACTTTCTTCATTTTGGAGAATCTATAGAGCTTTTAAAATGTTAGGTAGTAACAGTCCAAAGGGATTTTAAAATTACTTAGTTAATAGGGGCTCTTGTTGGCAAGTTTGCCTTAGAGATCTGTGCATCTCCCAAGAAGGAGATAAGTGCTTATTAGAAACGTGTTTAAGAAACTTGGTCTACTTTCCAAAATAGTAAACAATGAGGATATTTCCTGAACTCTTAAGAAAAATTATTTCTAATTATGTAAAATTAAGTGCAAATAGTACCAGCATAGTTAATAACACCATCAGTGTGATGGACCTTCCCCCCGAGAGACAGCTGTAAATTACATAAAATAACAATTCTGGAAATGAATCAGGCTTGTCACCATGTACCATAACTCTGTATTCTTATTTTAAAATATATTGTGTGTTACAAATTGGAGGACTTGGTGGAATCTAAAAAAGTTGGTCTTATAGAAGTAGAGAGTAGAATGGGGGTTATCAGGGGCTGGGTGGTTTGGGGAGGTAGATGGGGAGATGTTGGTCAAAGATACAAAATTTCAGTTAGACAGGAGGGATAAGTTCAAGATATCTATTGCACAACATGGTGACTATAGTATTGTACTCTTGAAAATGCTAAAAGAGTGGATGTGGATCTCACCACAAAAACGATGACTATAGGAAGTAATGCATATGTTAATTAGCTAGATTTAATACACAGCTTTACATACAATTTTATCTGTCAATGTAATTTTTAAAATTGGAGGACCCAACCTCTAGAGACTTAATTGTGAGTTACTGTGCTTTTAGCAATTTTGGAATATATAATATATATTTATATAGCAGAATATATATATTTCCATAGAAGATTTGAAATAAATGCTGTGATTCTGTGGGTAAACCACCATGAATTATTTGACAGCTCTAAATACATTCAAATAGGCTTGCCATATTGACATTAATCCCACCCTAAGGAGTGCAGTGCGGATGGCTCATGGGATAAAGCAAGGGAGCCTGTGTTATTGCTGGTCACTTGGGCTTCTGCTTTTTCTTTTCCCCAAGATAAGATGCCAATATGCAGACCTTTAGAAATACTAACCATGCGTCTTCTATAGGGTGGGATCATTTTAGATTAAAATGTTATCTGAGGGTTCTAAGGGTTTGGAAAGAAAGTGATGCAAGTGATGTTTATCTGTCAGCACACATGTGTGTATTGGGTATCCACGTATGTTCCAGGGTTTGGGCAGCAGCATGGCTGAGAACGTCATCCAGTAATTTTATGGCAGTAGCATACAGGAAGATGCAAGGGGTCTTCATTGGAAGAAATATGACAAAGAGTTGAAAGGGGACTACAGTAAGCTGATAGAAGTCTAGGGGCTCCATCAATGGTAGACTGGATAAAGAAAATATGATACATATATACCATGGAATACTACGCAGCCATAAAAAAAGAATGAGATCAGGTCCTTCATAGGGATATGGATGGAGCTGGAGGCCATTATCCTTAGCAAACTAACATAGGAACAGAAAACCAAATACCAAATGTTCTCACTGATAAGTGGGAGCTAAATGATAAGAACACATGGACACATAGAGAGGAACAACACACACTGGAGCCTATTGGAGGGTGGAGGGTGGGAGTAGGGAGAAGATCAGGAAAAATAACTAATGTGTACTAGGCTTAGTACCTGGGTGATGAAGTAATCTGTACAACAAACCCCAGTGACACAAGTTTACCTGTGTAACAAACCTGCACATGTACCCCAGAACTTAAAATAAATGTTAAAACATTTTTTTAAAAAAGATTAATTGAAACCTATAAAATGGAAGAAAGTTTAAAATTGGACAAATACTATGTACTAGGTGAAGACTAAATATATGCCAATAAGCATTTAATGTATCTTGTCTTAGATTTTATATTAAATAATAAAAAGTTGAAAAGAAGTCGAGGGGCTCACAGAACACTGTGGGAGAAGGGGTTGAGAGAGAGAAATGGTATTTTCAAAGACAAAGTGCAAGGAGTTGCTGGCCAAGAGGCCAGAGTTCCAACGGAAATGATGAGAAGTTTGTCCAAAAGGAGGTTAACTAAAATGGCTTTAGCCTGAAGGGTTGGAGTAGAGAATACAAGTCAGAGAAGACATTTCTTTAAAGATCAGGCCCTGGGCCGGGTGTGGTCGCTCACACCTGTAATCCCAGCACTTTGGGAGGCTGAGGCAGGCAGATCACGAGGTCAAGAGATCAAGACCATCCTGGCCAACATGGTGAAACCCTGTTACTACTAAAAATACAAAAATTAGCTGGGCATGGCGGCGCAGGCCTGTAGTCCCAGCTACTCAGGAGGCTGAGGCAGGAGAATCGCTTGAACCTGGGAGGTGGTGGTTGCAGCGAGCCAAGATCACGCCACTGCACTCCAGCTTGGCGACAGAGCAAGACTCCATCTCAACAGAAAGAAAGAAGGAAAAAAGAAAATCACTCCCTGAAAGCAGGCTCTTCCTCTGAAAAGAGATTGAAAGCTACCATCATATTTTTGAACCAGGTTAATGAAATATTGCTGTAATGCTTAAAAGCAAAGACTCTACACTCAAACTGCCTGGGTTTGAATCCCAGCTTTGCCACCAGTGGTGTGACATTTGTAAATCATGCAGTAGCTCTGTGTCCGAGGAAAAATGGATAAGAGTATCTACTTTGTAGGGCTGTTAACAGGATTAACTGAGTTAATTTATGTAAAGCCCTACAGCAGTGCCTAGGGGGTAAATTTCAATTCATAATAGTTGTTAGAATAACAGTAAGTATATATACTAGCCACTATTATTATTACTACTACTTCTTTTCCCAAGCAGGGGACTTCAGATAATGTCATTGAGCACATGGTGTGCTGTGCTTCTCAAGCCAGCTTTTAATTACTGAGCCCTTTCTTTAAAGAAAATTAAATAATTAGAACATATAAAGCCTAGACGGTTTGGTTGAATTGGCTGGTGCCTGGAACATTGGCTGTTGCCCCTCCTTCTCTTGACTCTCATGGAGACCCCTAGGGCATCACTGTGGAACACATTTGGAAAACTGCTGATGCAAGGGAAAGAATCCAAGGCCTCGAATCTAAGACCTGAAATCAGATCTTATCTACCATTAATGGGCTGTGTAACCTTCAGTAGGTTAATATCCTGCCTGGCCTCACGTTCCTGATCCATATACTGTAAGAATTAGACCAGTTTAGTGGTTTTCAAACTCTGCTCCCTTAAACCCTAAGAGTTCCAGAGAAGCACGATAGCAAGATTTGGGAAATAGGTAGTGTGGAGCCCCGTAATTTTGAAAAGCTAGGGCTCCTCTCTATTATTCATTGGAATTCCATATTTGTTTGAAGAATGAGTACCACTGCTAAAGTCGTTTTGACCAGATGATCTTAAAGGTTCGTTCAGGTTCAATTACTCTGTCATTATTCTTTAGAAATTTATGAGATTTATTGAACCAAAGTAGCAGAAGTAAGAATATTAATGAAGGCAACAAATAATAAATCTGAGGAAACTGAGTAATGGGGAAAACAGTGTGGACTCCTCACAAGATGCTATAAAGTGACTAGCAGATGTTGGTATATCTGATATTTAGAGAAAAGGTGAAACCTCTGTTACCTGAATCTTATTTTGATAATTTGGCTGATCGTGTTCATGGGAGCATAGGCTGGCACAATGACAAGTAGGCTTGTGGACCAATAAGAAATATTATGATAGGAATATTATATACTTAGAACCAGAAGACAACAAAAACGAACAGTTATTTAAACATTGCCTGTCGTAGGACTTTTCTTGGTGGTTAGTGATTTCAGAAAATGTGTCCCTTCCAAAGCAAATGTCACGTTAAAATTCTACATTGGTGATCACTGTGTTGCTATTGGAAGTGTATGTGAACTCAGACACTCTTGGATTGGTTGGTTTGAACAGTGTATTTAAGTAAAAAAGTTACGGTGTTCCCTCTGGTCATAAAATCTGTACTGATTAGAGAGCCTCTAGGCCATGTTTATGGCTTGGATTGGCCCTATGTTTAGTTCTCCACATTTTCAGCTTTCTGAAAGCAAAGAAAAACCTATAAACTTATGTGAATATTTAAAAAGAATAGTAGCATCTGTTTTTGTGTAATTTTGATAATGATTAATATGCAACAACAAGGGCTGACGCCCCTTATAAGCTTCACATATGGTGTGAGTTGAAGGCCACCCAGTGATTTTTCTCTCCAATTGTATCTCCCTTCCACCATTCAAAACTCTCACTATTGTGCCATTGTGTGTGTGTGTGTGTGTGTGTGTGTGTGTGAAGGTATAACACTTTCACTGCTGAAATATGTTAGCTTGAAGTGATATCACCCATTAACACTTCAACATGGATTAATTTATCAGATTACCTTCAGAGACTTGGGTCCACGGGGACTGACACTAGGGTCTACTTACAATTCAATCAGGATGGAATTCAGAAAGGTCTGCAGAAGGGAGGGGAAAGGTGCATCCACACGTGGGCCAGAGCAAGGAATGTTGGGAGCCAGGAAGCCCTACTGGGCCCAGCAAACAACAAGATGTTGACCGAAGGAAGGGCACGCATATCAAGGGGGAATACATAGGCTAAACTTCGCCCTGTCGTGAGCTAGTACAGTGCCTTGTACATAATCCATCTTCAGCAGATGATAGTTAAATCAAATTATTTTTGCCCTAGGATGGTTTTGGCTAAAACTAAAGTTAAGATTTCATGCTAATTTTTTTGTTATTAAAAAAAGTTTTGTGTATGGCTTATTTTCTAAAATCAAGTTTCTTAGAGACAAGATTTTCTGTTTTAAATTTGTTTAAATAATACATTTTGTGCCAGAAAGATTCTTTTTAAGGGAAAACCCTTCATATATAAAGCATAATTATTCCTTTAATAAGACTTTTTTTATTATAGCCATTGAATAACACATCTGCTGCAAGGATGTTATTTTTTTTCCATCAGTCCTTGTACGCAGCTTTGATTGGAAGAAGTAAAAGATATACATCTCCTTCAAATAGTGAATCTCCTTCATGTGATTTTATTTTGTTATGACAGATTTTATTATGAAAGCTTTGAATAGCCCTCTTTTTAAGAAAATACTTTTTAAAAATGTAATTCTCTGTCTCAACTCTATAAGTTACGGTGACTATTGATTTCAGAAAAAAAGTAACTTAAGAGCCTCTTTCTCCAGTACTAATATCAATATTGCTCCACAAAACATTTTATATCAAAGGCTCCTGAAGAAGAAATTTTAATAAGCCTCCTCTCCATACTTTTTATTCTATAGGCTTTACGCACATCTGCTGTTTTCAGAACAAGCTCACAACTGTTACAGTGTCTTTATATAGTAAAACCAGAAGACAGTCCTCAACCCAGGTGCCTTGGTTTAAGCTTTCATTCCATGTTATTTATATCACTCTTCTGATGTACTCATTAAAAATATCATATCCACACAATAAAGTTTAAGAATAAGCTTTTTAAAAAGTTTTAAACATACATTTTCACCAAACATATTACAAGAGTTGAATTAACCTTTTCCTATTTGTTTCCAGGGCTACAGCAACACACCGGGGCCAGGTTATTTTCAAAGATGCTTTAGCCCAGCAGTTGTGTGAACAAGGAGGTAAGCGTCACATTTGATTTGTTTGTGTTATGTCCAAACTATTCATGGTAGGTCCTGTGTTCTATGTACCAAGTAAGCATTTCATTATGATTACTTAATCGTAAGCTTTAAAAATGTAAGTATTGACCCTTCGTATCACTAATAGTTATTTAGTAATTACTAACAAAGATCTATAGACTTTTGAAGATACTAAGTGTGAGCAAAAGAAAATTTATTTTCATAATTTTTTTCTAATGAATTACCTTTAGTTATTCTGGAAGTACAAATCTTAGTAGTAATTTTTAAATTCTACAAACTGTGTCTGCTTAATTTACCACTTAAATATCCTGTCAGCTTTGTTGAAAATGTTTCTGATTATTGCTTTTAACATTTGATCATATTATACATGATTATGTGTACAGTATCTATGGGCCTGTTTCAACTGTGTGCACTATTAATTTCGGACTTGTGTGGCTAGACATTGTATCAATTTAGATTAAATTTTACATAATGTCAGATATATGTGACCGGGATGCATGCACATGCACACACAAACACAGCACAATGAAAAAGTTAAAACCAGGATCCACGCTCTGATGCTCATTTGTTCCCCCTATCCCTTGAGTTTCCACCCTACTTTGTGTTTCCATTATAGCATTTACCACTTCATAGAGAATTTTTCTCTGAAAAGGGGTGGATGTTGCCCTAGAGAGACTGAGCTTCTCAAGTATGGGGACTATGCCTTAAGGGACTTTGGTTCCCCAGATGCTGACATAGAGCTTACCGTGTAAGTCATTCTAAAAATCTTGATAGATTGAATACAAGTTTGTCTTAGCTGTACATATATTCCTTGATTTCAGCATCTTGATAATGAAAACATTTTATGTCAGTCTTTGTAAATGTCATGCCATTTTCATTGTTTATTGTAAGTATAGTATTAATTTTTGTTTAGAATGACATTTGGGGGGGAATTTGTTAACTTTTAGAATTATATTACTGAATTTAAAGGAAATTTCTATTAATTTTCTCTCTGCTAAAGAATATCTGATGGGCTTTCAAGAGAAATGAGGAAAAATTATATCGGTTTTTGAGATACCTAAGAAAATACCATTTATTATTAGTTATATAGATCACAATATGACTTTATCTAAGTAACGTGATGCTTAATGATTATTAATGGCAAAATCCTGATGATTTACACACATAGTTCTTGAATTATAAAACTTCATTCTAGTTATAGTTTCAAACATATTATCAGTATTCCTGGGTTTAACAGATTTTTATCCTGTGACTTTTGAGAGCACAGATATTAAAATGTGCCTTTGTAGGTAGGCTCAAGAATTTGATCATAATACAAATCTTCTTCCAGACTATGAAACTACTCACATTACTGAAAATATAGAACACCACATAGCAGTGAACATTAATATCCTGGAAAATTTATAGTGTCAGAAAAAGAAATGTCTAATTTTATTAACATTTACCATTGTCTAAAAACTAATTTCTTTTAAGCCTTAAATTTTTTAGTCTTTTCTATTATAACTGAATTATTGGGGTTGGTTTCATTTAAAATGAAAAGAAAAAGCCAAGAAAAACCAATGGGAAAAAATTCTCAACCAGTGAGGAAAAGAAAAATGCCTTCTATAGTAGTATTACACATAAGCATGATTTACACAGTGGTACATGTGGATATTATTAAAAATGCTGTACAGCCCAGGACCAGAAGAAAAACACTGAGCTTTTCAATAGCATCTAACTCATTGAAATTATATCAATCTATCCAAGATAAAGTGAAAAATAATGCTAACAAGAGTGCAAGAGTGATGGCTTTCTACTGTCAGGAAATAATAAGGAAAATAATTTGTGCTATAAACTATATATTTATTCTGGCCTTATCTATTTTTAATTAAAATAGTAATTGTCTCCTCAAATAAAATAACATTTTATCATGTAATCATTTTTTATGTATTGGGTAAGGAATATCTAATATATTTATTAGAGGAAAAACAATTGCAGTCACCATATACCACAGCACAGTGCCTTTCCATTTTAACACGCTCAGTATGTTTGTTGATTTTAATTAAATTAAACAATTCAAGCAAAGCAAACTTTTTTCTGTGGATCCTGAGGATATCTCTTATGACAAGACTGTATTGCTTGCTAAACATATTGAAAAAGTAAAAGGATTAGAAAATGTACTCATTATGTCTTAGAGGGTCTGTAATCTTAATCCCTTTTCTTATAAAACATTCATTGAAAGTATTTTTTTTTTTTTTTTTTTGAGACAAAGTCTTGCTCTGTCACCCAGGCTGGAGTGCAGTGACGTAATCTCGGCTAACCACAACCTCCACCTCCTGGGTTCAAGCGATTCTCCTGCCTCAGCCTCCTGAGTAGCTGGGATTACAGGTGTGTGCCACTGCACCCGGCTAATTTTTTGTATTTTTAGTAGAGACGAGGTTTCACCATGTTGGCCAGGCTAGTCTTGAACTCCTGACCTCAGGTAATCAGCCTGCCTCAACCTCCCAAAGTGCTAGGATTACAGGCATGAGCCACCGCACCCTACCGAAAGTCATTATTCTGCAAAACTTTATACAGCACCTGCAAGACCTCTGTCCTAGCTCACAGTGCTAAATAAGGATATGAAAGTGAAAAGGACCCATTTCCTGTTCTTGAGGAACTCACAGGCTAAGATACAAATGACGGGTCTATGGATCACAGAGGTAGCTAAGTTTGCCTGGAGGTGTTAGGAAAGGCATCCCAGGAAGGTAGACCTGAATGGGTAGTGAGGTTTAAGAGAAAAGGAGAGGAGGCCGCGCGCAGTGGGTCATGCCTGTAATCCCAGCACTTTGGGAGGCTGAGGCAAGCAGATCACTTGAGGTCAGGAGTTTGAGACCAGCCTGGCCAACATGGTGAAACCCTGTCTCTACCAAAAATACAAAAATTAGCTGGGCGTGGTGGTGCGGGCTTGTAATCCCAGCTACTCAGGAGGCTGAGGCAGGAGAATGGCTTGAACCTGGGAGGCGGAGGTTGCAGTGAGCCGAAATTGCACCACTGAACTCCAGCCTGAGCAACAGTGAGACTCTGTCAAAAGAAAGAAAGAGAGAGAGAGAGAGAGAGAGGGAGGGAGCGAGGGAGAGAGAGAGAGAGAGAGGGAGCGAGGGAGAGAGAGAGAGAGACAGGGAGGGAGCGAGGGAGGGAGGGAGGGAGGGAGAGAGAGAGAGGGAGAGAGAGAGAGGAAGCGAGGGAGAGAGAGAGACGGAGGGAGCGAGGGAGGGAGAGAGAGAGGGAGCGAGGGAGAGAGAGAGACAGGGAGAGAGGGAGGGAGGGAGAGAGAGACAGGGAGGGAGCGAGGGAGGGAGGGAGAGAGAGAGAGAGAGAGAAAGAAAGAAAAGAAAGAAGGAAAGAAAGAAAAAGAAAGAAAGAAAGAAAGAAAGAAAGAAAGAAAGAAAGAAAGAAAGAAAGAAAGAAAGAAAGAAAAGAGGAGAACCATCTATCTCCTCCTTCCCATTCTCGCTGATCCACCTCACATCAGGGCCCAGCAGTGCCTCCTTTGGGAACTGCCGAATATCCTCCCTCAGGATTTTTCTGCTCCTATTTTCATGGTGCCTTTACAGAACTGCTATAATGAGCTTTCTAAAATGGAAATATGCTTCTTTCATTTGCCTGCTTAAAACCCTTCACAATCTCAATTGGAAGCAATAGTTTGTCTTCAGAGTGAAATTCCTACTGCTTATCAACATGCAAGGAAAATCCCTTACAATCTGGCTTCAGTTTGCCTCTCCTACCTCGTTTCTTGTCATCCTCTCATTTTTACCTTAAAACTCCCTGAATGCACCTCGCTCTATCATCCTGGTGCTATCTGCACCCTATACTCTCCAAGTTTTCTTTGCCTGGGCTATCCTTTTACATCCTTTTGTTCTGTCTAACTCGGGCTGTCAGACCCTGCTTAGGGTATCACTCCCTCCCTCCAGAGAAAACATCTTTGATTCCCTCCCTCTTCCCCTCAGGCTGGTCTAGACAACCCTCATACATAACTCTCTCTACAGAATTCTCAAGGCACATTAAATAGGAATGCTCTCAACACTGTTATGTGCCAGACACTACTCCAAGCACTCATCTAATCTTCACAACTCATCTAATCTTCACAGCAACCCTCTGAAAAAGAAACCATTATTATCTACACTTTGAAGATGAGGAAACAAAGGCACAGGGAGAGCAACTTACTTGTGCATTCATTCATTCATTCATTCATTCATTCATTCATTTGACAACTATTTATTGCATGTTGTCATAAGAACATCATCACAATGCCTTGTCTGCCATGAGATATATGCTCCTTGAGGGTAAGGGCTGTGCTTTTTACTATGGAATCTCTAAAGCTTCTCACAATATGTGGTGCACAGTATGCACCTCATAAATGTTTGTCAAATGAATAAGCAAACAATTAAACTACAATAGTCTGATAGATAAGAAAGAGGAGGCTAGCCAGTAATTCATTATAGCTAAACCATGAGGCCTGGAAAGGTAAGTGGAGCAGATCGTGCAGGACCTTCTGTTAATGCTCAGGGACTTACGCATTCTGCAGGCGGTGGGAAGGAAGCAGGAGAGTGATAGAACAATTAAAGAAAATCTAATGGGGGTTGGGGGTGGAATGTGTTGCAGGATTATTGACAGATTAAAGGCAGATGATGGACAGGCAGACAAGGGAAGACAGATTATTGTGAAATGAGAAATAAATGCTGGGCAGTTTAAAGTTGAGGCTTTGAAAAAACGTGATCATTATACATTACATGTATTACTGTGATTAGATCTTGGCCAGAAAGAAGGGGATATGTTAGAGAGACCTAGAGAAGGTATGGGGGTGCAGGTGAGAACAGGGAGGAAATCTGGGGCTACTCCGTCACTTTTGGCCTGGGTGACTGGGTGGACATTGATGCCAGGAACAGAGAAGAAATAAAGAAAATGTTAGAGGTGTTTGGAAGAAAAGATAATCAATTGCACTACCACATGTTGGCTCTGAGGGAGTTGCAGAGTTCTCCAGCAGCCTGCTGAGAAGGGGGCCTGTCACTGGCTGGGACAGCCAAGGACATTTGAGAACCATCAGCCTATTGATGCTGCGGAGGCAATGCATTCATTAGGGAGATGGGTGGAGCATGGAGGAAGCAGCCAAGTGAGAAAGACCAGTGACTGGGCAGGAGTGGGAAGAAGAGGGAACTCTGGAGAAGAGGCAAGCCTCTGAGGTGAGGGGAGCTGAGGGAAGAAATCTGAACATGGTAGAGGTGTCCAACAAGGACAAACAGAGAGGATGGTGGATAGAAAAGGACCTTAGGGTTTTACAAGCAGAAGGTGATTGGCAATTTGGGCTGGGCGTGGCGGCTCACACCTGTAATCCCAGCACTTTGGGAGGCCGAGGCGGGCAGATCACCTGAGGTCAGGAGTTTGAGACCAGCCTGGCCAACATAGTGAAACCCCACCTCTACTAAAAATAGAAAAAATTAGCCAGGCATGGTGGCAGGTGCCTGTAGTCCCAGCTACTCCAGAAGCCGAGTACAAGAGAATCGCTTAAACCTGGGAGGCAGAGGTTGCAGTGAGCCTAGATTGTGCCACTACATTCCAGCCTGGGCAACAGAGCAAGACTCCACCTCAAAAAAAAAAAAAAAAAAAGTAAGCGATTGGCAATTTGGCTGAAAATGAGGGTGGTTTTAGGTGAGGCGAGACCACCTGAGGCAGCTTTGTAGCATGGAAAGCTTCATGCTCAATCTTTGGAGTCAGGCAGTCAAGGGAAGACAGATTACTGTGACATGAGAAATAAATCCTGGGCAGTTTAAAATTGAGGCTTTGAAAAAATATCACTATAGATTATATATATTACTGTGGACCCAATAAATATGTACCATTATTATTTGTCCATTAAAAAAAAAAATTTTTAAAAAAAATAAGGAAAGAGGTAGGCACCCAGAGAGGAAAGGATTCTGGATTTTCTCTCCCTCTCTCCAAATCAGAGTGTGTTTATTATAGGCTTCCAGTGCCTTGCAGCCAAACACCGCTAGAACACACCTAGTTGAAGTTGAATAGGTTGAACATGTTGCTTTAGTGCTTGTTGCAGTGTGGGAGAAGGCAAACCATGGGGGAACCATGGGGCATCTCAAGAAGAGGAGGTTACAAAAGGAATTGTTATTGTAAGATTTGGGCTGGGCGGGGCGCGGTGGCTCATGCCTGTAATCCCAACACTTTGGGAGGCCAAGACGGGTGGATCACGAAGTCAGGAGATTGAGACGATCTTGGCTAATACAGTGAAACCCCATCTCTACTAAAAATACAAAAAATTAGCTGGGCGTGATGGCACATGCCTGTAGTCCCAGCTATTCAGGACGCTGAGGCAGGAGAATTGCTTGAACCCAGGAGGTGGGGGTAGCAGTGAGCCGAAATCATGCCATTGCACTCCAGCCTAGGCGATAGAGTGAGACTCTGTCTAAAAATAAATAAATAAATAAATAAATAAAGTAAAAAAGATTTGTGCTGTATTTGGTGACTGGGGTAGGGTTTAAGAAAGTGGAGCTTTGCTCTGGATTCGATGCTGTCTGGAAGTGGGGACAATTCTGTGGGTAGGTATCTCAATAAATCTACCATGAGGGCAGACTAGAGCAAGGCTACTGCTGTAATTGATAAAGAAACAGCAGTCGCTCCTAAGAGCCAGGAAAGAGGGTGCTTGGCACATTGTGATTTCGAGAGTGCTAAAGTTGTGTCTGTGTTGAGACAACATGATTAAGAAATAGATGTGTTTCTATCTTGATTCATCACGGTCACAGAGTAGCCTTGTCTGAAGTTGATGTTCTGTGAAATTGTTTATGTTCAATAGGAGGACACCAAGGCCCAGAAGGGATTGCCAGGCCAGGTTCTGGATGTCAGAGGCTACTTTTTTCTTAAATGAGACTGAGGAGAGAATGCTAGTGGGCATGATTTACTTTTGGATTTTAGGCTTCACGAGGGCTTTGAAATCATACAGAAGTGGATTGTCTTATTTGTGCTGCCATAACAGAGTGCCACAGACTCGGTAATTGATAAGGAACAGAAATTTATTTTCTCACAGTTCCGAAGGCTGGGAAGTTCAAAATCAAGGTGCTGGCAGGTTTGGTTGTCTGGTGAAGGCTGCTTTAAGCTTCTAAGAAGGTGCCTTTGATGATGTATCCTCCTAAGAGGAGGAATGCTGTATCCTCACGTGGTGGAAGGCAAAGGGGCAAGCCAGCTGAGTGTGAAACCTCCTTAATAAGGACCTTAATCCCATTCACAGGGGGAGCAACCCTTATGACCTAATCACTGCTTAAAGGCCCCACCTCTTACTACTGTCACTCTGGCAACACCTGAATTTTGGAGGGGACACATTCAAATCACAGCATGGATTCAGGCTTTACTTGTGTGACCTTACTTTCCAGAGTCCCTGGCCCAAAGCACAGGTTCAGTACATCATAAAGGGAAGGGATTTTGCTGAAGCAAAATTTTATTCAAGGTCAGTTGGTGTGAAATAAAAAGCAGAAGTAGATCAGTGGGGTAAAATTGTGAATGTTTAATTTTTTAAAAATGTATCTCTGTTTTGTAATTTGTTTACAGTGAACTTACATTATTTGTATTGTAAAGAGATAGCACACATTTCCTCCAAAAAGTGTATATAGGGGGTTAGACTTAGGAAGGAGAAGGGACGAGTCTGCTGTGGCAAGGAGAATAAATCCCTTCTCAAGAATCGAAGGAAAATTTTGAATTACAACTCCTATGTCTCCTCCTATATGGTGACTTGCCTGACTCCCTTAACATGCTCTGTCTCTGTTGTGTCATGATTATTTAAACACTCATTTCCCCCAACTGAGCGCTTTTTGAAGGCAGGAACCATGATTTAACTTTTTGGTTTTTTTAACATTTAATCATGTTTGGCATGCAACATAGACTCAGTAAATGTTTGCTGAATGATCAACTTAAACATTTTACAATTGAAAAATCACTGTCCTTACTGAAAAATCTTTAACCCTGAATGTTTGCTATGGACCATGATGAGGCAGTGTGGCTGCTACTAGCAATGTTCCTCACACTGATTTCTGGTTGTAAAATACATGTACCAGCATATTACAAATTTTTGAAAATTGTGCATGGATTTTCATGTAAACTGTAAGGAGTCCCCTTAATGTTCTTGGAACATAGACCAGATTCAGAGATTTTTTTTTTTAATATCTCTGAGGTTCCAAGTAATTGTAAACACATGCCCATCTGCATTCTGCTGTCGTGTCATGGTGTAGACAAGGAGCTAGAGTTTTTCCATCTTTAGTCTGGGGTGCGGGGTTGGCTGGGCTGTATACCCTCAATTATTTTGAGAGTAAAAGATGCTTAGGTTCATTCACTAGCTGTAAAACAAAAAGAACTGAAATTATTCAATATTTAGTACTAAACAAAAATTACTTAATGCTTACCGTGTGCCAGGCTCTGTTCTAGGCTAGGTCTTGGAATATGCCAATAAACAGAGCAAAGATCCCTGCTGCCATGAAGTCTACATTGCAGTGAAGAGGAGACAGACAGTAAACATGAGGCATCAGAAATGACTAAACGTGGTACCATGTTAGAAGGTGGCAAGTGTTGTAGGGGGAAATAGACCACTAAAATATAGCAGGGAAAGAGCATACAGCTGGATGGAGGGGGGAAGAGGCTGATTGCAATTTTAAATAGGGTGGCAGGTAAGTCGAGTAGACCTCACTGAGAAGGTGACATTAGAGCAAAGACCAAGAAGGGGATAAAGGAGTTAGCCCAGTGACTATCTGGGAAATTGTCCAAAATGTCAGTAAGTGATTTTAAAGATAAACATTGTGGTGTTTTTTGAAGTATTGTTAGAGATGACCAAAACAAAGAATAGACAAAATATCAGAATAGACTAAAAACTTGAAAGGAACTAGGAGAAATCAGTTTTTTTTGCAGCAATTATTACTGAACAACCTAAAAAGAGCTGCAGACCTAATACATCTGTCTCTGAACCACATGAGTCCTATTGAAAATGTTAATATGAGTGTGGTATAGATAGACTTAGGATGAGGACTAGTATTTGAATTCATGCTATGATCATGTAACTATAGGTTCCTTATCTGTGGATTAGTGATGAAGCCAAGCAAGCTAACTTGGCAAAATCTACAGTACTCACGAGTGGCAGGCCTAGAATTCAAAGCTCTGGACTCACAGCCCAATGCTGGTTCCATTATACCAAGTAGATTCTTAAAGTTAAAAAAAGATCAAACATTAAAAACCCTCAGGAACCACAGCCCTAGTAAACAAGATTATCACTACTGCCTAAATTCCCTGAAAACCTTGGAAAGAACACATATACTCTTTGGTGCCCTAAATCTACACAGTTAAGGCAAAAGTGATGTGAGTGCATCAGCATGGCTGCCAGTGGTCCAGCAGTATGCACACATCACAGTTGAAGATGGAGCAGGGAAAATAATCATGTGTGTGTGTATATTCATTGGCCTGTGGGCTTCTTGGCATACCCTCTTCAAACACACACATTGATTATTTAGCAAGACCAGATGGCAGGCTTAGTGGCCTGACAGCAGTCATGCCCTATAGTGCCCCCAAAGCCCAAAGGGCACGTGCCATTTATAAACCACCCTGGAATTCTCTGTTGTTGTGTTGATGGAAGCGGCTATAACTAAAGGCAAACGTTTTATGTCAGGAGGAAAGAGGTCAGGCTTACAGCTGGCGCAGAAAACCTTGGCTGCTTTCTGCCAGGCTCAGCAGTTTTTCAGCTGTTCATCACCCTCAGAACAGTGAGTGGTAGAAACTGTGGCTGTGCTCTCTAAGGGCCCTTGGATCGTGGTGGTAGGCAGCATATATGCTTCATCCCAAATGCAAACTCTTTGCAATTTTTAAATCATTTGTATTAAGGATTGGTGAAAGTTGAAACTGTGAGATGGAGAGGGGCAGAAGAGTTTAACAAGAAGTCCAGAATGTGAATGGGGTGTTTAACCTCCTTTTATATTTTTTAGCACTTTAAGTGTAACTTTATACCCAACTATTGTAAAAATTGTAGATCAGATCTACCAAAATCTTCTCTTGGCTATCCTTGATTATTCAACAGCTTATATTACTAAATATCTTTCCAATACCCTGAAATGCAAAGTCTTTATTAATTCAGACTTGTTTCTCTCTCATTGTCAGAATTGGGTTTTAACGTATCTACTTTAATTGTTGAAAAGAAAAATAAATACTGATGTATTTCACTTGAATGTGCCCAGTGTTAAGCATTTGCTAGTCAAAGACATCTGTGCTCCCCTTGGCTATTTTGTAACTTATATTTTATTTTAGTGGTTACAGCTCCTGTTCATGACATCCCTAGGCTTTGTGATTTTTATAAACAAAGACAACTGAATTAAGAGGCTCAGGGAAAACCATCCAGGAACCCCCGATCTTGCTTCACGGTCTTACAAACTACCCAACAAAGCGACACACTAAAGCCCTCCTGGGGCTATGGCAGGCAGAAAGTATCCTTAAGTGATCTGAAGACAAGCAGATTAAGGGGAATGACAAAGAGCTGATTCACATGACCATAGTAAAATTTCTTGCTACTGACTCTGGAGGTGGGTCTGATTATTCTTTTAATTTCCTAAAGAATGGTGTTTTGGACTGGTGCTGTTTATCCCAAGATGATTGAACATAGATTTAAACAGCCTTCTTTTTCAGTGCTGAGGGCTATATACATTCCCACTTGACAGCTTTATCTAGTCCAAAGTCAAAATTCCTAGATTTATGCCCAAGAAGGATTTTACATTGAGTTATTTTGGGTGCCTATGGAAGAATTCTTTCTACACATGCTGCTATATAACCTGCTTGATTCCTCCATATTTTGAAGGACAAAGACCAAGTTTGGATCTATACAATCACTTGGGGAAGGAGGGCAAAGCTGTTACAAACATACATAATTCACAATTTTGTTTGACTTGTGAAATATTATTTCATCCAGTTTATTAATCCAACATTATTTTTAATGTACGTGTGAAAATTCAGTTGTTTCATGTAACAATTAATATAGATTTTTTATAATCAAGTTTTTAAGAGTTGTAATTCATTGGTATTAATTAATATATATTGTGCTGTATCCCCAGTGGGCATATGTGAAACACTGCACCAGACCCCAGGCAAGGTGTGTGGCAACATAAGGCAGTCTCCCATCCCATTGTTAAGAAGCTTATAGTACAGGTTTACTAATGCAAACCCAGAAGAGAAGGACCAAGACACATTTGCAGAAAAATGTAAACTTAGTGGAATGGTGTTCCTCTCATCTCCTCTGAGCCCTTGCTCCAATTGTGCTTTCTCTTTCTGATAGCTTCAATGTCTTCCGCTTCAGTGGCCACCTCCTCCTCTGTGCTTAAATATGCTGAAGCCACTGCTACTTTAACAAGTATTTCATCCTGAACTTCGGGTACCCCCGGCCATGTTTCCTTCTTACAGTCCAGCTTCTTGAAAGAGCAGTGTGTGTCGCCAGGCTTTCGTCCTAACCCTGCCATCTGGCCTCTACCGCCAGCACTCCCTGGAAACCATCATCCTCAAGGTCACCAATAACCCACTAGGGTGCCAACTAATCCAGAGGACTCGGATCCTCACCCTACCTGACTTCTCTTTTCTTTCTCGGTTTCCCTAATGAGTTGTTCTTCCCACATCACACATTCTAGGGTTGGGCTTCTTTTTGCACTTTTTTTTTTTTTTTTTTTTTGAGAGGAGTCTCACTCTTGTCACCAGGCTGGAGTGCAGTGGTGCGATCTCGGCTTACTGCAAACTCCGCCTCCCAGGTTCAAGCAATTCTCCTACCTCAGCCTCCCGAGTAGTTGGGACTACAGGCATGCACCACCATGCCCAGCTAATTTTTGTATTTTTAGTAGAGATGGGGTTTCACCATGTTGGCCAGGATGGTCTCAATCTCTTGATCTCATGATCCACTCGCCTCAGCCTCCCAAAGTGCTGGGATTCCAGGCATGAGCCACCATGCCTGGCCTTCTTTTTGTGCTTTTATATTGTCCCTGTTGAACTCACTCACACCTATAATTTTCATCTCCCTAGCTCTCCACTTCCTTGGTGCTTATACAAAGAGTCAAGAAGGTAAAATGATTGTGAGCATGAAGTTTGCAGTTACCTATACTCTGAGTTAGAATTTCTGCTCTGGCACTTTCTAGCCATGAAATCTTTGAGTCTCAATTCTCTCATCTGTAAAATAGGGAAAGGGATAGTATCAACCTTTTTGGCCACTGCATACCATTCCCAAGAGCCTGGTACAATATTTTGTGCCCAGAAGGAACATCATAAGGTTGTGAGGATTAAATGTCGTGATGAAGTGCATAGCATAGTGGCTAGCACATACTCCGTAGATGTTAGCTCTCACTACTATTACTAAACACTACATTTGGGTGTCATTTAGGCACCTTGAACTCAATATATTCTAAACTGAACTTTAGTCCGTCCCAAATCTGTACCCCTCTATTGCAGTTCTGGTTAGCATCTTCATCATCACCCCAGTCACTAAACAGAGACCTAGGTAACACATTTCTTTGCTTATTCCTTGTGGTCATCCATGTCTATATCCAGTGTGTCTAAGGCCAATTTACACAATGTCTCTTAAACCAACCCCTTTCTTTCCATGCCCACTGCCATTTTTTTTTATTCAGGCCTTTCACACATTGATCAAAATGCTCCTGGCCTCAAACCCTATAACTGCCCTCTGTTTCCCCCCAGTTCAGCCTGGATTTCAGGACTTCCCTGATCTGTCCCACCTCTCTCTCTCTCCAACGTCATCTCCACATTTAGATCTTTCCACACCCATCACCCTCACCTGACACCAGACTCTTTATTTCAGCTGGAATAAGTATGTCCTTCATCAGAGATGCCATCCTGACCCTATCACTGTAGCTCATATATGCCAACTCCTTTCCCTGGTGTACTTTCCTCCATACCTCCTCTGCTGTCTAACTGATGAAGTTGCGCTCATCCTTAAAGATCCAGTTCAAGTGTCTCCTCCTATATCATCTTTATTTTTATCACTCTCCCACCTTATATTTGCTAACTGAATTTAGTTTACCATATTGTATGTAATGCATTGACTTCTAAATGTATTTTATACTACACTTTGGATCCCTTGATCCAGAAGAGACTGGATCATTTTTACATTCCCAGAACTTGGCACAGTACCTGACACTTAGCAGGCACTCAAATATTAGTTTAGGAAATGAATGAACCATATAAAGCAAGGACACTTTTCCAAAAATGCCGAATTACTCTTATTTCTTTAATTGCCAGCCAGTCTGTACCTCCCATGTCCCCAGAAGTGCTTTTATATCTGTATTTAGGCATTGTGCACTCTTTTTTCATTGATGAACTTTACTAGGAGTAGCCTAACAAAACTCAGAGTTGGTTACATGGTATTTGAGATGATGTTTGCTTTATTGCTCACTGTCCTGTATGAGAAACTACAGAAGAAACTTCTATACAGTCTGTGTACCTGCAATAACTGTCCTTCTCCTGAATAATATGTGTTCTTTTAAAGTTATGAACTCTTCTATTTCTGTAACTTTATGGCTTGAGAACCAAATTGAAGTCCTGGGGGCATGCATCTTGCATACATATCTCAAAATGGCATGTATTATTTTTCTACCCTCGTTTGTCATCTTTGATTCCCCCCTTTATTATCTTGTTCAGCTGTCTGCCTTTTTTTGTAAGCTGCCTTAAATCTATCTTAGAGCAAGACAGATTATACAATTCATCCTTAGGTATGTAAAGGAAAGTGAAAAGAAATATGAAGAAAAGTGAAGGAAGAAGATGACATATGTACAAGCAATAAGGAAGAAAAGGAACAGAGGAGATGATTAGAATTTTCTAACAACAATGGTTTTAGTAATATTGGCTTGCTGATGTTATCAGAATCCATTCAGCTAGCATTTTTGGAACTGCCATGTGTGAGACATTGTGCTCAGCATTGGGAATGCAGAGATATTCAAGATAGAGTCTCTCTACTCACAGGAATTTGCAGTTGGATCAGCTCTAATTGCTACTGTGGCCTTTAAGATTATGACTGAGATAAAGAGAAGAAACTTTTCCCCAAAAGGGACCCTTTCCTCACCCATGGGAAATTAACTATTGTAGTTAGAGTGTCAATTAAGCTTCTATGTACTTGAGGTACTAAGCAAAGTACTTCAACATGTGGGTGGGTTAAATGACTAGAAGTTTATTTCTTAGTCATAAACCAGTTTGAAGATAGATGGTCTAGGGCTGGCAGGGTCGTTCTACTGTGCACAGCAAGTAGCTTCCAAATCTAGGCGCCAAGCTGGCTGCTCCAGCACTCACCACCTCCTACAGCAGGGAGGGGAAAGGGCCAAGGAAGCATGCCCATTCCTTTAGGACATCACCCAGCCCTGAAAGTGACCCTAGTCACTTCTGCTCACCTCATATGGGCAGAACTTAATTCCTTTGTCACAGGAAGCTATAGGGGGGCGCTGAGAAATAAAGAAATAAAGAAAAGAAGAATAGACATTGGAAAATCTCTAGCAATTTCTGTTGATGTTAGCAACAAGGTTTCTTCCTTCTCCTCCACTTCTTCCTCTTCCTTCTTCCTCTTTTGAGCCTAGTGATTTTCCTTCCAACCTCTAAATGTTACTTAAAAGCCATATGTTCTCAGGTTTTGGGTCAATTTATACCTGCAATTTCTCACATCTGCTCCATCTATGAACTTCATCTCTTCAAGTTCTCAAAGGTCTAGGATTTTTAAAAGTTGCTACACAGTAACAATTTTTTAAAAATTAAAATTTGGCCAGGCATGGTGGCTCACGCCTGTAATCCCAGCACTTTGGGAGGCTGAGGCGGGTGGATTGCTTGAGCCCAGGAGTTCAAGACCAGCCTGGGCAATGTGGTAAGATCTTGTCTCTACCCCCCCCCAAAAAAAAATTTACTGGTCTTGGTGCTGTATGCCTGTAGTCCCAGCTTCTTGGGAGGCTGAGGCAGGAGGATCATTTAAGCCTAGGAGGTTGAGATTGCAGTGAGCCAAGATGCACCACTGCACTCTAGCATGGCCAAGAGAGCGAGACACTCTCTCAAAATATAAATAAATATAAAAATAAAAATGTACCAACAATTCAAATGATATTGTTTTGCATTCTGATTTTTCACTTAAAACTTGTATTTATATTGTAAGCAAATTTTTGAAAAATGTGTGGATATCTCCCCAGAAAAGATGGTGACATGAGCATGGTAAGACAATGAGCCATAATTTTTAATGTTTGAGGCCCCATTATTTATAGCTCCTATTGGAATAAATCTTATCTGAAAGAGTTCTCTATCTCCTAGTTGCAGGTTATAAAGATATATTTTCATTTTGTTCCTATTTCGTTTATATTAGAATATGAAAGATGATAAATTGTTTTGAGACATAAATCAAGTTGAGGTGGAAAATCAGAGAGGGAAGAGAAAAATAATTCCTAATATTGCTGGTTCTGTGTATAATTTAGCTGTCTTTAAATATTAAGAAATCTTTTATACTGAGCATAAGTATGTTCTTGAACACAGGGAGAACTGTTTTCACTCTAAATTTATAACATTTTTGGAAGCTTAATTATCATACTTGAAGGTCAAATGGTGCTTTATTGCAATAAAATACAAAAAGTAATAAATTATTCCTGGGGAGATGAAAGTCTAGGTTCATAGCTCATTAAATGCTAACTTCAGAGCCCATGTCTAATTTGTCATATTTAGCTTTGGAAGTTTAATACATTTGAATTTCAAATTAGGTGAAGAGATACCTGAGGCAAAACTACCTAGGGCCTTTGAATTCCAAAATGATTCAGGAGATATAGTCCCTGTAACATAATACCTGTATTTGTAAGAATTGCTTGCCACCTACATATAATTCTTGTCTGACTCAAAGGCTTTTTTTTTTAAGTAATCAATAATATTAGCTCAAAGCTCATTTACCACCTCCTGAATTCATTTTCAGGCATCTTTTCCTTTTTCTGCTCCACATATTTAAGTCTCCATTCTTTGCACTGAGTAATTTGTTCAACAAGTTGGCTGAAGTGTATTAGTGCTGCTATATTTTGGAGTCAGATGATTACTTTAAAATTTCCATCCAAAATAAGTCAGTTGAAAGAAAAAAACACATATGTCAAGAAAATAACCTTTGGGGGAATTAAACACGACCTCATTCTTTCTAATATGCCTACTTCAGGCTGCTGTGATCTATGAGATTCTGGCAGGCTCAACTTTTGAAAGAGCATATGCACAGAAATGCTTTTTAAGAAATGAAGCTTTTTTTTTTAACTTTTAGCATGTGATTTGTCTCCTGGACAAACTGAATTGATGATGGGAGGAATTTAGGCTTCAATTTAATATTGAGATACTATCTAAGGATCCATGTTTATAATATTTATTTTGAAAGGCCCAATAGTTTAACCTATTAAAATGTTATTAAGAAAAGCATTCGTGTATGACAGGCATTCAGTGAATATTAATTGAATGCAGTAATTCAAATAAAGAAATGCTAAGATGTAAAAAAAAAAAAAAAAAAAAAAAAAAAAAAAAGTATGACTGTGAGCACCAATGACCGAATGTAGTCACAGAAGCTAATGTGGAGATATTTGCTGCCTATTTTAGTTTGCAGAAATGTTCTAACTTTCATTTCTGCCTGCAAAGCTCAGCTGGTGCTAATGCAAGAGAAACTGTCGTAAGGATAAACCACTCATTATAATCTGTGAGATGCTGTAAATAATTGGAGGTAATTTTGGAGACAAAAGTATATTTAGTAAATTAAAGGTAATGTTCACAAAGTAAGTCTGTCTAATGACAAGCAATACATTAGTTGCACTTTAAAGTTTAAAAAGTGAGTAAAAAGTGGTTCTTCTCATACCGCGATGAAGGCCATATTAATTCACACTGAGTGAAAATAGTGACTTTTTAAAAATAATTTTTCACCTTTCCCAAAGATATTTCTTGGGAAAAAAGCTGCAACTCTTCTGACTAGAACTATCACCAACACAGAGACATGTTAACATATACGAGCTAAGAGCTTTCCATCATTTATTCAAAAAAGCATCAGTATGCACTTTTTCTGCTTTCATTTTAAGCAAATAAATAATAACCTTGTTTAAAGAGACCAAGAAGCATGTTATTCCTTTGAAACTTTTGATACTGAATTTACTTGCTTTCGTGTTAGGCTCAATCAAGCCTTGTGATATGAATTGCTTATCTTATGAACTGGGTCTTTTCATGACTGTTCCACGTAATCATTCACCCTCACTATTTTTTGAATAATTATCTTTATCAAATCTGCATTAGTACAGAGATCTTGTGTTCATTCAAGGCAGTTCCAGTCTCTTTCTTTTGCTAGCTTATGGTGATTAGTAAATCATTTCAAGAATAGTACAGTTGAATTTTTTAAAAAAGAAGTTCTATAAGCAATCTATTTTTTTCAAACTTTAAAGTACCTTCTAAAAACAGTGATTGTTTACTTTTATTCTTAACATGTTTAAGCTTATTAATTTTAGAAATCTATTTCTGTCCTCTTTGCGTAGTCTGTGAAATCTTAGTAAAATACATATGTAATCTTCAGGTCACTTAATAATACTCAAGCATCTAGGAAAATGCCCGGCTAAGGAAAGACTTAGAATGTTGCTGAAGCATTTCATTGCTGATCTAAATCTTTGTATTTTGCCAAAACATCATCTGGATAGGCCCCACTGGAGAGAGAATTTGGAGGACAAATAACTTTTAAGTGGCACTATCACAAACATGAAAAAGAATCTGGAAAAGAAATCATAAGTACACATTTATGAGTGGTTTTGACACTCATAACATTTATTTACTTATCTAGTATGAAAAGATTATATTATGCTGAAAACTTTAAAATTTCATTTTTTTCTCATTTAACTGCTCTGCTCTCAAGAGGGATTTGACTTATGAAATTAAGTAGATTCTCATTTATCAATACTTTCCTAGTAAAAATTGCTACCAATTTGTATTGATAGTTTTAAAGAAATTTGGCTTTTTCAACTAAAAACAAGTCAAAGTAGGCTAGGCTTTCATTCTGAATGCCTAGCTGGAAAAAAGCTTTTAAAAACCCTGGTGATTTTAGAGAGATTCTACCTTAATTCCTCCATTCTGTTGGCTTGCTTTTACTTGTTTTTTAGGCAAAGTAGAACCTTTATTTTAACTTACCTGTGTAACATTTTATATTTTATCTGTGGTCTTAATTAAGTTAATTCAGTCTGAGGACATTTGGCATACTCTTTAAGTTACCATGATATACCTAAGGTCAATTTCCAATTCAGTCCAGTTACTTGAACTTGATCAAGCTTTACAAAGGATATAGTTTCTGTAATGTTTGTGAATTTCAATGGCATTATTTCTGGATAAAGATTACAGAGATGTATGGTTATTCTGAATGAGATTTAAAGTTCATCGAAACACAAATACATTCACATGCACTTTCTAACAGGGAACTCTTAACAGAATTGGATATTCCTAGATTCATCCTATCCGAACATTCATTCCTAGTTGAACATCCTACCTTACAGAAAAAATATTCACTTCTGAAAAAATGTAGAAATTCAGTTTGATTTATACAAACACTTGATTCCTTATTAAATCATTTATCTTTCCATAAGTTACTTCCAGCCTCTATGTACAGTTTCATGGGTCTCACCAATGAAACTAAATTAGGACCATATTATGAAGGTTCCCCACAGTGATCTCTCTGGGTACAGAACAACTCCAGCCTATCTTCCTCTCTCTTCAATTCAGTATCCTCTGACAAGTAGCAGGGTTCCCATCCCTAGTGCATCTCCCTCTGTGCACACCTTTGGTCATCTGACCTGATCTTCTTATCACTACCACAGAAATACCTGGAAGAAACTACGATATCTTTTTACACTTCTGTTAAAGGTGTATTCCATCCCATTCTTTCTCCAAAACCAAAACCCACTTCTTTAAGAACATTTCTGTTTTTTCTCATTCTCAGAAACCAAAACTCCCTAGTTTAAGCCATTTGACAATTTTATGTCGTTGCTAGGTTTTAATCGTGCAATTTTAAATTCAAAAGAGTTGAGAAACTGGGCAAGATGCAAGGTGGGGTGGGGCATTCTAGGATCCTGGGAGAGACAGAAAATCAGTAACAGACCAATAAAATGTTGAGATAAAAACATACGAGCAATCTAGAAAAATTCAATGATTCAATCTAGAGCTAGTTCAATGGCAGAGGAACAGGAAAGGTAGACTTGGAGATATGTCATTGGGTAAGCACTTGGACAGTTGACAAATGAGGACCAGTCTAGCAAGCATGCATTTTACATTTAATACAGGAAAGAGTAAAGGCCTTTATACCAAGTTCATATAATATAAGAACTTAATAATTCACTCATAGTCACTAGTATGAGGCAAGGCAGGTAGTATCCAAATGGGAGTATACTAAATAATGTTGAACTATATCATTCTTCCTCAGGCTACTTTAATTTTTCCGTGGTGCATTTACCTCAGTAAATGTGGAAAAGATGGTGAACTTCCTACGGGCTTAGAAAATTTGTTTAGACTACATAAAACTAGATTGATATGGTCATTTATCGAGAAATGATTAAAATAAGCTTCTAGGCCCGGTACTTTACTAGGCTTTGGCCCATTTTTATGCCACATATGCGTGAATCTTTTTCAGGAAAATTTGTACTTTTCCTTGCATTAAGTTTTGCATACTAAATGTTTCTCTTTTGAGGAAATAATGTTTAGTTATCTCAGATAGTGGACA